>NC_000005.10:143203659-143828659 GCF_000001405.40 Homo sapiens | reverse complement strand
CTGACTCCTTGAACACACCTGCTCTTTTCATTTCTTATGCAGATCATTCTTACACAGACCATTTTATACAGATCATCCTTACCCTTTACGGAAACTTGTTCTGGTTCAAAATTGCTGAGGTGTGGGATGAAGGCATTCACAAAGCTGCTGTGTGGGATGTAGCTTAGAAGGAAAACTCACTGATAAATGGATGCCTTTCTGAGTATTATCACCCATCTGCCTGTTCTCTGAAACCTGCTGAGGCCAGAGGTCATGGGCTTTACCCGTCAACTGAAGTCATTTTAGAGCTTCATCATCTGAAACGGAGTCCCATCTTTACTTCTTAGATTCTTTCTGCAACAAACACAGACCACAGCAAATAAAGTTTCTGTGATCCAGCATTCTTGAAGAGGAAAGTCAGGTCATCTGGTTAACTGTCGCTGGCTTGCCTGATGTGTATTTTGATAAAAATCCTTCTTTCAAATTCTTCATTAAATTTATTCAGCATGTTAGGTCTTGGGATTACTAATCTTGATTTCATTGTTAGTCCCCGCTCCCTGCTGCAAAATTATCTTTGACACTGGTTTTCCTAGAGTATTCAAATCTTAAATTAGAAAGCATAAATTTTTCACATATTGAGTAGCAGCTATGTAAATGAAAAAAAGGTCAAAGTATTTGAGGACAAAAAAGTATTTTTCTAATATTTGTTATTTATATGCAATAATTGTATATGTATATTGAGTACCTGTGGTATTTTGATACATGCATATAATATGTAATAATAAGGGCAACTGGGATATCCATCACCTCAAACATGTATCATTTCTTTGTGTTGGGAACATTCCAAATCTTTTCTAGCTATTTTTAAATATGCAGTAAATTATTGTTAGCTATAGTCACCCTTGAACACTAATACTTATTCTTTCTATCTAACTGTATTTTTTTAAAAAAGAGTATTTGGCCATCATCTAAGTAAACTAAATGCTTTTTACTCTAAAGAGATAACAAGATCCAGGAGATGAAACCCCAGGGTAATTAATAGAAATAGTAGATGACAAATCTAGTTAAATGTTATTATTCCCCACTCCTTCCCCTCTCAACTCACCTTCTCTTCATTTTTCGTATGCTATCAAGAAAGACATTCAAAGACATGAGAAAGGCATTCACTGACATAAGGGAAATGGTACATGGAGAGTAAATTGTGGTGTGCATTTGAGAAAGCAGGTTTGCTCCAAAGAGAGGCTGGCACACAGTGATGTTTGCTTAGTGAGCCAGACTCTAATTTTATTAGCTCATTCTCATCTTTGAAAGTGCTAAATGTCTGCAGTTTCCCCTGGGCAGGTGATTCAGCACCTTCCACATCAAGGGCCAGATAGGGTTGCAGTTTCACTCTGTGTGACCAGATTATTGTTGTTGAGTCAAAAGGAACCTGACATTGTGTATATATATCAACGTGGTTCTGCGTATTTCTTTACTGGGATGTTTATTTTTTCACATGCACACACTTTCCTACCCAACCCTCTTTCTGTGTTGGCATATGCTGTAGTGTTTCTGCAAGATATTGGTTCATTATTTCTGACTCTTGTGACATTCATTCTTATTACTTGCCCTTAAGGACCTGTTTCCAGTCATTGCTGGAGGTGGAACCAGGGAAGAATAACACACACGAAATGATTTCTGGTTTTAATTTTAATGGCAACTGCAGTCTCTTTCCCTATTCAATTATTTTTCTTGGAAACAATTCCTGAGTGCCTAGTTTCAGGGGAAACCTTCATCAAATAAACATAATATCAAGTTTGTATTAATGTGATGGGATGGCGTTTAGTACAATCAAATCTTGTTACTATGACTTACAGCAATGAATAAAGAAAGGAATTCAAATTCACGATTATAAGTTTCATGGAGGAAGGAATGTGATTTTGTGTAAATATATAAAGCTTTGTCTATGCATATATCAACATTCATACAGGACATGCTATAGAGAAAATGAAATCCCTTAAACATGCTCATTCACTCAGTCAACCAACATAAGGGAACGATCTGATCAAGATGGTTCTACGTGGCTGGGTATGGCAGGGGAGCAGCTACAGATGGGGCCAGGTTATGAAAAGTTAGCCAATGCCACAAGCTATAAAGTACTCCTCTTCCACTCCACTAAGCACTTTTTTGAGTATCTGTTATGTACCAGACACTGAGAAGACTCCAGCAATGGGAAGGCAAAGAGTCTGCCCTCCTGGAAGTTATATTCTAATGGAGAACATGCATTAAGCAAATAAACAAGATAATGACGGGTAGTGATTACTGTTATGAAGGAAATTCATAGAAACGCATAACAAGAGCTGCCATATTGGGGAAGGAGAATGTTGGGGGAAGGAGTTCTTTTAGATAGGGTGGTCATTGCCGGCCTCTCTAAGAGGAGACATCTATACTGAGATGAAAGAAGAGGAAAAGCCAGCCATGAGAAGTGTGCAGAGAAGACTATTCCATGCAGAGAGAACAGCAAGTGCAAAGGCAAAGGCTGGCCATGTCGGAGTGATGGAAGAGGGCTCAGGTTGGCTGGAATATGGAGAGCCAAGGGGGCATGGGTATACAATGAGATTGAAATCACATATGGATGTCTAGACAAGGGTGAAGTGTTGAGTTTTAAACAGGACTTGTATCAGCTCATCTTGGCTGCTGGGAGGAGAGAGGATTGTGAAGGAGCTGGGAGGAGAAAAGCAGAGAGAGCCCTTAGGAGACAACTGTAGTCATCCAAACAAAGAGATAGGGAATGGAGCTAGTTAGTAGCAGATGAGATGGAGCACAGCGAATAAGACACATGATATGGAAAACCGAAGAGCCTGCTTATTTATTGGCTGTAATAGATGAGGAAAAGAGAAGACATAAACATGGCTCCTGGGTCTATTATGGCCATTTAGATTACTCTCAGGTGAGGCAAAGCAGATGCCCTTCCAGAATAATTTGCATTTTACAGTGAGCCCTGTGACTTTTTCCTTACAGAAAGAAAGTGGTCTGCAAATGGTTATAATACAGAGATTAAGAGGCCAAAGTCGTCGTTTAACTGTGTGATCTTAGGCTCGACGCTGCCCCTCTCAGAGCCTCAGAACCACCTTGATTAACCTCCAAAATCCCTTGGAGGTAATGAGTTTTTCATTGGTGCAGAAATAGCCATTCCCTTGGTAGAAGTAGGATTGTACAACTGAGAAGCTGAACCAAACACAACAATTGGTGGAGTGCGTTCCTCCCTCATTACCCTGTAATCTCCAAAGAACCTCCTCATAGGTGCTCTTCATATAGTTTATCTTTGCACCTTAATGTCAGCACAGCAGCAAGTCCATGGCAGGGAAGGGGCAGCCCAAAATACATCCACCAGAGGGCAGCATAGAGCTGTGCTTGCACAGATCAGCCCCTGAGGTCATCAGCCCCTGCTGTGGGAGCGTGCAGATACCTGCTTCCAGAGAAGAGCAGAGTTGGGGTCTGGAATCACTGCTGCTGAAGCAAACCTTTTGGCCAGGGTACTGAGAAGAGCATGAGAATGTCGCTGCTACAAACAGTGACAAACCCTAAATCCAACTGCAGCTTACACAGTCCAAAAAACAGATAAAATAGTATTTTTATCTTTAGCTGTCTTACATGGAGGGCTATGTACCTGGCACTGACAGATGGGTATACGCATTATCTCACTTAAGCTTTACATCAACCCTATGTGCTGCATCCTGTTTTTTATTCCTAGTTTACAGATGAGGAAACAAGTTACTGAAGATCAGTGATGGGGCAGTTTTCTCTAACTCTATAAAAGTCTGTTTCACTATAAAACCTCCTCCTCCAGGCTGTATACATCTGCTTGTTATTTTTCTAGAGTTCTGCTGGCTGCTCTGTGGATAGAAAGGAAGTATTACATAAGGATTATATAGGATTTGGCTCTTGCCCTTGAAGTACGTACACTTTCAGAATGGAGAGAACAACTTAGGTATCATACAAACAACTGTATATAATCCAGAGCTTCACGGCTTGGTAAAACTATGTTTTCACTACTCCCCAGTCTCAAGTGTTTTTCCACTGGTACTACACAATTGCTATAAACAAAGTCTTTTTCGTGAGAAGTGGTGTGCTGTAGTCAAACATTCAATCATTCATTCATTTGCTCTCCAAATATTTAATGAATATTTCTTACTATGACAGACACTGGATATCACACAGAAACATACTTCATCCTTGCCCTTGAGGGGCTTATAATTTAGTTTGGTATGGTGAAAAATGGACAATGGCAAGTAAACCAGTACATGTGGGATTATAATTATACATGCCATTAAAAAGGTCCAGTGGTTAGCTATTATCCCTAGTGACCTCAGCTCTTGGACCAATGATTTCCTGCTCTTGATTCCCGTGATCTCCTTCTCTATTGCAGCCACCGGGCAACCCTGCCTCGAGCAGGTCTTCTCTTCTGTGACCTTGACCTTTCTGAATCGCCTCTGTGATTGCAATCTCATGGACACATGTCTCTCACACTCCTTTGGATTCCAGCCAGCCTTTCCTCCACCCTCAGTGTATAATCCCTCTTTCTGTATTCTCTTGTCTGCTCAGGACTCCATGGCAGGTCAATTCAGCCATACCCTTGTTCCTGCTCTAAAATCCCCTGACCTTCCATGATGCCCATCCTGACCAATCCTGAGTCTACCTAGCACTCTGCCCTCTCTTCCCCAGCACTGCCCTGACCTTCTTCCCACTCATCCTCTCTGACCAAACCTCAAAGCTCCTCTGCAGACCTTTCAGGAGAACTTTCTTTGCTTCCTGTTTTATTCTCCATGGTCCCCATGTCAGGCCTTTTCTACTCCCCTCAATCCCAAATATACTAAATGCACATTGTAGTAAATGTAAGAAAACATGTGAACATCCTCAGCTTCCTTTGTCTTTACCTCAGAATCTTCCTCCACCTGTGCCCATTTGTCTTTGGCTCTCCAAGCAGAATAGGGAGTTTCTTGCTCTTGCAGGCACTTCATGATAAGGCCCAATGGTACTTGAAAAGAATCTTATAGCGGCACTCCATTCATTCCTTCATGCACGCCTACCTTTCGTACTGCATTCCACAGCTGTGTATTGACCACCTACTATTTTCCAGCATTACAGTTAGCACAAGAGATACCCCATAGCAGCCTAGGATCAGGGAGGAGCAGGTCAGGTAGACTGGAACATTATGGGAGAAATGGAGTGTCCTGGTACAAGGTCAGGCAGGTGTTGGGGGGTGTGTGTGTAAGACCTGCTCTGCACAACACCAGAGGTCATATTAACATTCCAAACTTATTCTAAAAGAAAAGGAAACCAGAAGACTGACCTGATCTGATTTGCAGTTTCCAAAGGACCACTGTGGTTGCAGTGTGGGGAATAGATTAGAGAGGGCCTGAGTGGAAACAGAATGGAGGGAACGATGGAAAGCTGGTACAGTAACCTGGGTGAGAGGGTATGGCTTCCTGTGCACAAAATCTCCACTCTTGAACATTCCGGCAGCCCTTGGACTCTATGCATCTGTGATTCCTCGCAAGTGCCCCAAGGCTCTGGCCCTGCTCTCCCTCCCCTAATTTATCTCACGCAGAGTCTTGTGCCCCAACCTGTACGCTACGCTCTAAATGACAAGAACCTCTCTCTGTTCTCTGAACAGTCAGGCACATTCCCTCCTCCAGGCCTTTGCTCATGCTGTTCTCTCAACCTGAATGGCCCTCCCTTCTCTCAGTCTGCTCCTATGTTCAACCCCTTTACAAATGCTCATTCATTACACGAAGGGAATGAAGCTAGTCCTCCTTGCAAATTTATGTTTATAATTTATTATATCACGATTACATTTTGACTTGCATTTTAGTTAGTTCCTTCCTGCTGTCCCCTAAATTGGGAGTCTTGTGGGAGAGGGAACATATTTTATTAGTATTTTTATTATCTCCTTCAAACCCATACTACCTTGCACAGTGGGATATCTTAGTGGGTGTTAAATGCTCCCTGTATGAAATTGCAAAGAATCCAACCCAATCCAATCCAATCCAGCTCAATTCAATTCAATTCAATTCAATTCAATTCAATTCAATTCAATTCAATTCAATTCAATGCCTTGTATACTGGTTATTTCCTTTATAGGTGGTAAGCCCTTTAAGGTTAGGCACTTTACTATGTTTCTTTGTGTCCTACCTGGCTTATATGGTAGGAGCTTGCTAAGTGCTTATTGATTGCCTTACTTAAAGATACACCTTGGTAGTGGAAGTGTTAAGTTGGCTTTGGACTCTTATTTCTTTTTATTTCATAGATACCAGTAACTACTTCTTATGTCAAATAGGGTATGTATAAGCTTGAAAGTTGTAATTCCATACAATTAAATGGCCAAAAAATGAAATGTAATACAGACTCTTAAATAGTTGATAAATGGGTTTAGGCAGCTGTATATAAAGACATAAACATATTATTCTTGGCAGGCTCAGCTTTATGAGGGCAAAAGAAAAAGTTATGACTGATGGGGACGGGGACAATGGTGGCATGATATTAGAGACCACAAATAACCTCCCTTCAATATCTATTTCACCAAATGGAGGCCTCCTCTGCTGCTCACAGCCAAAGGTGTCCTTTGTCTTATCCTAAATGCTGTTAAGACATCATCTGTAACTCTAGAGGGTCTATTACATCGAATTCATTGGTATTGCATTCAAAGGACTTCCAATCTGGCCCAGGCCCCCTTACCAAACTCGTCTTTAAGCTACACACTGCTCACTTCTTATGTAATGGAAATGCCCTTGTGAAGGTCACCATTTTTTTTATTGTGGTAAACTATATATAACATAAAATTTCCCATTTTAATTATGTTTAAGTATACAGTTCAGTGACATTCTTATGCAACCATCACCTTCATCCATCTCCAGAAGTTTTTCATCACTGCAAACTGAAATTCTCTAACCAACCATACCTATTTTTAATTTTTTAATTTAAAATGATGTCTTCTAATGGTAGGAAGTTCAAACAGTATCAATGTGTAAGTCCTACTCACCATTCCATACCCACTTTCTGCTGTTAACAGTTAGTTGTGTATTCATCTGCATCTCTTTTTTTTTTTTGAGATGGAGTCTCGCTCTGTCGCACAGGCTGGAGTGCAGTGGTGCAATCTCGGCTCACTGCTGCAAGCTCCGCCTCCCCAGTTCTGGCCATTCTCCTGCCTCAGTCTCCCAAGTAGCTGGGACTACAGGCGCCCACCACCACGCCCGGCTAATTTTTTGTATTTTTAGTAGAGAAGGGGTTTCACCATGTTAGCCAGGATGGTCTCGATCTCCTGAACTTGTGATCCACCTGCCTCGGACTCCCAACTGCATCTTTTATTGTGTGCAATATTTATTTTATGAAAATTGAATCATAAATGAAAAATGCTGTTTCCATTTAACCAGGTAGTATGTACATTTTCCCCATGTTCTAACATATAGGTATACTCCGTTCCTTTTATTGTCCACAGAGTGTCCCATAGTATGAATGAATGTACTATAATTTATGTAACTATTTCCCTAGCGATAGACACTTAGGTTTGTTTTTAAGGTTGTTGCTGTTGTTGTTTTTCCTTTGAGAAACACTGCTACAATAAAAATCCTGGTACACTCAGGCAAGCATTCCTGTGGGACACATTACTAAAGGTTAAATTTCTAAATATAAATGTTTCTACTTAAAAAAAAATGAATGTATACTATCACATTACTCTCCACAAGTGTTGTAACTGCTTGTTTCCCAGGAGTGTGCCAGGGAAAAGGGCTCTGTGCTTGGTAGCCATTGTTAATTCACGTCTGAGTGTGGATTTGCTTGAAGTCACTTCCCTCTTTGATAGGACCCTAGATGCTCTCAAAGGAGGATCTAATAAAAAAGAAAGGAAGCCTCTAAGAAAGTGGTGAATTCATAAATCATGGTGGGTTGATCCTGTTTGGGAAAATGAGAGACACACACACATGTTCAAAGGTTGACTTTTCATTTCACTGTGCAGAGCAGAGGCAAAGGGCATATGTTCCACTTGCTTAATTTTACTCTTCTTCATGCTCAGCAATTTGTCCCTGCTCATCCACACCAAAACTCTGGGCTTCGAGTCAAACCTCAACAGCAGTGTCAAAGCCTATAAGTCAGGGAAGAGCTGTGCCTCAGATACACATCATCTTCAACTTCAACCAATTCCGACTTCCAAACATGCAGAGAACCTATAGAAAAGAATGGCTTAGCTGAGACTTGAGCTTACAACTTCTCAGCAGTATTTTCTATTTAGATTAATAAAACTCCAAACAGAGTAAAGAGGACTTGTGTTAGCTTTTTAGTTTTGTTTTGTTCTGTTTTTTTTTTTTTTTTTTTTTTTTTTTTTTTTACTTATGATGAGCCGGGGCAGCACCTGTAGTAATGCATGGCTTTGGTATTTGCATAGCATAAGCTTACATTCATTAGAAAAGCATGTTATTCATTGAATTTCCCACGAAAACCAGTGGTTTTAATTAAGAAGAAAATTAATGAAATGCAATTAGTTTTGCTAATAAAGAACCATGCTAATTTCTGCAAAAAAATCTTATTTTCTATAATTAGCTCATATGGAATTCATTCATTAGAAATAAAATCATGTATACATGCAGAAAACCAAACTGCTGAGCAGGAGAGTTTCTAATAACTGAACTCTGAGAGTAACTGTTGAATAGCAGAAAAACATTAAGCCAATATTTCCTGATATAGTATATCTCATGGCAGATTTCCAGAGCAACCATGAAAGGGGCCCCTTATTTTAGAGCCAAGCCTATGTGAAATGAGATTATTCTCTTAAGAACAGTTTTTCCATAAGCCCAGGTTGTAAGGGCAAGAATATCTGATGTCACCCTTGCCATGACTAAGCCAAGAAAGGAGACTAGAGAAAATTTATTCTATTGCCATCACTCTGGGCATTTAAAAAATCAACAGGGAGCTTTGGAACTGGATAAAATCTAAATGTTCAATGTATACACTGAGACATGGGGTATTGCCATTGTGCTCCCCACCGCCCCCCACCTTTTTTTTTTTTTTTTTTGAGACAGAGTCTCACTCTCTCGCCCAGGCTGGAGTGCAGTGGCACGATCTTGGCTTATTGCAACCTCCGCCCCCCGAGCTCAAGCGATTCTCCTGCCTCAGCCTCCCGAGTAGCTGGGATTACAGGCTCCTGCCACCGTGCCTGGCTAATTTTTGTATTTTTAGAAGAGACAGGGTTTCACCATCTTGGTGTGACCCTTTTTAAACTGTATTAGGCTGAAAGCCTTTCACATACGGATAAGGATTCCTCTCAGATATCTACAAGGAAGTTGCCAGGATATTGTAGTAGACTTTTAGGGTTCTCTGCCCATCTTACAATAACCCCATAACTGCTCTTTTCAGCTTAAGTGTTGGCAACTAATGTATATTATGTGACTCCATGCTCCTCCCTACCAGTGGCAAACCAAATTCTCTTTCCCAGGAATTTGGTATTGGGACTAAAATATTGTGAGTCTTGGCTGGTAAGTGGAAGAAATCTGTCAAGAATTGTGTAATTCCTATCTTCTGTTACCACATTCATGGAGAAGCAGAGAAAAGAGAGATTGAGAGAGATACAGAGACAGAGAGGTGGGAGTTGGAGGATGGATATAGAGAGACAATCAGAGAAAAGAAATAGAAAAGAATGGTCTTTTGTTTTTATGTTTTCTAGTTCAGGTGATTTCCTAAAGCCTGGCTGAGTTGTTGACTTTGAGGTCCTCACGATACTCCTCTATCCTTGTACCAGACCTCCCCTCTTTTGCTGATGTTAACCTGAATAGAATTCTGTACTTGCAACAGAAGGTCTAACCATTGCATGTGGTGGAGTACATATTTAAGGAGAGACCAGCTAGGGGTAGGAGCCAGGGAAGAAAAAAAGGAAGAGAAAAAAAAAATAGCAAGTACTCGCTATGTGTCAAGCAACTGGCTAAACACTTTAAAAATTATCTTATTACTCCATAAAGTATCCTTTAAAAAGATGTTATTTCTCCCCATGTTTTCAAGGAAGAGTTCCAAATTTCAGAGGTTTAACTATAGGCTGCATAGCTGGCTGGTGGAAGATCTGGAATTTGTATCCACATTTGGGCTATTGGGCTTGGGCTCTGGTCTGACTGTGATAAATAATAGTCACTTTGATACTTGTGTAACTTTGAGCAAAGCACTTCACTCTATTTAGGCCTTGGGTAAATATAATACTATTTAAGGTCCCTTCCAACTTAATAGTATAGTATCACTTTAAAAAATTATTTAGAACAGTGTTTCTTTATCCAGTACTTTGAGTAGGGGTGGAGGTGGGTGAGTTAGATCTAAGCTTTGATGTCCTTTCAAATTTTACCCATCCTTCATCCCTACCCTACCCTTCCCCTAAAGAATTCTATAAGTTCTGGTGGATGTGTAAAGGTCATGGGCAAAGAGTTAAGATTTAAACCCAGGGCTGTCTTACCACTTTGTTATGCTTCTGTTTCCTCTTTTACTATGCCTATTGGAATAATATAGAAGTTCAATAATTTTTTGAACAGAATTGCATGAATATTTGCCACAAATGACTAATGTGTCCTACCTTGAATGCTTCTTTGCACATTAGAGAATTAACTTGTCAATTTCTGATAAAAATCCAGCTGGTATTTGTATTGGAATTGCATTGAATCTATTGATCAGTTTGGGGATATTGCTGTCTTAATATTGAGCCTTCTAATCCATGAATATAATATACTTTTCCACATTTTCAAAGGTCTCCTTTAATTTCTTTCAGCAGTTTTGTAGTTTTCAGCCTAGAATTTTTGCATTGCATTTACTAATTTATTTCTAGGTATTTGATATCTTTGGATGCTACTGCAAATCAATATTGTGAAAATGACCATACTGCCAAAAGCAATCTACAAATTCAACACCATCCCCATCAAAATACCACCATCATTCTTCACACAATTAGGAAAAAACAATTCTAAAATTCATATGGATCCAAAAAAGAGCCCGCATAGCCAAACCAAGATAAGCAAAAAGAACAAATCTGGAGGCATCACATTACCTGATTTCAAACTATACTATGAGACATAGTCACCAAAACAGCATGGTACTGGTATAAAAATAGGCACATAGACCAATGGAACAGAATAGAGAACCAGAAATAAACCCAAATACTTACAGCCAACTGATATTTGACAGAGCAAACAAAAACATAAAGTGGGGAAAGGACACCCTTGTCAACAAATGGTGGTGGGATAATTGGCTAGCCACGTGTAGGAGAATGAAACTGGATCCCCATCTCTCACCATATACAAAAATCAACTCAAGATGGATTAAGGACTCAAATCTAAGACCTGAAACTATAAAAATTCTAGAAGAGAACATTGGGAAAACCCTTCTAGACATTGGCTTAGGCAAGGATTTCATGGCCAAGAACCCAAAAGCAAAGGCAATAAAAACAAAGATAAATAGCTGGGACTTAATTAAACTAAAGAGCTTTTACGCAGCAAAAGAAACAGCAGAGTAAACAGATGACTGACAGAGTGAGAAAAAAATCTTCACAATCTATACATGTGACAAAGGACTAAGGACTAATATCCAGAATCTACAACAAACTCAAACAAATCAGCAAGGAAGAAAAAAATCCCATCAAAAAGTGGGCTAAGGACATGAATAGACAATTCTCAGAAGAAGATATACAAATGGCCAACAAACATATGAAAAAACACTGAGCATCACTAATGATCAAGGAAATGCAAATCAAAACCACAGTGCAATACCATCTTACTCTGCAAGAATGGCTATAATCAAAAAATCAAAGCACAGTAGATGCTGGCATGGATGCAGTGAACGGGGAACACTTTTACACTGCTGGTGGGAATGTAAACTTGTACAACCATTATGGAAAACAGTGTGAAGATTCTTTAAAGAACTAAAAGTAGAGCTACCATTTGATCCAGCAATCCCACTACTGGGTATCAACCCAGAGGAAAAGAAGTCATTATGCGAAAAAGATACTTGCACACACATGTTTATAGCAGCATAATTTGCACGTGCAAAATCATGGAACCAATACGAATGCCCATTAATCAATGAGTGGATAAAGAAACTGTGGTATATATATACAATGGAATACTACTCAGCCATAAAAAGGAATTAATTAATGGCATCCACAGTGACCTGGATGAGAATGGAGAGTATTACTCTAAGTGAAGTAACTCAGGAATGGAAAACCAAATATCATATATTCTCACTCATAAGTGAGAGCTAAGCTGTGAGGACGCAAAGGCATAATAATGACACAGTGGACTTTGGGGACTCAGGGGGAAAGGGTGGGAAGGGAGTGAGGGATAAAAGACTACAAATAGGATGCAATGTATACAGCTCATGTGATGAGTGCACCAAAATCTCAGAAATCACCACTAAAGAACTGACTCATGTAACCAAACACCACCTACTCCACAATAACCTATGGAAATGAGAATATTTAAAAAATATATTCTTGGTAGCAGAATAATATTCTCCCCCAAGATGCTCATGTCATAATCCTCAGAACTATGGCAAAGGATAATTAAGTTTGCAGATGGAATTTAGATTGCTAATCAGGTGACCTTAAAATAGGGAGATTCTTTTGGGTTATCTGAGAAAGCTTAATGTAATAAAAGGGCCCTTAAAAGTGGAAAAGAGGGCTGGGCACAGCGGCTCACGCCTGTAATCCCAGCACTTTGGGAGGCCGAGGCGGGTGGATCATGAGGTCAGGAGATCGAGACCATCCTGGCTAACAAGGTGAAACCCCGTCTCTACTAAAAATACAAAAAATTAGCCGGGTGCGGTAGCGGGCGCCTGTAGTCCCAGCTACTCGGGAGGCTGAGGCAGGAGAATGGCGTGAACCCGGGAAGCGGAGCTTGCAGTGAGCCGAGATTGCGCCACTGCAGTCCGCAGTCCGGCCTGGGCGACAGAGCGAGACTCCGTCTCAAAAAAAAAAAAAAATACAAAAATTAGCCAGGCATGGTGGCGCTCACCTGTAATCCCAGCTACTTAGGAGGCTGAAGCAGGAGAATCACTTGAACCCGAAATGTGGAGGTTGCAGTGAGCCAAGATTGCGCCACTGCACTCCAAATCCAGCCTGGGCGACAGAGCGAGACTGCATCTCAAAAAAAAAAAAGAAAAAAATACAAGGAAAAAAGAAAAAGTAAAAAGTAGAAGAGGGAAGCAAAACAGGAAAGTTAAAGGGATACATTACTTTGAAAAAAGGTTAGAGAGCTGCAACATTGTTAGCTTTAAAGACGGAAGATGGGACCATGAGCAATGGAATGCAGGTAAATCTGTAAGTTGGAAAAGGAAAGGAAAAGGATTCTCCCTAAGAGCCTTCAGCTAAAACCACAGCCCCACTGACACCTTGACTATAGCCAAATAAGGCCCTGATTGGATTTCTGTCCTCTTAACTGTAAGATAATGAATTGTGCAGATTTAAACTACTAAATTTGTGGTAATTCAGTATAGCAACAATAGGAAACTAATACAGAATTAGGGAAAAGTTCAGTAATTTAGGTCTCTGAACTTTGTTAGAAAGGTCAGTTCTCTCTTCTCTTCACCCCTAATCCCTTCATTCATGGAGCTTGCCCCATGGTGACATCCTACAATTTGCCAGCTTTGGGAACAGTATCAGACAGAGCAACATTTGCATTTTTGCACCATCCATGCTGCAAAGCTGAGCAACAGAAAGGTTTGACGGGATAACAAATATCAACAAATGAGAGCTAGGTCAGGAAGAAAACCTGGTAGAAGCCACACAATATTTGTGCAATAGCCACAGGTATTTGTGGGCACAGGTGAAGCACTACTTTGAAGGATAACTTTTAGTGGGGACAAATTCCATTTTGAGAAAGTAGGAGACTAAAAGATAAAATTTTTATAATTATGACTCTATTTGTAGGTGAGGCCAGCTTGGATTATGCTAATAATAAGGTATACACTAATACTGGTTACTTTCTGAAGTTTATGACATAATTTTAAATATAATTAGAGACGATTGAAGATTACCCCTATAATGACAGCATCCTTGCATATTAGTTTTTCAATATCTTGAGTGATAAAAAATGAGGAGGATGTGAGATGTTGTGCTGGGAAGTGCACATAGGCCTCAGACTGTCCTCTCTCTGACAGCTAAGTCCTGAGTGAGCTCCTACTATGAACTGAAACGCAAAAAATGGAAAGAGCATTTGTTGGGGCCAGTGTAAGTCAACTGTTTCCATCCTTATTCCTTAACTCAAAAACTCAAATAAAGAAAGACATTGTCAATTTCATGAGCGGTCCATATTTTTTTCTATTGACGAGAGACAAAGAATAACAAATAAAAGTATTTTATAAGGATATGAGTTATAAAATTAACTTTTTGTTATCTCCAAATTGTTATTTTGCAAGGAAAAAAATATAAGTAACAAATATGAGTATTCCTTTTTTTGGATCCATATTTGGCTGGATGCAGCCTGGACAGGTGTCATGGTTATAGATTATTGTCATGTGTCTCAGTTGTGATTTCAGTATGCTTATTGCTAGTTCTTTTATTTTGCCAATGGCTACATTTTTAATAAAGAAAAAGACAAGGATAGATGAGGAAAATATAGAACATTTTTATCTTCAATGCATGTCAGTAAGAATGATGCTATGAAATTTCAGTTAATAATGAAATTGGAGCTACAAAGACCAAATCATAAATAAAATGAATTTGCAATAGTGTTACTCATAGTAACACATAAAAATATGAAAATATCATGTGCCATATTTGCCTCTGCACTGAGTTATATCTGTACTTCTGCTTCAATACTGTAATTGGCCATCTCATTTCTATTGCCTATGGAGCAAAAGTCTGAAATAAAAAAGGTATGTTCATATTTATTACTTATATTTTTTTCCTTGCAAAATGACAATCTGGAGATAAAAAAAGTTAATTTTATAATTCACATCCTTACAAAAGAATTTTATTTGTTATTCTTCCAAAGGAAATCCACATGCCATTTACTTTATCTCTCACCAATAAAAAAAAATATGGACTGCTCATGAGACTGACAATGTCTTTCTTCATTTGAGTTTCTGAGTTAAGGAAACAAGGATGGAAACAGTTGACTTATGCTGGCCCCAACAAATGCCCTTTCCATTTTTTACTTTTCAGTTCAGCTAACATTTATTGACAGCTTTTACTGTGCCAAGCACTGTGCTAGATGCCAAGGATACAGAAATGATTAAAACACAGTTCCTTCCCTCAAGAATCCCATGCTCTGATGGAGGAGGCGAACAAGTGCTTTAGGCCAAAATGTAAAACTATGAGGGCACCAAAAAGGGAGTGGTTTATTTTGCCTGGAAAGAAATAAAACCTTCATAGAAGAGGTGACATTTGAAAGGGGCCTTGAAGGAAAAAAGGGAAGGTCGGTAGTTGTCTGTATGAAACAATAAAACAGCATAAAAATTCTAAAAGAAAGTTCTGTTTGTATTCTGTGGGCTACCTGTGCAACTGGATCTGAGCATTCCCTGGGGTGGCTGAGGGGGCTGTGTGGACCAGACAGAGCACAGGCTTCCCCGGCCTCATCAGTCCAGGCTGAGTGACCTCCAGTTGCAGGAAGGAGAAAACAGCAGATCCCTTCAGTGCACGGCACCAACACCTCCTATAACGTCAACCCAGGGCTCCGTGTGTCCTCTTCAAGAGGAGAAAACAAGACAAAAAAACAAACAAACAAACAAAAAACACGACAGCAGGGCCTTTCTGCCATTTCCTGGCTCTGAAATGAGGTTAGTGAGTTAAGGAATGAAGCCATCGTGTCTTTATCTGTAAACTGGGGAAAGCTATACCCCCCTCAAGTGCTTCTGTGAGGATGAAAGAGAGAAATGCATGCAAAGCCCCCGGCACATGATCCTAAGAAGTGGGAGCATGGCGATGATGGTGATGATGGTGGCCATGCTAAGGATAAAGGACGGGTCTGGTCTCTGGGCTGCCTTGGGAAGCCTGAGCATCCCACGCGGTGGGCAAGAACAATGTGATCTTGGCTACCCTGGCTCCGACCCAGAGGGACTTCCTGCCCATCTGCACTTCCCTTGCCGTTGTCCTTGTGGCTCAGGTGGTGCAGGCAGCTGCTCCAACTGCTGCCTCTGGTGCCCTGACAGCTGCAGGCAGCCAGGCAATGGGCTATGAAACCGAACCTCAACTGGAAACTATCCGCCCTAAATAATCCCAGCAACAAGGGCCGTCTCACTCCTCTCCCCTGCCTTCCGCCATCCCTGTTTTCACCTGTTGTGGTTTCCCTCTCATTCCACCAGCATTTTCTTTCATTTTCTCTGCCCCTTCGCTGCCTCTTTCCCTCTCTCTCTGTTCTCCCTCCTCCTCGCTCCCTCACCTCTTTTTTCTTCTCTGCATTCTGGCTGCTCCTCCAGTTCTGGTTTCTCCACTGTGGTGTGGCAGAGGATGTGAGGTCAGAAGGCTCAGGGCCTGCCCGGCTTCTGAGATGCGGGGCAAGCCGCCTCGGCCTCCTGGGATGTGGTTTCCTCATCTGCAGAATTGGACCAGAATGACTCTGGAGTGTTCCTTCCGTTCTAAACTCCCGTTCTGTTACATTGTGTTGTGTTAGCCTTTGTGCCTGCTTTTCCTGCTTCAGCTGTCTCATCTGTCCACCTGCCTCTTCCATCTGCATCCCACCACTCGGGTCCAAGCTGCCAGCATCCCTTGCAAGGACCCCTAGAGCAGCCTCCTGCTATTGGAGGTCTCTCTGCTCCTGTTCTTATCCACATCCAATGTGTTATCCACACAGAATCCACAGTGACCTTATCAAAATAGAGATGAGATTGCTCACTCAGCTTAAATCCTCCAAACTCCTTTACACCCCTTTTCTATCATAGGTCCCTGTTTATGTTCTTCAGAGTAATTATTATTGCCTGAAATTATCTTTATTTACTCATGAATTTCTTAATGTTGATGTATCATTTGCTGTCTGTCTTCCACACTAGAATGCAGGCTCCAGGAGTGATGGACTTGATTGTCTCGTTTACTCCATATCCTCACTGGAGGGGCCAGCGCCTTTATTCTCTCCATAAACACTGAATGAAGGAACCTCCCTTTGCCGCAGAATCCATCTCTCCCCTTCTTGAGAGTATTCTCTCCTAACCACACCATTTCTTACTTAGAAATACCTGTGCCTGCCAGAAATCCTGCCCATCCTTCTCTGTCATTTCTGATATAATTCCCCTCATTCACTTTTCTCAGTCAGCCGGGTCCTGTGTTCCCATGGGCTATGGTAAAGAACAATGGCAATGATGAAGCTAGTTCTTCTTTCACTTTAATGTCAATCTGTGCCGTTGGATGCCTTAAGATAAAATAACTTAACAACTCTGAGACTTGAATCTAGTTAATTGTCTTACAATGCTGAGAAAGAGACTTCTTTAAGAAAATATATTAAAACTTCCAAAATTCTGTGCTTGGTTCTTGGGGAGATGTTAGGAGTAGCCATTTTCTTTAAAACACCTCTTTAAAGTAGGTAATGTTAATATGTCCATTTTACAGGTAACAAAACTGGGATTTAGAGAGTGCACAACTGGACAAGGCCATAGAGCCAGAGGTGCATGGAGCCAGGATTTGAATGGAAGAAGTGCAACGCCAGACCCAGGCACCTAGCCACCACATGGGTGACCCTAGTCACCCTCTCACTCCCTAGATTAGATTACTCTGCATTATTTTCACCATAACACTTATAAATACCTGATGCGATCATATTTCTTGTGTCTATTTGCTTCCATTATAACATAAACTCCATCCAGGCAGTTACCATATCTGACCTGTTCACTGCACTTATTCCAATACTTACAATAGTGCCTCATACATAATGGACGTTCAATAAATATTTGCTAAATGAATTAGTTATTTGCATATTGAGGATGAGATATGAAAGAAGGCCTGATAATTCTGTATATAAAACTCCATCTTAGCCAGGCACTGTGGCTCACACCTGTAATTCCCAGCACTTTGGGAGGCCAAGGCAGCAGGATCGCTTGAGCCCAGGAGTTTGAAACCAGCCTGGTCAACATAGACCTCATCCCCACACAAAAAAAAATAATAAATAAAAAATAAAAAATTAGCCAGGCACGGTGGTGCATACATGTAGCCTCAGTTACTCAGGAGGCTGAGGCCAGAGGATCAATTGAGCCCAGGAGTTTGAGGCTGCAGTAAGCCATGATCACTCCAATAATGCACCCCAACCTGGATGACAGAGAAAGACTGGGTCTGTAAAAAACAAAAACCATCTTCTTTGATGATGGAATTTTCTCAAAAGTATCTTCAGTGTTGGCATATCTTTTTCCTTTGAGAATGCATTGGCTTTTTGCAATTAGCCAAAACTGTTAAAGACTGCTTTTTTGTCAAAAAGAACATATGGTCATAAAGCATCATCACTGCTTTTCTTGCCCTGAAATTAGATCTATTTGTGGAGGTGTGGAGGTCTAACTTTCTGTGCTTTGGGAAGCTTATGCACTCTGGTAAGGCCCCTGGACTCTGTCTCAGAATCATCATTTTTATAAGTATAAAAGAAAATATATAGAATTATAAAGAGCCAATTATATTGAATACAGTTATCAAAATGTTAAAAATTGTGACATAGTAACATATTTTCTTCTTTAATAACATATTAAATAAGAAGATCTAAAAATGTCTAATATCAACCTGGGAATGATATTTACAGATATCTGCAAAAACTAAAATGTGTTATGAAAATAACAGAATTAAATTAGACTCAGAATTTTCACTGGTAACAAAAATTTAGGTATTACTATTGCTTTCATAATTAAAGGAAACTTTAACTTTCTATTTTTCCTTTTTTTTTTTTTTTTTGAGACGGAGTCTTGCTCTGTCGCCCAGGCTGGAGTGCAGTGGCACAATCTCGGCTCACTGCAAGCTCCACCTCCTGGGTTCATGCCATTCTCCTGCCTCAGCCTCCTGAGTAGCTGGGACTACAGGCACCCGCCACCACGCCCGGCTAATTTTTTGTATTTTTAGTGGAGACGGGGTTTCACCATGTTAGCCAGGATGGTCTTAATCTCCTGCCCTTGTGATCCGCCTGCCTCGGCCTCCCAAAGTGCTGGGATTACAGGCTTGAGCTACCGCGCCTGGCCAGGAAACTTTAACTTTCATAAAGAGGTTAGTACAAAGAAAGATATAATTTTTCCTGCCCAGATTTACAGGCCTCTGAATCTTATCCACAGACTCCATGGACCCCAAATTTTAAAACCCTATATTAGAGAAATCCAGAATAGGTTCAGCAGTAGCAGCTACATTTAAGTAAGTGTATTACCTCTTAAGGTGACCTTAAACAGGTTATTCTTTACATGGTGTATAAGTTCTGACATACATGGTTATTTTTAAAATTCAGCACCACTTTTAAACCTACTGTAAACCTTTTAAAATTTTAAATTATTTAATTTTAAATTAATTTTTAAAATTAAAGATTTTAAATTAAGTTGTTAAAATTCAGCATCACTTTATACCTACCAATAGCGGGCATAGTTATAATCATTTTAATCTGTTTGCTTATTCTGTATCTACATATATATGATATAATATTCTGAAAACTTTTAATCCTTGACTATTATAAATTTATAAATTTTATTGGTAGATTTTATTTTATATTTTTAATTTGGTCCTCCTCTTTTATCTTTTCTTGTTTATTTTGACCAACATCTCCCTAACCCCTTTCCCAAATTTATTGATTTTTACATATTAATTTAAAACAGTTCATGCAGTCACATAATCCAAAAGTTCAAAAGGTATAAACGTACAGAAAATCTCCTTCTATCTCTGTCCAGAGTCACCTGGGTCTCTTCCTTTAGGGCAACCAATATTAGTTTCTTATATATTCTTTCAGAGATGCTTGAGATATACAAGCTTGTAAATTGTAGCATATTATCCCCATGATTTTCCACGCTCTTTTTTTTCACTTACTTCTATGTCTACAAGTTAATTCTATATTGGTGCCTTAAAACCTTCTTCATTTGTTTTTGTGGCTGCATAGTCTATTGTAAGGATGTATCATAATTATTTAACCAGTCTCTTAGTGATGGGCATTTAAGTTTTGCTATTCGATTTGCTGTTTACTATCATGAAAATTATTTGCTATTAGAAAAAGAGAGAACAGCAAAAAGTATCATCTAAGATTGGAATTTTGTCATGGACACCCACATATGTGGGACTTAGAATCATGAACCCTAAATATAAGTAGGTGGCAAGAGATGTATACCATATAGAGGTTAATATAACATATTGAAAATCACAATATCATGGATAATACCCCAACAGGATAGAGAGGAAACACAGAAACGTCATCAACCCTTTCAGTGGTCTAGGCCAGGTTTAGCATTTTTCAGGACCTAAGAGGGGATAACTGAGGGCAGGTAGGATATCCCCAATTTGACAGGCCCCTTTGGAGGAAGCTTGAAAGTTTCAACGGAGCACATTTGTTTTGTTTTGTTTACTCTGGCTCTCAGGAACAGAGGCTTGAGTTAATAACACTCTTTGGTTCATGGCGCAATGTCATCAGTGGTCCATGGAGGTTCCTCTATTGTGCTTATTTATTCCCCTTAACCCCCATTTCTGTCTTTCATTGCCCCCCTCCCACATCATTCTAAATAAATGTGTTTAATGTGTATATTTTTATGTGCAAAATGGATATGATGATATTTTGTGCATGTGTGTGTATTTCAGATTTACAGCAATGATACTGGATTATAACTAATTCTATTTCTTCTTCCACCTCCACTATGTTGTATGGCCCCTCCGTGTTTCTACACAAACATCTAATTCATGGTCTCTAACTGCAGGGTGGTCACATCCATCACTTTGTATCCACCTGCTTTCTCAGTGAGGGACAGCCAGGGTGCCTCCTGCTCCTTGCCACCAGAAATTAAATTGCAGTTCACAACCTTGTACGTGGCCCCCTCTGGATCTGTGTGAGAATTTATCTGGTGTACATACCTGGGATAGAATTGCTAGGTTATACAATTATGTATACTTAGTTTGACTAATTACTGCCAGATTACTCCCCCAGATGGCTCCTCAGTCAGCAACAGCAGAACACCTGAGAGTCTTCCAGCCCCATATGTTTGCCAGCTCTTGAAATGATCTTGCTTTCAATTTTTTTTCCAGTCAAGTGATATATCATAATTATTTGCATTTGCATTTGTCTATTAGCAGATGATTTTGAGCATCTCTTCAATGCTTCTGGGTCTTTTCAAAGCACTCCTCTATAGATTGCCTGTTCCTACCCGTTGTCTGCACTTCTAGGGTTTCTGTCTTTTCCTTGTTGATGCTTAAGAATTTTTGATATTATATATTTTCCTAAATAATGTGTAAGAGTTTCTTGTCAATTTTAGATATGATTAATTCTTTTTCAATTTTCTCATCTGCCTGCTATCTTTGCCTTTCATTGAACCAAAATTCCTACTTTTAAAGTAATCATATTAATCTTTTTTAAAATGTATGGTTGTGCTTTTGATGTTCTGTTTAATAAATTTTTTCCACCCGAGTTAACAAAGATACTGTCCTACATTTTCTCCTATTATATTTCTCAATTTATCTTTTACATTTCAACACATCTGACTTCACCTGCATGTATAGTATTAGGAAGGGATTCAGTTTCATTTTTCTCCAAAGATAGTGAGACCTTTGAGCCAATGTGCTTGAAAGAAGCAGAAGCTGCAGGCTGGAAGAGATGGAAGAGAGGAGGGAAATAAGGTATCTGGGACCCACAGAGAAAGGTCATAGATGCAGAATCCAGAGGCTCCATGTGACCTACCCTAGGAGGCACTCCTCCATCTGTGGTCTGTAATGAAATACTGAAAAAACCAGCATGCAGCATACTTCTCTTACAAATAAAGCCGTTTGGAGGAATTTCCCAGCAGCATTGAAGTTCCGGTACATGGCTTTAAAAATATCCCCTGTACACAACAGAAGGACTTTCCCAAGTGGGAGGGAGAGTTGGGTGAGTAGGAAGAAAGGAAGCACCCAAGGGAGGCAGGCCAGAGCACACACAAGCAGGTAGCTGAGAATTGATTGCACTAAAGATGAGCCAGATGACAGAAAAATCAAAGAATTATTTCTGGTCCTCAAAGTTGAAAATCTACCCTTTTAGGAAAGGTAATTGGTTCCTTTCCAGTGTCTGAATCTTGAACATTCTTCTATTTCTAGTTTATTATCAACTGCCTGTGGTTAGACCAAGTGCTTATCAACCAATTAAAAAGGTCAAAGAAAAGCCCATGGAAAATGACCTAACCAAATTATCGGCAGATGTTTGATATTTCTAGACTTATGATATGCATATATTATAACAAATGCAAAGATGCCGGATTGTTTTAAAATTTTCTTCTTTGTAAATGGACCCGGCAGTCAGCCTTTCATTCTTCTGTGACTTTACCTCTACTAAGGAACCCGATCATAGCTGCAGAGAGGCTGTGAAATTGTCCTAAGACCATAGCTCAAGAAGGATAAGAAAAAAGAAAACCTCGGGGGAAAGAAAAAAAAGCAAAAAATGTTCTCTTTTCAAATCTATAAAAATGGTTCTTAAGAGCTGGAATTTTTCTTAACCAGCCAAAAGCAATGGTTGCCCAGTGGGAGGAAAAAGCAGAAGGGAAATAAAAGGTCACAGGGAGCATTATGTGTGTATGTGTTTTTAAAAATTTTTCATGGTTTCTTGTCCTGAATATTTTTTTTAATGCAAGAGAAAATTTAAATTGGTGTCTTCAATGTCTCTGCTAAGCTCTCTCTTTTTTTTTGTTCAAAAGAAAGTACATGTCTGATTGAAGGCATCTTCCAGCTTATTCACAAACTGACAGTTATGCAACGTATCCCCAACTTTTAAAAGAAATCAACAAGGTGTATTAAAGCTTATGACTTGCAAATAGAAGTCACATATGAAGATACATGTCTTGTCAAATAGATTGCTCTTATACCACAATGTGGAATGTCTTTAGGACTCTGGAGTTAAATCCTGGGATTCTTCTGACCCTTACATAATGTGAGGTCTATGGTGATGTACTTACACTCTCTGAGCCTTCATTTCTTCACTCATAAAACTGAGATAATAATACTACCTACTTTATAGTGATATTAGAGTATTATATGCCACATACCTATTAAATGACTAAAAATACTACTGACAATACCAACTTCTAATGAAGATGCATGGCAGTTGAAACTCTCATACATTGCTAATGGGAATGCAAAATGGTACAGCCATTCTGGAAGAAGTTTTGTAGTTTTTTTGTATGTAATCTTACCATATGACCTAACAATCCCACTGTTGGATATTTTCCCAAGTGAAATGAATACTTATATTCACACAAAACTATATGTAAATACTTACAGCAGTTTTATTTATAATCACCAAAACTGGAAGCAACCCAAAAGACTGGGAGAATGAATTAATAAGCTATGATATAGCCATACAATGGAATACTACTCAGCAACAGAAAGGAATGAACTATTGATACACACAGCTCGGATGAATCTCAGAGGCATTAGGCTAAGTGAAAGAAACCAGTCTCAAAGGTTATATATTGTATAATTCCATTTATGTAACATTCTTGAAAAGACACAGGTATATTGACAGAAAACAGGAGCTTGGCTGCCATGGATCTGCTCAGGGTTAAGGGTGGAGAAAGAGTTGACTGCAAGAGAACAGCAGGGAGTTTCATGGGGTAATGGAACTGTTCTGTGTCCTGATTGTGATGGTATTTTAAGAATTTATGTCTGTGTTAAATGTCATGGAACTGTGCACCAAAAAGGTCAATTTTACTGTATGACTTTAAAAAATAAAACTTTAAACAAGATTACATAAAATAATGCATGTTTAATAGAGTCCCTGGCAGACAGTAAATTTTATCTATGAGTTCTTTCCAAGACTGTGGTATAGAGTATATCTCCATGCATCTAATTTAATAGAGCCAACTGGTAGAGTTCAATACAGTGTGCCCAGGCGAAACATAAAATAAAAGAAAATACTATAAACCATGTAAATAGTGCAGTGATTCTACCTGACCACCTCCTCAATACATATGTGCTTGGAGTGCAGGAGAGATGGGAAAAGTGAATCTGATCTTCCACATTTGGTGCCAGTTCCCGCATGCTCCTCTCATGGTATGGACATCTCTCTGCACTGAATGTGCTACTAGTGTTTCAAGATAAGAACATTTCCTAAAATATGGCCTCCAAATGCACGCCAACTATTTATTCTGGTAGTAATCCAAAGAAACAGGAATATGTCTAGACAGTGGGAAAAAACTGGCTGCGTTGGGTTTATTGGCATTCAATTTGATGTCTTCCTAAAAGATTATAAAAGGTAATTTTGGCTATATGCAACTCTTGCCGTACACACTTATATGATTTAAAATCAGCTCTGTTGCTCAGAGATGAGAAAACTAACTGATATTTAATGCAGGTTGTCATATACATATGCTTGATTGGCTGTTTGGAATTGCTAATAGTCCTTATGCAATGCTCCTAGAAAATGTACCAGCCATTATGACAGCTCAAGGACAGGTAGACCGCAGAGACACTCGGACCCAATGACAAATACAGGTTGACTTCCACACCTCCCATAGTTTCAGGTTAATGAAGGTAAATAGTCTAGTCTGTTATCCTACCCCCAAATGAATGAGTCTTGACCTAAAAGAACTCTTTGGCAGTGGTATTTAAAAGCCGAGACATACTCTTCATTGTTGAGAGTCTGTAGATTATTCATCTTTTAAAGTCAGATTTAATTTCTGTAAAAGTAAATGCAATTTTCAGTTAGATCTTATGTTAAGTTAATTCTGTTAGAGATACCAATTTTGGTAGAAAGATATTATATATATTTTTATATATAATTATATATAAAATATTATATATATATATACACATACACACACGTATATATATTAAGACATGCCTAGGAAGTGAGGAAGCTGGTTTTAGGGGTCTCCCAAAATGTTTGAGACCTGTATAGACTGGAAAATGTTAACAGGCTGGGAAATTGCTTTTTAAATGTCTTCAGCTCAGTGTTAGTCTTTCAAGTTGACTTCTTTGAAGGCAGAATATTAACACAAAAGTATGTATTCTAGCATTTATTATTTGAGTCTCATCTCTCCTGAGCTTTTGTTTTGTTAAGGTGCACAATCTTGATGTAATCTTAATTTTTGTTTGTTTGAAAAATCCAAATTGAGCAATGCATAGGCTTACAAAAGAATACAATAATTGCTAATATTTTATTGTACAACTACATTGGACTATGTTGAAGGAACTCTCCTAAGCATTTGACAAGTGTTATCTTATTTAATCCTCACATCAACTTTCTGTAAAAGCTACTATGCTATACCCATTGTACAGTAGAGGGCTGAGATCCAGAGAGGTTAAGTAACCTGCTAGTGGCCAAATGGGTGGTAGGTAAGTTGTAGAGTCAAGGCCCCTTGATAAGGTCTGCCTGACACCTGAGTGCCTGCTTCCCAGTCTCCTTGCTACGTTGCCTTCCAGGAAAGGCATGGAAAATAATCAGAATGGTAACAAAGCAATCCAAGACAGGATATGAGAACCAATCAGGATATAGGACATTACTGGGGATTCAAAATGAGTTAGGGAGAAGAGGTACCAACAGGCGAACAGCCCCTTGTTCTGATTTTCACCATTTGAAATAACGCCCAGAATAATCCGTCATTTATTATTATTATATTTTTCGAGATGGAGTCTTGCTGTGTCGCCCAGGCTGGAGAGCAGTGGTGTGATCTCAGCTCACTGCAACCTCCACCTCCCAGGTTCAAGCAATTTTCCTGTCTCAGCCTCCTGAGTAGCTGGGACTACAAGTGCGTACCACCACACCCAGCTAATTTTTTTTTTGTATTTTTAGTAGAGACCGGGTTTCACCATGTTGGCCAGGCTGGTCTTGAACTCCTGACCTCGTGATCCACCCTCCTTGTCCTCCCAAAGTGCTGGGATTTTAGGTGTGAACCATTGCGCCCAGCCCATCATTTATTATTTTACCTAAATATTTAATTTATTAATTCACTCAACAAGTGTGACTGATCCCCTATTACAAGCTGAGAGCTGAATGAGCTAGGCACACAGAGTTGAATCTACCAAGGCTTCTGATGTTTTTCCATTTTATTTTCAGTTGACATGTAATAATTATATATATTTATAGGATACAGAGTGATATTTCAGTATGTGTATACAATATATGAAGATCAAATCAGGATAATTAATGTATCAGTTACTTCAAACATTTATGATTTCTTTGTGTTGTGAACGTTCAAAATAGTCTCTTCTAACTTTTTGAAAATATACAACAAATTATTAAAGAGCTTTTAGTCTCATATGAGCTATTATTTACTTTAAAACATTTCATCATAAAGTATTATAATACATGTGTGTTTATTCTACACTCTAATAAAAAATACATACTTCAGAGTGATCAACCAGCCCTTAATTATTAGAGTGATACCCCGGAAGTGCTGCTGCAAGAGTTTCAGCTCTTTATCTCTAATCAACAATATGTTTTGTTTATTGGCATAATAGATTATTTTCTATCATGCTAATAATCAAAGCTGTTTCCATTAGTGCAATTAGGGTGTTCAAGAGGTAGATTGGCTAAAAATAGCATGGAGACATACTCCATCCTTGCATGACAGGGTATGAGAATCTTCTGACCTCAGTGGTCTTTATATCTAGTTGAATGACAGATTGTTGTGTATAAAAACTTATGAAGGCTGTAGATGTTATCTTCCACCAGGAGAGGATCAACCCTTTCCTCTGTGGGGTGGATAGACTGGGGCTGGGAGAAGCATCTTCCCCAAGCTTGTGACTGGGCTGCGTGTATCTTGGGTTTGTTCCTGTTCCCAGAATGAGGCCCTTCTTCTAAGTGAGAACATGAAGTATCGACCAGGACCCCAGCGCCTGGGAGATCCTTGACTTCTCAGTGCACACAGAATACAGAAAACTCCCATTTGCTTTTCAGAAGTTTTCTGATTTTTAATCTCCTATTCCATGCAGCTTCAGAATTCTGCAAATTTCTTAAAGGGAAACCAGCTGTGTGTTTGAGGCTCCTCAAGTCTCCAGTGAATTCCAGCCTCACATAAATGCAAAAACCTCTGCTTTCCCATCCCAACAGTGGCCCTCTGTTGGGCCAAGCAAGATGCTTAGCTCTGGCCATACCCGGAACTGGCCAAAGCTGACAGGGAACAGGCAGCTGCAAACAAGTCACCTCACCACTGCCCCCAGGCCCCATGAACCAGAGTTCCTCCCCAGCAGTCAGCGTCTTCGTAGAACCATGAACTGGAGGAAAGTTCTGCTCTGCTTTTCTAAGATTTTTAAACTTAGTTTCTAAGTCTCCCACTGGGCTCAGCTTCAGGATTGAGCAAATGTCTTCAAGAAGTAACTAGCTGTGTGTTAAGGCCATTGAAATCACCAGTTGGGTCACCTCCTTACTGCATACCTGCTCCAGTCTCTGCTGTTTTCTCCTTCCCTCGCAACAGCGGCCCTTTGCTGGAGCCAAGAAAGGCTTCTCAGCCTCATAGCCACACCTAGAACTAGGCAAATACCCCCTAGGAAAAGCTGCAAAAGATCCCTTCCTCACCCCTCTGGGATTTTCCCGTCTGGAATTTTAGCCCATCTAGTCCTCATTGCTTTTGCAGCTCTCTGATGCCTTGAAACAGATGTGTTTTTTGAATTTGATCTAGCTTTTTTTTCAGTTGTGTTCCCGTGGGAGTGTTAAGCTGCCATAAACCACTCTATTCTAAGTGGAAAGCCCCATCTGCACTTTTGAAATGGCAGCCAATGCAGGACCCAGGTTGCTGGTGGGAAGGACTCTTCTGCATGATGCCAGCCATAGTGTTGAATCCATCTTGCCCCCAGAATAGTATCCATTTTGTGTCCAATGAAACTAAAAGGATAGAATTGGGACTCAAGAAGATTGCCAAACAGGTTCTAGACTGTTTGGTGTCTGCTTTCTAAAAAAAAAAAAAAAAAAAAAAAAAATGTGTGAAAGATCTGGGTTTGAGAATTTTCCTTTTTTTTCTTTTCATTTTTTTGAGACAGAGTTTTGCTCTGTCGCCCAGGCTGGAGTGCAGTGGCACAATCTCAGCTCACTGCAACCTCTGCCTCCCAGGTTCAGGCAATTCTCCTGTCTCAGCCTCCCAAGTATCTGGGATTACAGGTGCATGCTGCATGCCTGGCTAATTTTTTGTACTTTTAGTAGAGTTGGGATTTTGCCATGTTGGCCAGGCTGGTCTTGAACTCCTGACTCAGGTAATCCACCCCCCTCAGCATCTCAAAGTGCTGGGATTACAAGCATCAGCCACTGTGCCCGGCTAAGAGTTACTTTCATTATAACCTGGTAGGAAAGTTGCAGGGGAGGAGATCCTAAACTGTAAACTACCTCTAAATTTTTGAAGGTTACTAGTTCTTAAAAAAAAGAAGCTAATAATTGGGAATGACCAAACTGGCTTAGATCCATTCTCAACATAGTTCAATTTATTTCGTTTTGACTGACATCACTTCTTCAGTAATAAGTGCTACAAATAAACCAGTGTGTAAAGCATTATTTCCTGTTCCTTTTGCTCTAAAAATAACTAACTTTCCACTGAACAACTTCATTTACCCGGTCCATGAGGTCCATAAGTATGTCAATATATTTGTTTTTCACCTCTGGGTCCCCTCAATTGTTTCAAAAATATCAATTCTATGTCTTCTCAGTCTTCGTATTTTCTCACTTGAGTGCTTATTTTCCCATTTGTATATTTACCAAAATCCCTAATTCTAATTTTAAATGATCTTTCCCAGAGACTTTTCTTCTCCAGCTCTGTATTCCTTTGTTTATTCAAAGATTTACTAAGTATTGCTTTATTATATCCAGACTTACATACTGTACATAGCCACATCTCAATTTTGTAGCTGAGGAAGGCAATATTTGATTTCATATACCTGAAGGTAATTGATATTTGATTGTAGAACTACCCTTTTATTCCAAAACAGAGAATCGAAAGTACTCTATACCTTGTCTGTCAATTTCTCACCAAACCTTAGCATACTGTCTTACACATACTAGGCATTTAGCAGCTATGTTAATGTATTAATCAATGAAAAATATATTAAATTCATTCAGGACGTAAAGGAGTAAGTAAAAGCGCACACATGATATGTAGTATCTCCCATGTTCTTCTCTTGAATCTCATCTAAAATAAAAGCCCATGTTATAGACTCAGAGACCTGTTTGGTGCTTCAGGCCAAAAGAAGCAATAAAAACTTTGTTTAAAAAAATCCATCTTTGCTTCTGAAAGAACAGAAGAGTGAGGATAGAAGTCTTATCAAAAGAGAGAGCTTCCCAAACCATTCTTGAAAGGACATAGAAAACAGGTACAGGGGAAGGTTTACATTCAAAGAAGGAATGATAAAGGTGTGAAAAGGCAAGAATATAGAGGTGTCGAAAAGTACACTTAGATTAAAGAAGACAGTACGCTGTGTTGACTTTCTAGGTAGAAACTACAAGGAAAGGTGATAGTGAGGAACCCTGGAGCAAGACAGGAAGAAGGAAGCTTATTTCACTAACTTCTCTTTCAGACCCTAAGGCATCACCTACACTGAAGTCTGCACATTACCAGCACTCTGAGCACTGTGCTGGGAGGGTGAGTTAAGAGAGAGAAAAAGTGTTTGTGCATCTTGATATTTATGAAGATCTATTGGAGACCATCCATGTGCTGAAGCCACCATTTGTTTTGCTTGTGGAGGTTTTCTCTTATTTGGTTCTTTTAGAATAGGAAGAAAAACCAGAAAGAAATGATTTCTAGAAACCATTTCTCTCAACAAAACACATGTTTCTGACCTCATCTTCACTCGCCTTCTCTGGGGAGGACTTCTGCCCAAGTTGATATGATGATAACACATATTAGGAACACATTTAACGTAACAATGGTGTGCACAACACACTTGAGCATTTATCCAGGAGGATATGTGATACTGGCAAATTGAAGGCTGGTTCCAATTTGTTTGTGGATAGACACAGAATACTAAGTCCAATGCAAAAGTGCAGAGTAAACGTTTGATAAATACAGTCAAATGAATAAACCAATGAATGAACACAAAACAAGTTGAACCATACATATGTAGAGAAAACACCATAGAAAGAGTCGTCTAAGTTCTCTGCTTGGTCATAGATTTATCGCATCACCAACAATTTATTGCATCAACAAATGAAACAGTAAAATGAATCCAAACTTGTTTAGTACATCTAAAAAAATTGCTGGCAGATAAAGGTATCTCAAATTCAAAAAAAAAAGGAGACAGAAGTTTTATGTCTTACATATGCAGGTCATGATTAAAAAATAAGAAAACAGGCTGGGCACAATAGCTCATGCCTGTAATCCCAACACTTTGAGAGGCTAAAGTGGGAGGATCACATGAGCCCAGGAGTTTGAGACCAACCTGGGCAACATAGTGAAACCCCATTTCTATTAATTTTTTTAAAAAAGATGAGAAAGCAAAACAAAAACATTGCTTCATCCAATTAGAACATATAGTGAAAAACAAAAGGATGTCAGGCCTAAGCTTGGATTCTTGCTCCATCTCTTCTGTTTGCTTCAGGAATGTTACTTAACTCCCTCGAGCCTTTTTCCTTGTCTTTGAAATGTGCTACCCATACTTATTTGGAAGTGTATTAACCTAGTACATATACTAAGTAAGCTCATGAAGGTAAAGGCCTTGTGGGTTCTTTTCACTTGATAGGAATTTTCTATTTAGATTCCTCTTTCTTCTTGGAGTATGTTCACTAACATACCCTTTGCTGCTGACTACAAAGTAATGTGCTCATGCCATTTTCCAAGAGAAAGGAGAATTTATTAGGTTGATCAGAGAAGCATGCAGTAAGAATATAACAAGTATGCTGATGCCAAGAACAGATTTCTTCTTATCTGGTTACTGTTCTTGTTTTCCTTGGACATTTCATCTCCAAATCCACTTCATGCCCACATAGAACAGTCTTCCGGAACATAGATGGATGAAGGGACCCAATAAAGGTTTGCTCTTTTTTGGTTAGGTCACTTCTTTCCCCTCTAGAAATTTATCTCAGGCTCACTGTGTGTAGTCCCTATACATATGCTTTTATTGTTCATATCCAGAATGCAGAAATTCCCATGCTGATAGGTGGGTTCAGACAGCCATGTCTATCAACTCATCATTTTCTTGGAGCAGTCAGTCTTGGATGGCTTTAAAATAAGGCTGAGAGATCAATCATAAGACCACGAAGAACAGTCACGGTTTTCTTTTGGCAAGAGCAGCAGTTCCCAAACTTTGGTCATTTTAATATGATGGCCATGATTTTTGTCACATTGACACACCAACTCATCTTTATGTTTTTATCATAGTTGCTTAATACTTCCTTAATATTCTTTTAAGTCACCTCCTCTTTTTACCCAAAATTATTTAAAATGAAAGTTTATATTATTATTTTCAATGTTAAAAAATCACCATAAAAAGAAAATTTTAAAAAGTATAAATTCTAACTAGAAGGTTGTCTAAGATTCTGAGCTTCTGACCTGCTTTTTTTAAAGATGGAGTTTATGAAGTGTAAAAGATATGTGTTAAAGATTTGTAGCTCCTAACTTAGACTTTCTGCTTGATGAAATCAGCACTGAGAAGGAATTGAAAAGGGAATCACTTCCTCATCCTGTGGGGCAAGGAGATGTAATGCTTTTATCTAAGGACTATCAGTAATGAGGAAGTGCCTGTTACAGGGCGCTGCTAAGGGCAACCCCATTTCTCTGGTTACAGGGACCTGCAAACTCAGTGGGGGCCCAAGACAGGTACATTCGGGTCACGGCCAACATGCGGAGAGAGAGAACACACACCTTTTCGGTGAGTACCCTGTTACATAGACATTTTACAAATATTGGTTCCCTGGAAGCCCCTCCCACCTCCCCTCTCATCCTTGTAAGTTCTTCCTTACATCCCACCTTAATATAAACAATAAACAGTTATTACTGAGGGCTCCCTATGTGCCAAGCAGTTTCATGTATCATTTCATTCAATCTTCACCACACTTTAATCATTTTATAATTGAGGAAACTTAATTTATAACTGAAGCAACTTGCCCCAAATTGCCCAAGGGCAGGGATCTCTTATGATTTGGGGTTTCACCACCAAGATATAATTAGAGATAAGGATGTTATTTAGCTAATTAAGTCAAATAGACAAAACAAACCATTTGCCTCAATTATCTGAATTTTGGCTCACCATTCTTAAAGTTTGGCTCAGAAATTATACTCTTCTTTTTTCTAGGAACAGTTTTGTTTTGTTTTTGGCTTGGGTAATCTGGCTTATTGCCTCGGTTCTCTCATCAGTGACTACCACAGTATTGTTCTCAGAGCGATTTCATAAATATACATGGAGAGAGGAAGTAAGGGAGAAAGACAGAGAGAAGAGGAGAGAAGGAGGGCAGCAGGGAGGGAGGAGGATGCCTCTTTGTTAGCAAACCCACTGGACGTGTATGCCCGAGAATGAAGGTCTGCACCAAATGATTGCTAATAAACCTCATCACTTTTGGTCACTTCCCCTACTATCAATGGTTCACCGCGTTTCTGTTACCCTCAGCCCTGAAATGGAGCTCACAGAATTGGCCCTAACCTCCTCACATGGCTGTGACAATCTAATGAGCATATGTTCGCAGAAGTATTATACCCATAAACACGTTGCTTCAGATGGGGTTCTTCCTGGTGATTTAACTGGGTGCTCTGCCCTCCTAGGGAGCTGCAGCTTTGCAAAACTCTCCAGAACTATAGTCACAGCCAGCCATCACTTTAGGGATAAAACTAAAGAAATTCTAGATCCCATCTAAATTCTCCATGCCTTGTATGTGCAAATGTGAAAAGCCAGAAACACCATTCCCAGTTCCATGGTCTATTAATAATATTCTTTCAGCTCCAAAACAATTCAGTTGCTCTGAATGAATTTAACATATCCTTGCTCCATTATTCAAATTCAAACATCACCTCCATGAACAAAACAAAACAGGACACATTTGCCAAAAACAAAAACATGTTTTGCCTCAAATTTCTGGTTTGACAATTCTGGGGGTAATAATTAGGTGAATAAGTGTTTCAGCCACCTACTTCATTTTGCTTATATGTGTGAGCATCCACAATATAGTTATATTTATAAACTATAAAGATGTTTCTTCTATGTCTGAATTTTTAAAAGTCAGTACCTGCTGAAATTCTGTCCTATTTGCAAACAAGAATGTTTGGCCCCTCACTTTTCCATTTAGCTTAAAAAAATCTCATAAGTATCCTAATAAATATAGGGTCAAAGCAGTTCTCATGCATTTATGGCCAGGTTATCACAATAAGACCTTTATTTCCTCGTTATAAAATATTTTTAAATTGCCCTTTAAACTGCCACTTAGCTTATGGAGTTTATGACAGTTTTTTGTTTTATCTTCAAACTGAAGCACTGAACTGACAATAGTCATGGGCTTGTTGAATTTAGATTTTTCTCAACTACTATTGTCGATGTCAAGTAACCTCTACAAGTGTGCCAAGATGCTTAGTTCTGTTGCCTGCAGGTTAACTGTATGGGTCCCAGAGTCTTCAAGACTCAGGGAAATCTGTGATTGTAAGAAACAACCACCCCCACAAAAAACTTTCCCACCTGGAGGACTTCTAACTGAAGAGTGAAAAGTATATCTCTTAGGGACTAGGGGAGAAGGGACCAAAGCAACTAAGAGTGGAAATACATTTTAAGACTATCTTATTGTATAAATCAACATGAGGTTTTACACACATAACTGGAGTTGAATATATGACTACCCACCTGTACCTCTGAATCCATCTATTTGTTGCCTATCTGCAGAGCTACCACCCTTGTTCAAATACTTTCTTGGAGAATAGCAATAGTCTCCTAGCTGTTCTCCCGACACCAACCCTACTCTCCTATACTCCAGTGTTCACACGGCAGCCAAAGTAATCTTTGAAAACACAGAACTAATCTTGTCACTTCCCTAGCTTAAGAAAAAAGACAGTGATTTCTCAAAACTCTTCAAAGTAAGGTAAATGGCCCCAGCATCGTCCTCTCTGACCTGGCTGGTTTCATCACACACTGCTCCCCTCTGTTTTCTGTGCTCCAGCCCCAAACTCCTGTGCATCTGGTATGGAGTCTTTCTCCCCTCTTCTCCACCTATATGGGAAGCAGTGGAGTGTAGTTAAGAGAATGGTTCTGGAAAATAACAGGCAGGGCTGTATTGAGGACTCAAAGAGTTACTACATGAAAAGTGCCTAGAGTAAACCCTGATACCTAGTCTACACTCAGTAAGTGATAGCTGTTTCAGGAGGTTACTCAACTTTCAGCTTTCGGCTTAAATAGCACTTTCCCTGGGAGGCCTCTCCAACTCCCCCAGGCCAAGCCTGGACAACCTATTAGGTGCACTCGCAACTTCTTCCACTTCTTTAAGGTACTTGTCACAATTTGTAGTTATGGGTGACTATTTGGTTGATTTCTGTCTCCTCTGCTAGGCTATAAACTCAGCGAGGTCACAAATCATGACTATTTTGTTCACCATTTATCATATTCTGAGCACTTAACTCAGTGCCTGTAGTCTACTGGGTGGTAGGTATATATATATTTAGAGTTGGAGTCTCACTGTGTTGCCCAGACTGGTCTCAAACTCCTGGCCTCAAGCAAACTTCCTGCTTTAGCCTCCCAAGTTGCTCGGATTACGGGTGTGAGCTACCATGCCTGGCTAGTCAATATATATTCATCAAGGGATGTTGAAGAAATAAAAAAGTAGATGGGTGGACAGATGAATGGATAGATGGGTGGGCGGGTGGATGGATGGGTGGATGGACGGACAGATGGACAGACGGACAGATGGATGAGTATATCTGGTGAAGTGATAAACTAGGTAAGGTAAAGCCCCAAAAAGAATATTAGGGATCTAAATAAACATGGATCTTGTGGAAATAAAGACAATTGTAGGGTGGTACAGAAGAGAAGGAGGAGAGTTATCTGAAATTTTAACTCTAAATTTTATTTACTTCCAGTGGGAGGGAGTGCTCAGGCTGAAGCTTCCTGGTAAGCAGAAGGAGAATGGTCCTTAGCCGAGGCCTCACAGCATAACACTAAAGAGCACAGACTCTAACATCTATCAGACCTGATTTGAATTCCAGCTCCACTGCTCCCAAGCTATCCACAGAGAGCATGTTTCTTCACATTCCTAAGTTCCATTTTTCCTGCTGTAGAATTGGGTAACAATAGTGCCCTCCTGTGAAGATATTAGGAGGCTTAAGTGAATTTTGGATGTAAAGTGATTCACTCAGTGCCTTGAGCATAGTCATAAGAAACTGCCACCCTGAGCTCAATCTTAAAATCCTCAACAAAGCAACACGGTTTGTACTGCTGTGTTGTAAGGGGCAGAGGGAGTTGCAAGTGAATCACAACAACCTTGCAGAAAATCTGCTTCTGCTCCTGCGAGATAGGACACACAGCAGCCATATCTTACAGGGACAAGTTGCTCCACGTATCTTGTGCCTAAATTGCTATTCCTCTTCCTCTCACCCCCTGTGATGAACCCTGGGTCCTTAGGGGCTCAGCTGGTATTTTCAGTGTTGTCAAAACTAACTTCCTAATTACTTGAATTACTATAACTTGAATTTTTTTCAAATACATATAATTTTCCAGAGACCACTAATTCTCTTTTCATAAAATAAAGTCCTAAAATAATCTAGTTGTGTTCTTTCCCCAAAGGCCTTACAAAAAAAAAAAAAAAAAAAAAAACAAGGAATATGTGCTTTTGAAATCACCTCATGTCTCCTGGATTTCCTCATTCACCAGCAAAAAATTTAATAATGGACCCAGCACAATTCACAGCGGGGGAGGAAAATCTGCCACCCAGTCCTCAAGGGAAGAGACATGAGGTTGACTGCAGAGTGAAAATTTAATCTCTGCCTGAGGTTCCAAAGAAAAGGGGGTCTGAGCCGATTGTTCAATTACACACTCAGTAAGCACATGGTTGTGTTATCCCTGCTGAAAAAGGGCAGTGAGCCAGGCTTTCATTCTTGTGTTCAGCATACGGGAGACTGCAAAGACCACACAGATGGCAGACGACAAAGAATAACCCACTTCTTCACGAAGGCAATAAGTGAGTTTCTGTCTGGTGGTAACACAGATTGGGTGATTGTGGCTGGCAGGCGCAATTAGTTGTAAGCTTGATATGGCCATGGGGAGTGAGGGGCCCAACATAGATTTCCATAATATAGATAGCCCTTAGATTTTACTAGAAATTATCCCAAATCCTATGGGAATATCTGTACTTGTGAACACACAGTTTCCTCCATAACATTCAGATGATTTCAGATCCTTAGTGACTCTGACCTAAACTAGTTTTCTCTGGCTAAGAATGCTTTTTCATACCCCTTTCACTTTCTCTTCCTTTTCTTCACTGGCACTAACATTGGCTTTTTTCAGAAGCAGTTTTCTAAAAATAAATCAAATATTTTTTGTTGTTTCCTAAGAGTCATGGCACATGTGGTAGGGAAGGAACAATGAAACCATGCGGAGATGGGGATATGGAAGGTGGGCAGGGGGCTAGGCTCCCTCACCCACTAGACCAGACATATGAACGCATGTCAGGGGAAGAAAGGGAAACAAACCTTACTGATTTCTGCCCTTCGCCTGGTATGATAAGAGTTCCTTCCATGTCATATCGTCTTACTCCAGAGTTTATACTCATAAACACTGTTCTTTATAGGAACTCTGCGAGGTTTGACCTTATTATGTCCATGTAATGACACAGAAACTGAGACTTGAGAAGGTCAAGAAGAAAAATCTCTTAGCAGTGTGTAGGATCTTTATGGACCTGTTCCATAAACAACAAGAAATCATGGTTACATTTTGCTTTATGGCAACAACAGGTCTCAACCAAGGCTATATCTCAGAGTTACTTAGAACTTCTGAAAATGAAGGTTTCCATGTACTGTTCCTGATCTACGGAATTGGAATCCATCACCTGTTATCTATAGAATGAAATTGCTAAGTAGCCTTTTAGTCAGCAATTTCATTCCATAGATAATCCTGCTAATTATAAAGAATAACTCTTTTATCTCATTTAGTTTTGCAATGGCCCTTAAAGGAACTACTGTTAGGATTCCTATTTTATTGATGAGGAAAAAGGTACAGAGAAGTCTGGGAACATGCCCAGTGTCACGTAGGAAGCGTGGAGGCAGAATTCAAACCCAGGTTGTTCGTGCCTGAATTTTTCCCACTACATATTTATTGTCTTCCCAACATTCAGGATGCTTCAAAAGAACACAGGGCTTTTGATGCCCAGACATTCCTACTATTTTTCCAAAATCTATTAAAAATGGGGATGGCAGAGCATCTATGAATATAATTAATACCTGGTATTTCAATAGCAATTTTTAATTTAAAAGGGCTATGTATTTATTATGCTATTTAATCCTCACAACAACCTAGAAGGAAAATGTTATTTTTCTTATTTTACAGACAGAAAATTAAGCCTGGGAGGGATTAGATAATCTATCTTGGATCCTACAGCCAATGAGTGATAGGCCCTGGATTCAAACCCAGATTCTCTGCTTCCACAGCCCTCCCCACCTTGGCCTTACTAATAGTTCTTGGACCTCAGAGGCAGCCTCTTTCTTTTCTCTGCCTTCCCTGCCTTGCCACACAGGCTTTGTGTTTCTTTGTGCCTCCTGATGAAGAATACAAGTGCAAATAGCAAGAGCTTGATGCCATCAACCTGTGATTCTGGACAATCTGATGCAATCATCTTTCTCACAGCATCCTCAAGGAATAAATCACAGGAAAGAGCTCCTGGGCTTTTCGTTTGTTTTAAACAATAAGAGATGTTCAAGTTGTTATCAGTGTTTGAGGTTTCTAATCAGCCTAAACTGTCTGCTCTATAATATATGCTGACCTTCTAGACTGATAAACCTGCATAATTATTGACATCTGCAAAAGTTAGTGTTTGCATATTATGTTGCGGACACAGTTCTGACAACATTGGGAGCAGCAAGTATTAGAAATCATTACAGGCAGGCTGGCTGTGAGAATGGTACTTTCAATTGTACCAGGCAAATGGCAAACAGATGAGTTTATATCAAGGCTAGAAATAAATTTATGTTTTCTCTATATACCCAGCCTTCAGATCAAGCCAAAACAGCAATTTTTGTTTTCATCAATTAGAGAAGACAGTCTCTTAGGGGTCACAGCTGGTTTATTTGCCATGTCTGTGACAGCAACAGTGGCAACAAAAGCTGATATACGTCATTTAAATAAAGGCATACAGTCTTGGTGTTATTTGGTGAGACCTGTCATCAAACTAAAAAGTTAAAAATCAATCAACGTTGGGGCCGGGCGTGGTGACTCACGCCTGTAATCCCAGCACTTTGGGAGGCCAAGACGGGCGGATCACGAGGTCAGGAGATCGAGACCATCCTGGCTAACATGGTGAAACCCCGTCTCTACTAAAAATACAAAAACACAAAATTAGCTGGGCGTGGTGGCGGGCACCTGTAGTCCCAGCTACTCGGGAGGCTGAGGCAGGAGAATGGCGTGAACCCAGGAGGTGGAGCTTGCAGTGAGCCAAGATCGCACCACTGCACTCCAGCCTGGGCGACAGAGCAAGACTCCATCTCAAAAAAAGAAAAAAATAAAATTCATAAATAAATAAATCAACTGTTTGTTTTTATATGTCATAGCAAACCAAATAGCTCCACCACTTTTTTTTAATCAGAATTATTTAGCTTATAAATTGACTACAACCCAATGTGGTGTCTGATTTTAGTTCACTCATTTAAAACTATTTATTGAGCACCTACTATATGTAAAGTATTGTGCTAGCTCTGAGGTTACAATTAAGAATAGCATAGGTGATAGCTCCTGCCCTCATGGGGCTTACATTCTAGAGACAGACAGAGAAGTAAATTAGTAAAATAAATTATTTCCTTGAATATTCAGGGAGGGTCTTTCTGAAGAGGCAATAGTTGATCCTGCACTGAAGGTTAAAAAGAACCTGGTTATGTGATAATCAGGGGAAGAGCATGCCAAAACACAAAAGCTCCAAAGCAAGAGGTACTCAGCCTGTTTGAAGCATAGAAAGGAGGCTAAAACAGCTGTAAGGTGGTTAGCCAAGATATAAGGATGGTATGGAGTAGGAGTGAGAGAAAATGGAGGTGGTGAATTTGGAAAGGTAGACGGCAACCAAATCATGCCAGGCCTTGCATGAGTTGTCAGTAAAAATTTTGGGTGACAATGATGACATTCATCCTGTGACATCCTTCCACCCTGCTGAGTTCATTCAGGCATCTGTGCCTTTGTCCACTTCGTCTACTTCCCTCTAATACTATGGAGGCACTGTTGGGTCCTCCATGACTCCTTGGATCTTCTCCTTGGAGATGACCAGTGTTTTGTGGGTCAAACACTTCTGGTGTGGAAGGACTTTAGGACACCAGGAAGTGCTGAAAGTTGGAAGAAAACCTGACTCTCTCATTTTCTCTAATGGGAAAAATGCCTATAGAAGTGTTTTTTCCCCTATCAAATTTGATAGAGATGTGACCCTTCCTTTTGAGTAACATGACTGATAAGCACAGAAATAACACAGCTATAAATATGTATTATTTGGCTAGATGATACAGTGGTGATGGCTCTCCCAAAAAGAGATGATTTAAAAATAAGTTACATTGGATTTGGCAATATTGAGTTTTATGGAATTTCTACAATTGAATAAATTGGTCAAAATCCAAAGAACCCTGGGATAGAGGTAAGTATTCACTCTGATTCCCCCAACTCTTTTCCTGGCCAACTTCTATCATCCTTCAGGTCTCAGCCCAGTCAGTAGTCATTTCTTGGAAAAATCCTGCCTTACAACCAAGGGCTAGGTTAGTTGCACCATATTCTCTTTTTTCTAATGCTATATTTTTGCCTTGAAAACACTTATCACCACAGTAAATATAACCATATATGAATACCTTTATTGTTCTCATTAAACAGAGAAAGCAAGGACTATGTCTGCCCTCATTCATGCATGTGTCTGACAAATATGAATAAAGTGCTCACAGTATGCCAGTCAGTGAGCTCAGCAATGGGGAACACATAAGTCCTTGTTCTTATGGAGTTCACGTTCTACTTGGGAGGCTCCATTGCCACTTGGACTATATTCCTTCCCCATTCTTCTTTTCTTTCTTCCCTCTTCCTTTCTTTCTCCTTTCCTTGCTTCCCTTCTACCATATATTTAAGGAATACCTGCTCTGCTCCAGGCACTTAGTTAGCTGCCAGGGATGCACTGATGAGCAAGACAGTTTAGCAGTCTACGGTTTAATTTGTATTATCATATTTTTTTGGTGGGGCAGAGAAAAGGAAATAGATATTGTTAGCTTGTGTTATATAATTTACAGTCAACTAAACTTTACATGGAAGTATTTATCATCCTCATAGAGTATATTCTAGTCCCACTCCTTGAGGAAAATGAAGAATGTTACTAGTGCCAACATATGCTATAGGAAATACTAGGCAGGCTGGCCATAACTTGAGAGATTTCATTCACCTTTTATGGGCAAACAGCCATAGAAGAGACAGATTAGGTGATGTCTCCCACCTTTCATTTTTTACCGAGACTACAGAGGAAAACCAAACAAACCTCTTCTTAGTTCAGCATTATACATCTCCCAAGTCCCACACCAACCTCCCCTGCCCTCAACAAAACACATTACCTCCCATACACTGTGAGAGGTCAATGGAGTAAACATCATATTTTAAGAGACAGGCTATATCAGGTAGCCAGTGCAAAATCTTTTCTTTTATCCTAGGAGGCTCCTTGAAATCTGAGTATCTCGTAACTCAAGAAATCTTGTGATCCTCAACACCACCCACGAGTACTAATGGATTTGAGCTTGATAAATTTCAGGGGCCAAGACTCCTTAGCCAGGTCCTGATGAATAGATTCTAATACCCAGCATTACACACACCTTACAAATAAGCTTAGGCATCATTTCCTCAAATTTCCATCATTTGCTTATCACTGTCATATTATTTGTCATAGCTCTTTACCATCTTTACTATTATTTACTAAATATTTTTTCTTAAAATTGACTCAATTTTTTAGACTGCAATTGACTTATTTTAAAAAGAAAATATTACATATTAAAATGGAAAATCAGTATCAATCATAAATAGAAGGTTAGTAGTATAGGTATTAGAATTAGCAGACAAGGACATTAAATGTTTTGACAAATATATCCCATTTTTAAAGATGTCAGGTAGAATCAAAAATAAATGTGTATATACATATGTGTGTATATAGATGTATATATGTGTGTGTGTGTGTGTGTGTGTGTGTGTGTATATATATATATATATATATAGAGAGAGAGAGAGAGAGAGAGAGAGAGAGAAAGAGAGAGAGAGAGAGAGACAGAGTCTCGCTCTGTTGCCCAGGCTGGAGTGAGGTGGCACAATCTCGGCTCACTGCAACCTTCACCTCCCAGGTTCAAGTGATTCTCCTGCCTCTCCTGTCTCAGCCTTACAAGTAGCTGGGACACAACCTCCTCAAGCCAGTCTATAAAACCCCATGCATTTCACCAAAGGATGAGAAGTCCCACTCGGGTGCCCCTCTCTCTTGCAGGAAGGAGAGCTGTTCTCCTTTCTCTTTCTTTTGCCTATTAAACCTCCACTCTTAACCTCACTCCATGTGTGTCCATGCCCTTGATTTCTTTGGCATAGGGCAACAAACCTCGGGTATTATCCCAAATGAGCAATGCCACTTCACTACCAAATATTTAAGGAGGAAATAATACCAATTCTGCAAACACTCTTTCAGAAATTGAATAGGAGAGGATACTTAACAACTCATTATCTGAGAGCAAAATTACAGTGATACCACAACCAAAGACATTACAAGAAAAGAAAACTATAGACCACAAATCCTCAAGAACATAGGGGCAAAATGTTTAAATAAAATTTTAGCAAATCAAATCCAACAAGATGTAAAAACAATAATACGTCATTACCAAGTGGGATATATCCCAAGATTTAAAATTTTGTTTAACATTTGAAAATCAATCTAATTCACCATATTAACAAACTAAAAATGAAAAACCATATGAACATCTCAATAGATGCCAATAAAGCATTTGCTAAGACCCACATTCCTTCTTAACAAAATAATAATCTCAGCAAACTAAGGATTTGAGGGAACTTCCTCAATGTGATTAAAGATGTCTAAACGGTAAAGATAACATCAAACAGTGGTCAAGGCCTAATGCTTTCCACTTAGATCAGGTACAAAGTAAAGGATGTCTGCTCTTACTACTTCTATTCAACACAGTACTGGTGGTGATAGCCTGTAAAATAAGTGAGAAAGAAAACAAAAGCCATCCAGGATGAAAAGGAAGAAATAAAGCTGCCTTTATTTGCAGACAACATGATCATCTATGTAGGAAATGTAATAGAATCTACAAAAAACCTTCTAGAACCAATAATTGAGTTTAAAGGGTTACAGGATACAAGATCAACATCTACAATCATTTGTATTTATAAATATTAGTAACAAATAATCGGAATTGAAATTTAAAAACAAAAGCATTTACAATAGCTTCAAAAATGTTAGGTACTTAGGAGTAAATATGGCTAAACGTGAAAGGTATATACACTAAAAACTACAAAACATTGTAGAGAGGAATTGAAGATGACATAAACAAGTTCAGAGAGATAGGGTACTCATGGGTCAGAAGACTAAATATTAAGAAGTCGATTATCCATTAAATGATTTATGAAATCAATGCAATTCAAACAAAATCTTAGCATGTCCTTTTATTGAAACTGACAGGTTGATTCTAAAATTTATAGAGAAGTGAAAATGAGCTCTAGTACAGCCAAAATAACTTTTACAAAGAACAAAGTTGGAGACTAATACTACCTGATGTCAACATTTATTATAATGTTATAATAACAAAGACAGTGTGGTATCAGCATAAAGATAGACACATACATCATTAGAATATAATAGAGTCCAAAAGTAGACCCACATATATATGGACAATGTGTTTTTGACAAAGGTGTAAAGATGATTCAGTGGAAAAAGTGTAATCTTCTCAATAAGTGTGCTGGGTCAATTTGATGTACGCAAAAAAGAGAAAGAGAGTTAACTTCAATCTGTACATCACACCATAAACAAAATTTAACTGAAAGTAGATCATAGACCTAAATTTAAAGCCTTACATTATACAACTTCTAGAAGAAAAACATAGAGGAAAATCTCTGTGGCCTTGAGTTAGGCAATGATTTCTTAGATAAGACACAAAATCACAATACATAAAAATAACACAATTGAAAAATTGTGCTTTGTCAAAATATTAAAATGTTGCTCTCAAAAAACATTGTTAAGAGCATGGAAAGACAAACCACAGACTTGGAGAAGACATTTGAAAATTGTATATCTAGTAAAGTACTTACATCAAATACAGGTAAAGAACTCTCAAAATTCAATAAGACAAATAACCTAATTTTAAAAACTAGCAAAAGATTTTAAAGAAGATAAACAGATGGCAAATTGAGCACTAAAAGATGCTTAGTATCATTAGTCATTTGGGAAATGCAATTTAAAACCACAATAAGTGACTATAAACCTATTAGAATGGCTAAAATTAAGAAGACTGACTGTAGGTGCTGAGGAGGATATGAAAGAACTGGCATCCTCATACTCTTCTGATATGAATGTAAAATGGTACAACCACTTTGAAAAATGGTTTGGCAATTTCTTTAAAGTTAAACATACACTACCATGTGATTCAGCCATTCCACTCCTGGGTATGGGCCCAAGAACAATGAAAGCATACGTCCTTACAAAACATGATCACGAGCATTCACAGTAGCTTTATTTGCAATTGGCGAATGCTAGAAACAACACAAATGTCCATCAACAGGTGAATGGAAAAGCAAATTGTGATCTATTTATATAATGGAAAACTGCCTGTATACACACAAAAATTTGGATGAATCTCAAAATAAATGTTAGGTGAAAGTAGCCAGACCCTCCCAGAAAAGAGTTCACCATACTGTAGCGACAGAAAGAAGGTCAGTAGTTGCCTGGGGATGGGATTGAGCAGAAGGGTGGGAAGAGGAGATCACAATGGGTCACAGGAATACTTTTGGAGTGACAGAAGTAGTTATTATCTTGATTATGGAAGTGGTTTTATGGGTATCTGCATAGGTCAAACTTTTCAAATTGTACACTTTCAACACATGCAGCTTGCTTTATGTCAATTATACCTCAATGAAGCTGTTAAAAATATTCTGACTATGGCCTGCTCTCCCTATTGTAAAAGGCAGATTGGCTCAGCTTAGAAAGTGTTAATGGCATACCAAAGAATTTAACCTTGATTGCACAAAGAGGGATTGAATGAGAAATCAAAGAGGAATAACACTCACCCTCCGTAATTCAATGTTATCAAATGCTCTGTCCATGAACCACTTCAAACCACATCAAATACCAGCAGGTGGGACATGTATGCATCCCACTCTATGGGAAACACTGAACTAGAGGAAAACTTGTAAGAGTGCAGATTGTAAGTGTAGATTGTATTAACAGGTAACTTTGCTTAATAAACCTTGAGTCTGTAACCTTGATTAATTTTGGAGTAACAATAACTTTAGACCAAAATTGCTTAAATGAGGAACCCAAGATAGCCTTCCAGATTCCTGCTGAGCCATCCTAACTGAATAACTATGGCTTCTTACAATTTCTTTGTACTCTAAAATTCTGCAGATTTTAACAGTCCATTCAATCTTCTGGCCGCTCTCCCCAAACTGGGGCAGATACAATGCTGGGTATCAGGTAAGATCTACAGTAAACAGTAAAATGTTTAAAAATAAGAGTTTCCAAAAGAAGTGAAGAGTGAGTGAGATTTTGTTAGTCCTCTAACAAAATCATAAAGGCCAAATCTTTCCCAAGTCCACTTCTCCTTTCAAAATATATAAGATACCCACTGATGCAAAATCAAATCATGACATAGGCTTGGGGGCTTCATTCCAGGTATAGGAAGAATGTCTCCCCAGGCACAGAAAGCAAGCACTTTTCAAAAGCCAACTTGAAAGCCAGAGTCACAATGCATGTGGGCTGACACAGGTCAAGATAAATGAGGAAATTTGATGGGGCTAAGAAGATACAAGATGGGATAAGCAGAGTTATTTGAGTTATGGAATTCTGAATTGCTTGCCCTCATAAAGACAGAAAATAGCAAATTTCATCGTATTCATTTTCTATGGCTACTGTAAAAACTGACCACAAATTTCATGGCTTAAAACAAAGCAAATTTATTATGTTACTGTTCTGGAGATCAGAAGTCTGGCATGGGTCTCACTGGGCTAAAACCTTGTTGTCAGCGGGGCTGCAATCCTTTCTGGATGCTCTAGGGAAGAATCTGTCTTTTCCAGGTTCTGAAACCCTTGCATTCTGGGGCTTGTGGTCCTCTTCCTTCACCTTCAAAGCCAGCATCGGCAAGTTGAGCCCTCCTCAAATTGCATCACCTTCTCTTCTGTCATCAAATCTCCCCTTGCCTCTCTCTTATGCCTCTCCAACTCTTAAGTACCTTTGTAGTTACACTGAGCTTACACAAATAATCTAGATGGCATCCTGATCCCAAGATCCTTCACTAAATCTATTAGGCAAGTCCCTTTTGCCATGTAAGGGGACATGTTCACAGGTTCCTGGGATTAGGAAGTGAGTGTCTTTGGAGGGTCATTATTCTGTCTACCACAGTCATTGAATCATTGATGTAAAACCATTGTCTCTATGGGGAAAAGAACAATCCTGGAATGCTATAAAAGATTCCTGGGGCAGAAAGAAAAGCAGGCCCATTCATGGTGTCGTATAGAAGGGGCAAAAGAATGTCAGGCATGTGAGAGAGCACCCTTGACAGGGAGGGCTCAGAGGGTTGTTTCCATGCCCTTTAGATGAAGACAACAAGGTTGAAAGGCTGCCTTACAGCTGATTTAAGGGTGGATTCCAGCCAGCCTTGTTCACAGGTCTGTGTTGAAAACTCACCCTCTCTCCAGTAGCACCACTTCCCCTAACCCATCATCACAGGTACCTTATTTCTTTCTTAACACTTACTCAGGCTTTGGGTCAATGAAAATTCATGTCCCCCTCTCTGGATGTGACAGCACTTTGAGCTGTCATCATTGTAGAGAAAAGAAGTCTTTCTCTCTCTTCTAAATGCTTGTTTAATTTTGACAAGCCCCAGGGAGAAAGGGTTACAAATCTCTCATATTCTAGAATACCACTTGGTTCGCATTTACTAGCCAGTGGGATCACACTGTGATTTCAAAGGTCACATACTTGAACAGTTTTCCTTCTATGCACAATTTGTAAGCCAGCCAGGCTCCTTAAAGCCTTATTATCTTGTTTAGTCATCTGACTTCCTCAAATGAGCCTAACACATCCTTACATTAAGATTCAATGCCTGGAGCCCAGTATAACATGATAAGATCAAAAGACCTGGGCCACATGTTCCATCTTGGCTTTACCAGGTAACCATTATCCCACTCATAGTTTCTCACTAGTCACTCATTCTTTTTCACGCTTACTCTTCCCTTCCTTGAGAGGCTTCTAGGAAGGCAACTCTGGGGAGACACACACACACACACACACACACACACACCTTAAACACACACACACAAACACACACACACTGCTGAATCTCCTTCCTTACTAAGTAGCTGTGAGATCTTGAGCAAGGGGCAAGTTACTTAACCTCTCTGTTTTGTTTTCTCACCTCCAACGTTGAGATGCTGTGAGATGTCTCTCCTGGGATTGCCAGGAGGATTAAACGAATTTATATCTGCAAGGCTATTAGAAGAGTTCCTGGCAAATAGTAAATAATAAATGTTTGTTTTTTTAAAAATGTGTTAGAAACCCTTCCCTCTAGCTTTATTAACTCCTTTATCACTCTGCTGACATATTTTGCCGTTATCTGTTTAAGTGTCTCTCCTCCATGAGGTTGGAGTTTCCTTGAGGGCAGAAACTATGCCATGTTCACCTTTTCATTCCTACCATTGAGTCAGTGACTGACACCTAGGCATTCAACGAATGTTAAATAAGTAAGTCACTAAATGAGAAATATAAGATAAGCTACATCTGAACTCAGGGATGTATCTAATAATGGTTGTATGAAAAGACTGGCCGGGTATGGTGGCTCACGCCTGTAATCCCAGCACTTTGGGAGGCCAAGGCGGGCAGATCACGAGGTCAGGAGTTCGAGACCAGCTTGGCCAACATGGTGAAACCCCGTCTCTACTAAAAATGCAAAAATTAGCCAGGCATGGTTGGTGGGCACCTGTAATCCCAGCTACTTGGGAGGCTGAGGCAGGGGAATCACTTGAAACCGGAGGGCAGAGGTTGCAGTGAGCCGACATCACACCACTGCACTCCAGCCTGGGCAACCAAGAGTGAAACTCCATCTAAAAAAAAAAAAAAAAAAAAAAAAAAAGACTACAGCCTTTTTTGCTATAGAAAAAAAATAGAATGAGAGAAAATATACAAAGAGGAGTGCCTGTCCCTGGCAGGTGAGGTGATACTTAACATTTATTTTCTTCTTTCTACTTTTCTGTGTTTCCTATAATGGGGGCTGGATAGAGGAAGTGTGGGTACACAGCAGGGCCAACAGTGCATGCAAAGGATTGAGCCCTACTCTAACCAGAGAGATTCAGAAATTTTATAAATGAAGCTGACACCAGCTGCATTAAAAGATGAACTTGGAAATGTCAGTATCATAATGTGATGAAATTTGTTTCTTGCTCATATGTTTAGAGGCATGTGTATTTGTATGTACTCCATGCAGTCATTCAGGGGCCCAGCCCCATGGAGGCTCTGCCAGCGACACATGTAGACTGAGGAAGAGAGGGCACAGAGAGGCTTGTATGGGAGGCAGCATATGGCGTGCCCCACTTCTGGCCACGTTCGTCTGGTCCGAATTCAGTAACACTGCCACACCCAGCAAGGAAAGCTGGGAAAACATGTTAGCCATGTGTCCCCGAAGCAAAGGGAGCCGTGTTGGGTGAGCAGGCCATCAGTAAGTTAGCTCGTCTCCCTGCATCCCCTCCAACACAACCCCGTTGACTCGATAGTCACCTCCTGACTGGTCTCTCCTTCTCAAGTCTGTCACCGCTCAATCACCTTTCACCTTGCTGCCAAAGTGACTTTTCTAAAACAATTATTTGGCATGTCACTGGCCTTATTTAGCTGTCTATCCCCTACCGAATAAAGTTCAGATCCCTCAAAAATAAAACTGTCAGTCCACAAACTCAAGTGTACAAATAATATTTCTGGTCTATGACTAAACTTAATTTCAATTTTGATCTCCTATCTTGACAGGTAGTAGAACTATAACCTTAATTCAGAGGTTTCCCCCTCCTTTATCTGGAGTAAGATCTAAGTTTTGGGGGTATCACACAAAGCCAAGGCCTTGAGTAGGCACAGAGTTCTCATAGAGTCATCATAGAGGGATTTTCTGGAAGAAACCAACATAACTCTTGCCCTTATAACACTCCAGGAAATCATATCTTTTTTTTCTGACTTTTATTTTAAGTTCAGGGGTACATGTGCAGGTTTGTTATATAGGTAAACTCATGTCATGGGTGTTTGTTGTACAGATTATTTTGTCATCCAGCTATTAACCCTAGTACCCATTAGTTATTTTTCCTGATCCTCTCCCTCCTCCCACTCTCCACCCTCCAATAGGCCCCAGTGTGTGTTGTTCCCCTCTAAGTGTCCATATGTGCTCATCATTTAGCTCCCACTTATGAGTGAGAACACACAGTATTTGTTTTTCTGTTCCTGCATTAGTTTTCTAAGGATGATGGCATCTAGCTCCACTCATGTTCCTGCAAAGGACATGATATTGTTCTTTTTTATGGCTGTGTAGTATTCCATGGTGTATATGTACCACATGTTCTTTATCCAGTCTACCATCGATGAGTATTTAGGTTGACTCCATGTCTTTGCTATTGTGAATACTGCTGCGAGGAACATATGTGTGCATATGTCTTTATGTTAGAATGATTTATAAGGAAACCATATCTTGAGAGACTCTCATTCAGTTAGTGAAAGGAGGAAAGCCAAGCCCAGTAGCACTGAAATTTTTTTTTAAAAAAAGCAAGAAAATAAGATGTTGTTGTGGGTACAAGGGTGGAGGAAACTTAAAAAAGTTCATGGTAGGCTGGACTCAGTGGTGGCTCACGCCTCTAATCCCAGTACTTTGGGAAGCTGAGGCGGGTGGATCATGATGTTAGGAGTTCGAGACCAGCCTGGCCAACGTGGCGAAATCCTGTTTCTACTAAAAATACAAAAAATTAGCCGGGCTGGACGCGGTGGCTCATGCCTGTAATCCGAGCACTTTGCGAGGCCGAGCCGGGTGGATCACAAGGTCAGGAGTTCGAGACCACCCTGGCTAACATGATGAAACCCCGTCTCTACTAAAAACAAAAATACAAAAAGTTAGCCGGGCGTGGTGGCGGGCGCCCGTAGTCCCAGCTACTCTGGAGGCTGAGGCAGAATGGTGTGAACCCAGGAGGCGGAGCTTACAGTGAGCCAAGATCGCACCACTGCACTCCAGCCTGGGCAACAGAGCGAGACTCCGTCTCAAAAAACAAAAAGAAGAAAAAAATTAGCCGGGCACGGTGGCACATGCCTAGTCCCAGCTACTTGGGAGGCTGAGGCTGGAGAATTGCTTGAATCTGTGGGGGCGTAGGTTGCAGTGAGCTGAGTTTGCACCACTGCACTCCAGCCTGGGTGACAGAGTGAGACTCCGTCTCAAAAAAAAAAATAAAAAAAAAATTAGTTAATTGTAGACACTAAAATCTCTGATACACATATGTTCATGAAAAAAATAGAAGAGCAACCTAAGATAGGAGATTATTGTAGTAGTCAGCTAGCTAGTATATAATGCGATAACAAGTGGCAGCATGTTTTAATGCCTCTTATTGCTATATTTGAAAATTCTAATTTATAGTTAAGCATCATGTTTATATATTTATATAGTTCCATTCAAACAAAATACAACTTTGCACTTTAATTTTTACTAGCATGAAAAATAATTCCAACAAACAACATGGAGATATTTCTGCTTTACTGAATTATATAGTCAAATGTATGAAGGACAGGGATGTGCCAAGATATATAAATAATAAAATATTACATCCGAAAAGAGATTTCATTTTATATATGGGGAATCTGGGGTCTGTAGAAGTAATGGCTGACCCAAGATCACACAACTAATAAGCAACAAACTGGGGCCTGGGTTCAGATCTCCACGCCTATCTGAGCTGGAACAATGTGGATGGTTTTTTACTCAGAGTTTCAGAAGGTAGCAGCCTTGAGAGTTGCCAGGAAAATAGATGTCAAAGCATAAAGCAACAGTCAGCAGCTGAAGTTTTCCTTGTATTCTGAACCCCATCTGTCCCCTTCTAACCAGAATCAGTACTTACTTCTTGGGCTCTGGATCTCCCCATGGCTAATGCTGTTTCCTATACATACTTATTGTGATGGTTAACTTTATGGGTCAACTTGCCTTGGCTAAGGCCTGCCCAGATAGCTGGTAAAAATAATTTCTGGGTGTATCTGAGAGAGTGTTTCTGGAAGAGTTTAGCATTTGAATCCATAGATTAGTAAAGAAGATCAGCCACACAACCAGGCTGCACAGTACGAGGTGAGCAGTGGGTGAGCCTGTGTTACTGCCTGAGCTCTGCTTCTTTGTGTCAGATCAGAGGTGACGTTAGATTCTCATAGGAGCAGGAACCCTATTGTGAACTGTGCATGCGAGGGATCTAGATACTACTTATGAGAGTCTAACTAATGCCTAATGATCTGAGGTAAAACAGTTTTATCCCAAAACCATCGCTGTGTCCCCTCATCCCGCCATACATGGAAAAATTATCTTCCATGAAAACAGGTCCCTGGTGCCAAAAAGGTTGAGGACTGCTGCCTTATAACACATCTCTTCCTAGAAGATTTGGAATGTTCCCAACACACACACACACACACACACACACACACACACACACAAAATGAGAGATGTTTTGGATATCCCAATTACCCTGATTTTATCATTACACATTATGTGCCTATATCAAAATATCACATGTATACCATAAATTCATACTTTTATTATGTATCAATAAAAAAAATACAAATAAGTCTCTTTTTACATATTTATCTACAACCTGTTGGTTATGCTTTTCTGGAGAACCCTGACTAATGCACTTACAGACCTAGATCCTCCATGCATAGTCCCCTTTTCTGGTAACAGCATCTCAGGTTGTCTTTGGGAATGACTCCTCCCCAGGGCATGTAGTCTTTGGGGAGAGTCTTTTATAGCATCTGGTTTTCCCTTGGTTGAGGAATACATGTAATCTGCAAGCCAATCAGAGTCCTTCTGCTGGAGACTCTAGTCTTGATCAGAGTGACACAAAGATGAAAAAACAGTTGGAACCAATTTATCCAGTGATGACACACTGAGACTATCCATTAGTGCCTGCTTCCAAGATGACCAGTGTTTCCCTGGTTCCTATCCTTCCAATAAACTTTTTTCTTTGCCTAAGGGGTTTTTGTTTTGTTTTGTTTTTTTCACTCTGTCGCCTAAGCTGAAGTGCAGTGGTGCAATCTCGGCTCACTGCAACCTCCGCCTTGCGGGGTCAAGCGATTCTCCTCCCTCAGCCTCCCGAGTAGCTGGGACTACAGGCGCCTGCCAACCATGCCTGGCTAATTTTTGTATTTTTAGTAGAGACGGGGTTTCACTGTGTTGGTCAGGCTGGTCTCAATCTCCTGACCTCATGATCCACCCACCTCGGCCTCCCAAAGTGCTGGGATTACAGGCGTGAGCCGCTGAGCCCGGCCTTTTGCCTAAGCTTATAGGGTTGGTTTTATTTACCTGCAACAATATGAACTGATAAAACATTCAATTAGCAGTCTGATTGATCAACTTCAACTTAACTGATTTTATTAACCGAGTACTAACTAGTACCTCAGCATGCTGATCCCCAACCTCTAGTAAGCTTGACTCCATTACACCTGTGCACTCCATTTGATTCTATACTTACCAACCATCATAGTATTTGTTTTCAAATCTGCTTATGCCAATTGTACATAGTATAGCAATTATGTAACATAATTAAATGTTAAGTAAACCAATGAAATGTGAAGGCAAAACCAGTGCTTATTCTTGTGAAAACTGTGTGGGAGTCTTGATAAAGGTAGGCAAGTAAAAATGCTGTCATAAATTAGGTGTGTGTAAGACAGAGAGGATTATCAGATAATGGTACAAAATAATAAAACTCTAGTCTTTTTTTAGGTTTTAAAGACAGGGTCTCACTCTGTCTCTCAAGCTAGAGTGCATTGGTGCAGTCATGGCTCACTGCAGCCTCTACCTGCTGGGCTCAAGTGATCCTCCTGCCTCAGCCTCCTGAGTTGCTAGTACTGACATGCACCACCATGCCTGGTTAGGTTTTATTTTATTTTATTTTTTGTAGAGACAGTGTCTCAGTATATAACCCAGGCTGCTCTTGAACTCCTGGCCTTAAGCAATCCTTTCACATAGGCCTCCCAAAGTGCTCGGATTACAGGCATGAGCCATCACAGCCAGTCCTCTAGAAGAAATTTTTAAATAAAATCATTTCTCAAGAGTTAAGTTCTTATTCTCCTTTAAACAAATCAAAATTGGACATGACAGACCATTCCCAATGGGTGATTCCAATCAGCAGACCCAAAAAATCAAAGGCAAGGCTTTGGCCCTATGAAAAATTGGAAAATAAGTGAATGTTTATTTAATGTTCATTAAATGATGTAAAAATACTTAAGGTATATATCATTTATTATAATTTCTTGGTTTATGTATTTTTTTCTCAAATTAACTGAGTAATCAAATTGAACAGGAGGTCTTTGTATAAAGAAATCCAGAGGGAAGCTGCTATGCTTAGATCTACTCATGTGTTAGTACTCAGTGGTATGGACCCATATTGAATTTAAGGAGACACCCCAATTATTTGCCTGTCAAAATATAAGAGTTGCAAAGAATCTGAAGAGTCATCTAGGTCACATCTTCTTTTCACAAATTGAAAATTGAGGCCCAGAAAGGCGAAGTGATTATGCTGAGTCATGCAGTGGTTCCTGACAGAGCTGTGACTATGACCTGGGTCTCCTTAACGTATGAGCTCATCCTGCAGCACAGCAATTTGGTTCAAAGGTTTTTATCCATTTATTTATTCCTCTGCAGACATAGGTTTAATAGAACAAAGAAATTCTTATAATAAAACAATGTGAAATAAATTCTAAGGCCATTTTAGGAATAGTATCCAGTCAAACAATATGAAGCTTATTATTCAGAAGTCAAGGAAATGGGAATGAATTAACTCTGGAAACCCTGAATAAATCAGGAATTCATTTGTATGCACTTTATATGAATACTAATGAGGGACCATACTATCCCTGGTTTGCTTTCTCTTATGTCACACAGATTTTCACATCCCCAACTCACTTTTCCTGATGCAACTTTATAAATGAAGCAAGAAAACTACAACTTACAATCGATCACCAGACCAGCAAGATCTTTTCCTTGATTATCCCAGATATAAAGATGCCCTTTTTGTCAAGGTAGATGTGATCACAAAGGTTAGTGGTCAAGTAAGTCAAAAAAGCAGGATTGGCTGATCTGCTTCTCACTGTTTTTTTTTCCTTCATAGAATTATCTACATTTTTAGCAGAATCAACAAGATTGGATGATGGTCTGGTGTTGGGTAGTTAAGGGCAAGGAGGGTGCATTAGCCACCCATTCTGGACACCATGTTGGAAGCAAGTAGCAGTCTCAGTTCCCCCCTTCCATCTCCCCTCGTCCTACTACTCCTCTGAAAAGAGTTGCCATATTTTATTTCACTCCCTTTTCTAAGGAGGGATAGTGTTGCTCCAAACCAAAGACTTGACTAGGCCAGACCATCAGAGTTGGGGAGGGAAGGTATCTGCTCCTTTGCTGGGTTTTATTTCCCAGGAGTCTCAAACAATCTAGATCAGGCAGAGGTTCCAAAGTCAAACATGACAGAGCAAGACAAGTAATATGCATGCGGAGGTGAAAAGAGCTGTTAGGGGGCAGGAGGCTCTGTATAAACTGGCAATCCATGCATCATCCAAAGGGGCAGCCAGGATGTAACTCTGGCCTCCTGGAGGAACATCAGCCCAGCCAGCCAGATCTCTAACTTAAAAAGAGGTGGAAATCCAATTACTTCAAGTAAAAGTCTTTTGACTCTAAAATCAGTTAAAATTTTAAACACTGTTCAAGCCAAATAAAATATGTCTTTGGGCCAGTTGCAGCCCATGGTCTGCTCATGGCTGGTGCCTTGACTTCTCCAAGCCTCTCTCACTGCCAGGTGAGCTCCAGACTAGACAGACCCACATGAAAATGTTACAATTTGGGAAGAGGCCTTGAGATTTGGACGAAAAAGCAAAGCTTCAGCTTACTTTCTTTCTAGACCACTTGAACTGTCCAGTCTCAGCAAAAAGAGTCTTCCTGTAACTCAGCCTAGCTTGATCAAGTTCAACATTAGAAGTCAGGGCCAAAATCTCAGCATCATAGAATATCTGTTTTCCAGACTAATTTTCTTGTTCTGTATTGATGACTTTCTCCCATGGTCCTTTGGGAAGGTGATATGGCAAGAATCAGAGGTTCAAGATCCCCTGTCCTCTCCTTCTTTCTTTCGTTTAATTGTCTGCAGGTAGCCTTGTTACACCTCTAACCCCAACAAAGCTTCCTTTGTCTACCTGTGGATGTGGAGAGTGAGCAGAAGATGAAGAACAAAACATCTGATGGTCTATATGCATTTAGTTAACTGCATTGTCCCCTTCATTGACTCTGAAAATATTTTTGGAAGACCCTACTGTAGTTCACTATTCAAGCTGCTGTGATCTTATTTAATGAAAACATTCTGTTTATTTGCCACCTCTAATATTTCAGAGACCACAGCTTTCCCATAAGTAATTAGAATTCAATAGGACTAATTGTTCATTATAATTCAATAGGACTAATTGTTCATTATATATCGAAATACTTTACATAGCCTTTAGTTCTGAAGACTTCTTCATGTAATTACAGAACACCATGATTTGGCATTTGGTCTTTCCTATTATCTCTGTAAGTTTTTAATTGGAAATCTTCTCAATGAGTGAAATCACAATGTGTTAAGTGAACCAACAGATATGGACCCGCCCAAATCTCATGTCAAATTGTAATCCCCAATGTTGGAAATAGGGCCTGCTGGGAGGAGATTGGATCATGGGGGCAGTTTCTTAAAGTTTAACACCATCCTCCTTGGTGTTATTATGGCAATAGTGAGTGAGTGAGTTATCACGAGATATGGTTGTTTTAAAAGTGTGTGGCACCTCCCTGCCTTTCTCTCTTGCTCCTCCTCCAGTCATACAAGATGTGCCTGCTTCCCTGTTCACCTTCCACCATGATTGTATTAATAAGTCTCCTGAGGCCTCCCCAGAAGCTAGGCAGATGCCAGAATCATGCTTTCTGTACAGTCTGCAGAACCATGAGCCAATTCAACCTTTTTCTTTATAAATGACCCAGTCTCAGGTATTTCTTTATAGCATTGCTAGAATGGACTACTACACCAACCAGGTGTCTGATATTCATCATTAATAATGTGAGAAACCATAGGCTCTGTTGTGCAATTTATTGAGCACTTATCATGTACAACTCTATGTAATAATAAGAGTAAAAGACTAACTGGTCATTTCTTCTGGAGAGTACTCAACAGCCCCACCCTCAGGAAGAATCTTTGAGCAAGATCAGCTACATTTTATAAATTCCTCTGTTTTCTGGACTTGCTCCCTTGCTGTGGAACGGGAGGGGTAGGCAGAATCTTCTCTAATGGCCTTTTCTAGCCCTGACTTTGTGAAGAAGGTTGGGCTCTGGACTCCAGTGTTTGGGTTTGAGTCCTTGCTCTGTCACTTGCTCACTGAATGACTTTGGACAAGTCCCTCTTTAAGCATCAATTTTCTCACCTGTTAAATGAGAATAATAGTATTACCAATCTCATTGTGATTGTAAGGATTAAATAGGATAACACATATGCTTGGAACAGTACTTGTTATGTGATAAGCACATGCCTCTCCATCAAAAATGTTAACTAGTAATATCCCAGCACTGAAGTAAATACAGTTCCTTAGAAGGAGATTTTGCCCATTGAGAAAGAGCCCTAGCTGCTGGTCCCAGCTCTGAAGTGAGCTAACTTGGACCCTGAGCAGGTTGGTCTTACAAGGTCCCTGATTTCAAATCTATAAATGAGGAGGTTAGACTGGCATTGCTGATTCTCAAAAACTACTAATTTATAACCTCCCAGCAGTGAGATTTGAGTGCTCCTGGCAATTATGAAATGTATATTTCTATCTAGGTTAACCAACCTCAGCCCAAGGATGTGGGTTAAAATGAACAGATCTATCACATTGTCTAGGATGGAGTATTTTATTTTATTTTATTTTATTTTATTTTTTCTTTCTTTTTTTTTATTATACTTTAAGTTTTAGGGTACATGTGCACATTGTGCAGGTTAGTTACATACGTATACATGTGCCATGCTGGTGCGCTGCACCCACTAACTCGTCAGGATGGAGTATTTTAAAGCAAATTGCAGACAATGTAACATTTTTGGAATTTCTGTAGAGGGAAACATTCCCCTATGCAGGAAAAGTGTGGGAGAAACACTGAGACCTCTCTCTTCCTGCTCCCTTCCTCCTCCTCCCTGAGTGGCTGAGTGAGCTGGGGAGAAGGACTGGGCAGCTCAGCATTCTCTGCAGGATCAGCCTCTCCCCAGAGCATGAGTGGAGTAGCCTGCCCTGCAAGAGACCAACGGCTGTCCCCTTCTGCCCTGGCTGAGTAGGCAGGTTTAATTCACAGAGAAAAGCTTTGTTGGTTGCAGAACCAAGCTATGTTCTGGCTCAATTTTCATCATTAAAATTTTGGTGTTTAATCATCTCATTTCCAGTGATAAATTTCTCAGTGAGATCTAAACCCAGAGGGGGAAAATGAGCAGTTATCTATGTGGCCCCCAAAGTCTCAAGAAATATCTTAGAGTCGACTTGAATTGCTTAGAAGAAAAATGCTCAAGCCCAGTATGGTTTGTTTACACTGCAATGCAATTCCCTAGCCAGTCCAGACCGCAAGGATCCAAAATTTCCAAGGACCTATAAACAGATTTTTCCCGGTTGAAAGATGCAAGTCTTTGGACTCCAGCTGCCCTGCTGCTGCTTTCTGAGCCAAACCTTCTTGGTTGAGGACTTTTTCCTTGGAATGTGACTGTCTCCACAATTCCACCCTGCCTCAGCTAAAAGGTTCTCTGTTCCAGCTCTGAAATCCTGAGGAACTATCCGTCTTGTTCTTATTTAAACATTCTAGCCCAGAAATAACTTGCAGGATGAAAGGGGGTCTTATTTCAGCTCTGGTTGGGCTGTTTCACTCAGGTACAAACATTTTCTATGTACTCTTTTTCAGCACTCCTTACACAGCACTAATCAGAAAAATATTCTCTCCTTCTTGACTTCACATTAGCTGTTTGAACAACCCAGAGTTTTCCAGCAGCTGAGGTGATTGCACACATCATTGCCAGAGTAGTTATATTTTATGTCCTTCCATTATTTTTGCTGGTCCTTGCAAGTGGGTCAAGATAGAGCTGAAATTTTCTCAGAAGGAACGTATTATGCTGTGTAAATAATAAAAGTAAAACCAGCATTTGTTTCTCTATAAGACAAATTAATGCCAAGCTTTTCCTTGCATATAATAATCATGTCTAAAACCACAGTGATGCATTTGACTGCGACAATGCACCGGGCTGTAGAATTTAGGTCCCTTGTTACCGCCCCACTGATGCAGGTGACTGATAGTAATGAAGATGTACTGTATCTTTGAGCTCCAGTTGTTGGGCTCTGCCACCCACCCATTGATTCCACAAATGGTTTCTTTTCCAGATTGTAAAAGCAACTGATAAGCCATTTCCTCTCATCACCACAGCACTTCAGGCAGAGTCTATATTGATCTATCCTCTTTACTCCCAGCCCTCACCAGCCCAAGGCAAGGCAGGATTTCCTTTAAAACACTTCAAAGCCCTCCAAATAATTTTGGTGAGGTCTTTAAAAATGCAATTCTTCCCCTGGATTTTACTTTTCATAACACCGTGAAAGTCAGTCATATGAATTGGGTCATTCTCATCATACCCAACTCAAACAAAGTCAGAAGCCAGGGGGAGAAAAGCACTCGGGACACATAATATTGCTCCAAAAATGTTAATTCTCTGCAGCATGGTTGCTGAAACTGCCTGCTGTAACCTGAAGCCAGTGTGATCTAATGGCTTCTGAAATAAACTGCTGCAACTCTAATTTTACCCACTGCCATCACTCACCAATCAGAACTTGCCAGCCCCCCAAAACTGTACTTGTGCCAATGAACAAAAAAGAGCAATATGTAACATTTCTCCTTTTTATAAAACCTGCAAATTCCTCTTTGTTCTTCAGACATACTGAAGACCACCAGGTCTGTGTGTATTCCCCAAATTGCAATTCTTATATCCCAAATAAATCCTTACATTTAGAGATTTGTCTCTACATATTCATTTTACTTTAACAACACTCAGGCTCTTGGGTTAGCTGTTAAAAGGAGGATTATCAGGTGGAGAAAGTCAGAGAAATATGTGTGCATCTCTAATGTTGTGTTGTAAAACAAAAAGACCACAATCTACTTTTTCAAGAATTACATTCCCCTGAGAATGCCAGCTAAAGTTGGCAATGAAACAAATAGGAATAATGTCTGAGTACAAAAATGTTTCATTTTATTGTTTTCTATTTAGATTGTATTCTAGCATTTATCCTAAAATATTTAAAAAATTAAAAATCATTGGAGATAAATTATTGCAGTTTTAAAATAGATCCTCCCCCAAAATTGGATTGGAATTGCCTTTTAAGAGTATTTCACATATGCTTAGCTGAGCAGAATGCTGCCAGAAAAGATAGGTCTAGACCAAATCGAGAGCTGGCAAGACAGCTTTCCAGGCACAGAAAAGAAAAAGAAGCCCCTGCTCATCCTTCCAGTGCTCTGCCGCTCACAAGGCCCCAGAGGGTTTAGTTACAGGGGGCCAGTGACCTAAAGAGTAAATGTCTGAGATGTTTTTAATGAAAAAACCTAACATTTACAAAGGAAATACAATAAATACTGATGTACCCACCACTGAAAATGAACAATATTGTATATTATTTACTTCAAAATATCTTGTATTTAAAGAAATAAGCACACACATTTCCAAGAAGACGCCATCTCATCTCTTCCCATCCTCAGACGTATTTTACTCTCTCCAATCCCAGAAGCAACTTACATCACCACACAGTATGTTCAATCTGTATACATATGTTGAAAATCACGGTTTTAAACATGTAATGTGAGTGGCTATATAGATATACATATATATCCATAAATGCCACATAACATTATTATATGCACCATTTTGTAAAGAAATGGTTTCAAAATATAACTTGCATTTCTCATTCAACATTGTTTTTAAGCTCTTTCCAAGTTGAGGTATGAAAATATTCCTAACTTATTTTAGCTATTGTACAACATTTCATCTTCATCAATGCATCACAATTCATTAATCTCTGCTCTCTTACTGACAAACATTGGAATCAATTCCAACATTTTGTTATTAAAAACAATGCTGCAAAGAACATTCTTTGGCATGTCTCTGTGTAGCACATGCACAAAATTTTCACTAAGATAGAAACCCACAAGTGAAATCGAGAGTCACGGAGTATGTGCATTTTCAACTCTGCTTAATATCACCAAATCACTTTCCAAAGTAATACCAGTCGGCACTCCTACCATTAGTGATTATGCATTTTCTTTTCTCCACCAACACTTTCTATTAGCAAACTGCTTAAATTCTGCCAATTCTACTATTGTAAAATGTCATCTAACTATTTTAATTTCTATTTCCCTGAACACTAGTAAGGTTGAGCATCTCTGTAGGCTTATTGCTACTTGAATTTCTTCTGTGAAATTTCTGCTTGTATCTTCTGCCTATTACTCTGTATGATTATCTTTATCTTACTGATTTGTAAGTTCTTTAGATAGGCAGTTAATCAATGTTTTTTTTTCTTCAAACCTATGTTGCATCAAGAAGCTCCACTATGCCTTGGAAATTAGTCAAGTGTTGCAGATACAGATACTCAGGCCCTTTTAGAGCATCAAAGTTTAATCTGCAGAATGATATTAAGAAATCCCTTGATCTGAGCGTGAGAGTGCTCAGGTGGAACAATAGATTATGGAGAAAAGGCTAGAACCTAGAGATTTGATAAAAAGCTTTAGGTATACAATTCTGTCATGATCTCAGGAATACATAATTTTGTCCTAATTAGAATAGGTTTTCTCAAAAAATGATTAGGATTTTAACTCCGTCACCCTTCCAAGCAGTTCTAAGCCATGCTCTGAGAATCCCTCAAGCTTTGTAACTGGGTGCCGATCATTTATTTTTAATGTTTACATGGGTAGCTTTTCCTTTAAGGGAAGGGAGACAACCCACTGATCGGCAACAATGGCAACAGTAAATGATATTCCACCTGAAATTTTCTGCTGCAGAATAACACTCCATTTCCCTAAGCAATGTCACCCTGGACGTTGTTAAACTGATTATCAGAAGTGTTATTTTGCAAAAGCTGTATTTCTAGGACTTTCTATGGTCTTTTTTTCTTGGGGGGAGGGAGTCACTCTAATTTTAAGAGAGGCATTTCAACAACAATTAAATGTAATGAATATTTATTAAGTAAACAGGCAGAACCCATCCACATCCTCTAAATCAGGAGTGTCCAATCTTTTGGCATCCCTGGGCCACACAGGAAGAAGAAGAATTATCTTGGGCCACAAATAAATATACTAACACAATAGCCAATGAGCTAAAAAAAAAAAACAAAAAAAAACTCATGATGCTTTAAGAAAGTTTACGAAATTGCATTGGGCCTCATTCAACGCCATCCTGGGCTGCATGCAGCTCATGGGCTATGGGTTGGACAGGCTTGCTCTAAATGGAGGAAGAGGGGATTGGGGATTGGATTTGATTTCTTCTTCCCAATGGTGGGAAAGAGAAGAAATAGAGAGCTTGCCATTAGAAACCACTTTGCCACCATGGATGACAAGCTTTCCAAGCAGCTGTCTTGGGTGGGGAGTTAAAAATAAGTGTGACCCCGTTAAGGGAAATACCCAGAGTGACTGGCTTCTCCTTAATATGGTGAAGTTCTTCCAAGAACATGCACAGCAGCGCAGAGAGCAGGCACAGACCCACGGAGTACAGAGAGTGAAAGCTAGGCAAAACCTTAACACAGACATGGAAAGGGGGCTCCTTGTCCCCCTTCCTCTCCAAAAGCAGGGAAGAAATGACCCAGAGATAAAGTGGTTCTTCTAAACCTGCCGGCAGTCCTAAATCTTTCTCCTTTCACAACTAGTGGAGGGGATCACTGAACTAACCACGGAAACTTGTACCACCTCGGACTCCAGCTTCAACATTTAGAGAATATTCTCACATGGTGTAGGCATTTCAGGAGATCCACGCAGAATCTGCCCAACAGTTTTAGACTCAATGCCAGACATAAATCAATCTCATGTTCATGTTCAAGGGTGGATAAACAATAATCTATAAAAACAAAATAAAGAAATATAACATTGTAAGCTAGAAATAAACAGCATCCACCTGAAATGAAAATACTATGTTAAAACAGAAATAAAGTTCAGATAGCACCTGTTTTGTGCTCATAATAAAATCCAATAAAACAGTCTCTGAGATAAAGAAGAAAGATTAGATGGTAGTCTTATACTGAAAAATAAAGGAAACTTGGTAGATAGTGAAAAAAAATGAAGAAACTAATATTACTAAAACTAAACTTTAAACTATATTATAATCAATAAACAGTAAAGTAACTACTGTAAAAATGGAGTTAGTTATGTAAGGAAAAAGATTGAAACACTCTCCTTGATTTAGAAGACTGGTGAAAATGAGAGAGAAACAAAGGAAATCAAAAGAAAGTTAGACACAAAAGAAAAATATTTCCTAAGATGAAGATCTGAATTTGCAGATCAAAGTTATTTATCATGTAGCAAGATAATTTGTTAAAACGAGATCAGCACTTAGACATATCCTGTTCAACAAGTGGAATTACAAAAACTAAAGATAATTTTCCAGAAGAGTCAAGCAGAGAGAGTTGGGTTTTACAGGAGGAGGATTGCTTTATAAAGGAAAAAAATTCAGCTTGGCCTTAAAGATCTTCTATACAACACTAAAAGTCAAATAATAAGACAAAAAATGTTCAAAATAGTATACTTAAGATAAAATGATAAATTAAAATAATAAAACAAACCCCTCAGGTTTCTGAAGACAAAGGTCTTCAGGACCAAAAAAGATAAATCAAAACAAAAAGCTCAAGAATGAGTAATTTATTTAATAAAAGGTTAATATGGAAGATTAATGTCATTTCAATATAGAATCGCTCATATAAATATTTTTCCCATTTTCATTATATAATTATTTTTGAATATTATTACAAAACAGAATGAAAATGTAATAATTCTTGAAAGTGAAAATATGTGATACTAAAAAAAATTTACAGTAATAAATTAGTAAATAATTATTACTAATTTATACTCTGTCAAAACTCCAAGAATACACAGAGAATAAAAGAAGGATATTAGGGGGGTGTAGAGAAATGAGTGAATTTCTGCATTTTTATGAGGGAACATAATACATAAAGTTTCATTCATAATGTTAATAACTACACTTTTTAAACTTAAGAATAACAACTAGGAAAATTTAAATCCATATATATGCCATTCAAGTTACTGGAAGGAAAAATGTCAAGATAAATGATGCTTCTTCTCCACCCTTATCACTGGTTAATCCCAAAGCCTCATTACTGAGAGCATTGTCACACTTAATTGTAGTTTAACACCTCCATGAGAAGATATGCAACAAATTAATACAGCCATGCTAGATACAGTCCACAGAAAGTACTAACAAGCTATCACTTGCATTAATAAAAATCCTTTGATATTGATAAGTAAATACAACGTAAGTAGCAAAATATCCCTGGTATTCATTTCTGAATTGAGATTTAAGGCATACAAATTTATTTGGCAGGCACTAATAGTTCAGTGAATTTATATTCCATCTGCCATTAACCTATCACGCTCTTGGCTTTGAATTCTATTTATCCAGAATTTCTTTATTAATAAAACTATTCCATTAGTGTCATGGGCTGAAATTGCATTAAAGCTTTAAGGGTCATAATAATTCCAGAGGGGTAAAAAACAAACACTCTAGTTAAATGACTTTAACTAACACACCCTAGAATAATGAAAGACTCAATCTCCACATCCTTGGCTTCATGTCCACAAAACTGTATGTATTTTGCTACACAAAGGGGGTCTGACTGTGCCCCTATTCTCTTTTTTCATTTTTTTTTAATCAGTGACTGAACTTCAGACTGTCTTCCAACTAAGCAAGGTGACATAAAAATTGATTATTCAGAATCCAAAATATCTTATGGACCACTTTTCTATATATATATATTTATTTTTTTTTTTTCTAAAAAAGATGTATCTTTGGTGTAAGGGGAAAGTAATTTTAGAGAGAATATTTTCAAAATCCAAAGGAAAGGACAGATGGAGAGGTAACTGTTGTATCACTACTGAGTTTATAACTTACTTTGGCAGTTTGGACACACAGTTAAACTTAAGAAATTTCAAAACCGTATACTTCCTGTACATTTCTAGTATTGGGGGACATGATGATCTTGTGCATTTGCTATCCAGACCCAAGATAGAGGAACACAATGTTGAGACCAACGATCTACTTTCAACACATAATAACACAGTCTTTCCATCCCTGTGATATGGTTTGGCTCTCTGTCCCCACTCAGATCTCACCTTGAATTGTAATAATCCCCATGTGTCAAGGGCAGGACTGGGTGGGGATAATTGAATCATGGGAGTGGTCTCCCCTGTACTGTTCTCATTATAGTGAGTGAGTTCTCAGGAGATCTGGTGGTTTTATAAGGAGTTTCTCCTTTGCTCGGCACACATTCTTCTTCCTGCCACCATGTCAAGAAGGATGTGTTTGCTTCCCCTTCTGCCATGATTGTAAGTTTCCTGAGATCTCCCCAGTACTGTGGAACCACGAGTCAATTAAACCTCTTTCCTTTATAAATTACCCAGTCTTGGGTATGTCCTTTTAGCAACAGGAGAATGGACTAATACACCCTGTATGGAGCATAAAATATTTCAGAAAGTTTAAATAAATGAAGAAAACAAATGTTTTAAATATATTTTTGGTTAATTGGTTTCAGTCACAAATAACAAAAGAAGGCAAACTTGGTTATAGTGTAGCTGAAAATTGTAACAAATTTATTTACAATAACTATACAATAAAGACTGGATTTTAATCACGTTTTTCTGTTTCAACAATGAGCACATCTTTGACCTATGAATTCATGGATTATAATAATTCTTATTGCCTGCCTGAATGAACCAGTCATACATAACCATTTTAGCCTTTCCTTCCTTACAGTTTATAATTTTATATAACAGCAGCTGTCAGTAAACATGGAGCCTTACTAAGCTAATGAATAATTATCCTTCACATTATAATTATAATCCTGCTCATCATTAACATATTTTCTAATTATTATTTTTTATTACGGATATAAACCCAGTTTGTCAGGGATCTGGAATGTCAAGTTAAGGACATTTTTCTTCTGTTGTATACGTGGTGATGAGTATGAAGAGGAAGGAGTAAAGAATTAGCACCAAGTCACCAAGTCCAGTTCCTGACACATAGAAGATAAACACTAGTTGAGTGACTGGGATTAGTATTTACTGAGTGTCTACTATGTGCCAAGCAGTGCTAGGTACTTTACATCATTATCACATCTAATCCCCTAGTCCTTGTAGTTGTGGGTATTAATATTCCCATTTCTCCAATAAGGAAGCACAGACTCAGAGAATTTAACATACTTGCCTATAACTTGGCTGCATTGCTAAAATTTGAAACCAGATTTGTTCAACTGTAAATCCCAGATCTTTCTTTCATACTCCTGATACCTGAAAATATTGATCACTGAAAATTATTCACAAACTATATGATAAAGGATTGCAACCTCGGTTCAACAGTGAGCAATAATACAGTGATTTACACTTCAGCAGGATTTATTTTAAAATATATTTCATTTTAAAGATGAAATCATTTCTAGTGAAATATGATACATTTATATTATATTGGAGTTCATATCAATATCATTTTAAGAAAACCTTTAACAGAAACATAGAAGCTGAGGGTCTAAAGAGACTTCAAACTTTGGCTAATCATGGTAGGAAATTTATGTCTGTTGTTCTGATCAGGATGTTGAACACTTCTAATACATTATGTTAGAAATTTGCTAGACATACTCTTTGCTAAAGAAAGAGAAATCATGGAGAGCAGAGTGGGTTGCCAAGGAATCAATGGCACATAAGGAAGACAAATGGAGTGAGAAATTTAGAAGTAAATTCAAGTGCTTCATTTTCCATCTTCAGATCTGAAGACCAAGCGATATAAATACTCAACTGGTGCTGGACTGGCTGAAATTTGAGATCTCTTTAGACCATGTAGCTCTGTGATGATATCGAAGGCCTTTTTAGAATAGTCGTGATGATGATGATGATGATGATGATGATGATGATGATGATGATGATGAAACCCATAAAAACTCTTGAAGATGAGAGGGTGGAAGAAGGGATGTTTAGAAACTTCACATAGGTTGTGTGTGTTCAAGTGGACAATGGGAATTTGGAAGCACGCAGAGTATATTTACACCCAGCTGAATTTTGGCTGAATAGTGGCCTCTCAAATAGGTCCATATCCTAATTGCCAGAATCGGTGAATTACCTAATACAGAAAAATGGACTTAGCATGTGTGATTAAGTGAAGGACCTTGAGATGGGGAGATTATCCTTGATTATCCAAGTGGATGTAATGGAAACACAGCAGTTCTTCAAAGAGGGATGCAGGAGGCATCAGCGTCAGAGGAGAAAGCCATGTACTAATGGAAGCAGGGATTGAAACAATGCTAACTGAAGGTAGAGGGGATCACAGACCAAAGAATATAGGCGGCAACTAGAAGGTGAAAAAGGTAAGGAAGATTCTCCCTTCAGAGACTCCTGAAGAAGCCAGCCAGCAGACACCTTGACTTTAGCACAGTGAAACTGATTTTGGACTTCTAACTTCCAGAACTTGAGAAGTAAGAGATAAACTGGTTTCATTTTAAGCCACTAAATTTGTGGTAATTTGTTATAGCAGCAGTAAAAATCTTATACAGTGACACTAGCCAGAAATGAAATAGCTGCCTGAACACTTTTTCTACCGAATAATTCCTTAAAGAAAAATGAGTTTTAAAAGGCAAGTCGTAGCATTAACATGATGTGCTTGTGGCTGCAGAATTCATATTACAAGTAAGTAGCAGAAATCCTGACACTGCCCAGTAACATGGTTGGCTCCAGGAGGTTTTGCCTATGTTTTCACTTTTATGGACAGTAGGGCTGGTCTTTAAGTCTGACCTCTCTCATGACCTCCAAACCCACATTTCTGATTGCCACATTTCTAGGCTTCTAACCCTTGGATGTCCTTGGACATCCTACTACAACCCAGGGTTAACAGATGAAATCCAATGTCGTCATCTTTCTAGGAAAGCACACAGTCAATATCCTGGGATTCTTTCTCATCATACAGGATCTGCTTGCAAAAGTCATACCACTGTCCCCCGGTCCTCCTTATTTCCTTTTTGATTGCATACTATCACCCAAACCCAAAACGTTATGTCACCTTTGGCAGCTCCTTCTGGGCTCAATCATTATTTAATTAGCCAGCCAAGCACTGTAGGATTTGTTCTCTGCTTTCTACTTCCACTGTTCTGTTCAAGCTAAGGTCCTGGAAATCTGCTGCAAAGACAGTGGCCTCCTAATGATTTCAAATTTCAGTCTCCAGTGCTTGTTTCCACATTCCCAGATAAATATTCCTAAAGGAATGTCCCTTCTAATTATGTCATTTCACTGCTTTCCTTTGTTCACCATGGCAAGTAAAAATTCTTCACATTCCCCTCCCTCTTCTCATTTTATTTTCCTTCTCTTCCCTATTCCTATACCCTTCCTTTACCTTCTAATCTAGGACACTTGCTGTTCTCCAACAAACCTTGCTCCCCCACCTCCATGTCCTTAATCTATATTTGTTCTTTGAGTAGAAAATTCTCCTTACGGGAGCCTCATTCTTGCGTGCTGAAATATTGCCTATGTAAAATAAAGTAATAAGATATGGTGATTTTAAAATATGGCCACCCATTCGTTAATGTGTTTCTCTTCAAAAGAGGGAAGGGAGTCTAATTCCCTTCCTCTTGAGTGTAGGTTAGACTAAGACTTGATTTGAATGAATAGAATATGGTAGAAGTGACACTGTGTAACTTTAAGGTCATAAAAAGCATTGTGGCTGCCTTCCTGCCTCCCCTGGGAAGCTATCTGCTATGTCATGAGAATACTCTATGAAGAAATTCTATGGACAGGACCATGTGGCAAGGAACTGAGGCATCCTGCCATGTGAGTGAACCATCTTACAGCCCCACCAAAGGCTCAGATGACAGCATCCCCAGATGACACCTTGACTGCAACTTTATGAGGGACCCCGAGCCAGAAGCATCTAGCTAAGCCACTCCTAAACTCCCAGCCCACAGACACTGTGATATAATAAGTGTTCATTGTTTAAAGCCATTGTATTTTGGGATAATTTCTTATTCAGTAATAGATCATTAATACAATAGTCATTTTTTATTATTTCAACAAGAATTTATTGAATGCATTTGATATGTTGGATTAGAACCCAGGGCCTGGGAATGCAGGAGTGAGCTTACAAATCTGGTGTCTGCTCTTAGGCTAATTACAGTCTGGCAGGGAAACACACACTAAATGAGTAATTACTTACATAATTATCTAATTACCATTATGGTAATATCTATAAAGTAGGAGACAATTGAGCCATGATAACATTAACTAATCTGCTTTGGCAGAGTTGGGAAGACTTCTAAGCACTAAGACTTCTAGGAGTCCCCACGTGATGGTCCAGGGCTTTGAAGAGGCCTTTGGGCAGCAGTAGAATCCAGTGGTTAGAAAGGTGATCTCTAGATCCAACTGCTTGGATTTGAATCATCTCTGGCTCTTAGTAATTGCATGACTTCCAGCAACTTTCTTACCTCTGACCCTCAGTTTTCTCATCTGAAAGTGGCCATAATAATCATTTTTGGATGGACTAAATGACTCATACATGTGAGGCATCTAGAATAGTGTCTGGCATGTTGATTGTGCTCAATAGAAATTAGCTACTCCATTTTGAGTTTCTCTGCCTGGTCCATTTTTGGATTCTAAGTCAATGTACCTAGCCCATCACTCTTAAGTCCTAACTCCATCTCTGTATGACATAATTGTGAATCCTGTTTCATTAACCCAAAGCCATAAGAAGTCACCTTCTTGGAACATAACTTTGGGTGACACACCAAGTTGACACCTGGGATTGAGAGGTTTTAGGGTGTTAGAAGCAGAAGGACACCCAGGAGGTCCTTACAAAACTCTTGCATCATGCCAGCTCAGGAACAGACCTACACAAACACCACAAATTCTTTGCCTCCAGACTTGCACAATTTGTACAATTTTTAGTATTATACAACTAAGCCTTCTAATATAGCAAGAGACTTCCATCCAGATCCAATTAAAGATTTTTTTATGTCATCACTGCATTTTCCTCTAAATGCTTAAAAAATGCTTGTCATGCAGTGAAATGTAATAGGACACAGAAGGAAAAGAAATTAGTTGCAAACACTTTGGCTCATACAAATGAATGAAGATGTATTTTTAAAGGATATATCCAGGCAAGATTAAAACTCAGAATAGCCTACCCATGTGATATGAGTCAGCACCACACAAATAACATAGATGGTAAACTGTACACCTCCTAACACATGAACCAAAAGTGCCTATAAAATATTCTGAACTGACAGTTGGAGTGTGTGGCTGTAGCTACAAAATTAAACACACACAGACACAGACACACACACACACACACAACAATAGATAAGGGGAAAACGTTCATTCAAGTGTATGTTGGTGCTGTGCAAAGTGTTTGATTTTAATTGAGCTTAAGCCCCCTTTTCTCTGTCTCTCCTCATCATTTAACCATGCCTACCCTGAAACTTAGACAAATCTGGATCAGAAAATCATTAAGACACCCCCCAAAAATAAAAGCTTAGCTACTACCCTATCCTGCTAATTTGCTTATTTTTCCCCACTCATTGTTTGCTAGTATCTCTTCCGATTATCTCCTGTAGTGCCAAACATTTTGTGTCGAACAGCAAATTCTGCCTTTTACATTATCCAAAATAATTGTTCTAGACGGGATGGGGAAATATCATTTTTCTACTCAAAACAATTTCCAGATGAACAATCATGACTTGCACTACTCATATGCAACAGGCTTTTCCAGGCATTTTTGGCACGAGAGGGAACTCATAATAATGATACTGAAACTGTTAGATGCACTGAAGTGTCCGTTGAAATGAACCACACCACCAAACTTGACATGCAAAATGAACATATTTTGTTAGCTCACTCACTTCAGGAGAGCTGTAATTCACTTTAAGAAATTAGAGATTTCCTTTGACCAGGCCTATGAGGATGAGGTGGAACTAAAAGCTGTCAACAGTCATTCTTTCCAAATTGCTTTGGCCATTCTGCACAGGTTTATGCACATAGTGCACTCAGAAGCAGTGAAATAATTCCAAAAGCATGGAGCTGTATCAACGGATCCCAGTGAAATGCACAGGCAATATTTGGGGTCATAGATGAATTTATATCAGCAAAACTTTAACCCATGTTCCCTGAGCTACTCGCAACTCTTAGTGTGGACTTTTTAAAGACATGGTCACGCTGAGGTCGGTGTTGTGGTAAAAGGTACATTGCATTCCAGAAAGATGTTATTTTGATTCACAAAATGTGTATTTATTAAGACTTTTTTCCACAAGTAATAGAGATTCTCCTTGGCTTAAATAAGAATGGAGAATTTATTTTAAAGACACAGGTTTTACTTGAACTTTAGGTCAAGACACAGCCAGTTCTTGCAAGAACTGGACACAGTAAGCTAGGTAGCATTCTTTCTCTCCTGCCCCTGTGTGTGCTGCTCGGCACTGGGATCTTTGCCTTGGCAGCCACAGGCCTCCCAATAGCAGCAGCTGAATCCAATATGCAGTTTTTCAACATATGCAGCACCAGCTTCATTTCACCCCCGTAAGTACATCAGCCCAAGCACTGGCTGGCCAATGCCTCCTCCTCAGAAATCTAAAACTAGCTCCATAGAGTGCTTCCTCTGAGCTACAGCTCTGGGGCCCCTCCTCCATGCTTCTAAATTGTCATCATTCCAGTGTCTTCCTTTTGGGCCTTCAGCCCTAAGAGTGATAGCTGCTTCCTATAATTGCTACCTCCAAGTTTTTTCTTTTTGGTTACATAATTGGCAACTTTAGATCTAGTTAACATTTCTTTGTATTAAATTATTTCTTTTTCAAATAACTGGAGAGTTTTCTGTCTCATTGGACCCTGACTGATGTAGGTGTCTATTATTGAACTACATTACTTCTGCAGTCCTTCTAGCTTTAAAATTTTCTAATACATAAATACACTTTGGTAAATGACAAATATTATATGATTATAATAACAGTAGCTGAGCATTAATGACAAATGCCTATACTCTAAGGGCCATGATCAGAGGTGTACTTTGGCTATCTCATTTAGTCCTCACAATAATCCTATGTGGCATGTCACATGCATATTCTTTGCAGAAGAGGTAACTGAGGTTCAGGGAACTTGCACAGCCTATGCAAGACGGAAGGCTAGTAAGTAAGTGATAGAGCCTAATATTCAATGTGGTTACTGGTTCTTCTCTTTGTTCTTTTCAACCAGCTCTCATAGCACTTAACCATGGTGTAGTAGTTACTCGATTTCATGACAGTTCCCCTCAGGCAGAAAGATCAGAATAAGAGCAGAGACCAAGGTTTTATCTAGCTTTTATGTCTAATGTAGTCACTAGTATGGAAGGCCCACAGTAAATGTTTGTTGAGTTGAAGTTTGAAACTTGAAGAAACCAATCTGGAGGATTTGAAAAGACAGAATGACTCATGAAGAGAAGTTAAGTCCTAGAGCTATTTGGAGCAGCCAATTGAAATGGCTTTCAAAACAGATGCAGGCCTTGGCATCTAAACAGTATGATTGTGTGCCCAGGAAAGGAGAATTTCATGCAAGTTACTTTGTATGCAGGATCCAAGTAAGTTTTCAGAAACTGATGTCAACCCAAGAAGGGTGGACCTGAATCCCAGAGAGAAAAGTCTTCGTTATGAACACACAAGAGACCTCTGGTTTGAACTAAAAACTCCAACTGATATTAAGTGGAGGACATATAATTTCCTAATTCAAACATAATTTTGCCCTAAGATGTCATTATACTTTAAAACAGTAGATCGGGTGCGGTGGCTCACGCCTGTAATCCCATCGCTTTGGGAGGCCGAAGCGGGCAGATCACTTGAGGTCAGGAGTTCAAGACTAGCCTGGAGAACATGATGAAACCCTGTTTATACTAAAAAATATAAAAAGTTAGCTGGGCGTGGTGGCAGGCGCCTGTAATCCCAGCTACTTGGGAGGCTGAGGCAGGAGAATTGCTTGAACCTAAGAGGTGGAGGTTGCAGTGAGCCGAGATTGTGCCATTGCACTCCAGCCTGGGTGACAGAGTGATACTCTGTCTCAAAAAAAGAAAAAAACAGTAGTTGGTCCACTTTTATATGGCCATAAGGAGACCCAATGGCGTTGCTTTTATGGTGAGATAAACCCTAGTTCCTGGGAAGTAATAGCAGACAGTGACCCAAACTATAGTGACATTAGCAGAAACCCTTTCAATTAGAGATTATCCCAAGGCTTCATCTAGTTAGGGTGCAGCATTTCCTCTTGAGAAAAGTATAACCATTTTTCTCTAAATTGGATGGCTTAACTATTACCACATCGGTAAGTTATACAGTTGAAAATTTAAACTCTTTATATTCAAAGCACCAGAATGACCTAGAGAATCAATTGATTTGTCCTGCTATTCAGTGAAATTTTTCTGTAGTTTCAAGTGCACCAAAATGTGTATTGACAAAAGAAAAATAATTAGTTCAAAAAATTTTAGAAACTTTCAAATTTACACACTTGGGAAGTTATTTTACATTTCCTTTCCGAGTGTGCCCATTTGTTTGGGATTAATAAATGCTCAGGCACTCAGCTGCTCACATATTTTTCACAGCTGTTTGTTAAGAGACCCTGAGAATGTTTCAAAGTTCAAGTTGGTGTCAAGCTGTTTGAATTTCCAAATTCAACTTCTAGGCAAAAAAAGCTAGAATCTCTCAAGTCTGTTGTTATGGACTTTTTGGTGCTATTTCAATGCAAGAAATTCACTTTTTGTTTTGTTTTGTTTTGCATCACAAATGGATCATGTTTTATTGACTATTAAACTATGAATCTTTAAAAAAAGAGTTGAATGGTCATGAAGGTATGACTTTTTCTGTTTCCCTTATAATGAGAACGTTTCCCTGTAGAAATATATGACTTAATAAACTTACAAAACTTTAGACTGTGATAAAATATCCAAAATTCATCCATACCCAAGTGAACTAAAAATCTTAACTAATCTTTCTCAACTATCTAGCCCTTAGTTTCTCCATAAATATAAAGCAAGACACTCACAAAAAAAAAAAAAAAAAAAAAAACTAATTTTTTTTTTTTTTGAGACAAGAGTCTCACTCTATTGCCCAGGCTGGAGTCCAGTAGTGCAATCTTGGCTCACTGCAACATTTACCTCCTGGGTTCAAGCTATTTTCCTGCCTCAGCCTCCCGAGTAGCAGAATTACAGGCGCATATCACCATGCCTGGCTAATTTTTGTATTTTTAGTAGAGACAGGGTTTTACCATGTTGGCCAGGCTGGTCTCAAACTCCTGACCTCAGGTGATCCACGCGCCTTGACCTCCTAAAGTGCTGGGATTATAGGCATGAGCCACGGTGTCCGGCCTAAATTACAATTTTGATGGCTATCCCTCCAAATGCCAAGTGATAAAGTAATGGCCTTCAACTAAATATTGAAAATCTGCATATTAAAAATTGAAAATCTGCATAGGAAAATTTATAAACATCAGAGATCCAGCCAGCTGGCAAAATTGATGTTAGCCTACATAATACTTTTTTTTTTAAGTAATAAAAAGAAATGAAAATTTGGTTAAATATTATGGTAGAAATTTTCAAGTACCTTAGCTAATATTTACAGTTTATTGGCTATTTAAAAACACTCCTTTGAGTTTCACTTGGTTCCAAACAACATCTGTTATCCATATCCCTAAAGTCTGCAGAAACGTAATATCCACATATTATTTGGTTTCACAATGGAATATTTTGATATTCAGCTATATTAAAGTAATGAGCCCAATTACTAAAATCATCTTAAACAATTTTCCCAGACAAAAAGAATGATTGTGTTTGTGAGTCCTTCTGTTTCTGCCAACCATCTTAAACACCAGCCTGTTGTAAATTATAAAGCCCTGCTTAATCACAGCACTGCATTATCCGCAAACTTCCCTAAAATACCTACTTTAGAGTAATTATCAAGCACACTCATTGATAAACAAACACACATTTTGAAAGAATCCTTTGCCAATTTTAACCAATTAAAGATGAAAGCTATGAAATTGCTGAAGGCAAATAAAAGACTTTTTTTTCTTTTGCTCTTGCCCACAGCAACTAATGACAATGGGCATTTTAAAATATCAAAAGTTAGATCCCTGAAATCACCCACATTATTAAAATGACCTTTGTTTAAAGTATAAAAAAGTACATTAAAATATTGTATGTGAGGATGTATGTTTACAAAGTGAAGAATAGCAATATTAATGAGGGCTGGAAGAAAGGATCACTCACTAGCCTTCTAAGACTAATCTGTTATTATTATTTAATATCGTGCCATCATTGACCAAATTGCCAATTGGTTCTGAAATTGTCAACTAGAAACATGGCACAGTTATATAAGCAAATTATTATTTCCCAATAAGTTGTTAGCTCCCTAAACCACTTGTTATGAAAATAGTTTGAATTGAACTTGCCAATTTCATAATTTGATGATCACTGAGTTTCCCTTTCACAAAGGTTTAGTCTGGCCCTTACATTAAATCAAATTCCCATACGGCTGTATCCCTTCACCACCTTCCAACCCCTCACGACCTACCACACACACCCAGGCCCACAGGCACACCATGAACCCTGCCTACTCACCGAGGGGGTTAGCTGTTTTTTTGTTTGTTTGTTTGTTTTTTGAGACAATGTCTTGCTCTGTCGCCCAGGCTGGAGTGCACTGGTGCTATCTTGGCTCACTGAAACCTCTGCCTCCCAGGTTCAAGCAATTCTCCTGCCTCAGCCTCCCGAGTAGCTGGGACTACAGGCGCCTGCCACCGTGCCTGGCTAATTTTTGTATTTTTAGTAGAGACGGGGTTTCACCATGTTGACCAGGCTGATCTCGAACTCATGACCTCAAGATCCACTCACCTCGGGCTTCCAAAGTGCTGGGATTACAGGTGTGAGCCACCGCGCCCGGCCTTAGCCTTTTATTGGATGATGTAGTTCAGACAACTTTTAACCTGCTGCTGCTAAAACAAAACGGTTTTGGTTTGGTTCCCATTCATAGCTTGTTTAAAATACAATTGACAGGGAACAATCCAGAGAGGGAGGACTCAGTAACGTTGCCAAAAAAATTCTTCTGTTAATACGCTCATTTCTCTGAATTAAGAGCTCAAACCTCACATGTGAGGAGTATGTGTGTTCATCTTATCTTTGTCTTCAAGTTTGATACTCAGAGCAGCCCACTCGTAAGTTTAATGTGTTTCTACACTAGAAAAAGGAATGAAACAGCATTTACTGGGACTCACCATGAGCCAGGCATTGAGGGAGATTTCACCCAGGCTTCAGTTAATGAACTCTTCAATAATCCTTTGAGATTGGAATGATTATAACATCCCCCAATTTACAAATAAGGTAACTGAGACTCAGAAACTAAATTTGATCTTAATAGTAAGTGACCTGGATCTGAATCCAGGGAAAATTGGGTCTGTTTAAGAAAAACTGAATCTGATTTCTGGGCTGGCAGTCTGCTGGGAAGATACAAAATGTTGTCCAAATGGGTCAGTAGGCAGTGGGCATTTTGTAATACCCCGCACAACCTACAATTAATGAGTATTTGAGTTGACGTTTCTTTAATATTTGCCTTTCCTGTTTCCTTGTAAGCTCTATGAGAGGATGTAGTTAGTTTCATCTATCGCCCTATTTCCAGTGCTAGCACGTAGGAGGCGTTCGCTAAATATCTTTTGACTATCTAATGTGCTCTGCCTCTTCTGCTCATTTTCTCAGAGACATCTAAGCAGATTGGCACAAGGACAGAATAATCCTGGATATACCCACTAACAGACTTCTCTGTCAATTTAATCCTGCGCCTCACCAATGCCCCTTATCTTTTAGAAGCCAACAATAGCCAGCTTTTAGCTAATTGCTTTCAAATCTATTAGGAGTGTTTCCAAGTAGAATAATAATCGATTTAGTCATTATTGAACTCTGACAGTATGCCACGTACTTAAGCACATACATGCATCATCTTACAGTAGATGTTATTCTACCAATTTTATGGATTAAAATTTGTACTGTGGTGTGGGCACTGTGGCTCGGGAGGACCTGCCAGACCATCTGAAGGACAGCTGTAGCACCGCCCTGGTGCTATGCTCATTCAAAGACTCCAGCTGCAAGCACTGGCGCCCTAAGCTGGCAATGGCACGGCATGTGGAGGACAGTGTGAAGCCACATCTGGCCATGATGTGTGCTCTGTTGAGTTGGCAATGGCAGGAGCTGCAGGACCTTCAGCAAGAGCTGGAGGAGCTATCAGTGGGCAGTGATGGTATGCTCATCTGGAAGATTGGCAGCTATGGTCGGTGGCTACAGAAGGCCAAGGCCAAGCCCAACCTTGAGTGCTTCAGCCCAGCCTTCTACACACATAAGTATGGTTACAAGCTGCAGGTGTCTGCATTCCTCAATGGCAATGGCAGTGGCGAGGGCACACACCTCTCACTGTACGTTGGCTTGCTGCCTGGTGCCTTTGACAATCTCCTTGAGTGGCCCTTTGCCCACTGTGTCACCTTCTCCCTGCTGGATCAGAGCAACCCTGGGCTGGCTAAACCACAGCATGTCACTGAGACCTTCCACCCCTGCCTAAACTGGAAGCCGGGCACTTGGAGTGGGGGCTCCCTGGATGAGAGATCTTCCTAAGTTCATCTCCCACCAGGACATCCGAAAGCAAAATACTATGTACAGTGTGGGGAACAGGTCTTGGGGTCATCAAGGGCTGGAAACAAGTGACCCCAGGGCCTGTCTCCCTTCTTAGGTAGGGCAGACATGCCCTGGTGCCGATCACACTCTACCCGCACTGAGGTGCTTGCTCAGGTGCTATGTCCCAAGAGCCATAGGTGGGTGGGAGTTGGGGATGGAGAAAGGGTAGTTCAAAGAATCTGTCTTGAGATCTGATTTTTTTTCCCCTTTCCCTAGCTGTGCCCCCTCTGGTTATTTATTTCCTTAGTGCCAAGAGGGCAAAGCAGAGGGGCCCTGATTTTTAAGAAATCCGTAAGTGTATTTTTTAGAAAAAAAACTACTTTAGAAAGGTTAGGCTACTTCTCCTAGAAGGAAGAATTATGAAGAAGGAGGAGATAAAAAGCAAAAAGGGAGATGGGACAGCCTCTCTGGAGATGAAAAAGAGCCTAGTAACACAGATATTCAAATTTCTCAGACCTGAACCCACACCACTCTGACCCCTTCCCCCATTCTGCACGGCTGCCTGGGGCATCCCTGGGGAGTGCCGCATATGCGAGCCCATTCATGATCCTTCACTCTGGCCTTCTGGAAAGTTCAACTGCCTTCAGAATGATGCCTCAACTCTTCCTTTGTGACGTGGTTTCTCTTCCCTCAAAGCAACATTCAGGAGTGCCTAATACTGCAGCCCTCAAGGCACTGCCAAATGGGTCACCTTCCCTTTGGTTCCCAATGCTCCCAAACCCTGAACTGGGCTCCACCCACATGTGGAGAAAATAGCCTGTCCAGGACTGAAATCCACACTATGAGGCCTTTTTGAGGAAGATGTACTGGATTTCCTGCCCTTCATCCCCAGGATCTATCGATATCATCACCTGCACTAAAACTTTCCCTCTCCAACTCTTTTCTTCCCCATGAAATAGGTGCCTGGGGAGGCACGTACGTTGAGACACACTGAGATTCCTGGTTTAGGCTCAGCCAAGCCCTGTGACATCCAGATTCACAATTAAAAAGGTCACTTTAACTTGCAAAATGGAAGCCACTATGTTTGGGTTATTTATCCCCATATAACAACCTGCCCCAAAATGTAGTGGCTTAACGTAACGATGGCTTTCTTATTGTTCATAATTTTGAAGACTGAGTGGGGCATGGCTCTATGGTTTTTCTGTTATCCTTGCTTCCATTCTCTCATGCATCTGGAATGAGATGGGAGCTAGACTAGAACATTCAGGTGGCTTCACTCATTTCTTCATCTCCCTCCTTCTCCCGTCATATCAACTTTCTACAAATCCCCCAGGTCAGGGATGTCTTCTAGAAGGAAGTGACACTTCTGCAGAGACCTGGAGGATAACCTGAATTTCTTCTTCATAACCCTCATCATACTTAAAAATGTCTGGTTTGTTGTCTATCTCACCTATAGATTATGAATTCCATGAGGGCGAGACCACATCCATTTTATTTCATCATTGTGTCTTCAGTGTTATGTATAGCACCCTGTCCATAATGTGTTCAATAAACATTTTAATGAATAAATAAATAACTATGTAGAAGTCATCTTTTACTGTTCAGAAGTTGTCACTTCTCCTGAATCTATTTTTGCTGTGTGCTATAGTGTACGTCTACATACTAAATGGAACAGAAAGATGAAGTACTACCTGAATTATCCCCACAACAACACAAAGCACTCCATTCTCAATTATGTATGAAGTTCAATAAAAATTTGTTTTTGAATGTGACAAGAATATCTAGACAATTTATTCAATTAATGATCTGTTCATTTGATCATATGTCTAAACAGAAAAGTAAGAACCCTTTATTTCATAAAGTTTTTTTTTTAAACCTAGTCTTCCCCTTCCCTTTAGCAGACAGTTTTAGGGGAGCAAAAAAAAAAAAAAAAAAAAAAAAGCTATAGTCAAAACTGTGTCTTTGTAAGCTGGGGAAAATGTTTCTCAATCCTTAAAAAAAAGTTTCCTAGCATGTTAGCTTTTGCACTTTCAGACTTTGCCTCCAGAAATACACAGGAACTGTTTAATTTGACATTCATTGAGACAAATGCTGTAATCTGCCTTGGGAGAGCCAGCTGATAGGGAAGCTTGACTTGTAAAATAATTTTGCTTTGATGATCTCACCCAACCTATTGATTTTTTTTGTCAAGAGTTTTATTCAGAAAAAGCATGATATAAAAGATGAAGTCAAGATGAGCAGCAGTTATTTAACCACATTAGAACCCAGGTCTGTAGTTTCTTTTGCTGGAGACATTTACATAAGCAGACATCATCTTTAATCTTTGTTTATATTGTCACAGTCTTGTTTTTAGTTCTTTTGCCTCTTAAAACTAAGCTGTGATTATTAGTTGGACATTTTTACTGGCTTATTCATTCCAGTTGGGATTTCCTTCCAACCTTGCCTGGGAAATCCAGTTACTAATGCAACTACAGAGAATGGTAAGTTCAACTTCCACTAAAGTAGCCATTTCTGTTTATCAATTTCTAATTTGTGAAATACAGAGCTGACAACTGGAGACACATAAATGAAGGAGTCTCTTACTACCTGATGCAGAGAGCTGTCTGTGCTCATCTGCATTGGCAGGAGTTTTAATTTCACCGTTTTCACTACTATCTTACTTCATTGTCTGTCTTTCCCTCTCTGTGCTTCTTTTCCTTGTCTACAGGGAAGACTATAGATGGCTACAGTCTTTTCCTCTATCCTGTGAGGATAGGGTAGTCTAGGGTTTTATATTTGGCTTTGTGCAATATATATTTCTATATTTCCACTTTGAATGTATATATTAGAAGTGGCATCAAATGTATCATTGTAGATTTAACTTTTTCTTACAGGAATCTAGGAAATTTGTCTGAGTCTCCACTCTATTCCCAGCAGCTAAAATAGCATCTAGTACATTACAGGCACCTAATGCATATTGCTGCATGAAGAAATGTATAGAACACAAGCCAGGGTTGAAAGATGAAAGCTGTTTTCTTTAACGACTTTGCAAATCTGTTGCCACATAATTGTGTTTCCATGGAAATGAGAGAAAACATTCCATCATTAAATGATTGTCATTTGTTAGTGAAACAGATTGATCTCAAAGATTGGCCAAAAGAAACACTCAGTGTTAAACATTCAGCACCTTATACTACTCTAAGAAGTCTAGATAAAGGGAATGGAAAGAGAATAAATTTCAGTTTGGGATTCACTTTGAAATGAAGGGTTATAAAGCCCTCTAATTGGTCCTTGAGTATCCATTCCAATTTGCTCCAATCCAGTTTAATTTCTACAAAGATTAGCCAAAAACACTAAAAAGGACAGGGAGAGATTTCTGGCTTCCAGAAGTGAACTCTTGAGCCACAGCCAAAGCTATCACCTCAGATGAAAATAATATGATTTACCACAAGAGTTCCTGTCTTCTTTCACTCTATTATTTCAACCAGTGTTAGAAATAGGAGGCCAAGTTTATTCAGGATGCTAATGACTGTCGTCCAGATTCTGAGACACTGGATGCAAACTGATGGTCTGAAGATGAGATCTGGCCCACAGATGTATTTTATTTGACCCACACTATTCTTTTATTGAATTAATTGCCAATACTGGAAGTCAGAAGAATTCACATAAAACCCCAGCTTTCTCCTTTTTTCTTGAAATATAAAAACAGAAGATATGGTGACACTGAGTTGCAGTTAAAGTGCAAATCACCATGACCCCACCACTGCCTATCTATACTGTGATACTGGAAATACTTTCATTTGCTGTCCCTCATCAGCCTGCATTATTTTCTTTCTAATGGCCTGTTTATCTCATATATTAACCTTATCTGTCTGGCTTTTGCATGCAACTACAGTCCTAAACTGTCCCACAACTGTTACATTTAAACTTTTCTTGCTGGTTTTCTCTGTGAATATGTGAATGTTCTGATTGAAGCTCTATCTGTATTATTCTGCACCAACTGCTTCATTTCATTAGTTTCTTCCAACCTCTTGCACATGTGGCCGCTAAAGGGGTTAGGATGGAATTAGTTAAAAGACGAGTCAAGTGGGCCAGGCGCGGTGGCTCACGCCTGTAACCCCAGCACTTTGGGAGGCCGACGTGGGTGGATCACGAGGTCAGGAGACCGAGACCATCCTGGCTAACATGGTGAAACCGAGTCTTTACTAAAAAAATTCAAAAATTAGCCAGGTGTGGTGGTGGGCGCCTGTAGTCCCAGCTACTCGGGAGGCTGAGGCAGGAGAATGGCGTGAACCTGGGAGGCGGAGCTTGCAGTGAGAGGAGATTGCACCACTGCACTCCAGCCTGGGCGACAGAGTGAGACTCTGTCTCAAAAAAAAAAAAAAAAAAGACTAGTCAAGTGATGAAATCAGTCATTTCTGTGACTATGGGTATAGGTAGCGTTTCCTAATAAACATACTGAATGCCTCATTAGCCCATTTAACTTGGGTGGGCTCCATACGCTCTTAGCAAAAGAGAAAAATAAGCAGAGTTTTTGGGAGGGAGGCTAAGATTTTGAATCTTTATTAGAGCCTATGTTATATACTTATATATGCATATAGTGCTACATACACACATGCATATATATATATACATATACACACACATATATTTTTAAAATCATAGGTGAATCTAGCTTGTCTCCTGTGGGCCCATTTAAAGTGTTTTTCAAGTTAATTTTAACTACAAAATGTTTTTCTTTTCCCTTGATCTTTTTAATTTTTTATATACTTACATTACTTTTATTATAATAGTACCTCAATATTATAAACACAAAATTAGAAAGTAATATTAAATATATATAATTTTGAACAAATGCATATACAAAATACATTTCCAATTAAAAACAAACAAAAGAACAAAAACAATACAATTCAAATGACTAACTCCAATTTAATATGATCAGCGGTATTGTTAAACTGCTCATAGTGGACACTTACTATGGGATACAGGGCCTTTTGTGGAAATCAGACTGTACAATTCCACAATTCCTTCTATGAAGTCCTTGGGACAAGATGTACCACTGAATCTGGAAATTTTTATATTCATAAAAGGGGAGGTACCCAATAATCAAATCCATTAAGATCTACAGTATAATATATGAGTATATGAATATTCCCAGTAAATGGGATCATAAAAACTATAAATACCTCATGTCAGTGCAAGTCAGGTTTCATCACCAAATGAGTTTTTCACAAACTTACAAAAATTTGAGGGTTTTGAATTGTGGATACAAGTCTACGAGGTATGTGGCATTCATCCACATTATCCAACTATAAACTCTTTAAAGAAGAAGGAAGAAAAATAAATTAATAATTAAAATAATAATAATATCATTGATTAGCTTCTTCTGATGCCCTACATCTATGTTATTCATTCTTTACTACAATCCCATAAGGTAGGTCTGATTATCCTCACTTTTTGGAAAGAGAAGCTGAAACTTTGGCAGTCATAAGAATGCCTATCAAAATGCTGCCTTGGAGATGCTGACTTACAAGTATTATAACCTGGGATAGTCACCAAGAAAGTTTGTGCTACTTTTCATTCAAAATAATCTCTCTATTAATTTGAATAAGAGAAAGGAATAGGGCTGGATTAATAATAATGTGCACTCAAGACAATGATATATAGGCATGGTCAGGTTGTGTGTGTTTGAGTAATGCTAGTATGGATAATATGACTTCAAAAAACTATAAATTTGAATTCTTATAATTCATAACTAGGCAAATATTTAATTTTGTCCCAAAGAAAATAACGTTTTAGGAAAATCAGTAATATAAGCAAGACAGTTGTTCTTATTGGAAGAAACACCAACAATAAAACCCATAAAGAAAAAGACCTATAGATTTGGGAGCATAAAGCCAAAATGTTCCATATTCAATGTTTTCCAATTCAAGAGACACACAGCAAACCAGATAATTATTTGCCAGTCAAGTGGTGAAACATTCTTAATACCTAAAAAAGGAGCACCTCTAAGTAAGCAAGGAAAAATACAAAGATGCCAGTAAAAATGGAGTGTCAAGACAGAAGAGCCAGATCCCAAGCCAAGAGGTTAGGCTGGCCAATGAATACATAAAAATATTTTCAACCTCTTCAGAAAACATAAGTAAATAAAGAGATAATAAATAAAACAATGCCACCTAATATATTATAAAAGATGAACAAGATTAATAATGCCCAGAGTTGGCAAGAATATGGAGATGCATCACATTTATCTACACTTGGTTGAAGTAAAAATTAATATAAAACTTCTATAATAAAATGTGGATTGCACTATCTAAAAAGAAAATACCTTTAGCCCAGTAATCCCTCTCCTGTGACTATATCATAAAAGTATAATTAAACAAGCACACAAAAATGTATGCATGGATTCCTGCAGCAATAGTATAATTTGGAAATAGCCTGTAAGCCTAAACAGGGAGGGTTGGTTAAATATGTTACATTTCCTAGAAAGGAATATAATGCAGCCATTAAAAAGGAATGACATATCTGAACACTCAATAAAAAGGAATTTTGAAAAGCATTTTATAAAAGATAATGTCTAGTTGATTTTATTTTTGTGTTTATAGGAATACTGCCATCAGTAGGGCATGAGTAGGAAATATCTATTTTTTTTTCTCCCTTCAAACATATTTGGTTTGATTTTGCTTCTCTGGACAATTGTCTCAAGTAAGATTCTCCAGGAACTTGACTCTGAGACAGAGTCTAGTTGTAAGATGTTTATCACGGAGAGCCCTTGGGAACAACACCTGTTAAAGAGGGAAAGGGCACAGATTGGACAGGGAGAAGGTGAACTCTGGTACCTGCCAGAACAATGACACCTTGGCCAACTTTAGGGAGCTCTAGAGACAAAATGGTCCCATAATGGACTGAAATGGCAAAGCCTCTATATCCTCTGCCTCAGTCATGGGATCTGGGCTACCCTGGGATGGGTGTGATGGACTTGCTCAGGAGGCTCTCTCCAGCTGAGGCCATCCCCACAGGAGGCTAAGGCCAGGTTTTCTCCTGACAGCACTCCAAATGGCTGGGACAAGAGTTCCACTTAAAGGGGTATCTGCATGGCATTTCATGTGTCCACCACAACAATATCTTGGTATATTTCACTGTTTTTTCATTGTGTTCAGGTTGAAAACATATTTTAAATCTAAATCTCACATCTTAAGTTTTTGCCCTTCCCCTCACTATCAGGTTTCACCTGAGGCTCAGAGCCTAGCTGGAGGTAAGGAAGATCAGTAATCTGTTAATTTAAGTCATCTATGAACCTACTTTTTTGTTTTTTTTGCAGCTCCACCCTACCTCCATAGGCAGCCAAAAGTGGGCTCCTTACAGGATGCCTGGCATGCACATGACTCAAAAGAAATTCCACCACCCCTGGCCTGTGAAGGGGATCACTCCTCCTGGTGGAATTATTTCTCTCCCTGAATGAGACTTTGGGATTCTCCCAGTGAGAGACATGCACCGTCTCTGTGTCTGTGTCTTTAGACTCTGGGCCATTTTCAGCTCTCCCAAGAATCTCCTGTGTTTCAATCAGGGAGCAGACCAGGAAAAGCCTCTGTGTTTTCTTCTATTAGGTTGGTGTAAAAGTAATTGCAGTTTTTGCAATTACTTTTCATTGCAGGTCTGTGTTACAATGCAGCAAGCTTCACTTGTGGCAGTAAGGTACAATTTTCCTCTGCTGGCAGGGACCTCACCCTCTCTCTGGATCCTTCACTGGGCTTGAGAGGAGGAGACATACCACAGTATTGCCTCCTCCTGTGAGTTTCCTTTTGTTGAATGATTTTTCCCCAGAAGTGTCTCTAGCCACTCACTGCATAAGGGCTGGAGTGGGTGCTGGATGTTGATAGTGGAAAGCCAGTTGGACATCTTTCAGTAAGAATGCTCCAGCTCCTCTCTCTAGAATGTGTGAGTACTTGTCTTCCATTGTCCTGAGATTTGGGGCCTCAGCTAACACTCTGAAACAACTCAAAGAACCCCATTTAATAGCTAGTTACATGTGTAAAATTGTATACATGCGCACACACACACACACACACACATTAGAAGGGATATTTGCCAAAATGCTGATGTTGGTTGTCTCTAGGTAGTTGAATTTAGGAGGAATTTTCTTTGTTCTTTAACATTCTATTCTAAACATGTGCTGTTTTTTGAAGTCAGAAATGAAAAGGGGAAAGAAAGAGCACCAGGCTTGGAGTCCTGCGTCCTTGGATGCCTGTGTCCTGGTCCTGGATGGGCCATCTAACAAGTTCTATAGCCTTGGGAGAATGATTTAAACTCAGTGGTCTCATCCATGAGTTAATTTAATTAGGTTAGAATAAACTATGACCTGAAGCCGGAAAGAAAACCAGCATGTTTATTCATGGCCACCAAAAGTTGCAGAATAAATATTGTACTTATGATAAGTGTGTTTCTTTATTAATCAGATACATACCAAGTAATTGCAGTGTGCCAAATGCTCGGTTGAAATAAGGACCCAGAGATAAATGAAGCCAATACCTAGACTCAAAGACCTCCCTGTCCAGTATGGAAGACAGACCTGCAAATAAGCCCACTGACAATTCAGTGTGGTCAGAGTAGTGACATCAGCATGTGGAAAGGGCAGATGAATTCTAGGAGGCAGGGGAGATTAGGGATCACTTTCTTGATCAGTGATACTGGCACCAAAGTGGGTTCTAAAGAATGAGGAGGAATTTATAAGATAAACACTAGGATACTATTAAAATCACTCGAACATTTTGAAGACAAATAATATTGTAGAGGGCATTTAAGGAGAAATCCATTCTCCTTTGATGTTTTCCAGCTTAATCATTCATAGTCTCTTCCGAAACTCTTCCCAACTGAATCTCAATGCCTTCCTGCACGGTTCATGAAGTCTAAGCATACATCTGTTTGTAGAATCTCTGCAGTGAAGAACACACAGTTCTCAAGTCTCACTTTGGTCCTACTTGCTTTCTAATACTGAAAATGCTAAGTAAACAAGATTCTTATCTGATTATTAAGACATTCACAGGGTTCTCTAAGACAAGTGTCTCCTCTTCCCCTCTAACCCCACAACGAGTTCCTGTTGGTGGAAACTTGAAAATAATCAAGCCTAATTTCTTAAAATTATTCTAACTCTTGAACTTTTCCCCGATTGGCCTCCCTCCATTGGGACGACCTAATGAGAGTGATTCCGTCGATGCATGTGGAACCATGGCACGGAGCTGGCACACAGAGAGGGATCTACATCACATCCAGGTTAATGATGGGATTGGGACACATGTGGACGCTACAGAACTGGTAACCAGGATGCAGTTAAATAAAGATTCTCTCAATATTTGTTCAACATTGATTCAACAGAGAGACAGGAAACTGCATGGAAGCTGGGGGCAGCCCTCCACCTCTCCATTAATGTTCTAAGTGATTTAACTGCCCATGAACTTGCCCTTTCCTTACAGCAAAAGTGAGGTTCCACAGAGAAATGGCACTGTGCTTTTTAGCAGGCCATTTGGTGATCATCTAATGTGACTGCACATGCCCCTTGGAAGTCTGACCCTCTCCATCCCCAAGTGTCTCATTAGAATATCCATCCAACTATGTACAGTGGACTGCTGATCCCCAGGGGAGTCCCAGCAAGATTAAGTGTATTCATATTGTTGCACATGCAGAGCCACTTGGGTGACTCTTTTAGTGGACATCACAGTCATCCAGTCTGTAAGGATCAATCCTGGTCTCTCTCAGAATCCCATGAAGAGTCTCTCAAAAAGTTAAAGAACCTCACATTTACATTTCTATTATGAGTCAATGTAGACTTATTCCCAAATCCTAATATATTCTTTCTGAAAATGGAATTGTGTAGCTGAAATGCTGAACTGCAACTAAACTGCCTGGCATCATGTATTTTAAATTATCTAATTACTTCTCTTTCTACCCTTCCAGACTATGGTGTCCTTGGAGTCAAGTACTGAGTCTTCTTTTCACTTAACATTTATCATTTAGTGTAGAGCTTGAAGTAAATAGAAATTAAACCAGACATCTTCCACCAACATCTTCCAAGAGTTTTTGAGAATTGTCTTTCAAATATTTCAACTTTGGGAGGAAGCCTTTTCTTTTTACTTCTCTAAAGTAGTCTGCCACTGTGGTACCCTCAGCTCTATATATTTTCGAGCAACCAGTTAACCAGTATCAATCAACTCAAAGAGTTTTGACTTCTAACCATGTGATAGGCATCAGGCTAAGTCCTGAGATACAGAAATGAAGGTACCACCCCTCCTACTCACACAGCACACAAACTGTGTGCAGATGTAAATCTTGTACGTGATTAAATTACAGGCTTAACAGTCTAGTCACTCAATTCAGTTTTACCTGTCTGAATACATTAATTCAATTTTACAAAGGAAAGACCCCTTCCTTCATTTTCTTGTACTACCCTGAAGCTAATGCAGAGAATACAATTGTATGAAGCTGAAAATCAAGCTCCATTCGCCCAAAAAACAGGAAGTTGCCCGTGGCTTCTTCTAACCTTCTCCTTCCTTTTTCTCTGTTTAATTCACGAAACTTCCTCAGTCTACACCACCTCAATACCACATGGGGAGATCCAGTCCATAAGGATCAACTCCGATCTCTCTCAGAATGCCATGAAGAGATGTCCCAAAGAAATAAAGAGGCCCACACTTATATTTCTATCTTAAAACAAAGCAAGCTCATTCCCAAATTCCAGTAAATTTTCTCTAAAAAGGGAAAAGCCACACAAGGAGGATTACAGTTTACAGGAAGTGAGGAAATGACCATTCTAAGAAAAAGCTGTCGAAGGGACCACTTACATCCAAAGATGGGAGGGACACAAATTAATTTTTTGCCCTGACTGAGGAAAGGTAAAGTTAATAGAAGGAAGAGAATCTCAGAAAGGGAAATTAAAGCCAACATGCTTCTGGCTTCTTGAGACTGCCCCCTGAGTTAATTAATTACCTGTGAGGGGATTATGAAGTGAGTTGTGAATTTCTCTTACTTCACACACACACACAAAAGGAAGAACCACAGTGTGAATCTATTTTAAGAGCTAGAAATTGGCTTGGGGAAATTGCTGATATACTGGGAATAAAAGAAAAAGGGATTTAAAAAAAAAAACCCTCCTCAGCAGTAAGAAGTAGGAGGAGAGCTACTTTAACAATCTCTGAGCTGTTAATGCAGTCACAATCTGGATCCAGGACAAAGTTAGGGATTTCTTTCCTTCCTTCCTCTATTCTTATTTTCTTACCTTCCTCTCTCTCTTCCTTTCTTCTTCTTTGATCCAACTGGTAAACATCTGTTATATGATTGGTACTGCCCCAGGCACTAGGAAAACAGAATGAGATCCGTAGTCCCAAATAATATTAATTCATAAGGAATAAGAGGGAGAAAAAAATTCCATTAAATTTCTCATAGGAAAGAAAGAGGAAAAACTGAGGGGAAAAAACTCCTGATGAATGGATAGGACAGAAAGTGAAATTCTGCTGGGCCTAGATATGGCTGAGGATTCACATGAAGAGAGAAATTCTTTTGATGTAGCAGAGTGAAAGAAGAAAGGCGGGATGGAGCGATCAAGATGGTGAAACACTTCACTCCAAAATGTGATTCTTCACCAAAGGCACCAAACGTTCAATTAGGAATCTCGTGAAAACCAGTAAAGGAACTGAGTTCTGTGTACAGGGTGTCACATAGCACAATAGAAACTGTAGGCAAAGGGCCCACAGAGACCATAGAAGAACCACAGAGGAAGATGAGGGCAAGGCCACAGGGACTCCTAGGAAAAGCTTTGCACATCACAAGCCATGTAACTGTGATCCAGGCTGGGTTTGGACAGACTTACAGGAGCCAGGAAGCTTCTAGGCTGCATTGAGTTTTCACATTCAATTAGTTATAACAGCACATTTGAAAGTCCATAAACTCAACATCTGAGGATAAAAGAAGAAAAATTATTACTACACTACAAAGCCCAACTCACCTGCTGGTGGATCAATAATATCATCCATGAGGCCCAGGGGCCCAAATGGCCATAGATAGGCAACAAGGAACTCCATGAACTCCCTAAAATTATATGCAAAATGTTGTGAAAATATACAGTGAAGCTCTGCATAATGATTTTTTGGTCAACAGACCACATAAGATTACAATGGAGCTGAAAAATTCCTTTCACCTAGCAACATCATAGCACGATGCATTACTCACATGTTCATGGTGATGCTGGTGTAATCAAACCTACTGCACTGCCATCCATACCAAAGTATAGCATGTACAATTATGTACAGTACATGATATTTGATGATAATAAATGGCTATGGTACTGGTTAGTGCATTTGATATAGTATACTTATTATCATTATTTTACAGTGTACTACTTCTACTTATTAAAAATCAACTTAATGTGAAACAGCCTCAGGCAGATCCTTCAGGAGGTATTCCAGAAGAAGGCATTGTTATCATAGGAGACGACAGTTCCATGAATGTTATTGCCCCTGAAGACCTTCCAGTCGGACAAGATGTGGAGGTGGAAGACAGCAATACTGATGATCCTGACCCTGTGTAGGTCTAGGCTACTGTGTGTGTTTCTGTCTTCGTTTTTAACAATAAAAAAAGAAGTTCAAAAAGTAAAAAAATAAAAAGTAAATTTTTAAAATAGAAAAAGTTTATAGAAGGATAAAGAAATATTTTTGTACAGCTGTATAATGTATTTGTTTTTAAGCTGTGTTATTATAAAAGAGTCAAAGAGTTTTAAAAAGGAAAAACTTTGTCAAATAAAAAAGTTACAGTAAGCTAAAGTTCATTTATTATTGAAGAACAATTTTTTAAATTTAGTGTAGCCTAAGTGTACGGTGCTTTTAAAGTCTACAGTAGTGTACAGTAATGTCCTAGGCCTTCACCTTCACTCACCGTTCACTCACTGACTCACCCAGAGCAACTTCCAGTCCTGTCAGCTCTATTCATGGTAACTGCCCTATCCTGGTGCACCATTATCTTTTATACTGTATCTTTATTTTACCTTTTCTATGTTTAGATACACAAATACTTACCATTGTGTCACCATTGCCTACAGTATTCAATACAGTAACATGCTGTACAGATTTGTAGCCTAGGAGCAATAGGCTATCCCTTACAGCCTAGGTGTGCAGTGGGCTACACCATCTAGGTTTGTGTTAATACACTCTGTGATGATTACATGAAGATTAAATTGCCTAATAAGGCATTTCTCAGAATGTATTTCCATTGTTAAGCAATGCATGACTGTGTGTACATATATATACACACACATTTGTGGGAGAAGGATCCTTAACCTTCATTAAGTTTACAGAGTGTAGTTATCAATGAAAATAACCCCATTTACTGAGTGTTCACTATGTATTACTATGAGAAGAACTTCATACATAATTATTTCATGCTTATAGCAACTCTATTTAAAAAAAAAAAAAAAAGACTATTTTAAGTACCCTGAACTACCTGGGGATTTCAAGAAGCCTCACAAAAGTCACACCACTAGTGAGTGGCAGAGCAAGGACAAACACTCATGTCAAAGTTATTAGCCTTCATGCTCCATTGCTTCCCACTGATGTGCACTTTGAACTTTGCTGAATTCTGAGTCTGATTTTGTTACCAGTTCAAATGTTGCTTTTCCCCAGAGAAAAAGATTAGAGAGATTAAGTTAGGTGTTTAATAGGGATCAGATTCTACTAATATTTTCTGAAGTTCTAAACGTTTCAAGCACTTTCATCTGTGATATTCCATTCCATCCTCTCATTCCGTTTCATCCAGGGCAATGATGTAAATATATCTGTTGGTTTGACAATTGGGAACGCTGACTTCAGAGTGGTCAAGTCACACTACTTTGGGTAAAAGGTGTAGTGGGTTTTACGTCGAGGTCTTGTATGCCCTGATTCCATTTCCCTGCCTCAAAGGAACAGTAAAAGGCTTTCCAAGAAGCCAATGATTTTTTTGTTTTTTTAAAGCTCCTGGCTTGTGAACTCTGAGTTGAAGAAGACTCATCCAGAGGTCATTTGAATTGTTATTATGAGACTCATCACATCAAATTGCAGTTTGAATTTTGCAAAATAAAAAAAAAGGGCCTCAGAGACATAGTTTTACTGCTGGGGATAGAGGTCTATAGAATGTACCAGGAGAGAACAAAGTCACTGGGGACTTTTGACTCTTAGGTTTCCCACTTAGCTATCCCAATGGAAATACATCCCACCCTTTGAAAACTTCACAGGGTCATTCTGCCTGCTTTACTCTGACTGGTATTCTTTCCACATGCTGTGGGAATAGCTTAGCCCACCACACATGCAATTCCTTGAGGAGAACAAAAAGAGCTGCAAGCTGAAATAGACCCTTCTTACTAAGCAGTCTGTGCTTGTGCCCAGCATAGATGCAGATGCCCCTGTTGAAAGTAAACCCTGGAATTTCCAGGAGACAACCACAGGGTCATTGACATAAAGGGAAGACCAATCCAGACCCCAGCTGGAGTCCTTTCACTAAACTGAGGAAGAAGACATAGAGGGTAGATTATTATATTTCTGTGGCACATAGTTGGATGGAATCTATTGGATGATATTTTGCTAACCATCGCTTAGTTGGAATAGAGGCAGAGTACAACAGTTCAACATTTCTAAAGTGGAGAAAGAAAAGACAGAACAAAATAAGTTCTATGAAAGAGCCACCACAAAGGGAGAATTGTTCTTTCTTCTTGAGGAGGATGACATATGACAACTTCAAACCCCACAGAAGTAACAACTGAAGACATTTAACTGACTTAACGGCAGCTTCATTGGCCATTTGTCATGTACTTACTGTCTAAACAACACTTGAAGGAAAAAGAAAGCTTTTCTAAATTGCTCCGTGTAAGTAGTGAGGACTGCTAATGAGAGGCATCCAACTCCCCAGAGGAAAGGATCCAACAGCTAACTCTAGTGCTGTGATGCTCAAACTGCATTAGCATTCGTGGGGAGTGTCTTAGAAATGCAAATTCTCAGGCCTCACCCCAGATCTACTGACCAGAATCTTTGAAGATGGAACCCAGTAATCAGTTTTAACAAGCCCTCCAGGAATTCTGGTGGACGCTGCAGTCAAAGAAGCTCTGCTTTAGAGCACAGTAGAAGTCTGTTCGACTAAGAGTCAGACAGACAGGGGTTTGGGGTCCCACCTTTGACACTAACTCATGGCACAACTCCAGACAAGGTGCTCTCTGAGCCATGACTTCATTCTACTCCGTGGGGATAATAATGGTAATAGCAGGGCTTTGTAAGGGAAAATATACATGAGGACTTAGTGAGTGGTAAATGCTCATTCAGCAAATGGTAGCCTTCACTGGGATCATTGAAAAGAACATGATTTCATTGCTTCACACAAAGGATAGAGATCTGTAGAATGTACCAGGGAAGCTGTTGTTGTTGAACTTGCATGGTGTCTAAGCATCCTTCCTTTCAAACTTTTTTTTTTTCTTTGGAGATGGAGTCTCACTCTGTCACCCAGGCTGGAGTGCAGTGGCACAATCTCAGCTCACTGCAACCTCCACCTTCCGGGTTCAAGTGATACTCCTGCCTCAGCCTCCCAAGTAGCTGGGATTACAGACGTGCACCACCATACCTGGCTAATTTTTGTATTTTCAGTAGAGATGGGGTTTCGCCATATTGACCAGGCTGGTCTCAAACTCCTGACCTTAAGTGATCCACTCACCTCAGCCTCCCAAAGTGCTGGGATTACAGGCGTAGCCACTGCGCCTGGCCCAAACCTTTTAGAAAGCTTTACTTCTCAGAGAATGGAGCACCTGTTTCAGAATGAGGGCCAGGTTTTTTAAAAATTGAGATGTTGAGTGCTCATAGCAGACCTGCCAAATCTGTATCTTGTGAAATGTGCTCTGGGTGTCTACGAGTTTAAAATTTTTCTCAAAAGAGTCTTCAGTAGACTAAGATATGGGAATTATTGATTAAAATGAGGAGATAAGATGTAACTCGGTGGTGACTTAGCTGTCACAGCCACTCTCCTACAGATTGAGGCAGAAGGAGGCAGGTGCATTGTCTGAATGTTACAACAGTAAGTAGAGCCAAGAAGGGAGACATCCTAACCTCTGCCCACCAGTTTACCACCTTTCTCTGTGGTGGCTGATGAGCTGCTAGTTAGATTTCTCTTAGCTGGCCAAACCTAGAATTGAAGCGATTTTATCAATTTCTGAGAGAAAATATTCTTGGTGGTGGCAAAAGGGAAGTGGATTAGGAGCCTGTTCTTGTAGGCGTTTAAAATGGAAAATTCCAAAGTTTTGTTTTTCAAGGAAGATATGGTACCTCTTTAAGAAATTCATAATATGTTAGCATGGGATGTAGTTCAAGAACTTGGTATTGGCCAGGAACGATGGCTCATGCCTCTAATCCCAGCACTTTGGGAGACCAAGGCAGGTGGACCACCTAAGGCCAGGAGTTTGAGACCAGCGTGGCCAACACGGTGAAACCCTATCTCGCCTAAAAATACAAAATTAGCCAGGTGTGGTGGCGCATGCCTGTAATCCAGCTACTTGGGAGGCTGAGGCATGAGAATCCCTTGAACTCAGGAGGTGGAGGTTGCAATGAGCCGAGATCACATCATTGCACACCAGCCTGGGCAACAAGGGCAAAGCTCCATTACAAAAAACAAACAAAAAAAACTTGGTATTCTCTCTCTCCTATTTCTATTGCCATGTAAGTGTGTCCCATTTGAGAATGAAAGAATTGAGGCTCAGAGAGGTTAAGCTGCTTTTTCAGACTGACAACCGGAAAAGTGGAGAGCTGAATTTTAAACCTAGGAAATATAACTCCCTGCCATATCAGAGTTCTAAACCCTTGCTTCTCAAAGAGCAGTTTCTGGACCAGCACCTTACATGAATTTTTGAGAAATGCCCAACCTCAGACCCCACCCCAGACCTACTTAACGAGGCTGCATTTCAACAGAGATTTGTAAACACACTGAAGTTTGAAAAGCACAAGGCATTTCTCCAGGTGTGTTCTAGGCATCACTAGCATGGAAAACACTTGTGAGTGCTAGCTAACTATATAGATTTCAGGCCTATCAGAAATCTCTGCAGCTGGTTTCAAAGATGCTGCATCATCAACGAACTCCTAGGTGATGGCTATGTATGCTTAATCTTGCGAACCACTGCTTTTAGTTCTCCTGCCCTGTGCTTTGCTTGACCATTAAAACAAGAAGGTCAAATTGGAGCAGGTGAATGAATGTTCTCCACCTAATGATGATAAAAGGAATTTGGAGAATAGCACAGGCAGCCAAATTAAGGAAGACCAGGGAGAAACTTTCTCTTTCTTGTCTTTACTATGTTTCAAACCCAGATTGTGGCATTGGCCTTTTATTTGAAGTCTAATTTTGTTTGGTTTTATTTTGTTTGGTTTTTGTTGGCTTTATTTATAAGGATGCCTTTGTGAAAATCTATACTATTTCTATCAGTGACTCCAAAGCCAGAGCTCAAGTTGTTTCTTTTACCTTGGACTTACTCACGTATTTTCTTCCTCTACAAACCAAAAAATGTGAAGTCGTGTCTCAACATGTTTCAAAGCACTCCACAGGAAGGTACCATGTTGAGAAAGGTATGGAGCACATCTGATAGACTGAGGTGGGTGACTGTGATAGGTATAACCTTAAAGTAATACAGAGTGAGGCAGGCGATGCTGATCAAGTTCTTGTCTAAAGTCTGTGTTGACACCAATAGAGACTCCAGAAGTTGAGAAAGCAGCAAAAAAAAAAAAAAAAAAAGAGAGAGAGAGGATCTTGAGCTATTAGTTGTAGTCCTGTTCTGTCACTAGCTATCAGCATGACTCTGTGAGAGTTACTTAATTTTTTCAAAGCCTAGTTTCCTCATTTGTTAAAGCAGAGGGTTTTTCAGGTACTTCAATTGCAATGACCTACAGGGCCAGGCAGGTAATGTAAATGCGTGAAGTCAGCGGCAAATCAGGGGGAAGTACAAGCCACTGAGAGCATGCGCCTCCTGAAGGCATTCAGGCACAGTTCTTCCTGAAACACAGTACCAGCCAAACAAAACAGATATGCGGCTGAATTTAACCCAGGATAGACTGTCTCTCGGGGTCCTTCCAGCACATAGCCAAAAGTTTTAGAGTTTCTTAACCATTGGGGTTCAACATGTCCATTGCATACCAGTATTAAACCAGAATCAGGAGGAGATTGAGGAGACCCAATAGAAAATGTTGATGATCTCATTCCTGTTACTTAAACTGGGAACAAGTGGCAAGTTGCTGAGCTTCCCACAGACTAGCTGAGGACACAGTGCCAAAGAGGAACCTGCATTCTTTTCCCTAAATGTAATGAGGCTGAAAAAAGATTCTGAAGAAGATGTAGAGTTATTTTGGTAGAGCTTCCAAGAAGACTCTGATGCAAGGTAATGGGAAGGGGGGTTGAATCGTTTATTTTGTTCATTTTGCTCTGTCAGTGGGGGAGGGGGGGAGATTAAGATTTTAAATAAAAGTTGATATGATAGCTATCATAAAAATGTGTGGTTTGGGTAATATCTCCAACGCTTTAATGGGAAATTCAGTTATTCTGTATTTCCAGGCATATGGTGGTTCCTCAATCAGATGTTTGATTATTAATTTAATGCATTCGTTCTCAAAGTGTGGCCCCTGCGCCAACAGCATCAGCAATACCTGTGAAGCTGTTAGAAATGCAAATTCTCAGACTGTACCTCAGATCTACTGAATCAGAAACTTGGGACTGGCGTCCGGCAACATGTGTTTTAATGAACCATCCAGGTGATTCTGATGCATCCTAAAGTTTGAGAATCACTGGTTTAATATTGTTAATTGGAGCCACTGGCTAGGTCATGGGTCTGAGCAATGTTTCAATTCTGACATTATGCCATGTTCTTCATATTTATGGGTATTTAAGTCATTCATTTCCAAGTATCAATGGGTCCTCTAAGTAATCAGTAGGGAGTTGATCTGGATGCCAAAATCAAAGAGGTACAATCGATTAAAACTGTCATTGAATAGAATTCATGCACATTCTTCAGGTAAGTGAAGGATCATTCTTGTTACGTATTCATTCCTTTTTAGTGCTTGTTGATTACACATGTTTTATTCTGTAGTATCAGGTTAAATGGTTCAGAAGCATCCTGTGTAAGCAGTAATTTGATGTAGCATGACTTCACTATATAACCCTTTATATAATATCATCAGTCCATCATCAGGGAAAAAAAAAAACAGCACACTCCTAAATAAAAGGGACCTGTCACTTAATTTTTCTCTGAGCATAGCAGTGGGAATCATTTCATCAGTTTCTTTGCATGCAGGAACAATGCATCTCTGCAGTATACAGGTTTGTTAATGCCTGTTATTTTGAGATGATTACATTTTTTGCTTGTTAATATACTGTTCTCTTGTGATCTTAAAAATGTTTCCCATTAGTCATCATTGTTCTCATATGGTACCTGAAAGAATTAACCATGTCCTCTATGTAGACATGGTTAATCTACATCGGTGTTCATTTCTGAGACAAGAAGAAATGCTTAGAATTAGAACACAATGTGGGCTACTGCCTAGCAGTGATTGATCTGTGAGGGCTTATAAATTGGTTGCTAGGCTTTCTAAGTGACATGCAATAGTAAGGGAAACTGAAAACAGGAAATATTGTCTCCCATTTATTCCAGGATGCCTTATACTGAGATCTTGAATTTAGGCTCTGTCTGTTCAATGCAAATGTTTACATGTCCTCTCTTTTGTCTCTGAAAACCACATAACACCAATTATTTTTCTTTCTCTATATATAAACATGCAAATAGCTTATGTAATCAAATATACGTGTGCATAAACTGATTACTTAGAAAGTTAACAAGCCCTGCAACCATTTTTTAGTGAATTGTTATAAATTGTCCTTGATTTCATAATTCTCCACAAAATGATCAAACTTCATCAACATTCATGGGATCTGCTGAGTCTCCTCTTGGTTTTTTTAGCAGATTGGCTGGTCTATTAGAAGTAAGACTTGATTAAAGTTTTTGAAGATTACTGCAGGCCCACTCTTTCCTTATCGTTCATAGAATACTTAGCACAAACCTAATTGGCAGGTGTTTTCTACGAATCTACAATGTGTGAGGCAATGCACCCGAGCACAAGATTTTTGGCAGTGACAAGATTGAGTTTGCCCTTCTCCTGACTAACTGGTGGTGTAGTAGAGACCACTAACTAGTCACCAGTGTTCATCTCCTCTTCTTCATGGGTTTACATTTTGCAGCTTCCTTTGCTGCTGGGTGTGGCATGTGGCTGAATTCTGCCAATAAGTAATGTAGGGTATGAGTACTTGTGGGATGTGTCATTCTACCCTGGCCCTAAAACGCTTCCATGCACCCATCTCCACACACGCTTTCATGCCCCCTACACTTCCCTAACTAGTTCGCTGGGAAGAAAGACATTGAAAAAATAGCAAAAGTGTTTGAGAGGTAAGAAGGTGAACTATCGGACATGACCTTATATGTAGGGACCTTCAGGTCTCATAGTCCTCAGAAAGAAAAAAAAATTTCATTTGGCTTGATTATTTGTTGTGAATTGTTACGAGTTTTACTTAAATGAGGGGAGACCACAAAAGAGATTAAGCTGAGTATAGTGGAGACAAATCCAACAAATTAAGAAATGTGAGATTATGTAGACTCTAAGAAATTGGTTAATTTCTTTAATTCATTTGTATTAACAGAAGGACAGTGCTAGAGCACAAAAGCCGATGCAAGCGTGTTTTGTAGTCTTAGGCCACATGAGAATAACTGCAATTACTTATGTACACAGAGTGTGCGGCTCCTTTCCCTATAGTCTTTGAAAACTTTGACTATGCCATGTGAAATATGTACTTCAATAAGGAGGATCTTTCAGGAATGTTTTGTTCTCATATATAATTTGATCATTTAGGGGTTGCTTTGAACAGTGATATACAAGGGGGAAGGTGTTGAAGTGAGAGCAGTCTGCCAAGGTATAAAGGGGTTCATTGTCTGTAGATAACTTAAAAATGATAATAAACCCAACTGAAAGCTAGTCTGCTTATTATTACCATGCACCAGCAATTCTAAACAATGCCAGTGACTTAAAAAAATACTCTTTCCACCAGGGAAACCTCCTGGTAGAAAGGGGTTTACACAACCCGCTACCTTTGCTCCCCAACCCAGCTTGATATATACCACTAGACACCTTAAAGTATCTATTAAGGGCAGTTTTCAATAGCTTTCAGTATAACAAGAGATATTCTGCAATAGGAAATATTATATAATCATAGAATTTTTAATAGTGCATCACCCAGGAAAGTAAATCAGAGGCTATTTTTTCTGGCCTGAAAAAAAAAAAAAAAGTGGAACCAATGACTTCAGGAAGGCTTCAAGCAAGAGCTTGTTCTACAGATTTTTAAAAGACCTGAGCAATATAATGTAACAAAGAAGAGGAAGCATTGGATAAAGGGGAGAGCAAATTCCAAAGCTAGCTAAGTGAGCCAAGACTGGAGATGACCTTAGGTAGAGACTAGTGGAATATGACAACAGTTCAGCCAAGTTGGTATAGCTGGCACAGGACTCAGGTGACAAGTGTCCAAATGTTCTGCTGTGTTTGGAAGTTATCAGGTCCTCGTGAGTGTTAATATCACATAGTCAAAGCATTGGTTTTACAAAATATTACCAATCTGCTGTGAATAACTAGTACCATAGTTTGGGACAGGGAAAAAATTAGATATACAACCATGGCAATTCATATGGAACACATGATCCATGTTATGGTTCTGGGTTTTATAAGTGATGACTGCAGGGCCCCATTACGCTACACAGTGCTTGGTCATTCAGTTTGCAGTTGTGTGAAGCAATCTTGATTGTGCTGACCTGCCAACAGCAGGTCTGGGCTTAGTAATACGGGGGGCATGTAGGGCTTCAAATGCTGGATACCAAGCCTTAGATGATCAGTTTGATCTCTGCCTTTACCAGTTTAATATTCCATAAATTGTTGGTTTTGACCATCTCTTTGACCATAATTGGACCTCATTGAAATAAGGTGTCATTTGAGACTGACACCTCTTTTTTGTGCTGACCCACATCAAAGAATTTACAAAGAGGGATTTGAGAGGGAGTATGACCACCAGGTTCAGACACATAAGAAAGTTAAGGAAATGAGATGATATTGAGAAAAATGGGCATTCAACACCAATTTAAATCATGGAAACTATGTTAATATCTAATGAAACCTCATTTGCCATGGCATAAACAACAATCATCAAACCTCAACAAGAACAGAGAAAACATTACTATATTTCTCATCCTTGAACATTGATCATTATTGGTCCTCAGTGAGCTACAATTTTGGGCATGCTGCTATCATGAATAGCCATTGCATCATTATATTGGCCAATTTCAACAAGGTAAATATCAATAATGAAAGTAAGCTTACTTCTAATGTGGTCCTTCCCCTGCTGCAAAAACATATTGCAGTTCTTTAGAGTAAATGTAAGATGGAGTGAATAGTTGTCTCATCTGTTGTTACCTTTCTTCATCTGAGACACAGCATTACAACTTCATTGGCAGGGAATTAAGAGAAACTTGCCCGACAAAAGCTCTGTGCAAATTCCTGTCCCTTCTGTGCCAACCAAACAGAACAATGTTTGTAGAAACCTTTCCTCTTGAATTTTTAGTGTGGTTCCAAAAGCAGAGGCAGAGAGGATGAACTACCCAGGAAGGACAATGGAGGGAAGATGTGAGGCACAGCATTTCTTATTAAAAGGAAGTGAGCATGGTAAATGGGCCCTATGTATGAGCCAGAATTGCAGTTCTATCAAAATTTCCACTGATGGGTCCAAGGATCCCAAAATCTTAGGTCAGCTTCTTATGCTAAAAATCGACAAAACCCTTAGTACTCAAACTCTCTAGGCAGCCAGACTTGTAACTGGAATTTTAAACATACTTTTTGCAAGTTGCCAAAACCTTCATTTTTCTTTTTAAAAAATCTATTAAGCTAAATCTTTTCAGAAGATCACTATTTCTTTTCAGCGTTGCTGAAATTTTTTTAATTTGTCTCTTGGAGGCATAAACAATCAATGTGGCCATTAATTTGGAGGCCTTTCTCTCTGACAATGGTGCAAATTGAAAACTAATCATTCGAAAGATGTTCCAACTAATCAGGTCAGGGGGAGAAATGGAGAAATGAATAGTATTCCTCATAGCCCAGCTAGAGAGGCTTGCTTGCTTTTTTTTTTTTTTTTTTTTTTTTTTTTTTTTTTTTTTTTTTTGCTGTGAGTTTTAATTTAAGAAGAAAACAAATTCAGGGGGGAAAAAGGACAGAATTTGCCAGTACTGCTTTTTCCAATGATACTTTTAAAATCTTCCCAAAATATAGTATTTTTATTGGTTTTAAATATCTGAGGGCCCTTTCAATTTATTTTAGCCCCATTTTCCTTTTGTTTTATATTACAATACATATATATTTACTTTTTTTTCCTTTGGAAAGTTTCATTAGTTTGTAGCATGTGAGATTTATTTAAGTGCTTTTCTCAATGTCTGAGGCTATATTATTGAATTGCAGAGCTGGTTTTTAAGTTTACTAGTTATTCAAATTTGCTGTCCCCAGTAATCAAGTTATGGTCAAGGAATTCCCTTGCATAGGGAAAATGCTTTTACATTTTCTCTAATAGAACTAAGGTCTACCTTCCATCCCAACTCTGGATGTCCTTTTCTGGTTGGTGACCAAGGGCCAACAGAAAGAGAAAGGGAGACTTAATGACGTTTTATAGAAAACTAACTATATGAAATAAACTCCACAAGCTAGAGTTTGGAGTCATTTAAAGCATTTTCTAAATTACTCAAAGTGTCATTGATTTGAAAACTCAGACTGCATTCTTAAGCATCACAATCAAACCACAGTATCACCTAATCTTTTGGATTAAGGAAATGCCTTATGGAGTGAGAAGTAATATAACCTCTCCTTCAACAAAACGTAGGGGTTGGGGGAAGGTACAGGAGCTGCTACTAGTTGTAGACCAATGGCTCACTGAAACTTCAGAGCCGCCTCACTACACCACCATGCTGGAGCACTTTCACCCAAGACCGTTGCTGGCCCAGTGGAGCACTTTCACCTGTGGCCCCACTGCCATCCCATTGGAGTGCTTTTGCCAGCAGCCCCTGATGGAGCACGATTGCCAGTGGAGAGGGAGCACCTCGGCCCCCTCAGTGCAGCCAGTGTTTGACATCGAGAAACCAGAGAACAAAGCCACAGACCCAGTCCCAGTCCCTCCCAGAGTTAAAGCAGGCAGCCCAAGAGTGCCAAGCTGAGCCTAGGACTTCTGAAAGCATCCAGAAATGACGCCAGTCAACTAAACCCAACTTATACTACTGTCAAACCTTTAAGGGCATTGAAAAATTTAAAAGCTTCAAACCAGCAATGGTGTGTTGGAGAAAAAAATGTGAAGAACGTAAAAGTTAAAAGCCCCATCCAAAGGACAGCAACTTCAAAGGTTAAAGGAACATCAACCCACACAAATCAGAAAGAACCAGTGTGAGAATTCTATAACTCTAAAATCCAGAGCACCCCTTTACCTCCACATGAGCCCACTAGCTCCCCAGCAATGATTCTTAGCCAAAATGAAATGACTGAAATGACAGATAAGGAATTCAGAATCTGTATGGCAAAGAAGCTCATCAAGATTCAGGAGAAAGTTAAAACTGAATCCAAGGAATCCAGTAAAACTATCTAAGAGCCGAAAGACAAAATAGCCATTTTAAGAAAGAATCAAACTGATCTTCTGGAATTAAGCTCCCTACAAGAATTTCATAACTCAGTCAGAAGCATTAACAGCATATTAGACCAAGCTGAGGAAAGAATCTCAGAGCTCATAGACCAGTTCTGCAAATCAACTCGGACAAAAATAAAGAAAAAAGAATTTTTAAAAGTAAAATTGTGGGCTGGGCGTGGTGGCTCATGCCTGTAATCCCAGCACTTTGGGAGGCCGAGGTAGATGGATCACGAGGTCAGGTGATTGAGACCATCCTGGCTAACACAGTGAAACCCCATCTCTACTAAAAATACAAAAAATTAGCCAGGCATGGTGGCGGGTGCCTGTAGTCCCAGCTACTCAGGAGGCTGAGGCAGGAGAATGGCAGCAACCCGGGAGGCGGAGGTTGCAGTGAGCTGAGATCGTGCCACTGCACTCCAGCCTGGGCGACAGAGCGAGACTCCATCTCAAAAAATAAAATAAAATAAAATTGTAAAGGCACAGTGGCTCACATCTGTAATCCCAGCACTTTGAGAGGTCAATACATGTGGATCACTTGAGCTCAGGAGTCCAAGACCAGCCTGGGCAACATGGTGAGACCCCATCTTTATCAAAAATACGAAAATTAGCTGGGCATATTGGTTCACACCTATAGTCCCAGCTACACAGGAGGCTGAGGTGGGAAGATCACTGGTGCCTGGAAAGTCAAGGCTACAGTGGGCCATGATTGCACTAATGCACTCCAGCCTGGGTGACAGAGTGAGGCCCTGTCTCAAATAAATAAATAAAATCCCCAAGAAACATGGATTACATAAAGAGACGAAATCTGCGACTCATCGGCATTCCTGAAAGAGTAGGAGAGAGAGTAAGCGACTTGGAAAATATATTTTAGGATATAATCCACGAAAATTTCCCCACTCTTACTAGAGAGGATGACATGAAAATTCAATAAATACAGAGAACCCCTCTGAGATACTGTTAATGGTAACCAGAGAGAAGAGTCAGGTCATTTTTTTTTTTTTTGAGATGGAGTCTCACTCTGTCACCCAGGCTGGAGTGCAGTGGCACTATCTCAGCTCACAGCAAGCTCTGCCTCCTGGGTTCATGCCATTCTCCTGCCTCAGCCTCCCGAGTTGCTGGGACTATAGGCGCCTGCCACCACGCCCAGCTAATTTTTTTTTCTTTTTTGCATTTTTTGTAGAGATGGGGTTTCAGCATGCCAGCCAGGATGGTCTCGATCTCCTGACCTCATGATCCACCCACTTCGGCCTCCCAAAGTGCCAGGATTACAGGCATGAGCCACTGCACCCAGCCTGAGTCAGGTCATTTATAAAGGGAACCCTGTCAGGCTAGCAGCAGACCTCTTAGAAAATTTACAAAGCAGAAGAGACTGAGGGCCTATTTTCAGCATCGTTAAAGAGAACAAATTCCAACCAAGAATTTCATATCCTGCCAAACTAAGTTTCATAAGTGAAAGAGAAATAAAATCCTTCTCAGACTAAGCAGATGCTAAGGAAATTTATTAGACCAGCTTTACAAGAAGTCCTTAAGGAAATGCTAAACATAGAAACAAAAGAAAGACACCTGCTAAAACAAAAACACACTTAAGCACATGGCCCACAGACACTATAAAGCAACTATACCAATCAAGTCTACAAAACAACCAGCTAACAACACAATGAAAGAATCAAAATCTCACATATCAAAACTAACCCTGAATGCAAACGGTCTAAATGCCACCACTTAAAAGGTATAGAGTGGAAAGCCAGATAAAAAGACGAGACCTGGCTGGGCGTGGTAGCTCTCGCCTGTAATCTCAGCACTTTGGGAGGCTGAGGTGGGTGGATCATTTGAGGTCAGAAGTTCAAGACTAGCCTGGTGAGACATGGTGAAATCCCATCTCTTTTAAAAATACAAAAATTAGCCAGGTGTGGTGGCGCATGCCTGTAGTCCCAGCTACTTGGGAGGCTGAGGCAGGAGAATGGCTTGAACCCAGGAGATGGAGGTTTCAGTGAGCTGAGATCATGCCGTTGCACTCCAGCCTGGGCAGTGATGTGAGACTCCATCTCAAAAAATAAAAAAAAAATAAAAAAAAAAAGACAAGACCCAACTGTCTGTTGTCTTCAAGAGACCCATCACAAATATAATGACACCCACAGGCTTGAAGTAGCAGGATGGAGAAAGATCTACCATGCAAACAGAAAACAAAAAAGAACAGTAGTCACTATTCTTATATCAGATGAAGCAGACTTTAAATGAACAACAATTAAGAAGGACAAAGAAGAGCATTACATAATGATAAAGGGTTCAATCCACAAAGAACACAGACCTATCCTAAGTATATGCACACTCAACATTGGAGCACTCAGATTCATAAAACAAGTTCTTCTCTAACTACAAAAAGACCTAGACAGCCACACAATCATAATGGGAGACTTCAATATCCAACATCCCACTGACAACATTAGAATTTTGAGGCAGTAAACTAACAAAGAAATTCTGGACTTTAACTTGGCACTCAACCAATTTGACCTAATAGACATCTACCTAATCTTTCACCCAGCAACTACAGAATATACGTTCTTCTCATCTGCACATGGAACATAGTCTAAGATCAACCAAATACTCTGTCATTAAGCGAGTCTCAATAAATACAAAAAAAAATTGAAGTCATACCAAGCACACTTTCAGACCACAGTGCAATAAAAATAGAAATTCATATCAAGATGACCTCTCAAAACTACACAAATACATGGAAATTAGACAACTTGCTCTTGAATAACTCTTGGGTGAACAATGAAACAAAGGCTTAAATTAAAAAAACTATTTGAAGTTAATGAAAACAGAGACATGACCAAAATCTTTGGGATGCAGCTAAAGCAGTGCTAAGAGGAAAGTTTATAGCACTAAATGCCTTCATCAATAAGTTAGATTTTAAGTTAATCTAATATTGTACCTACAGGAACTAGAAAAAAACTGAACCAACCCCAAAGCTAACAGAAGAAAAGAAATAACTAAAACTAGAGAAGAACTGAACAAAATTGAGGCTCGAATCCATACAAAAGATCAATGAAACCAAGAGTTTCATTTGTTAGAGTTAAAAGAATAGAAAGGATTGATAGACTGCTAGCTAGACTAATAAAGAGAAGATCCAAGTAAGTCCAATCAGAAATGAGAGAGGTGACATTACATCCAATCCCACAGATATACAAAAGACCTAGAGAAAATGGATAAATTCCTGGAAACAACCTCCCAATATTAAACCAAGAAGAAAGTAAAAACCTGAACAGACCAATAACGAGTTCTGAAACTGAATCAGTCATAAAAAACCTGCCAACTAAAAAAAGCCCTGGACCAGACAGATTCACAGCCAAATTCTACCAGAGGTATGAAGAACTGGTACCAATCTTACTTAAAGTATTTCAAAAACTTGAGAAGAAGGGGCTCATCTCTAACTCATTCTACAAAGCCAGCATCGGCCTAATACCAAAATGTCGGCAGAGACACAATGAATAAAGAAAACTGCAGATCAGTATCTCCGATGAACATGTTGAACAGGTATCTTCAACAAAATACTAACAAACTGAATCCAGAAACACACCAAAAATTAATAAACCACAATCAAGTAGATTTTATTCCTGGGACAAAGGCTGGTTCAACATATGCAAATCAATAAATGTGACTCATCACATAAACAAAATTAAAAGCAAAAATCATATGATTATCTTGGTAGATCCAGAAAATGCTGTTGAAAAATCCAACATCCCTTCATGATAAAAACACTTAACAGACTAGTCATCAAAGGAACATACTACAAAATAATAAGAGCTGTCAATGACAAACACATAGCCAACATTATACTAAATGGGCAATAGCTGGAACCATTCTCTCTGAGAACTGGAACAAGACAAGGGTGCCTACTCTCCTCACTCCCATTCAACATAGTACTGGAAGTCCTGGCCAGAGCAATCAGGGAAGAGAAAGAAATAAAAAACATTCAAACAGGAAAAAAGAAGAAGTCAAACTACTTGTATTTGCTGATGATACAATTCTATACCTAGAATACACTAACCACTCTGCCAGAGGGTTTCTAGAATTCATAAACAATTTCACTAAAGTTTCAGGATACAAAAATCAATGCACAAAAATCAGTAGCATTTCTATACACCAATAATGTTCAAGCAGAGAGTCAATTCAAGAACACAGTCACATTTTACAATAGCCACAAAAAATGAAATACCAAGAATACAGCTAACTAAGGAGGTGAAAGATCTCTACAAGGAGAACTACAAAACACTGCTCAAAGAAATCAGACGTGATACAAGCAAATGGAAAAGCATTCCATGCTCCTGAATTGGAAGAATCAATATTGTTAAAATGGCCATACTGCCCAAAGAAATTTATAGATTCAATACTATTCCTAACTACCAATATTAGTTTTCACAGAATTAGAAAAAACTATTTTAAAATTCATGTGGAACCAATAAAGAGCCCAAATGTCCAAAGCAACCCTAAGCAAAAAAAAACAAAGGTGGAGGCATCACATTACCTGACTTCAAACTATACTACAGTAACCAAACTAACAAGGTACAGGTATAAAAACAGACATGTAGACCAATGGGACAGAATAGAGAACCCAGAAATAAAGCTACAGACCTACAAACACCTGATCTTCAAAGATGGCAAAAACAAGAAATGAGGAAAGGACTCCCTATTCAATAAGTGGTTCTGAAGTAACTGGCTTGACATATGCATAAGAATGAAACCAGACCCCTGCCTTTCACCCTACACAAAATTAATTAAGATGGATTAAAGATTTAAATGTTAGACCTCAAACTACAAAAATCCTAGAAGAAAACCTAGGAAATACCCTTCTCGACATTGGCTTTGGCAGAGAATTCTTGGCTAAGTCCCCAAAAGCAATTACAGCAGAAGCAAACATTGACAAGTGGGACCTAATTAAATTAAGAGCTTCTGCCCAGCAAAAGAAACTGTTAACAAAGTAAACAGACAACCTACAGAATGGGCAAAAATATTCACAAATTATGCATCTAACAATGGTTTAATATCCAGAATCAATAAGGAACTTAAATCAACAAGCAAAAACCAAATAACCCCATTAAAATGTGAGCAAAGGACATGAACAGGCACTTCTCAAAAGAAGACATACAAGCAGCCAACAAACATATGAAAAAATACACATCATCACTAATCCTCAGAAAAATGCAAATCCAAACCACAATGAGAGGCCATCTCATACTAGTTAGAAAAGCTATCATTAAAAAGTCAAAAAATGACAGATGCTGGTAAGTCTGTGGAGAAAAGGGAATGCTTATACACTGTTGGTGAGGATGTAAATTAGTTCAGCCACTATGGAAAGCAGTTTTGAGATTTTTGAAAGAACTTAAAAAGCAGAGCTGCCATTTGACCCAGAAATCCCATTACTGGATGTATATCCAAAGGAAAATAAATCATTCTACCAAAAGACACATTCACTTGTATGTTCACTACAGTGCTATTCACAATAGCAAACACATGGAATCAATCTAGGTGCCCATCAATGGTGGACTGGATAAAGACAATCTGGTATATATACGTTGTAGAATATTACGCAGCCATAAAAAAAGAACAAAAATCATATCCTGTGTAGCAGCATAGATGCAGCTGGAGGCCATTATTCTAAGTGAATTAACACAGGAGCAGAAAACCAAATACTGCATGTTCTCACAAGTGAGAGCTAAACACACATATGCGTGGGCATAAAGATAGGAACTATAGACACTGGGGAATGACTAAAGGGGTAGAGAGGAAGGGAGGGAGGTGTGGGCTGAAAAACTACTTACAGGGTACTAAGCTCACTACCTGGTTGATGGAATCATCCATACCTCAAACCCCATCATCACACAATATACCCTTGTAACAAACCTGCACCTGTACCCCCTGAATCTAAAATAAAAGTTGAAACTATTCAAAATGATGATAATAGTTTTTAAAAGTTCAGACAGACAAGAAATATGAAGAAAAATGTTGATTTCTAAGACATTTTTGAGCCACTAGGTCTTAAAATTAATTTCACTTACAAAATCAACCTTTATTTTCTAAGTTGGAAATAATTTCAAAGCCTAGGATTTGTGAGTTTGTGTAGGAGATGTTTTGGCTATGAATCTCTGTTCTTGTTCTCAAACATCAGGAGAGTTTATTTCTCAGTCCCTCTCTAACACATTGTGGCTGCCAGTGTTGAGCTCTTGTATACAGTCACATCTTTGGTCTCATTGGCATCTTTGAGACTGTCCATCACAGGTTGAGAAGCTGCCATGATTAGTAGCAATTCTCCTAGTGCCACCTCCTGTGGATGTGTAAGTCTTTACAACGTATATGTACCACCTGTTTGACACTTTTGCTGCCTTGGGGTGGTAATTTTGTCATTTAACCTCATTGATGGTAAAGATGACATGAGCTCAGTGACTCCCGGTGATGAAAGCAGCCTGCAGCAGTGACTGGGATTCTCCAGCTTCCCTGTCACTCACAGTGACTTCCAGCTCGGAATATGCAGCCAGCCTCCTAGACTCCACCTTGTGTACATTACCCACTCTCTTTATTCACCTAGAATTTATGCAATCCTAGAGGCTGGATTTTATTAGCTTGCCTGCCATTCAACACCGTGTACTTCCATTGGGCCAAGTTCGTACTAGATGATGTTAGGGGCAACTGAATTCCCTAACTGCCTAGGATGACCTTATAATTTATCATTCAAACCAGGACACTTTTGAGCAGCAAAAAGGGTAGTGTTAATAATGATGCTGAAACAGTAGCCTAGGACTTCTCTGGAAAACCCAAGTTGTATTGTGCCCCTACTTCCAACCTATGTGTGGGTACTGTGTGCCATATACCACTCCCTGAACCAATCAGCAGTGGCCAGTAGCATGCTGATTGCAACTGAGAAGGTTATCAGCAGCTGAAAATACTTATGGAGGAAGAAACATGTCTGGGAAATTCGCTATCAAGGGAGAAACCTGCACACCAACCCTAAGACCTCCCACATCCAATCAGTTGTCAAGTCTTGCTGATTCTATCTTCTAAAGATCTCAGGTCATCTATTCATGTTCCTCTATCCCCAGTATCTTCACTTTGGTTGCTGCCACCATCATCCTTCCCTCTGAGTATTGCAATAGCCTCCTAAATGTTTCCCTGTTCCAGTCTTGCCCTCCTCTAATCAATGATCTAGATAGAAGACAGCAATTTTTCTGAGGCCAAAGCCATGAACTCTGCTAGGCACAGGGGATTCAGAAGTGAATGTCCAAGTCAGGGTCACTCCAAGGTACTTACCTTCCTGCAGCAGAGACAGATGATGAACAAGTAAACTAATAAATAATAATTTTAGACTTTGATATAAGCCATGGAGATAAGCAAGAGAGAGGGATGATAGGAAGAGAAGGTGGCAGGGAAGAAGCTTCTCTGGGAGTGATTTTGCACCAAATTTGAAGGATGACACAAGATAGTCATGTTGAGGGTCAGGGAAAAGGCATCCCAGGAAATGCGAAGAAGGATGTAGAACACCCTGAGAAAGGATACATTCAAATGTTTTTGTTTCTTTGTTTGTTTTGTTTTGAGATGGAGTTTCACTCTGGTTGCCCTGGCAAAAGTGCAATGGCACGATCTTGGCTCACTGCAACCTCTGCCTCCCAGGTAGCTGGGATTACAGGCGCCCACCGCCACACCCAGCTAATTTTTTTTTATTTTTAGTGGAGACGGGTTTTCATCATGTTGTCCAGTCTGGTCTTGAAGTCCTGACCTCAGGTGATCCACCCACCTTGGCCTCCCAAAGTGCTGGGATTACAGGTGTGAGCCACTGCGCTCGGCCTCAAATGTTTTTAAGTAGCAGAATGGGATACCTGTGTGGCTGGCAGTCAGTAATCAAGGGGAGAGTGGTTTGCAATCAAGTTGAAGTGCAGGCAAGGGCCAAGTTACCTGGTGCCTTGTAGGCTAAGGAGTTTGGATTTTAATTCTAAGAGCAACGCAAAGCCTTTAAATAGTATTAAGCAGAGGAGCTAATTGAACCAATTATCTTTTTTAAAAACTGACTTTGTCTTCTGTGTGAAAAATAGGTTATGGGTAAAAAGGACATTGAATAGAAGGCTGGAGTTCTCATTCAGGTGGGAGAGGATGGTGGCTATGGGAATGGAGTGAAACTTTTTTAATTTTATCATACTGATGGCATTTGTGATTACTTAGATAAATGTTTAAACTTGCATCTTTAAAATCTATCTAACACTCCTTTTATTATCATCTCAACTGCGCAATTTGTGTCATATGTTGTTTATGTCATTCAGTGTTTGTAAAAGTATTCTTTTTTTTTTTTTTTTTTTTTTGAGACGGAGTCTCGCTCTGTCGCCCAGGCTGGAGTGCTGTGGCGCGATCTCGGCTCACTGCAGGCTCCGCCCCCTGGGTTCACACCATTGTCCTGCCTCAGCCTCCCAAGTAGCTGGGACTACAGGCGCCTGCCACCATGCCCGGCCAATTTTTTTTGTATTTTTAGTAGAGACGGGGTTTCACCATGTTGGCCAGGATGGTCTCGATCTCCTGACCTCATGATCCACCCACCTCGGCCTCCCAAAGTGCTGGGATTACAGGCGTGAGCCACCACACCTGGCCAAAAGTATTCTTTGAAAACCAGATTTTTGGTCGGGCACTGTGGTTCATGCCTGTAATCCCAGCACTTTGGGAGGCCAGGGCAGGTGGATCATTTGAGGTCAGGAGTTTGAGACCAGCCTGGCCACCATGGTGAAACCCCGTCTCTACTAAAAGTACAAAAGTTAGTCAGGCGGTGGTGGTGCATGCTGTAATCCCAGCTACTCAGGAGGCTCAGGCAAGAGAATCACTTGAGCCTGAAAGATGGAGGCTGCAGTGAGCTGAGATTACGCCACTGCTCTCCAGCCTGGGTGACAGAGTGAGACATTGTCTCCAAAAAAGAAAAAAAAGAAAAACAGATTTTTGATTTATGTTTTTTGTATGCATTTTTATGCCAGCCAACTATGAGGTATTTAATTTTAGAGACTGTGTACTGAAAGTCTAGAAATGCCTATAGATGTCTAGAAAATGGCTAGAAAATCTATCCCAGTGGATCTCAAACTCAGCTCCTGACATTGATTTCAATAGAGGGTGGGAAATCCTGGTGAGTCTGCTAGCAGTCTCCAGTGGCAGTGGCAGTGGCTTTCTGATTGCCAACACAAGGAAGAATGTATTAAATTTTGGAGTAAATTATTGAGTGTTCCAAAGCCAAGGAACTATGCTTTTCAGTATCTGGTGAAATGAGGTGCCATCATGTCAGAAGGATGGCTGTGTGTGTGGAGGTGGATATCCATCTATCTGTCCATTCATCCATGCATATACTCAGATATACAAATCATGCCATGGGGAAGGGGGCTATTGCATGTAGAGGCTGTGAAACAACATAGAGTCCTGCCTACCTTCCATTATTTAAAAAGTTAAAACCTATATTCTTTTTATATTTGCTAGTTCTCTCCAAAAAGTGGTGACAGTTAACTTGGTTGACTGAACCCTAGTTTGAACCTGTTTAAGAATTGGGCATTTACTTATTTGCAGAGCAGCAGAAATGCTTTTCTGAACTCTCTTGATATACCACTCTGTGCCAGGAAGACACATGTAATTCAGATGTGTCTGGGCCCATTTCAGCATACTGGCTGTCGGAAGTCTGCAGGAGGAAATACCTTCTTGATTAATTCTCCAAGGCTGACATTTTTTGCTGCTCAGCCTGCTGAATGATTTCACATGTGGTTTTTGCAGAGTCAGAATTCTTCAGTGACGTACAGGACAATTTTTTTCTTGGCAGCATGAAGTTCTTTTGGCCACCAGGGTGGGGAAGTTATTTTAATGTATGAATAAGGGGCAATTTTATTTAGAAAAAGAGACTTACCTCTTGGTCATTTAAAATACATTTTAGGCCAAATAATCATGATATGAGGAAAAAATTTGCACCATCATTTAATGAATTTCAGGTTTTTACAAGGGTTCCCCTCCAACTCCCCATTTTTCTTCCTAATGAATGGCTCTAGAATACAGTTTTGAATGATTTACAAACCTGCATACCCAGCAGCCCCCTAGAATTTTTCCTTTTTGTAAGTGCATTATATTGACGTTATCTGCAGATCATTTCCTTGAACTGTATTTTTGCTAGATGTGGTCCTGGGGAAAAATATAGTCAAACAAAGAAACAAAACACAGTCCTGTTCTAGACCCACCCAGAATGATATAATACTAAGTATCTTCCATATTCAGCGGTGATACTGTTTTGAGAACTCACAGCCGGTTTGAGTTTAGTTCAGTTCAATGTTTTCTTTCTGTTTTTGTTCATAATTTCCCAGGGGCCTACTACTTCTGTGCTTAGCTTGAAACGTAGTGTTCTTCTAGCAGAGAATGCTATCTGGTATATTTAAATCAATTAGGGGCACTGAATGAGAAGCTCAGTTATAGACAAAGATAACAGATTACATTTTTATTAGGAAATCTTGAGTTATTAAGAATGTTTTTGTAAATCGAAGACACGAAAAAATCTCATTCGTTGTCTGGGCACTGTATTTTGCCTAACCGTATCATTTCGCTTAATTCTCTTAGAAACATTGAGTTGCATATTTTTATCCCTGTGTCAGTTGTTGGTGGCTCTGCTACAAATAAGGTGACCAACCCAATCAGGACTTACAGATTTTCCTAGGACATACGATTTTCAGTGCTAAAACCAGGACAAGTTGATAGCCTTAGAAATTACCTTATTAGTGGCCTAAAACAAAATGATCATTTTTCACAATTCTGCAGGCTGGCCTAGTGGGGCTTCTGGGGGCATCACTTGGGACCCTTGTGTGACTGCTTGGTGGAGTCTGGATGGGGTAAGATATCTGGGCCTCGGCAGAGATGGTTGGGCATCTCCTTCCATTGGGGTCTTTTGTTCCAGACTTATTTGCAGCCTGGAGGCCTCAGGGTTCCAAGAGGGCAAACACAGAAGCTACAAGGTCTTTTGAAACTGCTCAGAAGTCACACAATGTCACTTCCACCACATTTAGAGGTCAAGACACAGAGGCAGCCCAATTCAAAGCATGGGGAAATAGAATTCACCTTTCAATGGAAGGAGTGGAGAGTGGACATTTTTAATCCATCACAATCCCTGTTATATACATTAGCATTCTGAGATTCAGTAAATTTAAGTAACTTTTCTAAGACCACACAGCTCCTAAATGGCAGATCCAGGATTTGAACCTAGGTCTCTATGCCTAAAAAACCCATGCTCTGATGCTTCCAGATGCGGTATAAATATATTATCCCAGCATCCGATAATACAGAGAGCAACTGGGCATTTTCTTGCTGTTCTGGGATGGGGTAGAAGAAATAAGGGTGGAGAAGGAAGAAGGAAAAGACAGAGAAGTAATGATTTGTGACTTCTGGACAGCCCCAAGTCATAGAAATTCGTCCAATATGTTTTCAGACGATAACTCATACTTGCCCAATTCTGTACAATGTGTTTGGGCTCCTGCTGTCCCCCCACCCTTACTTGAGTACAGCTTTATTCCCCAAAGTAAATGCTTCCAAGGGCCTCAGATTTATGCACTTCTTGGCCTTGATGATTATTTCATGCTCTTAGACATTATTCTCATGTTTGTTCTACTGAGGCATTTGCGTCCCCTCCTACAGTTGAGAGTTTGAGAGACAGTTGCTCTAAGACAGTTGTTTTCAAAGTAGGCAAGTCCCTGAGAGCTTTCAGGGAGTCCATGGAATCAAAACTACTTTTATAGTTCTCAGATATTGTTTGCTTTTTTCTACTCTCATTCTTTGAGTGTAAATTGGAGTTTTTCAGAAACTACGTAATGTGTGATACTGCAACAGATTGTAGCAGAAGCAGGTGAGAATTCTACTGTTTTCTATTAAGACAGACATTAAGGAGATTTGAAGAAAATCTGTTTTTTCTTGTTTTTAGAAAATAGTTATTTTTCTTTAAAAATATTACGTATGTTAGCATGTAAAAGTTTGTGTTACAATTTTAAATGAATTAATGCACAAATATTTTTAAAGTTTCTCAGTTACTTCCTATTAACTGATCTATCTGTTAATAAAATGCACATAAACTAAAGCTCCTTGGGGTTCTCAAAAAATTAAATTTAAGATGGATGAAAGCAAAAAGGTTGAGAACGATTTTCATCATCATTTTACTAGCTGCCATTTTCTGAGCTCCTATATTTTTCTGCACATTCTCGTTTAATCCTCACAGCAACTTTATCTGGAAAGTATCCCATTAATCCCCAACACCCCAGAGGAATGAACTGGTGTGCAAAATCATTAGTCACACAGCTAGCGTTCTGTGGAGCTAGAATTTGAAGGCAGTCCACCTGACTCCGGAGTTAAACTGAGAAATAAACAATCATGCAATAATATAACTTGCTTTTCTGGACCAGAAGAAAGAGATACACAGAGATCTAAAGGACTTGCATGAGTCATTTGAGGTACCTTGGGCAGCCAGCGGCGATGACTTTCTGCTGGCCTGTCCCATGAAAAGTTGACTAGTCATAGCAACTTGTCCTTTTAAAGTGCAGTTTTGTGAAAAAGAAATTCCTGCAAATTCAAGTGCTGCTCTTAACCTAGTAGTGGTTTCTGTTCCTCTTATAACAAGCATTTCTACTAACTCTTTATGCAAACTCTGAGTACTCAACAAAAAAGAAACATTTGTTCATCCAATTATCACATTCTAAACTGCAGAAATAAACGCTTATTGACTTAAATTTCCCAATTACTTTAGCGATCAGCCTGTGTATTTTGTTTGTTTGGGTCTAATTGGTAATAGTAAAGCAACATTTGCTACCGCCTATTGAGCACTTATGTGTCAGGCACTAAAAGAGAGACTTCATAGACTTTATAATCATGATCTCCCTGCATCCTCAAAAGAATCACTTGAGGCGGGCAGTGGTGTTATCCTCTCTACCTTATAGATAAGGAGATGGGGCTTATAGAAGTTAAGCTGCTTGCCTGAGGTCACCCAGCTAGTAAGCAGGTGACTCAGGAATTGAACCAGGTCTGGGTTGTTCCCAGGATCATGTTCTGAATCATTATTCTCTGCCAGCCCCGTTAAAGGCAATCTCAATTTGTCTATGGAAAGGAGGTCTCCAAAGTAGACTTGAAGTAGCCCAGATAAATTAGGAAAGAAACAAATGCTATTTTACCTTCAAACATTTTAAGGAAAAACCATGAGATGCAACCCACTCATGTAATGAGAAAACAGATGCAATCATTTAATTTTATCCTTAACCCTTCACTCACACCTCGCAGTTAAAAGTATGCAGGCAAAAGGCATAAAAATTGTTCTCATCTCTATCTGGTACAACCCAGGGATATTTTAAGGTGGGCAAAAATGCCAACTGAGTTTTGATTTTAATTGTATCAGGCAGGCCTTCCTTCTGACCTTCCTTCCTTTAGTTTTAAAGTGTCATGATCATGTCCATGGTGTCAGAGGTGATGGGAAAGCTGAGGATCCAGATGTGTCAACAACAGATGCACGCACTGCTGGAACACTGGAAAAAGAGAGTCGATAGGATTTCCCTTAGGGCTATGCTCCAGGTGCACTAGGAGGGGACGAGGACAAAATTCTCTCATGATGTGATTTATTTTGGGTGCTGAGCTAACCAGGTGCTTTCAGCAGGAGTTCCAATGGCAAATTTTGGCTATAACAACCTTGACAACTTTCTGATTCCTGATAAGCATTCAGATTGCTGCTACTGTTGTGAAAGCTTAGAGTCTTGGCACAGAAAAGGATTCTCTCTAGTCCAGCCTCTTACATAATTTGAATAGCATTTATAAATTGTGCTTGAGCCATGATGCAAAGGAATTCAATATACTGTTAAGACATATCTGACCAGAGCAGCTTGTTGTTGCTTAGGGACCTCATATTAGAGACACAAAACAGACAATTTTTGCCATTCTAAATCCATACACTTAATTATCTCCACTCTAAATTAGCTCCAGAAACAAAAAAAAAATGAATGAATGTGTCCAAATCTGGATAATGTAAGCAGATGACCAGAAGGTGGAGGGTTGTGTGCATGGACTTCTCCTCTGCTGCCTTCTGCGCGCTCTGATCTCCTGTCCCAAGATAGCAATTAATCGATCAGAGCATGCTATGTCCAGTAGTGCTTTCTGGCCATTGTTTTTAACACAGTGACGCGTGGGAGTATCTCTTTGGTGCTCTGTTGTTTGAGCAATTTTATTGAGCCCCATAATTCTTTGGAACTTTTAGGTAGTTAAAACCATAATCAAAGGCAGAATTTATGCAGTCATCTGGCTGCTGTGCTAGATAATAAGATCAGAGGTGGATTCTTGTCTGTGTCACTTTAATGCCTCCACCCCAAGTGCCTTGCAAATGGTGAATAAGTAAATAATTTTACAAATAGTAACAGATATGAGCTCTTACTGTGTGTCAGATAGTACACCAAGGGATTTATCTAACTCCCTTAAGAGGTAGGTATTACTGATATCCCCATTTTGCAGACTAAGGCCCAGTACAGTCCAAGGCCCAGTTCCCCAGGTAGTAGGCCGTAGAGGCCGTGAATTTAACCATTAGTACTACACTGCTTCCAAATACTTGCTGACTGAACAAACATTTTGTAATTTTTATTTTCTCCCTCTCTCTCTCCCTCTTCACCCACCCCACCATGAGTCTTAGCTGTCGGCCTTCCTTTTTTTTCTCCGAATTGACTGGCTGGCTTAGAAGAGCACAGGGAAATCATTTTCTTGTTTACCTCTGAAATCCTCAGTTACTTTCAGGTTTGTCAGTTGCTGTAGAATCATTATTTTATGCACAGCAGCTCATTCGGGTTCTAAAGTATGTGCTCATTTCTCTACCAGCACCCATGTCCAGGTCCATTATACCTGGGGACATTTCAGTTTTGTTTGCTTTTATTACTTTGCTCTTCTATACCTGAAGTCAAGATGAAGTGGCCTTGTTTGTTCACCTTCATATATCCCTTCTCAGGTGGAGGAAGCCTGGGGGAAGCCAGGCTTTTTATTTTTATTTTTTAAGTTTAGTTTTGTTTTTGTTTTGGAGCCATGAATAACATTTTTCAAATTCTGTTTGCTAATTTCAAATCTACTTAAATTCTTAAGCACTGGCAAGGCAAACATTTCTTGGTCCCATGCAATGGCTTTGGGGAGGAGCTTGGGGCACATTCAGGCCAGGGTAATAAGGAAGCAGAGGGGAGCAATGGAGAGTAGGTAACACAGATACAGAAAACTCTAGGCCGGGCGCGGTGGGTCACGCCTGTAATCCCAGCACTTTGGGAGGCCAAGGTGGGCAGATCACCTGAACTCAGGAGTTCGTGACCAGCCTGGCCAACATTGTGAAACCCCCTCTCTGCAAAAGATACAAAAATTAGCCGGGTGTGGTGGCACTTGCCTGTAATCCCAGCTACTTGAGCCGAGATTGCACCACTGCACTCCAGCCTGGGCAACAGAGTGAGACTTCATTTAAAAAAACAAACATAAAAACTCTAAACTACACAGGATTTCAAGGAAAGCCTGGAGCTGACCCGTTACTCTCCTTGGTTGCCCCATGGCACACACGTGTGCAGATACTATGAGCAAAATTCAAGGTGATCGCTGACTCCAGAAACCTCATCTGAGAAAATAAGAGAATTCTTACTGACAGTGACAGCCATATGACTTGACCAGTTTACTTAAACCTCTATTCTTTCCCCTGTAGAAAGGAAGCAGTTAAGGGCTCTACATCACAGATCTGTTGTGGGGGTTAAATTAAATAAAATGTGCAAAGCACTTGGCATGTTTTCTGGTCCACAGCTCACAACAAAGATAGGAACTTTTTCTCCTGCTGGCCTGCTCTACCATTTGACATTCCAAGCATGAGAGAATCACCTCTGTGGGTTTAGGCACCACCCCTTGTACTCTTCTGAAGAGTATTTTTAAAGTATTAGTGTTTAAGTATTAATATTAAGTATTAATGTATTAATATTGAGTATTAAAGTGTTCAAATATCTATGGGTTTAGGCACCACCCCTTGTATTCTTCCCAAGAGTATTTTTAAAGTATTAGTATTTAAGTATTAATATTAAGTATTAACATATTAATATTGAGTTTTAAAGTGTTCAGATATCTGTGGGTTTTGGCACCACCTCTTGTACTCTTCCCAAGAGTATTTTTAAAGTATTCCTTTAATATATTATTTCATATTAATTTATCAGCATTAGGATAGGAATCACTAAGTCTCCCCAGGAGTGAAAAATAAAAGAGTGACTATCATTTATTGAGTATATATTATATTCCAGGCAACAAGTTAAACATTCTGTGTTCAATATATCATTAAATCTTCTCAACAACCTTATGAGGAGCTAATTTAAAGGGCTGAATAACTTATCCGAGGTCATTTGGTCAGAAGTGGTAGAATTGAGATGTTAACCCAGGACTGCCTAACACCAAAGCCAATACCCATGTTACAGAGCTCTATGACCCCCACTGGTTTGATGATAAAGAAGAGGTCCGGAGAATACCAAGGCAGGCCAGGCCTATTTCAAGTTCCAAGGTAAAGGCATAGGGTCATCTGGCAGGAGCAAGCTGTAAGAGCTCCAGCAATAGAATAGCAGTGGGAAGCACAGAAGAGAAAGTCAAGGGAACTGCATACAAACTGCACTTCCTTAAACACGCTTGCCTTGGCTTTCAAGTTCTGTCTGTACTTTCTCTGCTGCCTCTCGGCCTCAACTCCCACAACCTCCACCTCTCCCTGTGCCTCTGGCCTGGTCCTTCTGTGCGCTATATTCCTCTGGGTCTTTGCTTCCACTGTCCTATCTGCAAATACTTTTTCAAACACGGACCATGTCTCTCTTATACAGAATTGCTCCCCAATGCCAGTCCTGATTCCTGGCAAACAGTGGTTGACCTTTTCATCTGAATGGACAAATGACTAATAAATGAACAAATGAATGGGACTTATTAGGACTTTATCTTGTGCTGGTTCTGACCAGCTTCTGTATCAAAGATCTACAACTTACAATTGCTCTCTTTCTTGTGTCTTATAAGCTCATTTAAACACACCTATTAATATGTTCCTGTCCTGTACGCATCTGTTCCAGTCTAGTCAACCGGACAAAAGGAAGAAGCCGAAACTGATTCTTTTGCATCCCTTTTCCCTCCTAGTAGTGCAACTTGAAGAGGCAACAAGAAAGAACTAGGCTCTCTATTACTAAGTCTCCTGTCTCAGTTTCCCTGGACAGGATTTTCTACCTAAAAAGAGGCATGTTATAAGTCTTCAGGAATTAGTGGGATGAAATGCTTTGGATTCCTTGGGAGATGGAGTGCTCTATAAACAGAAAGTCCAGATGATCCTGAGTCCCATGCACTAACTGTGGAAGGTGGCTTTATATCATCCCAAGTGCATATTAGATGGCACAAGATAAATCATTTAGATGTTTTATTCTAACATATAATTTAATATAGATAACTACAAAGAAAACAATAAGTAGAGCACATTCTCCCTATCCAGATAACTTCTGCTACTTTTAAAAATAATATGTGTAAGGCCACAAATTTTTCATTCTAATTTTGACTAACCCATTTTCAGATCTATATTGTATCATACAAGAGCATCAATTTGTTAGGAGAAACTGAAATTAATTTGACTAATTGTTGTTGTTAATCAAAGGTTGAGTAAAGCTTAGGGGAGGGAGAGGCAGATCACTTACATTGATACAGAACTGATGTATATCATATGGACCAGTTCTGGCTTCCTGTAAGGATAGCTTATAATTGGCTGCCAAATGTGGTAATAGCGGTTCATTTTCCCAGAGTTATGGATTATATAATATCTAGAATTAGTCGAGTCATATATGAGTTATTTATGACTGTATATCAATATTACTACAAACTTAGCAGCTTAAAACAACATACCTTTCTTATCTCAAAGTTTCTGTGGATCAGGGTTGGGAAGACTGCAACAAGAAAAGAGGGAAAGCCAATACAAGGAAGCTTTGTCAAGTCAGAGCCTAGGATGGACTTCTAGTGCTCAATTCCACTGGATCTCCTGAGGAGCTTTATGAAATGCACTTCTACAGGAAAGAAGCAGCATATGTTCATAGTCTACATTGCCATTGTTCAATGGTAGCTCTGCAGGCGTTAACTCCCCTACAATTCTGAGTTGTGCATGTGTGAGTGCAGATGGCTCCCACAGACATTCCATACTAAAGCAATAGAGAAGCCCCAGGCTTACTGGGTCCTCTACCAGGCTGCAAGGAAGGTGTTGACGAGGGGCAGAGGTTTTATCAGAGGTTCAACTAGGGAAGGATCCAATTACAAGTTCTCATGGTTATTGGCAGAATTCAGTTCTTTGTAGGATGTCAATAAGGGCCTCAGTTTCTTGCTGGCTATCAGCTGAAGCTTCGCTCAGCTTCCTGCCACATGGCCCTCCATAGGCAGCTCATAACGAAAGAGTTTGCTTCTTCAAAGCTAGCAAGGGAGAGTTTCCTTGCAAGACAGGCATTACAGCCTGTAATCACATACATCCTGTAACCTTTGCCATACTCTACTGCTTAGAAGTAAGTCACAGGTCCTGTCCACATTCAGTGGGCAGAGATTACACCATGGCATGAATGCAAGGAGGCAAGGGTCCTGGAGCCACCTTAGAGTCTGTTTGCCACAGTGACTAAGAGAAGGCAGAGGTATTAGGTCAACAGGAACAGGATAATTGGATAACCTGAGCTAGCATAAATTCAATTTTAGGCAAGCATCTTTGAGTCCAAGAAAGCAGTCAAGTTTTTAAAAACCTAATATACTATCAGTTTATCAATCCCTCCTTAACAGAAAGTATTTTTAATCTGAAAGATCCCCATCTATTAGTTCCCCAATGCTATTAGTTCTAGCATTTAGATTCCCAAGAGATGAAAATTAAGTCTCTTTTAAGTAAGCTTCTCTTCTCCACATAAAATTGTTCCATAGTATTTTCCTTGACTCATCAGTGTCCAGCTATTTAGCATAACTTTAATTAGACAATTAACAAATTATAGAAATATACTAGTTAGGTCAAATCACTGAAACTTTTTTAAAATCCCCAAAAATCAATTTCCTGGTTTTCTCCTTTTAATCAGAATTAGGAGAGCCACTGCATAAAATAGTTATTTTTAATACTGTCGTTTGCAGAAGCATGCTTGTTTTTTCTTTGTTATGCTTAATGTGGTACATTTTACAGATGTTGAGAGAATACTTCAGAAAGTCTTGAAGGGACAATGAGAGATTGTGGTTTAACAACAAAGCGTCTGGCAGTGTCAAGGCATATTGGTAATAGTTGTATTGTTGAAGTGTAAGATCCTTGGTTAGTCTTCAGAAGGAATGTGCTCTTGGCAGGGTACAGCTGCATATGTTTCTGTGCAGTTCAGTGTCCTTTATGGTTCATTTTCCCAAAGGCTCATTGTGCTTATTGCATCATTTGTTTTTATTTGTAAGAGTGTTTTAGAAGCTTCAGAACAGTTGTAGAGTCATTACTGTTTCTAGCTGTAAATGGTTATGGCTGCCCATGGAAATTATGCTGAAGGCAAACAAAAGTAAATAAAAGTCCCTCTTCCGTACCTTTCCTCTTTATCTGCCTTTCCTACTATTCCACGCTAGGAAACCCAATTCTGTGGGATTACACAGGGACAAGGTTCCACACATATATCACAGCTCATTCTGATTTATGACTAATTGGTCTCCCAAGAAGGGCTCAATGTGCTTTAGGATATAGGCAAACGACCTGCATTTAAAATTAAAGCTGGCATATTCATTTTGAAGGACAGAGTTGAAGTCAACGACTCTACAAAATTTCTGATGCATAAACTTATTTTTCCCCTCCTTCAAATGAGGTAACAACCCAACTCTATACTCAGTCCTGGGAAGCCAATGCTTCTGTACCTAAAACTGTTCATATAAAATGGGTAACATGCAGGGTACTGGAAAAGCAATTCATCACAGGAAATCGGAAATAATTTTAACTCTATTAGTAAATACTGCAAATCACTGTCCTGAGCCCAGTCAGTCAAGTGCCTGCATTATTTTTTAACATGCTTATGTTTCCATTTACAATACCAAATAGAACTTGAAAGAGAGATGTCTTGTTATTCAAAAACAATATTTTTCATAATATACGAAAACAATCCATGGTATCTCCACAAGTACCCTGTGTGTAGTTTTCTGTGTGCAGCACAGTAAAGTTGTTATTGGTTGTGCTACTCATATTTTTTGTTGTGTTGTCATTTATTGTCAATTAAATATCTGTTGAGTACAGCAGGCCCTTAGTACCCATGGGTTCTACATCCTTGGATTCAATCAATTGTGGATCAAAAATATTCAAAAAAAAAAGTATGGTTGCATCTGTACTGAACATGTACAGACTTTTTTTCTTGTCATTATTCCCTAAACAATACAGTATAAGAATGATTTACATTGTATTAGGTATTATAAGTAATCTGGAGATTATTTAAAATACACAGGAGGATGTGAATAGGTTATATGCAAATACTATGCTGTTTTATATCAGGAACTTGAGCATCTATAGATTTTGGTATCCAAGGGGGGACAGTCTTGGAACCAATCCCCTATGGATACTGAGAGATAACCATATAAGATACTGGAGCGGATATCATGGAGAAAGAATTAGAGGGATCCCCTTTCCTCAAAGAGCTTCTAATCTGGGTACAGACATGACTTTGACTCTCTCAAATCTTTCAGTGGATTCCATTGTCTGAGGGATGGAGATGCATCTTCTAGCCAGAGCTCATAAGATTCTAGGTTCCCAGCCACCACCTGCCTCTACATTAGTTGTTTCAATGATTCAGACCAGTGCTATATTCCCATTTGGCAGGTACAGAAACTGAGACCCAAAAAGGGATAAGTAAGCTTACAAACAATTGCCAGGTAGCAGAGGGTGATTCAAGGCCAGAGCTATTATCTTCTAACTCTCCTAACCTGTGATTATATCATAACGCAACCAACCAATTTTTGAGATGAGGAGCAGTCTTTCAAAAATACATATTTTTGAACTTTTATAGCAGGATTATATAGCAGCCTCAGTTGGGAAACCCTGGGTTCCAAATGAGAAGAGGTAAGTCCTGTTCCTGACTTTGTCAATAATTAGCTGTATGATCTTAGAAAGGTCATTTTGCTTCATTTTCTTTATTTACAAAGTGATGAAAGTTGACTAATTACTTTTAGGCAACATTTTCCAAATCTGTTTCAAATAGGCATTGCTGTAAGCTATGGGTCCATATTTGGAGATGTGCAATGTGCGTTAGCATGTTAGAGGTACCATGAGGTCCCACGTGAAGAAACCTGTTAGCAAAGACCTTTTAAAACTTACTTATCTCTGGAACACTTAGTCGTGCCTCACAAAGCTCATGTTCCCTAGCAAATAATCTGGGACATGATTTTTCAAATTTTCTTTTGGATCTAAAATCTGATAGATGACATTTTTGCTTACGAAATGTTCCATACCTTCAACCCCTGTGTTCTCTCTTAGTTGTGACTTTCCACACATCACACCCCTGCCCCCCGCACAGGAAATCAACACGGTGGGCAACAAATAAATGTGATTGACTGATTTATTTGGCTCTTAAGGTTAATGTATTCTAAACATTGCTTATTTAATATGTTTGGCAAAATCTCATCTAACACAGAACTGTTCTGGGATGTGAAGCACTGTGCTCTGGGAACTGGGTGTAAACAACCAACTCTCCCCAGAGCCAGCCAAAGAGATGCCAGATGACATTTCAGTACCATTTGGCTATGAGAGTTTCATTCAAATGCAAAAACAATAAACAGATTCTGTCCCTGGTTAGCAGACTTCTGATCTAGCCATTCTGTCTGAGACTGGTCTATAGAAAATCAAACCATTTGGTGTTAAGTGCCACTGAGCAGTCACTCTGATGTGACAGCCATTTTTCTCATCCTCCTTCTAATAGTTTACAAGATAAGTTGGCTCTGCCAGATTCTCCCAGGAGAAAACCCTCCTATTCATCCTTAGAATGCCACTTGGTGTGTACTTTAGCAGTAAATTACCATACACTACCCCCATGGTTTGAAGGAGCTGATTCACAATGAAAGCACCAGAGTTTCCTTGGAATTAATTTGACTATGCCACATTTCTATGCCCAAGAAAACAAAATAACTTTAATATTCAATAGAATACATACACAAAAATGGACTTTTAAAAAAGACAGTTGTTTTTAATACAAGATCTTAAAACAGCATCATTTTTCATCTTAGGAAATCATGTGTGTCCAAGTGATTTTGTATTATAATTACATTGTTTACAATGTACCAAAAAGCATAAAGACACATAACACCTTGCCCAGATGTGGTGGTTCACACCCGTAATCCCAGCACTTTGGTAAGCTGAGATGGCTGGATCACTTGAGGCCAGGAATTCAAGACCAGCCTGGCCAACATGGTGAAACCCTGTCTGTACTGAAAATACAAAAAAAAAAAAAAAAAAAAAAAAAAAAGCCAGCATGGTGGTACATACCTGTAGTCCTAGCTACTCGGGAGGCTGAGGCAGAGGATCACTTGAACCTGGGAGGCAGAGGTTGCAGTGATTTGAGATTGCACCACTGCACTCTAGTCTTCCAGCCTGGGTGACAGAGTGAGACTCCATCTCACAAAAAAAAAAAAAAAAAAAAAGAAGACGCATAACACTTTATTCAACCTGAACCTATTTTCAAAAACTGTCTTTTATCTCTGTCTTTAAAAACAAGCAACAAATAAAGATCCTGTGTAAGCTGTGTAATGAGAGAACACTCAATACTATAGGTTCATAACTAAAAACAAGAAAAATGTTTTTGTTTGTTCCAACTTTTCTAAGTGCAAGTAAACCGTCAAAAAAAAAAGACCTCTTCTTCTGAGCACATTACATAGTGGTAATATTCTTAGTATATTGTGGTGTTAGGTAGTTGAAATTTGCAGTGTAGAATAATGAGTAAGAGTAGAGAATGGACTTTGAGGTGGAACCAGGGTGTTAATCATAGCTCTGCCTCCTGCTAGCTATTAGCACTTTTTAAAAAATCATTGAGCCTTGGTTTCCTTATCTGTGCATGGGAGGTATACCTTTTCCACAGGTTATTTTGAAGATTAAAAAAAGGATACAGCCCATATCACGGTTATCCTATTCCTGTCACAAAATAAGCAGGTAATGATATGGACAGGAGACAGGGAAATACTGAAATACTGGGTAGAAGAGAATGATTACCCAGCAAAAGACCCACCCTCAAGCCTGTAAATCCATGGCCCTAAATGGGAACGGGCATTTTTGTTTTCATGCCCAAAAAGTTGCCTATTGGCCCGCCACTCCCCCCAATCCTGTACCCATATGAGCCCCAAACATCCGGCTCCAGGAGGAGACAAGCAGAGGAACTGAAGAACAGAAGAGCAGCAGAGAGGAGAGGAGAGAAGAGAAGGATCGTTGAGAGGAGTTCCGCTGGGGATGGTCAGAGAGGAGATCAGCTGCTGGACAGCAAAACTCCAGGGGAAGATCATCTTCCTGCTCCATCCGCTTTCCAGCTCCCTATCCATCCCACTGAGAGCCACTTCCACCACCCAGTGAAACCCCTGCATTCACCATCCTTCAAATCTGTTTGTGATCTGATTCTTCCAGGACTCTGGACAAGAGTTCAGGATACAGAAAGCTGTCACACTGGCCCTCTGCCCTTGCAAAAAGGCAGAGGGTCCACTGAGCTGGTTAACACTTAAGCCGTCCACAGATGTCAAGGCTAAAAGAGCATGCTGCAACACATGCCCACTTGGGCTCCAGGGAGTCATAGGACTCTACCCCTGGATGCTGCTGTGGGGCTGGAGCCCAGCGCCCTGCCTCCTGCACCTGTCCATCTACATGCTCCCCGTCACATAAAGGGTTTGGGCAGTGGTGGCAACCAAACAGATGAGCCACATCCCTGTCACACATCCTGTGAGGGGGTCAGGGAACTCTCCCATTTCAGTAAGAAATAGTTATTGTTTTACAGAGACTTTATTGGTTCATTTGAAAGGAGGGCCAGAGGTAGGGTTGGCCCAGGAATACCATTCCCTGTGATCCTCTTGGCCCCAACCCTCTATTTTTGGCTTCTTCTGAGGGAAATCTAGGCCCCTCCTTCACACACAATGATAACCTTCTGAAACCTTTTGCCAGAGGCTTCTAGAGGACTTATTTGACGTATCATCGATCCACTGTCACTGGCCAAGTTGAGTCACTTAGTCTTTTCTGAATATATGACTGGAAAAGAGGATAAAAAAAACCCATCAGGCCAATCAGGCCACATCTGCAACTGGGGACAGTGTTCCAAGCTATGTGAGCTGTGTTGGAGAGTGTGGATCATGTTTACAAAAATCAGTATTGTACCTTGAAAAACATGACATTAATAATGATTCTAACAGAATAAAACATGAACAATAAAAAAGTCAGTATTGTGCTAGAAAGGAGGAAGTATAGTAGGGTACTGCTAGACACCGTCAATGTCCACCATACTAGTGCTCCTCCAACTTCAGCATTCATCAGATCATCTGGGGATATGGTTAAAATGCAAATTCTGATTCAAAAGTTCCAGGATGAGGCATGAGATTATACATTTCTAACAAGTACACTGTCTGCTGTCCTTATTTGAGTAGCAAGATACAACCACCAACAAATAGCACCCCAGCAAAATACAGGCTGGGATCAACAGCTTGTAACTACAAGAAAGTTGGCTAATATTGGTGGCTAAAGAACAAAAAGAATGTAACTGACCAATGCAGAAATCAAACACATTACACATTGACATCTAAGTAACCTCTAAGCAGGTTCCATTTTAGCCACCTGACCAAGTCAGCCATTTCCATTTCTAAATAAATTAGGTGAGATAGTGTCCACCACCTCATGATCAATACCATGAATTCTGGATAACTCAATGAATATTCAGTTCAACCTAATGCCTGTATCAGGCATTGTGCTAGACCTTGAAATTAAAATGATGATCTAAACCAGGAGTTCAGCAAACTTTTTTTAGAGGGTCAAATAGTACATATTTTAATCTTTGCAGGCCAAGAGAGAAAATCAATGATATTATGCGAGGACTTACATATACCTATATAAAGTGTTGCTATTTTAAGGCATTCTTACTTGCGGATCATACAAAACCATATGGCTTGGCCCACAGGACTTACTTTGCCAACCTCCAGTGCATGTAGCTATGGTCTCTATCCTCATGGAGCTTACAGTTTATTCAAAGTCTGACATGATGGGTTGGCATTTTTTTCAAACCTTCCCTCCCAATCCCCCTTGTCATTTGAATGAAACCGAGCCTACCGGTAAAATGGCTTGTCCAAGTTCACCTACCTATGGACCCAAATCCCTTAACCATTGATCAGGAGCTATGTGCCAAAGAACAGCTATTGAAACATTCTTCTGGCATTTAATTTAAGGTCATAACATGAAAACATACAAGTGCCAAATCAAAGATTCTTAAGAGCTCAGTATAAAGGGAGGAAACATTAACCATTAAATTGTCCCTTCAAATACTTATCTTTAAATGATAATCACAGACCCATGGAAAAAGAGCTAAACAGCACCATGTGTGTGTAACCAAATCACCACACCTACACATAAATGAGCTTCTGCATATACAAAGCAAACACTAACTTAGCCACAGATGTTTCCCAAGAGTCTATGCAACTACATGCTCTTAAGCCATATTCCACAGCTTGGGAACCACAATATAAACTTCTCCCAGACTCTCAATTCCGGCTGGAAACAAAGCTGCTCCTTGTCAGATAGAGGGAATGGAAGTGAAAGGCACTGTGCTAGCACTTCTCAAGGGCCCATTTAACAGGTGTGCTCACTGAGTCACAAAGTGGGAATTTGCTTCGAGAGCAGGGCTTAGCCATATAGTTTCCAGTAATTCTGACTTTTCCTGCAGAGAAAAAGATTAAGCCATCCACTGCCTAACTCTGACCACCACATTGTGTTTGCTTTTGCAGGTTTATCCCACAACGTTCCTTTTTTTTTTTTTTTTTTTTTTTTTGTGGTACTTGTTGGCCTTTTGTGTTTAAAATGTCATTTGAAGTCTGAAAAAGAATCATTTTGCTATCATTCACAATGTCAAAAGATGGATGGCTTGGCAGGGCTGGTGCCACAAGTCAGATAGATTTAGAGGGTGGCATCCCCTTGTGGAAGTAATTCATAATCACTAAATAAAAACTTTTTAAATATTTTTCTGTCCCAAAGTATATGAACAACTCTTGTTCATTTTAAGCTGACTGATTGAAGTCATATCCCAAAGATCTTTCACGCTTAAAGAGAGGGGGGAAAAAAATAGATCCCAGAATCTCACACCCATTATCTGCTTGGCCTTTTAAAAGTCTCTTTTTTTCTTATAGTCAATAGCCTTTAGGATCTATGAGTTCATAATTGTATGTAATTATCTCAGTGAGCCAGCTAGCATTTGTCTATTTATTATTTGTTGTATGCATTAGCCTATGCAAACTCCTAACAAAGGCTGTAGAAAGCAAAATAAATAGATGATATGTCTATCTTCAGTTAGCTTTTAATCATTAGAGAAATTTAAACAAAAGTCCAAATGATCTAAACATATAAAATCCCCAACCCCCTCCACAGTGTACCCATCATTACCCCATCATGAAAGTTCTATTTTCTAAAATTTCTATAGCCTTTAACAATTTAGATTAAATAATAGGCCATTTGTAATTTTTTCTAATTGACTTTCACATAAAGCCTTGATGCATTTTCTAGAATGTGCATTTTCTGAGGGTAGAAAATTTAGATTTCTGAAACTCTTGCATTTGCTTGTATTATGCTAAGCAAATGGTGGGCATATTCATTTGCCTTTTCTAAAGATACACATCAAGATGGTGGAGTTGTATTTACTGGCTTTGGAATCAAATCCCTGACTCTCAAAGACACTAGCTGTCACCTTCGACTGTCAGTTTTCTCATGTGTACAGTGGGATAATAATCACACCTATCCTTGTGGTAAGGATCATGCATATGAATGCATGTGATATGTGTCATGCTTGTCATATGCCATACACAAAAGTAATGCCCAGTACATGGCTGGCTGCTGCTGTTTTCGTTCCTGCTGCTGTTCCTCCCACCACCAAGGAAAAAACAAACAAACAAACAAAAAACCCTCCTAAAAGCTGAGTAACAATCTGAGGGTAAGACAACTTGAGATAAACAACACAGTAAAACCTGACATTAATCCTTGAAGCAAGCCTAAAACCAGACAGTTTTTCCTCATTTTCAGAACACCTAAAAGGGAATAGTCCCGTGTGGTCTTGAGAATAAAAATTAAGGAAAATTGTCCATTTTTTCAAAGGAATTCAGCATATGATTTCTAAAACCGGTGTGTTCTCTGGGTGCAAAGTCTGATTTACAGACTACTTTCCAGGGACAGGGTCTAGCTTGAGCCAACACCCATGCTGGTCCCTGGATTGCCTTTCTCTATCCCTTTCTCGTCCCTGGGAGGGCTGCCATGCCTATGCCCCAATTTATGAGGGTAGAAATAGGAACACAAGAGCAAGTCACTGACCCATCATAGGTCCAGGCTTCTAGTTGGTAGTGGGGTACTTTCCGGTGCTTCTTTTGTACTTGCCCCTTGGGCTGCCAAAGTAGTTTTGGACATTTTTCTGCTGTATTCTGTAAGGTTTGGTCAGCCAAGAAGGACCAATCTATTGGTGGCTCAATAAAGTGCTTCTCACCAGTTTGTGCAGGTCATAAACATTGCCTCTGAGTGCACTAAGATTCCTATGGTTGCAAGAGACAGAAAACTGAATGCAAAATAAGCTTCAGCAAAAAAGGTGAATTATTGGCTCATGTAAGTGAAAAGTCCAGGGTTCAGGAGGTTTCCAGGACTTAAGTAATTTCACCATGTCTTGCTTTTCTTCTCTCCCCTCTACCTTCCACTGAGTCTGTTTCATTCTGAGGTACACCATGGTGCCCCTGGAAGCTGCAGGCTTAGACCTGAGTCAATTCTTCTCCCTAAGCCAATCACCAAAGCTAGCAGAAGGCAATTTTCTAGTGTGATAAGGCCTAGGCCAGGTGTCTACACTAGTGAGTCACTTGCAGTGTGGTTAATTCTGTTGAAGTACTTAAATTAAGAATACAGAAAGAGTTATCCCCCAAAAGGAAAAATGGTGAGGTTAATTCTAAACACCAAGTAACGAAGAAGTATGGTAAGGAAAACTATTTGCTTGCAGGCCATAAGGGTCTAGAGAATGTAGAAATATCTATAAGTTTTTCATGTCATCCTGCTCATTTTTTGTTTTCTTCACACTTATTTCCTAGAATTTCTACCAGTGGATAGAGGTATCCACAGACTAAAATTAGTTTTGTGGGTGAGCCTAACTTTGGGGAATGGGAGGGAGGATATTAGTGGTCAGTGTGGAGTAGAATTCTTACCTCAATGCTCTTGAAGTTGTTCTCTGTAACTTGAGAAGAAAATTCCAAGAAAGTTTGTTTTTTTTCAGAGAGAGGGAGACTGGAGTCTGAACTTGTCACACCCTGTGCTATCTGATGAAAATACAGAGGCAATGACTCTCAAATTTTCCATAATTTAACGTCCTGTCCCAAACCACACAAACAAAATGCCACGGAACCACTACCCAGAGAACAGGTGCAGAATTGTTTGCTCAGTCACAAAGGATGATGGTTTTGACCCATGCCCGTGGCAACCAATGACACATGTTTGCAAGTGTCACCTTCTCTGCAAAGTGTTTTCTCATCCTATCAATTGTTTTCTTTTTTTGTTTTCATAGCTGCAGCAGTTATGTTAATACAGTTGACATTTATTGAGTTCGTATTTGTCAGTCTTTATGCCAAAAGCTTTACCACTATTATATCATTTAAGTCCTACAACAATTCTGTGAAATAGGTATTATCTCTATTTTACAAAATAGAAATCTGAGGCACAGGAAAGTTAAAAGTAACTCGCCCAAGGTCACAGAACCTTACATGATAGAATTTGGTTTCCAAGCCATGTAAGTGCATAACCAAAAAGCTGTCTGCCAATGCTTGTCTCCATTGTAACACATAACAATAGCTAACAGTTATTAAACACTTACCTTGTACCAAGTACCATGCTAACAACATAACTTTAGAGGTATTATCTCTTTAGTATTCATGGTCACTCTGTGATATACACTCTAGCAGCATCCTCACTTTTCAAATGAGGAAACTGAGGCTTATAGAAGCAGTATAACTCATTCAGAGTCACACAGTTTGAGTTTAAAATCTGGCACTCAAGTTCATTTTCTTACCTAAAAGCCAGTACTGCCTATTCTCTTTAAATTTCATCTCACTGTTTATAGTTACTTGTTTAGATGCCAATTTCCCCACTAGATTGTGAGATCCTTGAAGGTAGGAACTGGACCTTAATCACTGATCATAACAGGTGCTTCATAAATGTCTTATTCATTTATTTCCCCAGTGTCAAATATAGTGTTTAACACATATAAGGTGTTCTCAATATGGAACAAGTAAATGAATGAAAGAGGATATGAATGATGGCTACTGAGGTTAAAAAAAAATAACCTATCTCCATAGACTGGAAATCATGTAATTAATCATTTAGTAGGTTGAACCCATGACCTGAGCTTTGCAAAAGTCACTTCAATCCAGGTAACTTACTCTCAAAATAAAAATGACTTGGTTGTGGCCAGTCTTCCACAAATATTACAGGACTTCAGTCACTTTTCTGTCACTGTAATAGCTCGTATTAAAAAAAAATAGAAACTCAGGTATTGTATAAAATCATCTAATACAGCAAGACTCAATCCTCAACACTGTTCTTTCTGGTGTGTTCTTTGCTGGGTTTCATCTTCCCTGACCTTTAACATTTCTCTCCACAATAATTTCACAGATGCCACCAAAAATGACATTAACACAACAACTAATTCAGCCTTCTGAGCATCAGGCTTTAAGCTCCCATGAGGCCATGTACTAGGCATTCTAACTATATGTGGAATAAAACCAAATAAACAAATATAGTTTTTTTCCAGTGAGAGAGTTTTTTCCATAATAAAATAATACACCCTGAAGCAGACAATTAAAGGAGTTTATGGTTTCTAGCCAGTTGGAAGATGAAGAATGCAAATATGGGAGTTATGTTTGGGAAGAACCTGTTTGGGAGCCCGAGGTAAGCCCAACATGGAATCAAGCCCCTACTTGCAAAACTCAATGGAAACAAGTTCGTGTTCAAACAACTGTGGTTTCTTCGAGCTCAAGAGACAGCTGTCTGGAAAAATGACTCAATAGAGAGGTCAAACGTGTTGTAGATATTGCCTTGAGAGCATTTATTCAAATGTGGGAGTAAATTACTCAACCTTTTATAAGAGCAATAGATATTTACATTAAATCAAATGAACAACTATGTAAGCAACCATCCATATTCCACCACTACCAATCCATGTAACAGCGAGCAGACTTGCTCAGTTTCTACTTCTCGGCTGACCTCCACCTCTCACGTTCATTCTTTGAGTATCCTGGGACACACATGGTATTGTTTTAAAAGGTGGCATCCTCTGGCAGACATGCTTGGTTGCCCAGCTCTTAGCCTTAGGTATTCTTGTTCTTGCAATCATATCCAGTGTCTTTTTAGAAAACAAAGCTAACATAAGAGACAACTTTCCATAAGCCAAAGGCAACATCCAAAAACCCACCAAGAATGCATGATCTAATACAATGATTGGTAAACCTTTTCTTTTCTTTTCTTTCTTTCCTTTTTTTTTGAGACAGAGTTTCACTCTTGTTGCCCAGGCTGGAGTGCAATGGTGCGATCTTGGCTCACTGCAACTTCCGCCTCCCTCGTTCAAGCGATTCTCCTGTCTCAGCCTCCCAAGTAGTTGGGATTACACGCACGCACCACCACACCTGCTAATTTTTGTATTTTTAGTAGAGATGGGGTTTCACCATGTTGGCCAGCCTCATCCTGAACTCCTGACCTCAGGTGATCCACCCACCTTGGCCTCCCAAAGTGCTGGGATTACAGGTGTGAGCCACCACACCTGGTTGGTAAATCTTTTCTATAAAGGGCCAGATAGCAAATAGGTTCAGCTTTGTGGGCCATATTGTTTCTGTTGCAACCACACAACTCTGCCATTGTAGTGCAAAAGCAGTCATAGACAATACCTAAATGAATGAGCATTTAGGTATTCCTGTAAAACCTTATTTGTAAAAATAGGCAGAAGGCCAGACTGAGTTTGCAGGCTGTGGTTTGCCAGCACTGGTCTAGAGTTCCCAAAGGATGCATCCATCTACTATGAAAAATCCTCTTATGACTTGAGCCCTGTCTAACTTTCTGACTTTATCTTGTTCTACTCCTAATGTCACCTACTCTGGCTACCTTTTTGTTTACTTCTAAGCTTTCCTCAGCCCTCCACTTGAGGACATTTGCGTTTCAGCTTCTCTTTTCCCAGAATGCTATCCCCTGGCCCTTGTTGATTACTGAATGAATGAGATCTTGTGGCCTATTGTTGGCTTAAGGAAATGTTTTAAAGAGTTTTCAAATGTGTCCTTAATACAAAAACAGTTCTCTTCTAATTTTACAGTATACTGCTCTCTACAAGATGGCTCATTCATGACTTTCTTCAGAGATAACCTTTTCCTATCAAAAGCAAAATATGTTATCCCTAAACATGTAACTAGATGACTAATAGAAACGATAGTAATCATTGGCCACTTGCCACTCTGAATTCAGCAAGAAGTTTAAAAAGAACGGAGATGTGTCTTCTGATTAGCTTTACCTACCAAATAATTCCCAACACCACCCCCGACCCCCCCCAAAAAAAAAAAAAACTAAAAAGGCCTGTTTGTCTGTTTGTCAAGTAATGTGCTCATTAGGGACTTCCTTTCCATGAAGAATCAAAGCAGGTAGCTCTGGCCCAGATACAGGTCAAGGCCTGAGCCCATATCTGCTCAAAGTTCGAATTGTGTTTTGGGAACCAGGAATTGTCTGCTTTATTGACTAATACAAATAAAGAAGAGGGGATTCCAAGCTTGTGCGAAGGATTCTTTTGCTTTGTAAAATATCATACGTGGTGGTTTTTCAACTAGGAGTCTGACCATAGAAAGAACTACTTTACTCTGCTTATTCGTAAACCACTTTAGAAAACCCATAATACAGCTTACAGATACAATTCAACACAATTGGAGTAGAGAGGAGAGGCAGCAGGGGTAGGAGTATATTTGTTTGGGGCTATTTCCTAATGTGGGTTATTACTAGACTTTCCAAAGTTTGGGATCATTTTCTCCACACTCCCAAGTATACAACTCTTCCTCACTCATGACAATTGCATGCCTGGCTCTGGGTCACTTCCCTGGCCTATTTCAGAGCAGGAAATCTAGTTAAAATACAATATCTGGCACTTGACTAAATTTTATAAGAACAAAAAAAGTCCTCTCAAAACCTTTGACTCTTCCATGAAATTTTTCCCAAATACTCGTTGTAAAAGCCCCCAATAGATAGAATGGAAACAAAAATGTTTCTTAAAAGGGAAGAATCATGCAGAAGGAAATGATAATCACAAATCCCTCACCAATGCTTTTCTTTTAATTGAACTAAAAATTATTCTCACCTGAGCGTCATTCTCAAGTGGTTTTAAAGTCTATGCTCTCAGCCTTCTAGTGGGAGCAGTGAATCTTTCTTGCTCAGAAAGCAGACATCTAGTCAACAACGTATGTGTGCACTTTGGTCGTTTCAGCTGGCCACAGCTAAGTCTTTTGTGTTCACGTGACAGGGGTTTTGAGCCACAGTGGAAAACGCTGCCTATTTTGGTCCAGCCCTACCTTCAACAGAGGGAGCAAACAAAAGTGTCTACAAGGTAACATTAAGTGAGTGCAGGGCCCAGGTGGGAGTTGCATTCTATTACAGGCAGCCACAGCTAGATTCTGCCAAGTATGACCACATTAGAATGTAGGCCCAACATTGCCAGATCTTCCAATTGAAGAAAAAAAAATATCAGAAACCCAGATTACCCTTCAAACTTTAAAATGTTGGAGCAATTTTAAAAAGGAGGAGGAGGAGGGAGGGGGGAGGGGGAAGAAGGGGGAAGTCAACAAAGCCAAATGTATCTACAGGCCAGATTGAGCCAATGGGTTGTACATCTGAGGCCATTGTACGACAGTCACAGAAGTCCACACAGTGAAGCCAGTGAGCTGAGATGTCCTCAGAGAACATCCTCAACAACTTCCAGGCTTGGAGCTGGGTTCTCAGCATGTCCAAAGCTGCGGAGGCCTAGGCTTCTAAGTTGCTGCTCTCTCCTTGACCATTACTAAGAAGGTTCTCTGGTTTGCTCATTTTTCAACCTTTGTGGTACACAGAGTGAGAGAGGAGTAAATGAAAGTAGGGCTAACTATCTGACTTGTCAGCTTGTTTTCTATTATGGTTAACACCCTGTGGGGGTGGGAAGGATAAAAACCTGATTGTTATCAGTGGCGAATTCTTTTCACCTCTATATTGAAATGGTAGGGCTTCCTTGTCTAAATTTAGACTTCAGCTCAAATCTCTTGCTTCTTTTTTTTTTTTTTTTTTTTTTTGTTTAGACCCTGGCCAAACATGAGGTTCAAATTGATGTATGTTTTGTTTTTCCATTGTTATTCCTGGAGCACTCCCAGAACTAGAGGCAAAATATAAAATAAAAATGAAGACACAAGAATATCTATTGTTTGCATACCACACGCTTTCAGTTAGTTAGAAAAATGTGTTTATTTCATTACATTTCCTTTAAAGAGCTATGATTTAAGTTAAAGACAAATGAGTTTTTTAAACTGAGAACTTATGTTCAAAATGTTTTGGCACTTGTCATGAAACTAGAGTGTGACCAAGTTCTTTGTCACTAAGCCTCTTCTTCCAATTGCTTTCCACTGGCAGTGCCCTGTCTCTGTCTCCTCTCTTTGTTGAGAATGGAATTCCCTAAAGCAAGGACCCTCAAAAAGCAGCATTTTCCATGGGAGGTCTCACTGTAGGGGCAGCAATCCCTGGAGGCATGAAAAAGACCTGGATGCAGCACAGAGTCCTTTGTGCCCATTTGACCTCACTGCCCTTTCCCCAACCACTAGAGGTCCATTTGTCATGTTTTCTGGGGTTTTTTGTTTGTTTGTTTGTTTGTTTTTGTTTTCTGAGATGGAATCTTGCTCAGTTGCCCAGCCTGGAGTGCAGTGGCTTGATCTCAGCTCACTGCAACCTCTGCCTCCCAGGTTCAAGCAATTCTCCCACCTCAGCCTCCTGAGTAGCTGGGATTGCAGGTGTGCACCACCACACCTGGCTAATTTTTGTATTTTTAGTAGAGACAGGGTTTCACCATGTTGGCCAAGCTGGTCTCGAACTCCTGACTTCAGGTGATCCCACCTGCCTCGGCCTCCCAAAGTGCTAGGTTTACAGGTGTGAGCCACCACATCCAGCCTGTCATGCTTTCTGTTTTGGGACAGATGCACCCTCTCCAGGGTACAATTATTTAGCACTGCTTAAATGTTGCTCACAGTGATGCAATGTTGCTTTTGCTATGGGTTTTGCATCCCCTTCTAGACATGTCTTGAGTTTTTAGGTATTTTTTTCATTATTAAAAATATGGTAAACTATACAGTGGCAAGTGGATTTCCAGATTTTAATCTGCATCCAGAGGTAGCCACTGTGATATTTTGGCTTATTTCCTTGAGACAAGTAAACACAGACATTTTTTTTCCTGCTTCTATGACAGCATCTGTTGTAAAACACACCATTGATTTAATTTGTGTTCTTCAAACTTAATGAGGCTGGTTCCTTCTTGTCATTTTATATTAACTTAAATGTCACCACCTCACATAAACCTCCCTGATCACCTTTTCTAAAGTAATCATCATCTCCGCCCCCATCTGTTGAACTTTGTCACATCCCCCTGGTCTGTTTTATTCTGAGGAATTAATACTATCTGAGATTGTTTTGTGTCTCCACTTGTTTATGTTTAGATATTAAACTATCCCCACTAGAACATAATCTTGGGAGCAAGAAGCTGTCTGTCTTGTTCATCGCTGTGTCTTCAGGGCCCTTCAGAACAGCGTTGCCTCTGTTTTCTTCTGAAAGCCTGCTCAAACGATAATACATTTTGAAAGGCTATCAACTTGCAAGGGTGAGAAGAAGGGGAGAGAAGAAAAGTGTGGTGGAGATTGAAAGTTCGTGCTAGAAAACGTAAATTTAGTGCGGATATGTTCCTGTTTGGAATCTATCTTTCCAGCCCTACAGGGTCTTGGTAAATCTGTCTCCCCACAGTCTACTCCCTAACTCTGATTTAGTAACCTTTTATTTGGATGGTGCCGATCCTGACTTTGGTCCAAGGATCATGAGCTCAAATCTGTTTTCCTGCCAGTAAAGAGATAATAAAAGCTTCAGTTTCTTCCTTTAACCCCATCTATTCAGAGATAACAGCTTTAACATTTCAACAAACTTCTAATCTTGTTTCCATGCTTTTTATTTTTTACATAATTAAGATTGCACTAATCTAAATAGACACTGAAGTTGCTGACAAGCAAATAAAATAGACTTCATGCCGTAGTTGCCTGGCAATTGCCTGTTTGACCTACCAAAGAGCACACTTAATAGAAAAGTCAATAATGTTAAAAGAAATACAGAGGCCAAATGAAAAACTGGTAGAGAAAAGTTTCTATTCATTTATAGTTTTAATATTTTATATACTTTGTGTCTTATTACAAATGACACTCACGTGATTAGAAACAGGTTACTTCCCAGTAGCTCATCTCCTGCTGTTATACATTTTTCATCTGAATGTATTACTTCTCAGCTGCAACACACAAGTTAGCAACTGTGGAAATTATTATAATATGGAAATTATTATAATGTCATTGAAGACTGTGGCTTTAGAGGGGAAATAACCAGCAGGCATAAAACCTTCAGCCATGAAGTTGTGGTGTTCCTGTAAGTCTCATTAAGAAGAAAAGGAGGGGGGTAGGGCAACGGTAGACTATATAAAATGAACCCATAATTTGAACTGGCTTAAGCCTTCTTTTATTGAACACCTTTGAAACTGCAGACTGGACACCTGTAGGGAAACAGAATTAGGAGGCTCAAACTATCACGCAGTTTTGAAATAAATTAGGGATAGTTCAGGGAAATGGGTCCAAAAGCCAGATGAATTTCTGACAACAAAACTCTACCAAATTAAAATAACATTTCTTTTATAGCTTTGAGTCTGGTAATTGAAGATGAAATAAGTCACCTTTAAATGGTTATGATATTGCTCAGTGAAGAGAAAAATGTTAATTGATATATTTTTAGAGAATGGCTTGGGTTTGAAGCAATCTCATGCATTCTCAATTTTCTGTTAATAATGGGGCATCCTGAAGTGTCTCAGCTTTCCACACTCATAATGAGTGGTGAGGTGTCTTCTGCTTCTGGGAGTGATAGAATAAGACCCTACGAGATGACTTTCCCATGGAAAACAAATTTAATCCTAGACATAATACAAAAAGTTGTAAATAATGGAGAGTACGCCGAGAAAGCAGGCTTGGTAAAGAGTAGACACTTTGGAAAGGGTGGAAGGGAGGCTATACATGTTAGGTTACCGTCTTCACAGCTTACAGCTTGAGGGTAAGTGCAGGTGGTACAGTGTACTCAACGCAGTGGGTGTGCTTGTGAAACAAAACAGTCTTTTCAAGACACACTGAAAAGTGTGATGAAATCACCAGACAGAAAGATCTAGAGAGAGTATCCCCAAATTCTGTCTACCTATATCTCTGACAAACTATGCATGCAGGGTACAGACTCAAAGCAGCTAACTTTCAGTCTTTAAATATAAAGACAAATATGGGCTGAAAGACAAAGGAGCTCAACTGAGATTGTAGCTGCCACTCAAGAAACAGTTTGGAGCTTAAGTTCCTACAATAATTAGCAGCTTAAATGAAAGAAACAACACTTATCAAAGGGAGGTAAAAACATCCAGAATTTCCACTACTTAATATTCACTCCATATAAATTAATGTTTAGAATATAATCCAAAATTTCCCAACATACAAAGAACCAAGAAAGTGGGGCATGTTCTCAAGAGATAATAAAATCCACTGGGTCTGACCCCAGAATGAACCAGATTTTGAAACTAAAAGATTTTAACATAGCAATTATGCTACCCTAAATAATGTATATGATGAGTGAAAAGACATGAAATCTCCTTGGAGAAACAGAAACAAGAAAGAATCAAGTGAAAAGTCTAGAACTGAAAAACACAATATTTGAAATAAGAAATTCACCAGAGGGTCTTAAGAGTTGAATGGAGATGTGAAAGAAAAGAGCAAGTCAAATTGAAGATAAATCAATAGAAATTATCCAACATGAATAACAGGGACAGAGAGAGAAAAAAAAAGAATGACTTAAAAAATGAAGCCTCAGAGATCCATTAGGTAATTTCAAATAGTCCATATGCATGCAAATAAAATCCTAAAAGAGAAGGGAGAGAATGGAGCAGAGAAAGTACTTGAAGAATTAATGACCAATAAATAACAAATTTGATGAAAGACTAAAATGTACAGGTACATTATGATAAATGAAAACCAAGCAGAATAAACATAAAGAAGCCCTCACCACAGATCATCATACTCACATTGTTGAAATCCAAAGATAAAAAGCAAATCTTGAAAGCAGGAAGAGAAAAATGACAATCCTATACAATCCTATACAAAATGACAAGCCCTATACAAGGAAACAGTGATCTGATTAATGGTCAGTTTCTAAGCAGAAACTATGAAGGCTGAAAGAGAATGGAGTAATAGTTCCAAAGTACTGAGAGACAATAAAAAAATTGTCAAACCAGAATTTATTACCCAGCAAATATATCCCGCAAAATGAAGACTAAATAATGACATTTTTGCATGGAACAAAACTAAAGTGAGTTTTCACCAGCAGACCTGAACTACAAGATATGCTGAAGGAATTTATCCTTCTGAAAGGAAATGATACCAGATGGAAACTTAGATCCTCAGAAAATATTAAAGAGCACTGAAAGTAGGAAATATCTGGAAAAACGCAAAAGACTACTTTTAAATTATTTTCTTTTTCTCTTAATTTATTTACAAACCATATAAATGTTTAAAGTGAAAATTATAATGTTGTCTTAGGTTTATAAGGTATTCAGATGTGATACAAATAACCACTGTAGCATAAAGAAGGAAGAGTGGATATGGACCTACATGGGTACAAGTCTCCTATGAGTTACATGAGTGGTAAAATACTAACTGGATATAGACAGTAGAGAATTAAGGATGTATATTGTAATCCCTGGGCTGCCACACACAAAAGTAATAACACAAATAAATGCAGCTTCAAAGCCAATAAAAATATCTTTCTAAAAATTATTTAAGAATTCAAAAGTATAGGAAGGAAAGAAAAAGGAATAGAAAACAAGAGAGAAGTAGAAAATAAAATAAAATCATTGATTCAACCAACCATAACAAGAATTACATTAAACATTAAAGGACTGAACAATTAAAAGGCAGAGATTTTCAAAATGGATAAGTGCAACATGACAACATGCTGCCTGTAAGAGATATGCTTTAAATATAAAGACAGATATGGGCTGAAAGTAAATGGATGAAAGAAGATGTTGTACTCAAACTGTACACATAAGAAAGTTGGAGTGGCTGTGTTATTATTTTAATGTGTAAATTTTAACTCAAAGAATGACTACAAGACATCACTCAAGAATGGCATAGATTTCTCATGTTTTCCTAAGGTTAGGAAATGTTTCCCTATCTTGGATTTTTCCACCCCTATTCTATTATCTTTAACATTTTACATTTTTTTAGCATTATGTGGTATACTGTGCCCTTTCACAGACCTTATAATAAAGGTAAAGCAGAAATTACCCCCATTTTAGAAATGAGAAAACTATGCAGAGACCAATGAATTAATTATTCCCAGAGAAACATTAGGTCAAAGAATCTCATTTGAAACCCAGTCTGTGGATATATACTGCCTTCCACTTTATTATGCTACGTCTTTCCTCTTCTGCAATGAAATTTTCCTATTGATAACTGTATTTCTCAGGAAGGCCTAGTTACTGGGAGAAAATTGATTGTAGGTAGAATGACATTAGAGACAGAGTCTATACCTACAAGCCATATGCTTAGGTGGAAGAATGTTAGAGACCCCTAATCTCATCGATTATGCTGAATTTTTTATTCTCTCAAGAAAATTCACAATATTTAATTAAGGAAAAGAGGAAATAATCTATAAGCAGGGCCTCTCTCAGGAAGGAGGTAAAGCTATCAAGGACCTATCCCAGGAAAGCTGCTTTGGCCCACACATTCAATACCATCTAATACCCATCTGTTTGGGGTGGACTTTGAGGAATTTTAAAAGAATTTTACTGTAAATTATCTTGTATTTACACAAAGAATAAATTTGTTTCTTCTATTTCATTCTTTGTTACTTCAAGCTGGAATACACAGAAGAATTGGGGGATATTCTATGCAGCAATTTGGCTTAACATGCTGAGCACTCAAATATTAAAAGAGAAATGGATAACAGTAGATATCACATCTGAGCTGGCCACTCACTCTGTTTACATGACTCAATGCTATTTGGTTAGGCAGATGGAGGAAGATGGTTGCAGAGGGGATGAGTTTATTGTAATTTCAATAAATTAAAGTTTGAATGTTTTCATATTTTTCCACAACTCTTTTTTTATTTTTATTTTATTATTATTATACTTTAAGATTTAGGGTACATGTGCACAATGTGCAGGTTAGTTACATATGTATACATGTGCCATGCTGGTGTGCTGCAGCCATTAACTTGTCATTTAGCATTAGGTATATCTCCTAAAGCTATCCCTCCCCGCTCCCCCTACCCCACAACCGTCCCCAGAGTGTGATGTTCCCCTTCCTGTGTCCATGTGTTCTCATTGTTCAATTCCCACCTATGAGTGAGAATATGCAGTGTTTGCTTTTTTGTTCTTGGGATAGTTTACTGAGAATGATGATTTCCAATTTCATCCATGTCCTACAAAGGACATGAACTCATCATTTTTTATGGCTGCATAGTATTCCATGGTGTATATGTGCCACATTTTCTTAATCCAGTCTATCATTGTTGGACATTTGGGTTGGTTCCAAGTCTTTGGTATTGTGAATAGTGCTGCAATAAACATACGTGTGCATGTGTCTATAGCAGCATGATTTATAGTCCTTTGGGTATATACCCAGTAATGGGATGGCTGGGTCAAATGGTATTTCTAGTTCTAGATCCCTGAGGAATCGCCACACTGACTTCCACAATGGTTGAAGTAGTTTACAGTCTCACCAACAGTGTAAAAGTGTTCCTATTTCTCCACATCCTCTCCAGCACCTGTTGTTTCCTGACTTTTTAATGATTGCCATTCTAACTGGTGTGAGATGGTATCTCATTGTGGTTTTGATTTGCATTTCTCTGATGGCCAGTGATGGTGAGCATTTTTTCATGTGTCTTTTGGCTGCATAAATGTCTTCTTTTGAGAAGTGTCTGTTCATATCCTTTGCCCACTTTTTGATGGGGTTGTTTGTTTTTTTCTTGTAAATTTCTTTGAGTTCATTGTAGATTCTGGATATTAGCCCTTTGTCAGATGAGTAGGTTGCAAAAATTTTCTCTCATTTTGTAGGTTGCCTGTTCACTCTGATGGTAGTTTCTTTTGCTGTGCAGAAGCTCTTTAGTTTAATTAGATCCCATTTGTCAATCTTGGCTTTTGTTGCCACTGCTTTTGGTGTTTTAGACATGAAGTCCTTGCCCATGCCTATGTCCTGAATGGTAATGCCTAGGTTTTCTTCTAGGGTTTTTATGGTTTTAGGTCTAACATTTAAGTCTTTAATCCATCATGAATTAATTTTTGTATAAGGTGTAAGGAAGGGATCCAGTTTCAGCTTTCTACATATGGCTAGCCAGTTTTCCCAGCACCATTTATCAAATAGGGAATCCTTTCCCCATTGCTTGTTTTTGTCAGGTTTGTCAAAGATCAGATAGTTGTAGATATGCGGCGTTATTTCTGAGGGCTCTGTTCTGTTCCATTGATCTATATCTCTGTTTTCTACAACTCTTAAGATATTTAGGTAACCAAAATAGAATTAGCTAACACTGATCAAGAGAAGAAAACATGCAGGCTTGAAGTTTTTCATTCACAATCTACAGAGGAAGATTTATGTAGTCTAGTGGAGCATTTGACTAGATCATTTTTAAGGTCGCTTTTGATTCTCATGTCCTAGGATTTATCTAAGAGCTCCCAAGGAAAGGGGGATGATGGTGATTCACACATTTTGTCTGGTCCCTTTTATATGCCAGGTGTTCTACCCATGACTTTATGTTTATGACTTAATTTAACCCTCAAATCAGCTTAGTGATGCGGATGGTATTATGACCATTTTAGGGAGGAGGAAATTGAGCCTTCCCAAGGTAAGACAGTAAGTGGTAGAGCCAAGCTATGAACCCAGATCTACCCAACTCCAAAGCCCATCCTCCTCCTACTCCTCTAAGTCAATTCGTTCCTCTTCTCTTTTAGAATATATAGTCCTTATCGGCCACCTGATATTTGTGATTTAGAGAACCCCAGCATTGCATGTTAACTACCTTGATGGTGTTGTAAGAAAGGTTCAGGGGCATTTCAGAATTTTCATCAAAAGAAACATCATTTGATGCCCTGGGTGTCAAAGTTGTGGGTACCAAGTTTGTGAAGTATGCCTTTCTTCATGCAGATTGCCTTCCAAGAGAGGGCAGTCTATGCTTCCAGATAGTCAGGGCCCTGAGTTGTTTAATCCTTGCAATATCCAGCACAGTGATAGAATCAATAAATATTGGAATGAAAATAAGCTAGGCATAGAAAGGAATTGTTTGATCAGTGGCGGACTAAATTAAAGTCCTGTTGAATAGAGCACATTTTCCAGACTTTCCATAACACAAGTTGAAAATCTTGGCCCCACTGTTTTCATCTAGCACAGAGGAAATCACTTCTATTTGTGCAAATGGAAAATGTTTCTGTCTGAATAGTTGACAGATGTTGCTTTAGGCCAATGGTTCTCATCTCCATAAAACCTAAAGTCCTCTTTGTATATATAAAAGGTAATAACAGTTTCTTTACAATCCTACACAGAAATTTATAGATTATATAACCAATACAAAATTTTTAAAATAAGTACTCTATATATAATATGAAAGAGAGATAAAAGTAATTTGTAATAAAATAACACATTTCATCAGTAAAATCCTCAGGCATGACAACACTAGAAGACAGTTTTTAAAAGACACAGTTTAGGTTGGGCACGGTGGCTCATGCCTGTAATCCCAACACTTTGGGAGGCCAAGGCGGGTGGATCATGAGGTCAGGAGTTCAAAGCCAGCTTGGCCAAGATGGTGAAACCCTGTCTCTACTAAAAATACAAAAATTAGCCGGGTGTGGTGGCATGCACCTGTAATCCCAACTACTTGGGAGACTGAGGCAGGAAAATCGCTTGAACCTGGGAGGTGGAGGTTGCAGTGAGCTGAGATCACGCCACTGCACTTCAGCCTGGGTGACAGAGCAAGACTCCATCTCAAAAAAAAAAAAAAAAAAAGACACAGTTTATTACCATGGATATTGCTATTACTAATACTAATAGTATTACCATGAATGCACAGCCCAATGCAGATGGATGCAGGTGTGTTACATTGGACACTTGAAAACCTCTTATTGCATTGCTGTCCATGATGTGATTTTTTTTCCCCCAAATGATGAAAACCTCTTGGTAAAGTTCCAAACAAATCAAATACAATCTCCTTTGATTTATAAAGTAGTTGCATTCCTGAAAAATTTAGACTATATTAAACCTGTATACAATATTTTTTATTATGTCTGAAAGAGTTAAGTTTGAGACTCTAGGATGCCTGCTGGGACAGTTCTTTGTTGTATAAAACTATCCTATCTAGCCTCCCTGAGGCCCACTCACTAAATGCCAGTCACATCACTTCAATCATTCAGACTAGCAAAAATGCCACCACAATTTTTTTCTTTTTTTTTGAGACGGAGTCTTGCTCTGTTGCCCAGGCTGGAGTGCAGCAGCATGATCTCGGCTCACTGCAAGCTCTGCCTCCTGGGTTCATGCCATTCTCCTGTCTCAGCCTCCTGAGTAGCTGGGACTACAGTTGCCCACCACGACACCCAGCTAATTTTTTTGTATTTTTAGTAGAGACGGGGTTTCACCATGTTAGCCAGGATGGTCTCGATCTCCTGACCTCGTGATCCGCCCATGTCGGCCTCCCAAAGTGCTGGGATTACAGGCGTGAGCCACCGTGCCCAGCCCACAAATTTTTAAAGCATCTCTGAGGAGGTGTAATCAACCTCCTTGAGAATCACTGCTCTGTGTAGCCAAGTGAGGTCCTGAAAAGCTATGTGAAACTTGAATTTTCTTACTGGAATCTAAATTTTCATATATTAAGTTTACTTAAAGTGAGGTGCATTCTTAAAAAAGACAAAATGGATTTTGTGGCATGAACAAAGGTGTTCCTCATTCACTATAGGTAATGTTCTTTGCTCACCCTAGGCAGTAACAAAAGACACTACTGACTGATGCAACTCAAGTAAGGAGAATGCAGAGTTATCTTATGTGTGTACAGACAGCTGATAAACAAAGAGCAGGTGGACTACAAATATGATAAAGATGCACTGGCATAGGTTCAGGCATCTGTGTATTCAGCTGACTCAAAGACTAGGCAAAAGCCTTTGGCCGTCTCACAGGTTGTTGGGGTCAATTCAGGAAAAAGGTGAGCTCAGGGAAAGATGAATGTCAATAGTTGCTAAAAGTTTATTATGGAAACAAAGGATATGAGTCAGGGTAGAGTGTGGATAAGTAAATGTAAATGAAGGGTTAAACATGCTAGTGATGTCACAGTCAGCCCAGGTGAAGCTATCTAGTAAATATCGCTTCATGAATTACATTCTCTTGGATCTGGATTTTGACCCGGAGGAGCCACTGGTGGATGACACAGAACTATATTCCGCCCCTGCCCCCCTATCCTGGAGTGGTAGCAATGAGTTATGATTGGGATCATAATATTGGGAACACTGTTCCCAAGACACCTTCTCCTTCCTTTAAATCTCTGGAAAGCCAGCTCACTTCAGCTGTGTGAGGCAAACATCTGTTCACCATATTGCATTGGTCATAGTGGAGTCTGTTCATCTGTCTCTTTGGGAGAAGAAATGGTGGGCGTGATTCCACACAGATATCTTGGCAGGCTGATAAAGACCACCTTCCAAGCTCCCCAAGCTGGAGCCTTCCCTAAAACTAGCCATGCACAGCTCAGTCTTGCTGTAGTTTGCATGCCTGCAGCAGATTCCCTTCTTTAAGAAGTCTCTGCAAATCAGGCCCAGACAGACTCCATCGCCTATTCACCTAAAGTTCACTAGGCAATGTGCCTGGTGTCATTTGAGCAAGCTGCTTGGCAGCCAATTTTTTTTTAATGATATGATTGCCCAGGCTTTCAAATCCCATTATGAAACTGTTTATCCTTTAATCAGAGCTTTAAAAAAAAATTGACATTTTAGTTTGATGGAAAGAGATGTTGAGGAGAAATATTTGGAAAATTGCTCTATGGGGCCAGATGATGCAGTGAGTCACAATCACTGAACATATTTTGCAGGGAGGAGGTCTGTGGTTGTCCCCATTCTTCCCTGTCCCAGAGCTCTTAATGACAGGCAGTCACTGGCTATTAAGGAAATCAATCCTACCATGGATAGGAAGAAGGTAGAACTAATTCCCAGGACAGCTATGAGATTCATTAGAAGAGTTATTAGGAAGAGAGGCCCACCCAGGCCCTGCCTTAGGGCCCCCTCCACCCTAGTGACAGAAAACAAGGAGGCCCCTAGCTATGTCCTACGTTGCATTCCAAACCCTGCATTGATGCAGCTTGTCTGTTATTGGAAACAGTTACCAGCCAACAGCAGAGTGTTATGCCTGCTGCTTCACTACAGCCACACATAACTTCAGGGCTGCAATATGATCTGCTTCACACAGAGGGAAGGGAGTATGTAGTACATTATACGTACCCAAAGTCAAAACAGGGGACTCAGGATTGGCTTTAAGAGAAACAGTTACATATTTCCATAAACATTCTCTGAGCTGCTCTCAGCTGTTGGGTTTTCTCACATCCACTTATCTAGAGAAAGCTTTGGGTGATACCACAGCATGGCACCCTTGTCCCCTCAAAAGCCCACACACATTTGACTGACTAGGAGAAGTGGGTGTAGGACCCTGGGGCATTTAGCCTCATAAGAACAAGAAAGTTATTTTTTATCACAGCTGAGACCTGGCATCTAGTGTGATGCCTGGCACATAGTAGGAATGAATGAATATAGATGGCACACAATCACTGAATGAGCCATCCCTCCCTCCCCAACCTCTTCCTCTCCCTGTCTTCCCCATTCCACTGCCTCCCACCTTTATTTCTTCAAAAGCAGGGGAAAAATCAGAGTATAAGATCTGGTCATGAAACAGAAAGAGTCAATGTTAGGTGACTAAGAGATAGAAGCAATGTCTGTGTTAGTTAAGAATATGAACTTGGGGATGGGCGCGGTGGCTCACGCCTTTGGGAAGCTGGGGCAGGTGGATCACGAGGTCAGGAGTTCGAGACCAGCCTGATCAACATGGTGAAAGCCTGTCTCTACTAAAAATACAAAAATTAGCCGGGCATGGTGGCATGCACCTGTAATCCCAGCTACTCAAGAGGCTGAGACAGGAGAATCACTTGAACTCGGGGGGCGGAGGTTCCAGTGAGCTGAGATTGCACCACTGCACTCCAGCCTGGGTAACAGAGCAAAACTTCATCTCAAAAAAAAAGAATATGAACTTGGGAGTCAGGTAAACTTAAATTTAACTTTTATCCTTTGCCACTTGTTAGTTGAATGACCTTAAACAAATTACTTACTAGTCCAAGCTTATTTTCTCATTTAGAAAGTGGGTCTAATAATAGTACCTACCTCATATACTTGTGATAAGGATTAGAGATAATGCCTGAAAGTACTTGGCACGCTACTTCAGACTTTAGTATTCAATAAGTGTTAGCTGCTTTTGTTATCTTTCCATATGCTCATTAATACTATGTGGGAATCAACCCAACTAAGCGACCACAGACAGACCTGCATCCCTCTGAGAAAAACTCCTACCTCATCCATCTCTGAAGCAACTGAAGTCTCTAGAATTATTCTTGGTACAGATTTGACCATTTATTAGCTTGGTTTCCATGGTTACATTAGCCAACCTTTGGGCTTTCGCGTCTTCATTGTAAACAAAGATGGCCACTCTATGTACACACCAAGATAATCACATGTGAAAATGATTGTAAAGAGTCCTAAGAGCAAATATGAGTTTTCAGTTTATGCTCTTGTCTAGAGAGCTAATATTTTAGGATTAGGTTAGGGAGTGGGAAGGAATATAAACATCTGGGAGCACTGTGTAATGTGTATCCAAAGACATTTATCCCAACATCACTGACTCATACACATCAATGAATTGAAGGGTTTGTCATTCATAACAATTATGCCAACCATTCTAGCTGCGTATAATCAGTAAACCTGTTTTCTTTGGAAAGCTGAAGAAGTCACATGGTCTCCATTTTCATTCCAGTGATGTTCCATGGTGGTTTTAAAAATTCAGGGGCTAGGGTTAGATAATTTAAAAAAGGCCCAGCACGGTGGCTTGTGCCTGTAATCCCAGCACCATGGGAGGCCAAGCCAGGTGGATTACCCGAGGTCAGGAGTTCCAGACAAGCCTGGGAAACATGGTAAAACCCTGTCTCTACTGAACATACAAAAAATTAGCCAGGCATGGTGGTACACACATGTAGTATTAGCTACTTGGGAGGCTGAGGTGGGAGGATCACTTGAACCCGGGAGGCAGAGGTTGCAGTGAGCCAAGATTATACCACTGCACTCCAGTGAGACTCTATCTCAAAAAAAAAAAAAAAAAAAAAGAGAGAGAGAGAATTAAAAACAAAAAAAACCTCAGGCTATATTTCTACCAGTGGACAGTCATTTTTCTCATACACAGTAAAGCAGTGTATATATAAAACAAAGTAACATGAATGGAAATGAAATAGCCAAGAAGGGAAAAGGGAATAGTGGATACAATCATCTTCATAGTTCAATTAATATTCTACCATGCCAAGAATTTTGCATATATTATCTCAACTCTTGCCTGTAAGTAGATACCATCATCTCCATGTTACACAGGAAGAAGAAATTAAGGCTTACAGAGGTTAAGTAATTTGGCCAAGGTCACAGACCTGTGAAGTGCAGAACACTGCCCTCTTTTAATGTCTGCTTTTCTTGTTTTGTTTTCTTGGATGGTTGAGTGGAACTGGCCACTCTGAGTTACCCTCTGTGTTGACAGAACATGAGGTGAAGTGACATTTAGAGCATTCGATGACTCAGTCTCTTCTTGAACTGGCAAAAATTCAAGAATGAGTTTGTGCCATTGATACTCATTGTCTGTGGAATCCCATACAGTTCTTCCCTAGCTGTAGATCAGGGTCAATCTGCAGTGACAGAACATTCTACTTCTCTAACATACCATCAGTTTTCTCTTATCACTGTAATGATCTGTTGGGTGACCTTCCATCAATCAGTCTGCTGTTCAGTTTCCTTCATTGTCATTTATGAAGCGTATCCTATAAGTAAAGCCCATTTATACTGGGCACATAGGAGACAGAAAAGTGAAAGAGATTATCCCTGCCTCCCCACGAGAAACTACTCTAGTGGAATTGACATGAATAACTAGGTAGGTAGAGAGAAATAGATGGATGAGGAGACTATGACAAATATGAGAATAAAGGCTAGAATAGTTTGCTATACAAGCAGGAAAGGGAGGGTGCTAGCTTGAAGGTGGGGATCTGAAAAGCCATCTTGAAGAGGCAGAATTTGATCTGGGCTTTGAAAGAAGGATGAGGGGCAAATCTTGGAGAAGGGTCGTGCTACCAAGCAGACAGGACTGTCTTGATTATCCAGCTCATAGATGGCCATCTTGTCCTCTTTTTCACTGGGCTCAGGAATAGTCTGAGCTGCTTTCTCCATACTGCAGCCCAAGGGATCACCACCAATTCTACATAACTGGTTGGTATAAGGAATGAATCCTCTTGACCATCCCTGATTTACCCCTATAGTGGCTCTGCAGGAAGGAATGTTAAGCCAAGTAATCGGGGAATTGTTGTATCCCACAGACCTGAGTAGATGACTATTTGGATTTAGAGAGGGTCTTTCAATAAAAATAAAGTACACAACAAATATAAGTACCTACTTATAGACATGTCCTTGGAACCTCTTACCTCATTCCTTACCTCTCTCTCATCTATGCTTCTCATGGTACTTTATTTAACAGAGACATTTGTTATTCACCTACTTTGTGCAGGGCTCTTTGCTAGGTATCATACAAAGATGTATAAAATATGCCATCTGTTCTCGAGGAACCATCAATTTATGGAAGTATAAGACCTACATTCAGAAAACTATACAAGTCCATATAATCAGAAGGTCATGTGCATTGGCATTTTGAAGTTCTACACTCTCCCATCTCTATAAAGTAACTGGCTTGAAAAAAACAATCTGCCTCCAAAATGTAGGGTATGGTCTCAGGAGAAAGTGACTCACACAAAAAGATGATGACTTTTTGTTCTTCTGCTGTCTCAGAATTTTTCTATCTGTATGATTCCACATTCAAATTCAAGTTTTGAGATGAATACCCAGTTCCCTTTGTATTGGGTGACATTCTATGCTATTAATCTCAATTGATAATTTTATCTGTGTAATGGCTTCTAAGTATGAAAAAAACAAAAAAATTCCTCTCCGATATTAAAGTTGGGAACCAAATAGAATAAATGTTTTACATCTGACCCAAGCATGTAGTGGAAAAATACAGAACCTGTATTTTCAAATCATTTAAATGAAACATGAAATTGAAACAGAAAGTCAATAACCAAATTAATCATCTTATTACAAAGAAAATGTAACCTGCTTCATTACTGTAATGGCAAACATCAATAGAGTAGAAAATTGACCAGTTTTCTTACATTAGAAAAAAATCTGATTCCTGGTTGCCTAGGAAGCTCTACTCATATTAGTCTTTATTGCATCTTCTGTAATGAATTAAAGCCTGTAAGGTCTCATTAGCACATTACTAATGTAAGTTTTAAAAGCCATATTAAATAACATAAAATGTTACAGTATGAATGTTGTGAGGCTGAGTGTTAAGAGAACAAATTTACATTTTACTATTTTGAAAGTGAACCCATTTGGTTTTGAAGATATTCAACAGCACATGTAAAATAACCAAGAACTTTATCCAAATTAAATAGCAAGTTGGAAATAAGGGATGTAAGTCTAAGAGGGAAATGTTCACCTTTTATATCTAAAGCAAGTCTTCCCAGATAAACCACTTGGCTGATCAAATCATGGGTCAAGAAGTTTGATCCTTGCTCCATCAAATTGGATTACAATTAAGGTTCTAATGTGTCAAAAACATATTTTAAAATATATTCCTTTTCATACAATATGTTATCTTCATACTCACTCACAGAATTTTAAGATCTTAAAGTGGCATAAATTAAAAGTAATAACAAAAGCTAAGAAAAAAATAACATGGGAAAAGAAAAGGAGTACTCAACAATAAGAGCAAGCTTGGAGGTGCACAGCACATTCCCTCAGACCCTTTCTATTAAAATGGAATGTGCCGCCACAGCATTCCAGTCCCTTTTCCAACCTATAATTAATGTTCGTCTTATTTGTGGTGTGAAACTAAAAATGTTCTGAGAGGTGATATACAGGCATTTCAGAGGGTAGCAGAGGCGGCAGCCAATGCTGTGAAGAGAATGCGAGAACACTACCACGACGCCATCATTTTCTTGCCTGTTCTCACCAAAGTGTTTCAAGCAGAGCCAGCTCCCAACAGGCAGGTATTAGAGACTATAGAGGTGCATTTTGGATGGGAAAGAGGTACTATATGTATATATGTGTATGGCAGATGTTGAGTAGCCTGTGTTAACTCTCTTCTTTTCATTTGTTTCAGCCCTTGAATGTTTTATTATAATTAATGTGTTCATTTTCTGTACTCATGCCCAGAGCATGTTGCAATAGGCATAATTTTAAAAATTGGAGAAATCCATTAAATAAATAATTAGTTTAAGGTGATAAAATACATTAAATGATTGAGAACAACTAGTACCAGCTCTGAATAAAGCAATTTTTTAAGAAAAAAGACACACTTTTAGAATTCCAACTTCAGAGTACTACTCTATTTGTCTAAAAATACAAGGTTGGCACCAAGCCCAGAAAGGTGGCAAGTGGAGCTTTGATAGACCAGGACAGACAGGAGATTCCAGAGCCGAAAGATCCCTGGTCAACATGCCCTGCCTTCAGTTGTCCAAGATCTAAATGGAGGATCTATTAGCAGAGACCCAGAGTGCATTTCAGCTGTCACCATTTGTGTATACAGAGACAGCTTAATTTTAGCAAGGAGGATGACTTAGTACCTGATGCTTTCAACCTCTGGTACCAAGGGATTTTAGATAGAATTCAAGTTGAGAGGATAAATGAAAAAATGTCTTTTTGTGGTTGGGATGGGGTAAATGTGTGCATGAGTGACTGATATAGGTATATGATAGCTATTGTTCACTAATATTAAAAGCTTGGGGAATTGGTTTCTCATAAATCTCCGAGTCATATATAGAATGCTGAAATGTACATATCCCCTTATCCATCTATAATTAAGTGGGCCTAAGTTTTACCCAATAGCTAATCATGGATTACTATAACCATTCATTTGAAACACTTTGTCTTCATAGCTAAGTATGTCTTCCTATACATCCTTGCCCATGCCCTGAATTGGGTAATAAGGGTCTTTTGTAAGGCCTTTTTGTGGTCTTAGACTTTGTGTAAAGGTGTTTTGTGGGTTCCTCTGGATCCTTTTTTTTTTTTTTTGTCTTCCAGAAGTCTCTTTCCATAAAAGCAAATTTGTCAGTTACAAAAAAAAAATGAGATTAAATAGAATAGTGTTTGTAAATGTATGTGTAAATGCAACATAAATGTCGATCATTTGATGCAGATCAAAATTGGCATACTAATCTAAAAGTACACAAAAAGTGTATTTCACTGTTTAAGTCTTATCAATTTAAGTTTGTACTCAGAGTTTCTAATATTGGCTAATTTCAGATTTTGCATCTTCAGATTCTCATGACTACAGTTACACTTAATGCATTTCAAGGGAAACAGAAATTTTTTTTCTCTTCTTCAAATGATTTGTTTTTCCTTATTTATCGGGATAGAATGTAAGATAGATTAATTCAAAAAAAAGCTCTCTAGTATCTGTTGACAATTTTTAAAATAATGCTAATTGCCACAGAGAGGGTCTTCTTATTTAAGTTATCATATGACCTTGGACCCCAAAACTACTTCTTTATCCATAAATTGTAATAGAAACATCCTCCCTTTTTTCTTTTCCCAAATAATGTGACATTCAGTCTTTCACTGGTCATGAAACATTTTTGAAATATGCCAAGTGTTATATAAATGTAAGGTAGTATTATCCATTGCTAATCCTGTTTTAAGGACTTTCATGTGTTCAGAGGTTTTACTAAGTGTTATCATGTCATATTTTCTCAGTGGCTCTGTTTCAGTAAAAAAGCACTAGATCTAAATGTAACTGAATTAATTAAAGCTTGGTTTTTGCTTGTTTGGTTAGTAGAATTTACCCATATTATATCTGTGCACACGTTCTCTGTGCCTATCCTCTTTTCCATCTGCTTCATATCCCTTGGACTTCACAAAAGAAAGGATGGAAATGATAAAAAGAGGCCACAGACAAGTTTATTGGGATTTTTTTGGTGGTGGGGGGAGGTGACAAATTTTCAAAATCTCCAATCCTGTTTCAGTTTCTCCTAGAAACAGCTGGAAAAATGACAACCCTATTCATTAAGTACAAAGTTAATCAACTAAGTGTCTGGCCTCCCAGCAATAGAGGAAACCCCAAACAGAGGTAACACTAGAGCAATGCAGGTCCAGCTGCTTGGTCTTCATTAGGAGGGCTTGGTTTTTTCCCATGTTTTCCCATGTTGTTGAGTATGGGAGTAAGAAAATGCTTGTCCTTAGCGAATACTTTAAGAGCAATTGTTCTGAATACAGAATGAGGAAACTGGAGTTTAAACTTTGCAGAGCCATTGCTAAGAACATCTCCTTCCTAATGATGCCTTTCTTTACAGAGCCTCATAGAGTTCATACAGCTCTTCACAGAGTTGGCTTCAAAAGTGGTCCCAGAGATGAATGGGCAAGCCACTGTTGCCAAGCCTGCTGAGAATCTGAGATGTCAAAGTGAAGTGGCTTTATAAAAGACACTTGTTTCTGCTTAGGTTCTAAAGCATCTAAAAGAGGAAAGAAAAGTTACCATTTAAAGCCAGAAACTTGACTGCCTTCTTTTTGCAGGCTAGGGGAAAGCAGAATCCACCTCAGGAGAAAAAGCTTTGTATTCAGGAAAATGCCTTGCTGGAACTATTTAGGTGTGCAATGTGAGCTGCTGCCTCTTCCCAGGCATCATATTTCTCAAAGGAGAAACAAAAACAGCAATATCAGTGCACTTAACATAATAGGAGAGAAATTTGGGAATGAGGACCCTGCAAAAGACAAAGAGGGAAATCACAAGAAAGACCAGGAAAATAAAAGGAGACAGATCTGGGAGGAGAGACAGCAACAAGGAGCTGCCAGAGGCAGCTGGTGGACCAACCATTGGCTGCGTGTCACCCTCGGCCACTCCTTTATTCACAACAGCCTTGGGGGGAAGTGGAAGGAATTCAGGGACAAGTTTGGGAAAGAAAGTATGCCACCCTTCTACTCTCACAGAAATACTGACAAAGCACTGTGGAAACATTAAGAACCAACCAACTAGCCCTTTCTTGGAGAGTCTGGGCTTCACCAAGAAGGTGATGGAAGGGAAGGTGCTTACCCACTTGGGCAGAAACAGCAGGCAGGGCATTTCTCTGAGGGTACAGCATATGCAAAGGCTTGGAGGTCTGAAGGGACCTGAGGAGCTTAGACAAAAAGCCAAATTGTGGTAGCTCTTTTTAATCAGGCTAAAACATGTTTTTCTTTACTGTTAAAAAGTGAGTAACTAAAGAAGGAATTTAGGCAGGAGAAAGACAAACAGATTTGTGTTGTACAAAGACAGCTCGGGTGTGTGCCTTCCAACCACTTATTTACTCAACAAATATTCACCAAGCTCTTTTGTGCTGGGGCTATGCTAGGCACTGGCGATGTGGTGATGAATTAACAGACTAATTCTCGCTTTCATGGCACTCACAGCTTGGTTAGAAGATAGATGTTATAAAATAGTCACAAAAATTAAAGTTTAATTTTAAGTGGTGGCAAATGCTATGCAAGGAGTGCTTTGATGGAGAATTAGAAGGGAGACCTAACTTTGATTGGGCCTCAGGAGGGAGTCAGTTCATTTAGGGCCACCCACCTGAAACTTGACAGATGAACACACATGAGCCAAGCTAGAAGGGATATAGGGGCTACATACCACCTGGGGAGCTAGAGGCTGAACAGTCAATCAGGAAACTATTCTGAAGGTCCAGACAGGTTCCTGAATTTTCATCTACAATTCAGGGGTTTGTCTGTGTTGGTGTTTAAAGCCACCTGTAGCTCTGAAGTTCTACAGCAAGTAAGCATCTGCTCACATTAGGCTAGGAGAGGATTAGGAAGGAAATGAAAGATATGTAAGATAGGGGTCCTCAACAAACAGTGACTGTCCAACAAATTGAGCTTTTGGTAGAGATTCAGAGAGTTTAGCTGTAGGGATGTATTAAACTTCATAGATCCTTGATAAAATTCTTACAGTACTTTTAGTTGTTTCTCACTGAAATGTTAGAACCATGTACCACTCCCCAGAACCCAACTTCTGTTTCTTAAAGTTTCTCCTCCTGTATTCCCTCTTATTTAGGGCTCTCCAGTCACAAAGTATATATGTGTATATATATTTGAAACTTACAATGTCTAATACAGAATTGAACACACACTACACATCATCATCATCATCTTTATAGTAGAGATAAAGGTGTTATTAACCAGCCAAAGAACTGCCATGTAATTGGTGACCACCAATAACATACAGGGACAGTGCCTTGCACTCAAAACTATTTGGATGGATACATGAATATACAAATGAACTCTGCTTCAAAGTGTTCAACTGAGAAACAGTACAACACCTGCCACAATCTCTCTAAGGCTGTGATACACATAAAGTGTGATTCTGTGCTGTCCTTAAGTGCTTCCACTCATGTGATAGACAAAAGGCAGGAGGTGTTCCCACTCATTCCCTACACTCTCAAAACAATTCTTGTTCTGCCCACTCAGTTTCTCTTCCCACCCCTGATAAGCTCCAAAGAGCTTCTCTCCCTGATTTTCTGGGCTTTTATATTCAGAACTGGGAGAAAATTGAGCAAAAGAGGTGAAAATAGGCTTTGGCCAGGCTTGAGGGAATGGAGCAAATTTTATTTTTGTTCTTTTCATATTTATGGGCCACTTTTTCAGTAATTTTTATACTTTTACATAATAGTATCACATCATAAATTCTACTTTCTTTATGGGGGCCATTTTAAATAAATCTTTACTTTGTTGGTTTGCTTACCTTCACATCCCCAGGAAAAGTTTATTGTCTGTCCATCTGCGCATCTGTGTGTATGCCTGTGTGTTTGTCTGTCTGTCTGTCTCCTATCTTCTTTTGGGCAGAGCAAGCTGCCAAAGAAGCTGCAGTAAGCAAGGGGAGAGGAATGGTGAGAAAAAGGGAATTTTAAGCAGGGTTACTCTAATACATGAGTCTTCTTTAGAGCATCCAAGAAAAGCAAGCAAAGGAGATCCGCTATTATGAAATTCCTCCTCGGCTATTGGACTGTTTGAACAATGAGGACACAGCTCTGAAACAGGCTAAGGGGAGACTGCTCTGATTCTCTAGGCAGTGACTGCCTTCTACTTGGTCTCCTCCTGACTGCTCTTCTACTTAGTGATGACAGATTCTAATTTCAGAAATGTAGACACAGGAGCTGAAACAGGTGCAGGCCTAGACTCATGGAGAGAAGGTTTAGGGAGGCACATTTAAGCTCAGTGCATTTACAATTTTTCTAACAAGTGGAAGTAATCCATGAAAGAGTGTGTACCCTGCCAAAGTGTTAACAGCACTGATGAAATAGGTCTCATTGTAGGTGGCTAGGCTAAATAATACCTAAGGCCCTCACCTACACCAAAACGCCACTGATTTAGACATTCACTAAACACACATTGCATTGTATGGAGACATGTTCAACCATTGTGCAAACCCAAGATGGGGCCCTTGTCCCAACCCCACCTCAGTTCTCCAGAACCCCAAGTAACCTGGCTATTTTTCAAGCTGATTTCTCAATAATTCTGATGGGAAGAATGTACTTTTCCAGATTCCATTTTTTCCCCACATACCAAAAAGACTTGTCTAACCTGTCAGCCTATAACTACCACCAAACTCAGCATCAAGGTTTATCTTAACTTAAAAAAAAAAAAAAAAAAGACAAATACTTGTGCAGTTCAAGTGCAATACAAATAAAACTGGTTACGGGGCAGTTCAAACGATTTGGAAAAGGCTTCCTTAATATCTTGGAGAGGCAGAAGTTCTGTCAGTGACCACAAATTGAGTTCATACTACTCTTCAATACTTTGGGCATGGCAGAAAAATGTTAAAATGCAAGATTAGCCTGCCTTTGGGTGACAGTATAGCATCTGGCTCTACCCTCTGGGAGGTTCTTAATCTTCCATTATTGTCCTTTGCTGCCTCTGAAGTGGGTATTGTGGCATATGCCCTCCTTACTAGCTTTCTGTTCAGGGAAGTTTGAGGGCCAAGGGTCATTTTAAGTTCCTTGCTTTTTAGACAGATACAACTTTGTCAAAAATTCAGTAGACTTCCCATGTATTTGCTTGCATTTAGTCCCATCTGCCAGTAACATCTACAGGTTTTGTTTGAGATATGGCTTTCAAAACTGCTTTATTTCTTTGTGGATGCCTTTGAACTTAATGGCAACACACCAAATCCAATATTAGCCCCGAATCATTTGAATCATCTGTTTCTGGGCATTTGTTATTCACGGCTATTTTATATCACATTTCTCACAGTTTGTGGTTCAAATGCAGTGGGTTTTCCAATCTTTTAACGCCTCGCATTTCTGGACTCTGTGGCCTTTGATTTGTACCAATTCGTTCTAAAGTGTGTGCATGTCTCCCTCCCTTTTTTAAAATAGTACTTTGCTGACTGCAGCCAATAGTGGCCAAACCATACTACTACTTTATATCTTCTAAAACACTCCCCTTGAGCTGCCATCTCAGTACTCATGTGGTTCCTTTTCTAAATTATCACAGGTGAGAGTTCCTACATTTTTTTTCTACTGACTAGCATCAGCTCCACGTTTTTAGTCTCCATTACCAATTTCCTCTGCCTGTCACCTGACTGCTAAGCCACATACAATGGGGCTTTGTTATGGTAGCCGATACAGTTTGGATGTTTTCCTCCTCCAAATCTCATGTCAAAATGTGATTCCCAATGTTGGAGCTGGGGCCTGGTGGGGAGACATTGGATCATGGGGATGGATCCCTCATGAAGGGCTTAGTGCCATCCCCTTGGCGATGAGTGAGTTCTTGCTCAGTTATTTCACATGAGATCTTGTTTAAAAGTCTGGGACCTCCCCACCCTCTCTCTCTTCCTCCTGTTCTCACCATGTGATATGCCTGCTCCTGCTTCACCATGACTGTAAGCTTCCTGAAGCCTCACCAGAAGCGTAGCAGATGTTGGCACCATGTTTGTGTAGCCTATAGAACTATGAGCCAATTAAAACTCAATAAATTACACAGTCTCAGGTAATTCTTTATAGTAATGCAAGAACAGCCTAACACAGCAACACCCATATGTGGCATCATATGCTGGTTTTGTCATTAGCTAGTTTATGCTACAGAAACAAGCTCACCCCTCAAATATCTGTTTATTAGTATTTAAAAGCTCATTCTTTACTCAAAGTCCACCATAGGTCTAATGACTTTCTATGACACCTCCCTTCCAAGTAGTGATTCAGGGATCCAGGCTGTTTCCATCCTGTTAGTATGCAACTGGAACACATGGCAAATGGAAAAGAACGCTGAGATCATCAAGTAGCAGCTCTAAAATGCTTTGGAAAAATGGTTACATGAAGTCACTTTTCCTCATAGCCCTTGGCCTTGCCAAACAGTCCTTGCCTGTTTAGTGAATAGCAAATGTCTCTGGTACACATACTAAATCAAACTCTGAGAGTAGGGTATGAAATCTTCATTTTAATACATAACCCAGTGTTTGAGAACATTTGTTTTCAGATAGGTGATGGTATTCCTGTGCAATTCATAATAAAAGTGAAGTTCAGAAATGTTGCAAATTACCCAAGTTCACATAAGGTCACACAAATTTAGTAGCAAAGCTGTTTGTGCCTCTTAGTTCAGGTCAATTCCAAACCACTGAAGTATAAAAACCCCATAACAATGAAAACTATAATATTTACTTAAGACCATAGAATGAGGAATCATGCATTCATTTTCTTGACTGGAGCCCTAAGAATGGAAGGAAACAGTATCAGAAAAGAGGTGAAAGCAGTGTGTTTGCAAAATCAGACAAAAGCCGAAAGGACAGAAGGAGAGGAGGGAAAAACATTTTCCCACAGAAGAGGAAACAACTTGGTCAAGTGTAAATCTGCTAATGCTTCATACCCATAAGCTTAAAACAAGTCAAAAACCTCTGATTAGATCTCCCTAGTCCTTAGCTGGACCAGATGACAGGATTTGAAAGATGTGTGATGTACCTGGATATTACGAGGATTGGGGACAACACTTTGTACTTCCTCAGAGTTGGCTTCATGTGTGAGCTCCAGTCTTGCACAGAAACTGCTTCAAATCTGCAACAAAAGTTCACATTTGCTGAGAGTGAAAATATTCTGTCAAGGTGAAGGGATAAGCCTCAGAACTCAGGGAGTTTGCTTTGGAATTTGCCAATTTTATCCTTGGATCATACCAAAGAAGAAAAAATAAATGTGGGTGAAGAAGAGGGAAATTCTTCCTTGCTAAGAAGACAGAAATAGCTTGAGCTAATTATATTAACCTAAAAAAGTAGGAGAAAATTAACGAGAAATAAGAATCTTAACTCTGGAAATAGCCTCTCTTCTGTGCTATTGAAATCCTGTACCCTTTGGTGGAACAAGCTCAGGTCAGAAGCTAACCTGCCAAAACGAAATTCTAGAAATAGGGAATGCTTTCAGGCATCTTGAGTCCAGCTAAGTATATTCCAGCATTTTTCCAAACTTTTGGGTTCAGTAAAACATGATTCCAATTTCGCCTCAGGCCTTTACTTTTGGGAAACTGTATGTATTTTTGAACAAATTCAATTTAGATGTTTCTTATTTTCCTGCCCTTTAACTCATTAGAATGTTATTTTGTAGGAGTCATTTGTTTGGGAAGCAATCCGATTCTTTTGGAAAAACTTTGAAAGCCTTTGTTGTTGGGATAATAAGCAAAATGTTGCCTGTTTTTGAATCTATACATTCAAAGTGAACAGGAAAATTATGGAAATTATCTAAATCAAGGATTCTTATAATGTGGTCCCCAGACCAGTGGCATCATCATCACCTGAACACAAGGCCCTGACATCCACAAGGGCCTCATAGTTGGTTCAATGCTATAACCACATTGAAATTCCTGTAACTTGATATTGGTAGGTAAAGTTCAATGAGATACTGGGACATTCATGGGACACATGGTGAATGAGTGTGAGCAGAGATATATGCAATATGTGTACCTGCAGTTCTTGCTGCCCCATTTACAGATAACATTTACAACGGCCCATGAGCACAGAATTTCAGTGGCCCCATATGCATGAGATTCAGAGTATAAAGTAAGCGTGTCACTTCAATAACTGAATAAACGGGGGCAGAAAGGGAACTGGAGGGGTTACTGACAGCCCAGAGAAGTCACATTTTTCATTTGAACCAGAACTTTGCTTGAACCCAAAAAGAAAGCATTCTAAGAAACATGAACCACCAAAGAAGCCTATCATATTCTTTCTAACTTGTGTATTAGCCACTGCTTACACTCAAAGAAGGAAATCCTTAATCCTTGACTAAGGCAACTTATGGTTCCTCGTCCTGTCAGTATTTCCTTACCCATCAGTAAATGAATGGAAGCCAACTTTTCTGGAATGTGTCCACATCAAGGAGTGAAACAAAAACAGCAGAATCAGTTATATGGCACAGCTCTACTCTTCCATTAAGAATGGAATACATCTGTATGTACGAGCTATTAAGGATGAATTGCATACTTTCAGTGACTCCTCAGACAAGTTAAATGCTCTTGAAAATTGACGTTGTATAATCTACAGATGAATAATACAATTCTTGTTAATAATTTACTATTTTTTTCTTAGGACATTAAACAAAAACAAATAAAAATGTCATGACTGGTTGAAAGAGATCATGGAAAATAGGAAACAGTTTTTATCTTTTATTATCTTATTTAATGAAAACTTTTCCTGCTTTTTGAATAAGGGACCCGCATCTTCAGAGTGTGTGTGTGTGCACGCGTGCGCACATGTGGGTGTGTGTGTGTGCATGTATGTGTGTGTGCGTGTTTGTGTGTGTGTGTGTGCAAGCTCTGGGTCCCACAAATTAGGTAGCTCTGACCAAGAAATTAATATAACATGCAAATTCTTGAGCTCATGCTCAGATTTAAGAACCATTGGCCAGATTATTTCAGCTGGAGAACCCCATGACTCTATTTATCCAGAAGTTTCAGGTCTGATTAAGTAACCTTATTTCTTTTACCTACTCTATGAAAACAACTCCAATAAGAGGCAGGACGGAGCACCACTCCACTGCCTTCAGACCTGGCCTCTAAATATCTATTGCCATTGCTTGTGAGCCTCTGCTGTGGACTCAGCGCATCTGTGTCCACCCCAAGGCAGCCATGCAACCATGGGCAGGATTCTCAACCTCTCTGATCCTGTTTTCTCAGCTGCAAAATGGAGGTATTAATGCCTGCCTCTTGGGGTAGTTAGAGGAATGAAATCAGCTGATACATGTAAAATATTTAGCACAATGTCTGGCACATAGTAAATACTCAAGGAAAAGCATATTACGATTAAATTATTAGTAGTCATTATTATCTATGTTCCTTATTGCTAGTCCTGTTAGCTTCTTCTTAGACAAATCTCTTAGGCATCACCCTTGCATAGCTCTCCCGGGTTCCTCGCTCTGCCTCAGGTTGGGATGTAAAATACAGAAGAAAAACCCAAGAGTAGAACCTTACTTTTCCTTTTACTTGCAGAGGGGACAGAAAGAGAAACAAAACAGGTTCTTTCATATTCTTGATTAGGCATTTTCTTGCCTAAAAGTGGTATGTTCTGCCTTCCTAAATAATTTTGCTTTATTTTAAATCTAAAGTATACAAGGAAGTCCCTATCACCCTTGACTTGATATTGTGTAGTAAAGAGAGTTCATAATAGCTAACAGCCTGAACTTTGGAGAGGGAACCACCTGTATCCTGACTGCCACTCGCTGGCCGAGTGATCACAGGCCAGCAACAGACCAGTGTTGGATCAGTTTCTTCAAATGAACAAAAACAACCCACTTTATAATATAGTGGAGAGGACTAAGTGAAAGAAAGTATGTTATTCTTCAAGCACAATGACTTGATTTTTGACCAGATTCCTATAAGCTGGAGCCCAGAAAGGTCTCAGGTAGGGATCTCTGGATAATATTTTGCCTGGAAGAACATTCCAGCCAATAGCACGCTATGAAACTTCTATAATGATTCATTACTGGTCAGCACGTTCTTCCAACACTCAGCACATGTTCCTATCCTGACATTTCCTGCTCTTTTCATGGCTCAATTTCTGGAATCTAATAAAAATGATACTGTAGTAACCATGGTGGGAGTAACGGCTGCCTGAGTAGCAGTAGCAGCGGATATTTGAGAACTTATAATGCCAAAGGGACTGTGCTAAGATCCTTTTATGTATCCCATTTAGTCCTCACAAGCCTACAAGGTAGTTATTATTATCCCCATTTCACAAGAAACTAAAACACAGGAAGTATTTTAAGTTTTAAGGTCATATAACTAATCAGTGGATGTCCCCACCCTTTCCTAGCCCGGTCCCACTGGCCCTCATGCTACATCTCGTCGTTAGAGAAATCCCCATAATCAAGTGTTGCAGTAAATACCCAAGTAGTGACAGGGGACCGAGGAGTGTCCATCTGCCCTTTCCCCCCTGAGCATAAGAGCAGGAAGTTGTGGAGAAAGTAGAAAGTCCTCACTGTTTCATCAGCAGCCACTGTGCCATCTGGACTCATCACTAAATCTTCCTCTTAAGGGGAAAATCCTTAAAACATCAATACCCATTGAACAATGAGTATAAAGTTTCATTTATACAAGATGAAGAGGTTCTAGAGACCTGCTGTACAGCACAGTGCCTATAGTTCACACTATTGTATTGTGCACTTGAACATGCAGATCTCAAGTTAGGGGTTCTTTCCACAAAAGCAGGGAAGGGACAGGAAGAAACTTTTGGAGGTGATGGATATGTTTCCTTCTTTGATTGTGGTGATTCTTTCACAGGTATATGCATGTGTTCAAAACCATCAGATTCTATACATTAAGTATAAACAGTTTTTATATAATCATTATACTTCAGTAAAGCTGTTAGATTTTTTAAACCATAAATAAAACTAATAAGGTCTCTCATGTGAAAACAGGGGAAGAATATTTGACATGAAGCCACTATGTGAACTGTCTGAAATCTCATGTCTGCTACTCAACTACCCTACCAGAGTCAGACTCCCAGGATCCATAGAGAGCTTTCTGCCTCCTCCTTCAAATATTCAAGGATGTATCTCTAGACTTCGAGCTTCTCCACATCTACATTTCAGCCCAGGCACAGACCCTAGCTCATGAGATATGTCCACTATATACCATTAATAGATTAATTAATCCATCTATGAGCTATGGCCCTCATTCTACCCAGCAAAAGTAATGGAGGCCTATGTTTGACTTGGGAAGGAAACCACGTCTCTCCCCCTAAACACAGGAATACAGCTGGGGACAATAGGGAGGAAATGTAACTAATTTATTTCACAAGCATTGCCAGGTACTGCCCTCAGCACCTGGGTAACAGTGATTGGTGGGGACAATATTGGGGCTAAATAGAGTGGTAGCCATGAGCCTTGACTGGAGGCAAGAAGAGCTTGATTTGAATCAAAAATCTACAAATTGCTACTCTAGAAACTTTAGGAGAGGTTCTCAACAGCTCTGTGCCTCAGTTTCCTCATCTGTAAGCAGAAATAATAGTAGCACCTACCTCATAGAGTTCTTGGGGATTAAATAAGATAAAGCACATGAATTATTTAGCACAATGCTCAGCATATGGTAACAATAAATGTTACATGCTACATGACCACAATACAATGATCCCTGCCCACAGAGCAGATGTTAGCACAGTTTTTTTCTATAAAGGGTCAGACAGTAACTGTCTTATGCTTCGCAGTCCACGTATGGTCTCTGTCACAACAACTCAACTCTGCCATTATAGCACAAAAGTAACTACAGATGATACAGAATTGAATCTTGTAGTGTTTTTAACATGTCATGAAATCTCATTCTCCTTTTTTTTCCAATCATTTAAAAATGTAAAAGCCATTCTTAATTCACCGACTCCCCTCTCCCCAAAACAAGACAACAGGCTGGATTTGGCTTGTGGGCCATCACTTCTGTCACGGGGGAGCAACGACTGTCTAGGCCAGTGGCACATGGGTAAAAGAATTTCCTAAGACAGTTGTACATAAAGAAAGGCAGATTTATTAGAGAAAGTATGAAAATACGTTGTGAGATGGCAATGGGCAAATCAGCAGAAGAGGAGCTGACTGCAAGGAAACAGAGGCTTGCTGGAGATTTTATTGAATTGTGTTTATGGTGTATGCTGAAGAGGGCTTTGTGCAGTACTGATAATGCCAAGGTTGCAGTGAGCTAACTTGCAGATGTCTGGTGATAAGATGGGCACAGGAGGGCTGCGTGTCCTGGATCATGGAGAAAGGCAAATTTATGGCTTATCTGCTTTCTCTTTTTCCTTTCTCCTGGTCCCACCAGCCTGACTCCTTTTCCCTAATTAGGACTCCACAGTTTCTGACCCCTGGTCTGGAGCGGAAATTGGAAAATATACAAGCTGTTGCAGTATGATGTGTTTGTTCAAAGTGCAGAGAAGGGAGGGGTTTGTTCAGCCTGGCAGTGGAGAGGAGGAAGAACAACAACACCTCCATAAAAGAGAAAACACTTGAACTGGGCTTTTGAGAGTCAGTAGGAGTTCAACAGATGATACTGATAAAAGAAGGAGTCTGGGTGTGGTGGTTCACTCCTGTAATCCCAGCACTTTGGGAGGCCGAGGTGGGTGGATCATGAGGTCAGGAGTTCAAGACCAGCCTGACCAACATGGTGAAACCCCATCTCTACTAAAAATACAAAAATTAGCTGGGCGTGGTGGCATACACCTGTAATCCCAGCTACTTGGGAGGCTGAGGCAGGAGAATTGCTTGAACCCAGGAGGCAGAGGTTGCAGTGAACAGAGATCACACCACTGCACTCCAGCTTGGGTGACAGAGCAAGACTCCATCTCAGAAAAAAAAAAAAGAGAGAGAGAAGGAAACAACCATTAGAAAAAGAATGAGCAAAGGGGAGAAAAAAACAGTCTCTGCTTACTGAAAATGCATTTTTAAAATAGATTTTAAGAAATACATTCTTTGTTATCTCTGGTAATCTCATTATGAAAAGTGGCCAAGTCTTTTGTCAACAAAATCATTTCTCTGTATTTTTTTAACCCAGATATACAATGGATTAGCTTAAAGAAAATGGGGATTATTTGCAATTAGTTTTAAACTCAGATGCCTGGAATCCAAAAATGTATTATTTAAAGATATTTTTAATATAGAATAACTAGAACTTGTTTAATGATTCCATATTGAACCTTTAAAAATGTCTTTTTAGTTCTACAAAACAAATCTATGCCTTTTCAACCTATTTAGCATCTGAGGCACAGAAGACTACAGAAAGTAAGTTGGAAAATACATTTTGGACTTGTCATATTCTTTTATTCAACAAGCATGTATTGAGCACCCACTGGGCACCAGGCACTTAGGAGGATGCTGAGTGTGCACACGGACGTGCAAAGGCACATCATCTACCCTCACAATGAAATAAAGGAACACTTAGCAGCATATTAAAGCAGGTCCAAGGCATTTGGACAAAAGGGAAGAAGTTCTACCAAACTCATTGTAGATCATTATGGGAAGCTCGTACTTTCCGCCAGAGGCATTTCTTCTGTACTCTTTACTCCACTTATACTCCAGGTGTTCCAATCATCTGAAAAAAATGAACAATGCAATGCTGAGGTATGAACAAATGCCCTTATACCTACAACTATATAAATATACCAAAGTAGGGAAGGAGGTTGGGAGGGCTGGGGTGGGCTATTTCAGACCAGTGGTTACCCTCCAGTGTTGCTTTGAAATCCATTCCAAGGCAACTAGAGCTATTAAAAAGCAAGCAATTCTTACCTTATCATGCCTGCAAGAGGAAAGACTTTGCTCTCATCACTGAGAACTGGTTTTCTGAAATTAAATAACAATCCAAGACCAGTATGTCTAGCAGGGTGTTGGAGATCAATACTCCAAGGCAAGTGAAAGGCAACTAGAAAAGAAGGTGGTCCACAGGCTGGAACCCCAAAAATACAAGAGTGGAAGGAAACTAATGACTGATGGTATAAGTTACCTGTCCTTTCAAATGCATGGACACCCAATAGTGTTCCCACAGAGAGAACACCTTCACCACCCTTTCTCTGGCAACCAAACCAAGGGTTTGCTTTTTCATTGATCTTTCCCCAAATTAAGCCAGCATTAGAAAGAACCTAGAGAAAAGGGTGCAAACAGAGTTGTTTTCTCCATTGGCCTCTCTGTCTCATACCTTTCACTTAACAATTTTCATGGCTGCTCAGCAAGCCACTCAAGAACTGCACTTCCCCATGGCAAAGACACCACAATACAGCAATTAATTTCTCTGATTCAATATGTTTACCTATGAGTCAGTTGAGTGAGAGTATCCCATAAGGGAAGAAGAGAACATTCAATCTTTTTTTTTTAATATTAGCTCTGAAAAGTTTTATTACCAAGAATCTGGACAAGCAATACTAAACGAAAATAATAATCAAATCCAAAGCAGCTCCATTTGTCATAGAAACATATCTGATGCAAGGGCCTGGTCAGGAAGAAAAATAATTCATAGAAAAGAAGGCCAAGAGGCTCCAAGATCTTAAGAACCTGTGTTTTATATCAAGAAGCGTTTTTGCTTTCTTCATTTTAATTTATACTTAGTGGAAATTGTTCAATGATATTAATTCTCTGTTTATTTTAGGAGAAAGGGAGTTTATAATAGTTATCGCAAGATTCAGATAAATCTGCCCTGTTACCTCCCTAACCCAATTCACTGTCATCTCTACCCAGACTCCAGTAATGGCCTGCCCAAGACCCCTCCCTGCCCCTAAAATGCCATCTCCTGATTCTCCCCACATCTTGCTCAATCTCAACTGTCAGTTCTCAGATTAAATGCTGCTTCCTCAGAGAAACTATTGCTAGCTACTGTGCCCACCACTTACTGTCTCTCTCATTGGATTTATTTCCCAATTGCTTTCATGACACATAATATGATCTTCTTAATCTGGCTTATTTGAGGGGAGAATCATATCTGCCTTATTTACTGCTGTGTCCCTAGCACCTAGCACTTAGCGTTTGGCCCCTGAATAAATAAAACCGTGATATGATCAGCCAAGCACTAGGCTTAATCATTTTTAATTTTTTTGTTTAATCTTACAAAAATCCTCTGATAAAGGAGCTACTACCCTCACTTGCTAAACAAGGGACCAAATGCATAGATAAGGTCACCTGGCTTGTAGGTTAAAAATTGGGATTTTCACTTAGGTCTCTCTGACTCAAAAATCACTTATATTTCTACCAAATCATGTTGCCTTTTAAATAGGAAATTTTTCTCATAAAAATGAAGGTTTTGAACTTTTTTAATATCCAAAGACTTTGGATCCTGACCTACAGAGCTTCATGTTTTTAGACCAAAGTTCCTACAATACTCAATTGAATAAAGACATTTAAATTATAGGCTTCTCATTGCTTGTGAAATTGATTTAACACTCTTAACCTTCCATCCACATACATGCCAGCCGAAAACTACCAAGAGGAATTTTTCATACTAGTTAATAAATGTTCATTGCTCAGCCAGATAATGACTATGATTGACATTCCATTTATAATTGCTTATGAATTGACCTCTTATACATAAATCAAGACTATAGCCTATGCAAGTATAATTTATAGGACTGTTTTAGTTTAGGCATACATAATCTTCGGGAGGCATATGCACAGCATAAGCCTTCCCAATATAAACAGAATGATACATATATATGTGTTGCATATGTATGTATAATTATATATATCCCACATACACACATATATTATTTTATATATAGCTATAAAAAAACTCTCTCACTGGAAAACTAAACATCGTCAAAATGTATTGCCAAAAAATACAATCAACCCATTTATTCATTAAATTCTTATTTATGTGTGTTTTCTTATCTAGTTATTTGCAGTAGTGTGTTTGCCAGGGCATGACTGTAATTTACTTCCATTCCATCAGAGATCCATGATCCATAATATCCTCACCTATGTGAAGCCACATTGAATGGTATTAAATAAAGCCTAAAGTGTGGGACCCAAGCCACAGAGGGTACACAAGATAATCTATGTGGTAGACTCCATGGGGTAATGGAAGTTACAAGGAGAACCATTTTAAAATCAGTCTGCACATCAGAGTGGAGCCAGTCCCAGGCTGCAGAGAACAACATTTCACTGTATTTATTTATATGGTTACCTTCTTTTTGTGGCAAATAATATCAGTTTTTCATGTATGACAGTAATATTTAGTTTCCTTTTTGGCTGTGTATATGTAAAGAAAAATATGTCAATTTAAAAAATATTTTGTAAATAATTGTACAAATGGTATGCAGAATGGCAAAAATTATGCAAGTTATATGCAAATGACTGATGGATAAAGGTCTGGGAGTCAGAGTTTACCACTTAATAACTGAGTAAACTTGAGTAAGTTACTCAGCCTCACTTAAAAATAGCCCCAGCAACATCAGGGCTTTTGTCTGTTTAAAGGGGAAATATGCCAGATGAAACATAGCCGATGCCTAATACATGATCTTTGTAATAATAATAACTGCCTTTATTACTATTAACTACCATTAGTGAGACGGTGTTTGTGAAGCATGAAGCACAGAACCTAGCCTATCATAGATGCTCAGCAAATATGGATTATCAAGATAGCTGCCCTCCCAATGGATCTGTAAACACAAGTATGATTCATGACTCAGTGTTAGCTGATATTTATCTAAGGTGTGAATGGCATGTGGCGTATTTTAAAATGTGAACTTAAAGATTGTTGTGAATGATTGGTATGACATACAGAATTCTAAGTAAATAGTGAAACAACCTTACTGTATCAGCAGTGTCTGGGAGGAATGGGGACAAAAAAAAAAAACCCAAAAGTTCTGTATACAGAAAGCAGCTTCCTGTCATATAGAGCACATTCTCTAATGTCTACTGTGAAGAAATGGGCTAAATATTAATTATCTGTCAGTGTGGAGTTATAAACTTAAAGGTTGAAACTGCATCTTCAAGAGATTTCTAAAGTCCTTTTCTAGACAGAATTATATATCAGGAAATTCAACCACAAATCCAAAACAAATTGAAATGCTTCTCAGGAAAAAAAAATATAAGTTAAGATGGGCATCCTGAGATGACTAAGAAAATAGACCCTGGTCTTATATAGAAGCATGGTAAATGGTTCTATTTATAGGATCCCATCTCAATACCCTTATGAGGACAACAAGAGGAGACAAATGGAGTTAGAAATTTGCTGGCTTAAAGGAAAACTGGTGAATCAAGGAAATGCGAATTTACCAAGACAGAGACCATTCCTAGAGAAAAAACAAAACAAAAAAAAGAAACCGCTAGGCGTGTTTGAAGCTTGGCTGAATATGGACATAATAGCAAGTCTGACTCTAAAACTGATCAACATTCTGCCAGTCTTGTTTTATTTAACTTGCATGTGATTTGGGGAGGTGAGGGGAATGGGGCTGGAGCATTTCAAGCAAATCTCAGACATTGTGTCACCTATAATGACATAAATGCTTCAATATACATTTATAAATGATAAATATTATTTTACATAATTACCATGTTATTTTTCACTCCTAACAAAATTTACTGAAATTCCTTAATACCATCTAATACCTAATTCCCCAAGTTGTTTCAAAGATGTCTCCATCAAAGGATGATCTAAATCAGGATTAAAACGTGGTCCCCCGCCTATAATCCCAGCTTTGGGAGGCTGGGGTGGGAGGATTGCTTGAGCCTAGGAGTTCAAGACTATCCTGGGCAACATAGTGAGACCTCATCTCTACAAAAAATTTAAAAATTAGAGGGTCACTGTGGCATATGCCCGCAGTCTCAGCTACTAGGGAAGCTGAGGTGGGAGGATCACTTGAGCAGGGAGGTCGAGGCTGCAGCGAGTCATGTTTATGCCACTGCACTCTACCCTGCGCTAAAAAGCAAGACCCTGTCTCAAAAAAAAAAAAAAAAGAAATCCACAAAACTCATTTGAAGTGACCATGGAATATATACCATAGATCATACTGCTTCAACATGCTCCTTTTGTTCTTAACTTCAAAATTTGGTTGATGTAGTAGGTTTGTATGAAACTTGTTTGAGGGAAATTAATTGGACCAATCACAAAGCCTAAGGCCAGTCTACAAATGGACCTGGTATTCCTTGGATGGTGCTTAAATCCACCCCCATCTGATGGCTTTCTGCTTGCAGACAAGAGCCACAGCTGAATCAGAATCCCACATGAGCATGTTCCCCAAATTGCACTAGCAGATTTTCCACATGACTAGATTTTCTTTTTAATTTCTGGAAAGCCAAAATATTTTTAGCCATCTGGATTGGCTGCTTTTATAATACATCATGCTGTTATTCTTTCTCCGCTAATGATTTAGAGCAAGGGTTGGCAAACTACAACCCACAGGCCAAATCCAGGCAGCTGCATGCTTTTGTAAATAAAGTAAATAAAGCTTTTTGGCACACAGCCATGCTCATTCATTACATATTGTGTATGGCTGCTTTTTGCACTAAAATGGCAGGGTTGAGTAATTGTGACAGAGGCTACTTATAGTAGCACTGTGCTAGGTGCTGCATAATATAGTGGTGAATAAAAGTGCTTGTAGTGTGTTTGCATGCATCAATCATTCTACATGTTTTTGGGGAAGTCACTGAAAGGCAGTGTCTCCCCATATGTGCTGAAATAGTCCTAAGTGACGACAGAGTGACCACCTATTTCTTCAAATTCCCTACCATTGTATTAATACACGTTTCCAGACAAAGGTGGCAACAAATGTTATTTATGGACTAAAAGCTAAAAAGGCTCTTAGAAACCTAACTCAATCCCTTCATTTCTCAAATAAGAAACTGGATTATCCAGAGATTCATTAGTTGACCCCTAATCAGTCAGATGACTCCTAGCAGAGCCAGAGCCCCTCTTTCCATATCTAGAATGATTTCTACTCGGTGACACGTGGCCAGCTTTTTTAGATATCCCTCGCATCCTCTCTGGGCTAACATTGATTAATGAAGCAGATGAGAGTAAAACAGTTTAGTTTATTCCCTTCCAGAAGGTTTGGATACATTCTCTCCCATTACGCTCAGATTATTGATCATTCCATCTGATTAATAGGGTCTTGTTCTAACTGAAGACATTGAGGGATAGAGCAAGTTGTCACAGATATAGTTTTGTCCATCTCTAACTTCAATTTGCATTAGCAAAATCCAATATTTCTAGAAACCATATTATTGCTTTGTCTAACACAAGAAAAATTCAATGAATTAAAAAAATTTGAGGAATATCTATAGACTTCATATTTTATTGAGTTCCTAATTTTATACTTTAGATAAAAATTGAGATTCACTTATTAATCTTTATTCTTGATTACCAATTGTCATCTGGCTGTACTGCATAATAGGGGACTGGCTGTTCTCCCTCTTTATTCATTAAGTCCAAGTTGAAACATCTGATCAGTATTATCAGGAGGCCTTATAGGCGTAGTGGCTCCATAGAGGTTCCATTCCCAGAAAATGCTCAAAAACTCTCTTAAATCATGAGATTTTAAGAAACATGGTGATTGCATTTTAGTACTGTACCTATTTTGTATTTGAATTTTTAAATGGCTTTGCTAAGACTCTACGTATAGAAAAAAACACCAAAATTTGAAGCCACTTTTAAACCAAGATTACAGAGTAATTATATGATAATTAAATGGTACTATTATTTGAATGACAACAAAAGCGGCCATAGTGCATTAAAAAAAGGACCATTCTTTAAAAACAGGATTCCATCTGGAATATGTCATATTCACAGGCTTGCTTTTATTTTCACTCCCTATAAAGTCTCAAAATCTTACCCATTCCCAGGTAATGTACCGTAATAGAAGTTTCATCAGCTTCTTCAAGTTATCACTGCAACACTGCCTTTATTACTTTTAGGTCTTTACTGGTATTTTTAAAATTATACTATATATATATATGTGTGTGTGTGTGTGTGTGTGCGTGTGCGTGTGTATATATATATAAAAAATAAGTTTGTCAGTGATATTGTTTGGAAAATAATATTTATCTTAAAAAACTGTATTTTAAAATTTATCCAGTTCTTGGATTTTGAAATTAATTCTTTTGAAAAGAGTCTTTAAATACCAGATTACCACTTAAATGTATTTCATGAAGATCAGAGGTTGTTTTATTCAGGTAAGTGAGGGTTTCAATGGTAAATTCAACATTTTTAGCAAGTCAGACTTTATCCAAAACAATACTACTACACATGAGATTTTTGTTTAGAAGTACAGTGTAGCAAAAAAGGAAATTTTTTTGTCATAAAAGCAACAAATTTGCATAGCAAGAAATCAAATAATATATAAAGATAAAAGAAAAAGGTTTCTTCCATAACCCTTCAAATTCTCAGCCCCAATTCTCAGAGATAACTATAGTTAACAGCTTCTTGTATGTCCTTACAGAAATAGTGTATTCATATACAAGCATATATTTGATGTCTTAATTTTTAACAAATAGAATAATACTAATTTATTTTTCCTTTTTAAGCTTAATAACGTATTAATACCTTGGACATCTTTCTATCTTAACACAGCTAAAACTATAAGTCTATTTATTAAGTCTCCTATTGATAAATATTTAGGTTCTCTGTTTTGGCTGGAATGTTGAAGTGAAATATATGTATTAGATAGATATAGATTTCACTTTGCAGAAGTGAATGAGTATAATAGGATAACTTTTTAAAAATATAATTGCTGGGTCAAGATATATGTGCATTTAAGATTTGACACACATTCCTAAGCTGCCCCCTGAAGAATTTATACCAATTTATAGACCTACCAGCAGTATGTAAGATGGCCTATTTCTCTGTACCCTTGACCACACTGCTTATTCAACATTTTCATCTTTGCCAATTTGATAGGTGAAAAAATCCACCTTCCTTTTGTTGTCTTACCTTTGAGTAAGTTGAGTATCTTTCATGTTTAAAAGCCATTTTTTTTTTATAAACTGGAAGTTTATATCTTTCCTCATTCCCATTTTTCTTTGCATTATTAGTCATTGTCTTCTTGATTTATAATATTTAAATATTTATTTATAATTAAATTAATTACTATTGATCTATAATATTTAAAATAATAAGATTTTAATGTTAAGAAAATTAGCTACTTTTTATTATGGGTGTTGGAAATATTTTTCCCAGCTTGTTCTAGTTTTTGCCATACAAAATGCTTTAATTTTATGGATTTAAATTTATTATATATTTCCTGTCTGGCTTTTGTGTTCATTGCATGGCTTAGAAATAATTTTATCAAATTTTCTCATTTTCTTCTAGTACTTTATTAGCTTTACTCTTTAAATATATGTATCAAATCATTGTGCTATCTAAAGAAAGGAGTGGTATGGCCTTATTTTGTTTCCAAAATGATTAGTCAGTTGTTCCAAAACCATTTGTTTGAATTATTGGAGTTTTCCTCTCCAGTTTGCAAAGCTTTCCTTTATCATATACTAAATATCTACATGAGTCTATTTGGATATTAAAGCTTACTTCTGGACTCTGCTATTTCTTATGTTGTCTATCTACGCCAAAAAATCTCGTTATATTGCTGTAGTTTTACATTTTAATCTCTGTAGGAAGTAGTCCACTCATCAGAATTCTTATTTTTAAAAAAATTTCAGTTGAGCCTTTATAACTTAATCTGTATCTTAGTTTATTTTTTCATACAGACTTTTTCTAACCAGCTTGTCAAGTTCTAAAAAAAGGAAAGAAGAGACAGAGAAAGGGGTGGGGAGGGAGAAATTATTATTGTGATTAAGATCACTTTTCACTGATCAATTTAGGGTGAATTTAGTAACTCTACAATACTAAATATCTCTACCCGAGCTGGTTCTTATTTATTCAGGTTTTATTTTTAGAAGTAGAATTTTGAAGTTTTCTTTATAAATCTTAATTTTTTTTTGCTAAGTGTATTTCAGATATTTTATATTATTATTTTTTGTAAGTAGAATATGTCTAATTTTATCTACTTACAGGACTATTTTATTAGCACTTTTTATTGAATGGATCTTTGGCACCTGTAAAAAAAGATCGAGTGGCATTTTTCCTTTGACCTAGTACTATGGTTAGTTAACAGTTTTGCTATTATTGAACCATCCTTGTATTATCTGAATATATTCTATTCTATTAGGATATATTGTAACTATCCTGCTTGGGTGTATTTGCTAATGTTTTAGTTAAGAGCAATCCCAAATTTTCAGAACAAGCAAGAGCCGTATCTGTTTTATTTACTTTATACGCAGCACATAATGCCTAGCCCTGTGCCTTAAGCAGAAAAATTCTCGATAATCATTTGTGAAAATCAGGGTGGTTCCATGATTCACTTGGTTTGGTTTTCTCTTAACTCTTCTGGCCTGCTCTAGAAAGAGAATTTGTGACTAACAGCAATATAAAGACCAAGGAGTTAGTCGTGTGAGAATGCATGCAAGTTCTTTGAAAAATTCTTTGTGTATTCACATGACTTTATTGATTACTCATGATCTTTTTGGGTCCTTTCTTCCCTGTTTTGACTAAACATGTTTCTCTCCTTGGGCAATCTTCCAGACATCAGCAGAGACATCTCTTACATTAACAAGCCTAAGTTTTCAGAACAAGCTGTTCTGAAATATTCTGAGGCATGGCTAGGGTGTCTGGTCTGAACTAAACCCATGTGGAGCTTAGGGAAGAACTTGAGCCTGACTTGGCAAATGCCTGAAGTTGGGTCAGTGGCCACAACTTAATTGGCATAGCTAAATTACCTAGCCAAGGTTCCTGGGAGCCACCCAGGAGCCCCACCAGTATAATTCCTAGGCACCTTTCTTTTTCCCTCACCCGTAAGATGAAAGTGAATTTCATTCACTCTTCCGCAATGATGAATTAAATCTTGCCTTTTGGTGGCCCTGGGAGCATCTCTACTGATGTCCCTGAAGAGCCTAGTGGCCTGAGTGTGCAGGCCAGTTCTCTAAACAAAGTCATATGTGAAAACCAGAAGAGTGAAAGAAAGCTATGACCAAAGGTTACGTTGTGTCAAAACAACTGGGATGACTGATGACACAAATGAGCAGTGACTAATTATGACCACTCCACTCACCTGTGGTTATTCTAACACTCCCTTGGTGTTACAATAACACTGCATACAACTTCTTGCATACAACTATGTTTCTTTCTCCACTTTTTCCCATGGCTCCTGTCTTATGGTTGCATAATTGACTCAAAATCTTCAAAAAATTCCACATATCCCATTTTACTCTTCCTAGTATTCCATGTTTCTATCTAATTAGCCTCTTTGGGGCTTTTCTTGTGGAAAGTTATATCTACTGCTTGATTTTAGGCAATACCTAGGGGGCTCTTGTACCCAAACACATCATACTTCAATTACACTGACTTTCCAGTTGAAAATTCTATTTCAAATTAAATTGAATATATTGTTTTGTATTCCTGATTTAATAGGTAGGAGCATATTTATGAAAATAAGATCAAAACACTAGTTTATTTTGTTTTATGTTGACTCTCATAGCTTAATAAAGGGGCAGTTGATACTGCTGATTAAATAAACAAGATAACCTAATGCAATGTTAATTACCTTCCCCTCTGGTGCAAGTACCTTTATAATATAAAATACTGTGAAATATAACTGCATTGACATCTGTTTAGGGACTATAGAAGCTAAGTCTTTCTCCATATGGCCAGAGTGAAATGCATTATCGAATTGGTTATTCGGATAATTAAAGTTGCAAATGACTCTTACAAGGAACTTGCTGATAAACTGGTGAATTTACAGCCAGAGTAATTCAGTCTTAAAAGCTATACTTTTGGACAAGGATTATCATCTACTTTGACTGTTCTTGTGGCTCATGTTAGCTGAAAAATTCCAACATTTTACCTCACCTTGTGGTACAGAGACTTGGCATGGGTCCACTTCTCATGCTTCCTCCAGCATCTTTAATTTAAGCAGGAACCACAACCAGCAGATGATCTTTCCTATTGAATCACTCCTGCTTCAAAGATGAAGCCTTGCTGTGCAGTGCCAACTTTCACTTTTTCCACATTACATAATCCTCTTCTGTTACCCAGCATTTCCATGCAGCCATCATATAAGTGGAACCAGGAGGGTGGTTTGGTTAATGCTTCATATTGATATCGATGGGCCACAGAATAGCAGGTCCCTTGTTGCCTAGCAACCAAGCAAAGAGCCTCAGCCCACTGACCTCAGTATGAGTACCACTTGCTCATATGCAGCTCCACAATTGAGTGGATCGTTGCCTCATTCTCGATGATTCCCAGCCACATTTAGTGCCTTCATCCCACCCTGATGAGGCTTCTGATTAAATGCAATGATTGCACTGTTGTTGTTTTTTTTCCCCCCTAGTAGTCTGAAATTTAATCATGTGGCATACGCTAATCCAAATGCCCTTATTTACTAACTCTGTTGTCACTGACTCTGGGACCAGGCAGCTTGATTGATGGAAAATGAGATCATTTGCACATCATCCTAAATAGATGCATTAAAATTAACTTGGTACAGTTTTTCTTTCATTTGTTATCAATTCTCTTTCATAGTTTTCATCAAAGTTATGTTTCCATAACAACAGCAACAGTTAACTTGATTACTATATGCCAGGTACTTCATATATGTTTTCCTTTTGTGGTCATTACAACAACAAAATGGGAAAGATATTAATATTATTCCATTTTTATATAGGAGAGCTGAAGTTTAGTGAAGTTTCTCTATTGAGTCAGGACCATAACCTAGTTAAGAAACACAGCTGTGGTTCAAACCCAGCTCTACCTGATTCCAAAGCATAGGTACCTTGTATTGCTTCAGTAGATTAAGATTCAATGACAAAAATTACACACTTTTTCTTAAAAACTCATCCTGCTTCCCAAATCAAAATTGTTAACATTAACAGTTTCAAAATAGTAAATTAGCAATGACAACTTGCAATCACACAATGTTGGAACGTAGCAGGTCTCTCATTAAACTAGAAGACTACAAGGGATTGCTGATAATGTGTTGTTTTCCTCAAGATTCAACCAAAGAAAATTATCTGATGAGAGTCCAGATATGTATAAGAATAGTCATCAGTAACATTTCCCAAGTGTTTACTCTGTACCTACTCATCAAAACTAGCCTCTGACATGGGTACTTTGTTATCCACATTAAAGATGAATCAATTGAGATTTTACTTGGAGGAAACTGAGACTCTGAAAGCAGCTCCTCCTAAGCTACACTGTCAATAAGCAATAAAATCAAGGTTTAAGTCCAGAGTTGTCAAACTCCAAAGACGGTCTTTGAATTGTTTGGATTTACACATCAGAGAAGAAAACAAAACTACTGGCAGAACACTTTGACATTGTTCAAAGAGAGAACATTCTTAACACTCTTGAATTAAGTATGTAGCTACAATGTGTTGCTAATAATCATAACAATTATAATAACTGTAGGGACTACCATTTGCCAAGTGCGTAACTGTCTGGACACCCAACCCACTGCTAAGCACTTTCCCCACATCATCTCACTTGAGCCTTGCAGCCACCCTGGGCTATAGGCACTAATAATATCCCCATTCTATAGTCAAGGAAAAATGAATTGGTTCAGGGTTGTAAACAACTAAATTGGGATTAGCATCCAATCCGTCCGGCCCAAACTCCAGCTTTCAAACTTGACACTCACTGCTGCCAAGTGTCAGCAGATCTGTGGGGAACCAGTCACCCCAAGGAAATGTGAGAATATTTTTGGCCCTTTCTCCTATTGAAAAGTCACTACTCTCTCAAGAATACTTTTGTCCATGTGTATACACTTTGGCACTCCGCTTAATATTGGAGGAAAGAGAGTGCCTCTGTGGATAGGAAATGGCCAGAGAGAGGCAGCCCACACTTGTTTGTGTTAGCCAAGGAGGGGGGAAATTCATATCGGGCAATACCATGACTTTTGCTGAAGTACAGAAATGAGTGAGAATGAGAGCCAACGAGACAGAGGGAGTTACACGCTGGACTGTCTACCCGACTCATCTACAACACACAAGTTGGCAGGCACTCCCCGATCCAGTTTAGTGATGCCAAATAAAATATCCAAACTGTGCAGCTCTAACTGAGCATCCTTATAGCTCTTGCAAACCATTATGGTTTAAAGTAGAGGGAAAATTATCCTGGGAATGCTGGCTCTGTTACTGGGAAATCATTTGTGCTTGACTTGCTGAAGGACACTTCAAGATCCCAGAGCTACACTGCCAAAATTTATCTTCCAATCTTTCTGTCCCTGCTAACTAGAAGTAAGAGAGTAGAACAACAAACTGTGACATTATATCCCAGTGGCCAGAGGATGCCCTTTTTTTACTTTGGTTGGCTTGGGATGGGGTAATCAGATAGCCAAGCTTATTAAAATTGTTTGAAACAAAACCAAAAATAGTTTCTGGGTGAGATCTAAGGAACTCCCTTATTAGTTAAGTGTATAAGTTTCACTGCTTGGACTTGGTAACATCTGTTTTGTTGCTCAAGAAATTTTTATGCTTACTACTGGTTCCTCCTTACTGATGCAAGACAAGTGCTTTCAAATGTGCTCCTTGTTTCATAGGGGTTCCAGGAAGATGCTTAAAGAGCATCTTTGGGGTCAGGGGTGCAGAGTTTAGCTCCAGAACAGCTCCTCTTCTCTGTCTACTGAGGAATGCCTGTTGTTTCAACGCCTTTCTTCTGATGAGAGCACCCTGATTTTCTTTTTTTCTTTTTTTGAGACAGAGTCTTGCTCTGTCACCCAAGCTGGAGTGCAGTGGCACGATCTTGGCTTTCTGCAACCTGCAACATCCACCTGCCTGGTTCAAGCAATTCCTCTGCCTCAGCCTCCCGAGTGTCTGGGATTACAGGCACACGCCACCACTCCTGGCTAATTTTTTTGTGTTTGTAGTAGAGTCAGGGTTTCACCATGTTGGCCAGACTGGTCTTGAACTCCTGACCTCAGGCAATCCTCCAACCTCAGCCTCCAAAAGTGCTGGGATTACAGGCATAAGCCACCACGTTAGGCCAAAAGCACCCTGATTTTCTTGTAGAAATCTACAATTCCTTGTCCCTGTGTCTCAAGTAATATGGACTCCTGTGAACCATGCAGGGATAAGTGTAAAAGAGACTTGGGTCTAACAACCAGAGCCTCTAATCCATGTAATCCCAGAGGCAGTTCAGGGAAGGGCACTTGACCCAATTGGGGTCAGTGAGTACTGGGCTTGCTCAAGCCCCATTTTAGCCTCTCTCCCTTTCTAGGCCTGTGATATGTCTAGTGTCTTGGATTCCTCATTTATAAACTAGGGATGGTGCTATCTATACTTAGAATGGTGCCTGGCAGGGAGTATACATTTTATAAAATATGAGCTATTATGTATGAACTGATGAGGACAACTTCATCGCTCAATTTTACTAGATTCTTCCTGATTTTTCCATTTAGCAATTACCCAAAATGTCCTTTATAACATCTCCTTCCTCTCAAACAAAAATAGCAGCACCTTCTCATGATTAAGCCAGCCAGCCACCCTCTCTACCCACTCAACTTATTCCTGGTTCTCATTGCGCGCATGAGGGACCTGGAGGAAGTTTGCCTCCTGCTGGGCATTTGATGCTCACAACACCACACTGCCCAATGTGATGATTCTCTGTCTTTTCATCCACCCCTACTCTCAGGATGAACTATTCCATTTGTAACACCATCATGTGGTTATAACCAGGGTTCTATACAATGTTTACTTCTCTGGGTGAAATTCCACCTCTTTCCAGCATTACCATGAACTTACTTTAATTTACTTCAGTTTTGCCTTTTGCTCATTTTCCAAATTATCCCCCCTTTTTACACCAAGCAAGATGATGGGCCCTTAGTTTTGACTTCCCTGAAAGAAACTTACAGGGCAGAAAAGTCAGCAGCTGAAGACAAGGGCTCCTCCTGACTTGAAAAAGTTAAAGCTCTCTGAGGATACGATCTTAGGTGTCCTGAGACAAGAAGATGGGGCAGACAGAGAAATGCCTTTGAAAATGAGGCAAGAGAAAGGAGACATGTCTTTGAGCCTGGAAAAGGGGAAAGTCATCTGGCCATGGAAGAGCCAAATTCAGTGCCACCCCAAAGGAGTTGGAATGGGAAGTCTGCCTTGTACAACTGAGGAGTCACAACCCTGGGCAAAGGTTTTCCAGCCTTGTTCCCATGCCGTGAGTGGAGCACAAAAGTAGGGAGACTACAGGACCTTGAGAGAACCAGAGGCCTGGATAATGAGGATATTAGCAGTAACCATGATGAACTGGTGATTGGGCATGATTTTAGGCTTCTGTGTTATCCAAGGGGGAGAGAGCCCCAACAATGATTGAGCTTAGCCTTCCTGCCATGCTGGCTGGTAGGATGGGCATGGAGAGTCTGACTTTAATCAAAATAAAGCATAGTAAAGAAATGAGATCATCTTATAGACTCAAGTGTGCACTGAGATTGATACCCCACAGATAGCAATCACAACTTGCTGAGAAGCACCAATATGTGTGAATACGTCAATCAAGCCCTCATCAGAAAAGGACCCCATCAGAAATGTGGACCTCCCAGAACCTCTGTGAAGTGAAATATTTTTATCTGAGGTCACAGGGTTAGCCCTCAATGTGAGTAAGAGTGTGATCGCCAAAATATCTCCTTTAAAAAAATCACTTCCTTAACCCCAGGAAATTCATCCATCATCGTCCATCTGGAATTTTCTGAAGCCAAGCCCACCAATCAATGTCAAAACCAGAATGAGAGGAAACTTTTTGAAGACGCACCCTCCCATCCTCTCATGTCATAGGTGAAAAATGGCTGGCTTTGTTTTCTATGCTTGTAAAAGGAAAAAAAAAATCAAGGCAGATCATGATGCTTAATCTCAAGTACTCTCATTTCCAAACGCCTTTATAGTTCCCAAGTTGTGTCAGGAAAGTGAGTTGCAACCTCATTAAAACGCCACACTCAATATTTTTTTCTCATCCCCTGATACTCCAATCCCTGGCTATCGGCAGACAGTAAGGAAACTCCCCAGTCCCAAGGATTTGGTTTAGGTTTATTTTGGCCGGGGAAGGAAAGGAGAATTAAGAAAAAGAGGAGAGACTCAGAAGAACGCCTGGCAATGCGGAATCGCAAGCCCTATGAATTCAGGCAGTCTCTTCGGCAGCGCTTTGGGTCTTGCAGCAGGCAGACAGGCGGGCACGGTCAAGGGCCATTTTGAAGGAGAGATGTGACCAGACTGAAAGAGTGCCCATTAGCCACCGAGTGCAGGAAATGAAACCTGTTAACCATGCAGCGGCTCATCCCTGAGGAGAGGGGGAACGTGCCCCTCGCGTGACTCAACCCAAAGACAATTATGGAATGCAAATATTTAGAAACTGTAGAGTTGTTTAGCTCTCTTCGGAGCACCGAGCGCACCCGCTGCGTCCCCAGCTCCTTCCTCTGAAGGAGTCCTGCTTCTGAAATTCCCTGACCTGCAAGGATAAAAGGAAAGAACCTCTCAGATCAGGGTCCTTTTTTTTCCCATTCTGTGTTTATAAATCTCTGTCAAACATACATTGTTTTCTGGTCATAGATGTCCTCTTAATGCAGGCAGGTAGTTTTGTGTATGTGAGGAGTTACCAGTATTCTGGTAACTCAAAGCATGGGCTTCCTTGGGAAGGAATTTGAGAAGGAACAAGAGAAGAGGAAAATGATTAGAAACTTTCCACTTGATGTACTTCTGGCCTTGTAGACACTGCATAACTCTCTGAAAGCAGAGGATAGGTTTGAGCCCCTTGCATCTCCAGAAGAGTGCCTGGCACAGCGCCTGATGAATGTCAGTTGGGTGGCCAGCCAGACCTCCACATGGCAAGGAGCACTTAGTAGGGCTGGAGTAGAGACCAGGTGGCAGCACTCTGTGGGAGGAGGCAGCTGCCCTCCTTAAGGTCACTGATTTTCCTCTGAGCACTGCTGTGATTTTTTAAAGCAAATACAGAATATTAAAACTCTGCATAACTAAGGGTTTACTAAAGGAATATATAATAATCCTAATATGTAGCTAAAAACTACAGGAATTCATAATGCAGCTAGCTGATGCTCTGGGGTTACTCAAGAGATTTTTTTTCCAGTTAAAGTAGAATAGAGAAGAAATTGTAAAATCAACCAGGAGTCATGAGTATAAATCATGAACTTACACCAATCTGTGCCTCAGGCCAGGAGCTCACCTGTTTTGTATCCAAGTGTGGAGGAGACGAAATGACATGACAAACTTGTGGCTAGAGGAACAGTGGCTCCTTCCAAAAGTTAGAGTGATATGTTAAGTGCTGAAACCAAATGAAATCCATTCATGGGCTCACTGACCAGGTTCAGAATGGGTGATTGTCCATCATATGCAGTAACTCTGACAATTGTTTGTGGCAATTACACCTCTACATCCTGCCCTGCCTACCCCATCTCCCCTACCGTCTCTGACAGTAACACACTTTCCTTCCAGCCTTATCTGTAACCCGATGTGCCTGGTGATCCACCGTCCAGTGCGCATTATAAACCATGTAACCATAAAATATGAAACGTCAAGAACATTGAGAATCAGGGTACACGGTACTATGTGACTGTGTCATACTGCTTTTTTAAATCTCAGAACTGACAAGCAGTTAGCTGACTTGATGGGATGAAAATATAAGGTTTGACTAAAGCACAATTCCAGGTGTGGTCCAGAACCAACAACGTCAGTCAGCATCACCCAGGAAATTGATAGAAATGCAAATTATCCGGCCCTGCCCGAGACCCACTGCATCAGAAACTCTGAGGATGAGGTCAGCAATCTGTGCATCAACAGATCCCACAGGTGAATCTGATGCAGGATAACATTTGAGAACTAATGGACTAGGAATGGAGGCTGATTATTTAAGGGACCTAATATAACTTCCTAACTCAGTGCAGCCTTCGGAGTGGTTGTGTAAGAGCCTGCTTCAAAAAGGCTTCATTCCTTCCCTTTTGAAATTGTCTTCAGAGACTAGGACCAGAGTGGAACTTGTTTGTTCACGTGTTTTCTTCATCGGATGGCCTTTTATAAAAAGCCGAGTCACATGGCTTGAGATTTGATCCATCTCTAAATGACTTTTGTCAGTTTTTCAAACTCACACTCAACCTCAGAGGACAAAGGTTTATTTCGTTGAAGGTGTTCAGAAGGATGTGCTTCGGGGGATTGTCCACAGGTGTGTTTACTGTGAATTTGAGCGCCTGTTATGCCCGGTCTTTTCTCTGGATTTGTTAAATATAGCACCCACCTGGAACAGTCTGAGAATGTGGCTAGGTAACGATGAGGACCAAATACAAAATAACAAAGGACAACCTGATATACCAGGAGACACCAGGTTGTGGGTCAGAGGTCAGATGGCACCAAGAAAATTGATGTATAAAGTTTCCAGGACAGCTCAGCTTGCATCATTTGGATTTTTTGACGGTATTTTCATGATGAGCCATGAAACAGCTGCCAGATTTTGACGGAGATATAGCAATGCAGTGAGGGCAAAATACCACAAAGAGTTTGCAGAGGAGTTTAAGAAGCAAGATGTCACAAAGACTAATAAAACAAAATTCCACTCTGTTTGTTTACTATGGCCATCAACACCTAGTTTTCCCATTTGGCCTGCATAGTGTTTCCCAGTGAAATGTAGCTTATGCATAACTGAGGTTTGGGAAGTATTAAGAGGCTTTAATGATCCAAAGCAGCCCCAAGCTATGGGAGTGAGACAGTGGCTGGATTTACACATAACTCATAGACGTCTTCACAGAGCTCCTGTAAAGCAATCCAAAGTGCCATATTTAAAAAAAACTTCCTCATGTGGCTGTCCACTCCCATCTGGGGAGCAGTCAAGATGTCAAAATGACGAGAGGAGAGGTTTCTGTTCTGATATTGACCAGAAGCCTTGACTGATTTCTTTGATAGTCCAATATTTATGACTTCATCAAAACCTACAACTAGGTTTTTTGAAGCAGTAAGTTATTCAAATTTTATATGTCCCATGGCCCTATTTCCCATTGCGGGGAATATTAGGAGTAAATGCTATTCTAAGTCAATTAGTGAAATAGAATAGCAATAAAAAGAACAATTAAAGAACCATTGTTCTAATACCTTATTGTATTTCACCTGAAGGGCCCCCAGCAAGGACTAATAAAGAGAGCAAATTCAAATGGGATTTGCCAACGTATTGGTCAGAAATGCATTCAGCTCCATTAACAACAAACGGACAGTAGTGTAAACACATAAGGAAGTGTTTGTCTCACATAAGAAGCCTATAGAGAAGCAGTTTGGGGTCAGAAAGATGCCTTCAAGAATCCAGATTTTTCTCTTATTGGTCTTCTATCCTTGTCTTGTGCTTTTGGCTTCTGATGGCATCAGAGAAGTACCTCTAACATGGCATATTTCAGGCAAAAGAAGAAAAGAGGAGATAAAGTACTAGCACATTTCTGCTTACAGCTCATTGGCAGAACAATCACGTGGCCATATCTGGCTGTCAGGAAGCCTAGAAAATCAGGTTTTAAACTTTCAAAACCTCTGAAAGAGAGGAGGAGGTTGGATCAACTAATCTAGGGTATATTATTGCAAATAGCATAATGAATAGCAGATGCCTGGATTGATATGTCCTAATGCATTTCAGCAAACATTGTCAAGGGCCTACTCTTGTTAAAGGTTCACATGATACAACGTGATAAAGACAAAAATAACACCAAGTGTATAAGCAAAGCCTTTTGTCTTGCTGGAGGGGTGAGGGAAGGCTTTATAGACTAGGTCAGTGCTCCTCAAGCATTCATGTGCATTCAAAACACCTTGAGATTTTGGTAAAACGCAGATGCTGATTCCATAGATGTGGGGTGAGGCCTGAGATTCCGCATTTATAACAGGCTCCACGGAGATGCTGGTACCACAAGTCTGTGGAGCACGCTATGAAGAGAAAGTGTTTAGGTAACATGTAAACAGAGCTGAAGGCATGGGTAGCAATTCACCAAGTAAAACAAAGGAGGAGTATACCCGAGGCTGGGGGAACAGCAAGCACAAACATACATGCATCCTCTTCTACGCAGTCCTTTGCCACACTCTCTGTAGAGTATCTTCTTTTACATATGTGAAGGTATTCACACGCATATGTGAATGGATGTTTGGATAGATACAATAAGTAGATATTATATATTTTATCAATTGTGCTATATGCTCATGGCTACTGAGTGGCCAAGCAAATTCTCAACCAATGAGGACCCTACCACACTCTTCTAATACAATTTGTTGGTTTTTGTCTTCTGTAACTTTTCCTTCTGCTATTTATGTTGTGTTTTAGGGAACAGGTTTCACTTATAATGTTTGGGGGAAAACTTCCAGTATTAGTGCTGGAGCTGTTTAAGGAAAGAGGAAGAGAACCACTTTGGATCTTAAAAAGCAAGGTTTACCACAGAGTCACTTCAAGAAAGTGGTTAAGGACACAAACAATAAAGAGCATTCCTTAAATGTTATAAAGCCTGTCATAAGCATGACTGGAGCTTGGGGTGACTGACTAACAATTGTGTGACCTGTGGCCTGGAAAAAACTGTGGCCAGAGGGATGTTGTGATTTCAGAGGATTTGACAAAATTCAAAGAGCCATTGCTAATGCCTGATGCTAGAAATAGCTCTTTGGGGAGATTATGCTGACATGACCCCACATGTGGTTAGTTCAGGTAGCATTTCCATTTCCAGGAGCTAATCCCCCATACTAAGTGAGCAATGCCTTTTTGGGCACATTGAGAGACCAGCAAGTAGCCTGATGTTCTAGAGCACAAGACAAGAAGAGAGGGGTGGTAGCAGATGAGTCTGGAAAGTCAGGTTGGTTTAGCTATGCTGAGGCCCCCCTGCCCTCAGCCCATGGGCAGTTCAGAACTACCCAAGTTCATAAATGAGGGAATAACATGGTCACACTCAGGCTTTAGATAACTTTGTTGGCAATGCAATGGATAGATGCAGGAAAAGTGTAATGGCTAAACTGAAGTTAGGCCAGGTAGAAGGAGAGATGATGAGAGCCTGAATTAAAGCAGTGGCAATAGGAAGGGAGACAAAGAGCAAGATTCAACAGTTATGTCAAAGGTAGGCTCAGTTGGGTAAAGGAATTTGTAAGATGTGTGCTTGAAAAAAAAAAAAAGAGAATTGAAGATGACTCTAAGACCAAGGTAGCAACTTGGATGAGCGTAGTATATTTTTTTCATTTACATTTGAAAGCCTTCAGTTGTTCATAGGCCCTCCACACCCATTTGCCTTATTCTTGGCCATTTCATGTATCTGTGACACCTGCCAGAGTCTGAAAGCTTTTGAGATTGAGCCCAAGAGTTCTGGCTGAGCCAACAGGTTGAATAATAATGCTTCCAACTGTGAGAATGAATACAGAAGATCACGTCTGCAGGAGGAAGATAATTCAGAGCTTCACCAATAGAGAGGAGAGTGATTTGGCACTCATGGGTTGAGGACTAGCCTGGACCTTGATTCACTTTTTCTGTGACCTTAAGCCAGTTCTTTTAGCTTTCCAGTAGCTATAAAGCAGAAGAAAACATCCACCGCCCTGTGAATAACTCCCCAAAGCCACTAGGCTCATAATATTGATCCTGGCCCAGTACACACTAATCAGTGTCATCTCTCCTCTTTATAGGCAACTTTATGAGCCCTCATTTCCCTGTGCACTCAGCTCTCTAGACTCAGAAACTATCTGCTGAAGCACTCCCAGTGCTTCCCCAGAGCCGTGTTGCCTGTGAAATCAAAACCGAGAGGGGAAGAAAAACCAGTCCGGGGGTATCAAGTTTCTCTGGGACCCACCATTCAATTCTCAGTATGCAAGAATTTTTAGAAACAGTCCAGTGTTTATTTTCATGGTTGCACTAAAGACCTCTGGAAATACCATAGATAACCACAGCACCAATAACTATTTAATTTATTACATTTGCACATGCTGATGGAAAGAAACAGATCTTGGCATAAAGACAACAACAAACAAATGTAAATTACAAATCAGACAGTCAAATTGGAAATTGAAGAAGACTCAAAATCTACCTTCGGTTTTTCCATTCCCATGTAGTATTATTAGATCCTTTTATGTTTTATTTCTGCTAATCTGATGTCTCTCTTCAATAAATGAGTTTTTCTTTTTTCTTCTTATGCATTCATTTTTCTTTTTTTTGAATAAGGCACTGGGGCTAGTCCTAGGGAATACAAAGATCAAATAAGGCCCTGCCTCTAGTTAAGTCATGTTTTAATATTGTGTCTTGTGCAAAGTTCAAGTCAAAACAAATTTTAGAAGACGAATTTAACCTATTAAATGTTGCAAAAACCTCATTTAAGCTTATGCTTTTTAGTGAGGAATTGGGAATAAACTAAGCTGAAAGTAGAAAAAAATCAAGTTCTATACCGTGTACCTTCATGATTATGCCATTTGGTCCCCAATTATCTCCCATATCCGTTTGTTTCCTCAAGCTGAAGCATCTTCATTAGGTCAAATGCATAAGTATAAATAACTAAACTGAAAGCCCACAGGTGACTTTTTCTTCCAAGTGGCACAGCTACAGTTTCCCTCCACCTGCTAATGAGTAGTCCCAGTAGGTTTTGCTCAACCCATGGACTTCTATTTGAAATCAGAAGAGTGAGGCCAGGAACAGTGGCCCACAACTGTAATTCCAGCACTTTGGGAGGCTGAGATGGGGAGATCACCTGAGGTCAGGAGTTCAAGACCAGCCTGACCAACATGGCGAAACCCTGCCTCTACTAAAAATACAAAAATTAGCCAGGTGTGGTGGCAGACGCCTATAATCCCAGCTACTTGGGAGGTTGAGGCAAGAGAATCACTTGAACCCAGGAGGTGGAGGTTGCAGTGACCGGAGATCGTGCCACTGCACTCCAGCCTGGGCAACAGAGCAAGACTCTGTCTCAAAAATAATACATAAATAAATAAATAAATAGTGAAACTAGTTCGTTTTCAGTTTCCCAAGACCTTAAACCTGGTCCACGTTACTATCTACTCTCACTTAGACCAACATCTAAACCATCTAATTAGTGTCTTACTTTCCTCTTGTTCCCTGCGTCCTATTCTCTACACTATAAACAAAGTAGTCTTTTGAAAGCACCATCTAATTTCATTAACTCAGTGCCTACAACGTATTGTGGCTCTTGGGGTAAATACCAGAATCCTTAACATGATGTTATACCCAGCAAGATCTACCTACTCCAACATCTCCATGTTTGGCTTATATTGTGCTTCTCTTTCCCCTATTATTTGTTCTCATAGCACCATATAGCTCTCTTTGAAACCCTTTGCAAGGTATAATTTTAGTTAATTACTTGATGACCCTCATTTGATAATAAACAGCAGGAGAGCAAAGACCATGTCTATTTTGGCTCATAATTATATTCCTGGTAGCTAGCTTAAAGACTTGCATACAAAAGGCTTTAACTATGTTTTCATTGCATGAATGAAGAAATACATAAATAAATGGTCAATTGTTTTCTCAACCACTAGGTACTGTTTTTAGTAGTCAGAAAACATATTTAAGGGATGAAAACTATGTCCATTTCTTACAATTCTACAATAAATACTACCTTCTAAATGTCATGGCCTTGGTGGGAAGTTATCAAGGGAGTCAGTAAAAGGATACATATTTCTACCTTTCCAGAAGAAAGAAGGGAGAGGAAAAACATAGTTATGATCCATTATCTCTGAAATTCTCTTCAATTGTCTAAATGTCCCAGTTGTTGAATGAATCTTTAACTCCCTAGAAAAGTACTGTGTGTTCACCGGGGCCTGTCAGAGGGTGGGGGGCAAGAAGATGGAGAGCATTAGGACAAACAACTAATGCATGCAGGGCTTAAAACCTAAATGACTGGTTGACAGGTGCAGCAAACCACCATGGCACATGTATAGCTATGTAACAAACCTGCACGTTCTGCACATGTATCCCAGAACTTAAACTTACAAAAAAAAAGTACTGTGTGTTTTATTTATAGAAAACATGAATTTTGAGGGTTTTTAAAAAATATATAGCCAATTATTTTACAAATGCTATAGAAAACATTCTTGTTTGTTTCAATTTTATTTACATACTGGCCCACCTTTTATAGCTCACTAGTTGTTAGACATTGGACCACAAAGATGGATAAGATATACCCAATGTTCTTGAAAAGATCTGAGCCCCACAAGGCATGATTGTCTCTTAAACAATACTAAGCAGTAAGAATTGCAATAGAAATGTGCATATGTCCCAAATGAGAAGGAACTGATATACCAGGAGAGTCTAGAAACTTATTTTGAGATTTATATGGTTAGTACATCCAAGAAGTTTATAACACTTGGCCATGCATAGTATATACCAAGTGAAAAAGAATGCCCTTTCTTCTGTGTGTGTAAATATTGTGTCCAATTAAAATTTTGTCTGAACAAGATCTTTCTTAACCTTTGATTCCTATGTAACTTCCATTGTCCTGAATTGTTTTCTTCATTTCTGATTTTTGACTCTTGTTACCAATTTTGTCTATGGCAGGGGTCCCCAGTCCCTGGGCCACAGACTGGTACTGGTCCATGGCCTGTTAGGAACCATGCTGCACAGCAGGAGGTGAGCAGCAGGTGAGCAAGCAAAGCTTCATCTGTGTTTACAGCCGCTCCCCATCACTCACATTACCACCTGTGCTCTGCCTCCTGTCAGATGAGAGGCGGCATTAGATTCCCATAGGAGGAAGAGTTCCTATTGTGAACTGCACATGCGAGGAATCTTGGTTGTGTACTCCTTATCAGAACCTAATGCCTGACAATCTGTCACTCCTCCCATCACCCCCAGATGGGACCGACTAGTTGGAGGAAAACAAATCCAAGTCTCCCACTGATTCTACATTATGGTGAGTTGTATAATTATTTCATTATATATTACAATGTAGTAATAATAGAAATAAAATGCACAATAAATGTAATGTGCTTGAATCATCACAAAACAAACCCCTCCTCCTTGGTTCATGGAAAAATTGTCTTCCACAAAACTGGTCCGTTGTGCCAAAAACTTTGGGGACCACCGGTCTAAGGCATTTTCCTTCAAGTAACCTCCCAGTAATCAACCTTGACTACGCTAACAACTTTGTCTCCTGCATCATGGACAGAACCAGTAAATAGACTCCTGACCAGCCCTGTATTTCATCTATCCCTCCAACCTAGGCAAGACCTGTACATGTATTTTATGTAAAGAGGGAGATAGATGTGAACACAAATAAACTTGCAACACCAGCAAAAGCAAACAGTATGGTGATATGAGAGGCCACATAGCATGTACTTGAGAGTATGTGTTCTCGAGTAAGAAGTCAGATGCTATCTCTTATTAGGTGGATGAAATGAAGCAACTTACTTAACCTCAATCATGAATGAGAATAATAATGATATCTATCTCATAAAGCAATAGCAAGTATTAAAGTAAAGAATTTAGGTAATATGCTTAATACAGTGCCTGGCACCTAAAGGACAAAAAATAAACAATAGGCATGAGAATGATTAACAAAGGAATTATAAAGATGTGTATAAAATGCTGCAGGAAACCAGATCAAGTTATGAGTGACTCTGCTTAAGAAGTTCACTGAAGGAGAGACATTTGAGCTAAACGTCAAAGAGTAGAGGGAAGCCAGGAGGGAGATTGGCAAAATGACATTCAGAGACAGGAAACATCACAAACTAAAAATAAATGGTAGATTTGAGGCTTAAGAGACTACAGAAAAAAATAAATGATAAGCTTGCTTGAATCAGGGGCTCAGCTCTGGATAACAGAGAAGAATCTAAACTAAATCTTGGAGATATTTCCTAGAACGGGTTTCAAGGTGATGGCATAAATTGTATTAAAGTCGTTTGTGTGTAAAGTATATGCCATTAACAGCCTTGACTTCACAATATGGAGTTGTTATTAAAAGCTCACTCTCTTCTTTGAAGACATTTATATGGAAACGCTAAGTGTTTTTACAATCATGATTATCAGCTACTTCTGTTGTTGAAAATTCCTCTTAACATTTTGCTGACCAAAGTGCACATTTTCAGGGTCAAACTATAAATTCAAAGATATAGGCCACGATTTCCTTGTTTACTCAGAGGCTACGTCTGGGCTCTGGAGAGACATTCTTCTAAACTCTCCCAAAAATATGCTTTTGGTCATCACATTCAAACAGAACATTCTTCTTGAATCTTACTATTTTATGTCAATGTCTGTCTCTGTCTCCCCACACCCCCTATGCTGGCCCTTCTCACTCTTTTTGTCAGTTCGAGCTCTTTCATGATTGGCACCCTCCCTGTGAGACTTTGAACAATTTGGTATTTTGCTTATGTTTGTTTTTAGCCTCACATATGCTATGAATCACCCAATACTTTCTGCTCCATTACTACCAAGCTGACGTTTGAAAAACACAGTTTGCTATTTTATTTTCCTCTTCCATTATTCATTCGGCCCCTCCAAATGTATTTTTTTTTTTACACATGAACCCAGCGCTAAAAATACGCATCAGTTGAAGGTTCTGCCAAAATACTTAGTGAATGAGTAATTCAACTTATCCAAGACCGAAAGAAGTATGGGGGTCCTCGGAAATGAATGAACCAATTTGTCTGAAACCTGACTTCATTAAGACATAAAAGTGTGACTATATGGGATATAAAGTCACTGAGTCAGTCTGACATTCAATGTAGACCTCATGTCAGCCTTCAGGAATTGACATCCTTCCCCAAATATTGCAGGTTCAGCCAATGTTCTTATTCACAGCACAAGCATAGTGTGACCCCTGTGTTCTTTTTTAAATTTCTTTATAGCTCTTCTCTTTATCTATGTTTGTTTATTTTCTTGTCTGTATCTCTCATATAGAATGTAATTCTCTGAAGGAAGAAATGACTTTCTGTGCTGTTTTCCCAGCACAAAATGAGTGCCTTGAACAGGGTAGGTGCTCAAATTTGTTGAATCAATTGTCCCCCAAAGTCCAATAAGCCCTAACTATTAATTCCTTTTTTAACTTGTATTATTCCTAAGAATAAAATAATAACAATGGTTATAATTCACGACTCCCTGCTACATGGCTAGAACTGTGCTAGCACACTAATAGAGCTATATAACATTATCCTGTGTCATCCCCACAGCTTCTCTGAGTGATCAATACTTGTACCTCATTTTGCAAATTTTGCAGACTATTGAAGCTCAGAGAGGTGAGGTAATTCATCCAAGGTCACATAGCCCAGAAGCAAAAGCTTAGGCCTTAAGTCTTGGACTGCTTTACCAGTTTATCATACTGCCACTGCTTGCCATCAAGTGCCATGTATCTTTGTCAAATAAGTCCTTTTTTGTTGAGTCTGGATTGGAGCTAAAGAAAGGAGTTGTCAGTGTGAGTGGTTTGCTTCCCCTCTTCTCATATGTTGCAGAGCGTTAGGGATGATTATTCACTCTCCTGCTTCTTGTCCCTCTGGCTACTTCAGTTCACCACACCCTTTGGGAAAAACAAAACAAAACTGACCTCTTTTCCAAAACTCATCCATCTTTCCCAGTTATATTTCTTTTCTTTCTTTTTTCTTTTTTTTTTTTGGAGATGGAGTTTCGCTCTTGTTGCCCAGGCTGGAGCACAGTGGTGCAGTCTCGGCTCACCACAGCCTCTGCCTTCCGGGTTCAAGCGATTCTCCTGCCTCAGCCTCCCGAGTAGCTGAGATTACAAGCACGCACCAACATGCCTGGTTAATTTTGTATTTTTAGTAGAGATGGGGTTTCTCCATGTTGGTCAGGCTGGCCTCGAACTACCGACCTCAGGTGATCCACCCACCTTGGCCTCCCTAAGTGCTGGGATTACAGGCATGAGCCACCGCGCCCAGCCTCCCAGTTATATTTCTAAGCAAATCTGGGGGGATTCAAGCTTCACAGTAAAGTCCTACCATCAAACTAGATCATAAGCTCCCCCTGCTCCTGAGGGATTTCACAGGCCACTGGAAGTGTGTGAACAACTGCATCAAAGGTGGCTGACTCTCCACAAAAAAAGCAAACCAGGGGAAGGACCGCCCTTGTATGCTCTTTGACGTTTTCCTTCTGGATCCAGTTCCATGCCTCTGCCTGGGACTTTTAAAGATCTCTGGCTTTATTTACTCTCTCCACTTCATCTAGTGAGCCTTGAGTCATAGCCACCAGCCATCCAGATAAGGCAACCACTTCTTTGTTCTTTCTTGCTTGCTTGCTTTTGTGCTTTCTTGCTTTCTTTCTTCTTTCTTTCTGTCTTACTTTCTGTCTCCCTTCCTTTCTGTTTTTATTTTATTTTATTTTATTTCTTTTCTTTTCTTTTTCTTTCTCTTCTTTTTTCTTAGATTTTACAATTCACTGAATTTCCCCTGCATTGATAGTTTATTTCCCAGCAATATAAACTCCAGATCATTATTCAAGTCTCAGTAAATATAACTTCCTCACAATACTTTCTGATTATCCAAAGCAGAATTAATGTCTCCATAAAAGTTTGCACAAACTCTACAATATCACTTACCACACAGAATAAATAGCTGTTTACCTGTCATCTACCCACTGTAGACTTCCAACACCCTGTGATCAGGGATTACATCACATTAATCTTTCTACTCCCCACTAATCATCTGCCATTTAGTAGATGTGCAATAAGTGTTGAGTGAGTTTTATGTCCACACAGGTTATTCATCCTCTGTTGGAACACTTCTAATGACAACTCACTATTTCAAGATCCAGTCATTTCTATTGTTGCACAGATATAATTATTATAAGGTCAAAGTTTTTTCTTACATTGGACTGATCTCAGTGTCTCTGACATTTCCTCTTTTGGTTCTGGTTTGGCCCTCTGGACCCACCCAGATGAAGTTGGCTCCTCGTTAGGGATTTAAAGACAGTAAACGTGCCCTCCCTAACTCTTCTCTCCTCCAAGTTAAACAGCCTGCTTGCCTCTAGTGAGGGCCTGCACATGAGGACCTGTAAATCTTAGCCATCCTGGTTCTTCTTCCCAGGATAACCTCTAATCATCAATATTCCTTTGAAAGAGGGTTCCCATGCCACATCCCAGACATGGAAGCAATACTGAGTACTATGGGATTCCACTAGGCTGGGCACTATACTTTTACAAATAACCTTAATAATATATTTTTGGGTATTCTGTCAGTTCTTTGGTCTTTTTTTTTTAACAGTGAGGAAATCAGATTTCTACTGAATCCTGCTACAATTAATTTTGTAACCTTAAAAGTAAAACTTTATATTTGTCAGTGTTAACAAATCTTATTTATTTGAGATTTGGGGGTATTTAGGTCTAGAAGACTGAACTCTGAATATAATAATAATTTTACAATTAGCAGATGCACTCTCCTCTTTGATAAGCCTATAAACAATTCATCTCTGTGTCCTGCCATCCCTCAATTGTTCCCTGGCTGTCTTCCCTACCCATAGTCACAAGGTGGTTGCAGCAGTTTAGGAGTCATAGTCAATGACAACAACAGCCTCCAGAGAAAAAAGAAACCAAGTCTTTGTTGGGACCCCTTTTAAGATAAGGAAAACCTTTGCCAGGAGCTCCCCCAGCAGACTTCACCTGATATCTCTGTGACCAGAAGTGTGACACATGCTCATGCTAGACCAGTCATTGGCAAGTAGAAGGAGGTTGCTGTTTTTGACTTAGATCAATCAGACCCAACTCCAAGCCAGGGATGCAGTCATTCTCCTCTGAAGTCCCTGGATTTGAGAAGGAATGTGGATCCCTGCATACAACTGGCATTTTGTTAACCAGGAAGAAGGAAAGAATGAAGGTTGGGTAGATGGCATAAGAGTCTGCTATAATTCCCCTGTCTCTTCTGATGTTAACTGCTCCTCGCCATCATAGCTTTGATCTCTCCAGCTTTCTAGGTCTGAGCTTCTGAGCTTTTCCTTCACTTATTTCATCACCACCTCCACTGGCTTCAATAAGTCACTAACTGGTTGGTTTTGCAAGGACCAGACTCATTTTAAAAGAATAACTTGATATTAGCTTTACAAAATAAACCATTTAATATTTACAAGTCATAAATCAAATACAGTTTCTTCCCAGAATCATTGTAGACCACCAGTCTACCAGCATTTATATCACCTAGTTACCACCTGGGCAGGGAGAAATTACTCAGTGATGTGATAAAGAGCGTAAGAGGAAAACACTGGCATGGATTCTTTACCACATTGATCATGCCTCGTCTGTGCTGAGGTGAGATCGCAACCCAACTTCTAGACTTCTCCAATTATCTGTGCCTCTTCCCAGAACCTGCCCCTCTGTCCTATTCCCCACATCTTCCACTTCCTCTGTCTGACACTAATTACCTTTTGGGTAACCATTTAAATATTGTGACCCCTTGTGGTGTTATATATATAAAAATGTTTTCATCCATAGTTTCTGGCTTATAACTCCAATAGTCCTCCTTATAATGTTGGGGCACTTTAGTCCTCAGGAGACAGAGTCTCTCTCTCTCTGACCTTCGCCTGTCCTTCTTTCACTTGCTCATGGCAGGACTCTAGTCTGATCATGGGTCAAAAGACTCTCATTCCAGAGAGAGTCCTGCCTCATACCCTAGAGGAAGGCATGCTACACAGAGGCCAAGAAAAGTCTGAACAGACAGGCCTTGCTGGGTTTAAATCATGTAGTTTTTGTCCAATGACATCTCTACACAGTTGCCAATCATGCCTATGTAATGAGACCTCCACAAAAACCCTGAAGGACAGGGTTTTGAGAGTTTCTGGACAGCTGAACCCATGAAGATTCCTAGAAGGTGTGTTCCCAGGGAGGACACAGAATTTCGGTACCACTCCTCCCATGCCTCACCCTGTGCATCTCTTCATCTGTATCCTGTATAAAATCCTCTATAATAAACCACTAAATGTGTTTCCCTGAGTTCTGTGAGCCACTCCAGCAAATTAATTGAACCCAAAGAGGTGTCATGGGAATCCCAACTTGAAGCTGGTTGGTCAGAAGTTCTGGAGGCTTGGACTTGGGTCTGAGGGTACGGGCGGCACTCTTGGGGACTGAGCCCCCAAACTGTGGGATCTGACACTATCTCCAGATAGATAGTGTTAGAACTGGTGTCCACTGCTTGGTGTGTGGGAAAAACTCCTACACTTTTGGACACAGAAATCTTCTTCTGTGTTGATGATTGTTGTGATGGTGAGAGAGTAAAGGGAAAACACAGTTTAAGAGAGTTTTTCCCTAAAACACCCATCTAGGCACAGCAAGTACTCTGCTTTGAGATTTCAGACCACAAGGCGACTGCATATTACAGTGCTTATCCCACTTTAAAGCTTGTTGCATTATCAGTCTCTTCTCTTAAGTCCCTAAATAAGCTCATGAGCAACAGGCACCATATCCATATTGCTCACCCTTGTACCCCTAGTGCTTAGCACACAGGTGAGAGTCACTGATCATTTTTTTTACTTAACAAGTAAATGACCAAATAGCATCTGTTAACATTACAGCACCACATTCTGTCTTACCCTCTGATAGGTTAACTATTTTTAACTATGCACCACAGAATATAACTTCTCAATGCTATGCCATGATTCGTTTGTGACTGGGGAGGGTGCAAGTCCAACTTTGTAACTGGCTCTTTTCTTGACTAGTGGGTCCGTATACCTGCCATCTTTATCACAACCTGCTCTGACTTGCTTCCATAGCTTTCAGCTGGGGCTGGGGCTGGGGCTGGGACTGAGAGAAGCCCATTGGGGTCCTGCAGGAACAGGGTTTCCCAAAGCATTCGGAAGCATTTATGTGCCATTGGCGGTACTTGCAATGATTTTAAGTAATACAATTCTCTTATTGATTTTCTGCTTATTTCTATGGTTAGCTTCTATTCGTGGCAATAAAACTTGTTTTCCATTTTCAGTAGTAATTTACTTTTTTCTTAGTTTCCTTTTTTTTTAAAAAAAGAGTTTTTAAGTAAGCTTTGTTTGTAATAGCCAAAAACTGAAAGCAATTCAAATGTCCATTGATAGGTAGACGGATAAACAAAGTGTGGTATATTCGCATTATATCCATATTAATGATAAGTTAATAAAAAGTAAAAAGGAATAAATAATCAATACATGCAACAACATGGATGAATTTCAAAACCACACTGAGTCAAAGAAGGCAGGCAAAAAAGAGTACAAGTACTTATATAAAATTCTAGAAAATGCAATCTAATATATAGGGACAAAAAGCAAATCATTGGTTGCTTGGGGATGGAGGTGAAGTGAGACATGCATTAAAAAGCAACGTAACAAAATTTAAGGGAGAAATTGATTTTTTTAACTCATTATCTTGATTGTGTCGATGGTTCCATGGGTAGAAATACATGTCAAAACTGATTATATTTGTATACTTGAAATATGTGCAGGTTATTCTATGTCAGTGTTTCCTCAAAGTTGTTAGAAAAATAAACCCGATCGTGTAAGGACTTGGGAGCCATTGGCACAAAGTTTTAATTAAGTTCTAAGTACAAAGGGAAGCTACTAGAGGGTTGTGAACAATGAAAGATGATTTGGTTAAACATTTCATGCAACAGATTCACTTAAGGCATGTTTTTTTAAAAAAAAATCTTATGTGAAATATTCTCACAAATCTCAAAATCTCCCCCAAATAAAGCAGGCTTGCTTATAACTAATTGCTAATACTTTGGATTGGTTAGGTATTTTCCCTCCTAAATGCATATAGAAAGGTCAAAACTGGACTGGGGAGACCACATTAATTTTAGTGCAGGTCGAGTAAGAAATAAGCAGAAAATGTGGAAATAAACATGCCTCTTCCCACAGTAAATTGAGGAAGACATGATGATCAAAGATGCGGAGCACATCCACTAGGCATTTCCTGCATAAAACTCACACTATAGTAGCTGTTCTTTGAAAAGAGTTGAAATGTCCAGGAGACTTGAGGAAGCAAATATATATATGCTCTATTTCTTTCATAAGAAGATAAGAAATGAGCCAGAATGTATAGCACCAGGAATTTTGACTTTGATAGTGAGCGAGGATCACAAAACATGAATAAGAATGAGATCACATACCACATGGTCCAGGCTTGGCAGGACCATTCACGAGAGCACAGCCTGTCTGAGAGCCCCACGTTCATGTTTTTTTAGAAGAGGCATGAAAAGAAGTGACCTAACATAGACGATCATAGAAATATAGAATTTGGTTTAAAAACTAAAATCTGAAATCACGATCTTAAAACAAATGGCCTGTTGAGGCCTTGAGTTTCACAGTTGATGGCTAAGGATTAAGGAGAAAAAGGAAACCACTTTCCACCAACTGTAACTTGTTTCTAAAGCACTTTAAAGCACTTGAAGAAACTAAGCACTCGAAGGACACTTTTGAACTATCTTAAACTGATTAACTTGTCACTGACAGAGGCTTTTTCTAACACCTGAGAGCTCGAATATTGTTCCGGTTGAGGTGGAAATGTGATGCATTGTTTACGGATTACTTCATTGTGACACTGTAGAAAAAAATCTGACCAAACCAAATATGTTGTCACTGCTGGGAAATGTCTCTTACCTCCTGCTCTGACAGGAAGTCACCACTATTGATTTAGCTAATAGAATTTCTTAAAAGTTCCTTTGACACACAGAGCTGGAAGTTATGCTTCCTTCTCCCCCTTTTTCAAAAGAGAATCAGACTTATTTTTTAAATGGTCGCATTCAACAAATGTTTATGAAGTGCCTACATGTGCTGGATTGGAAGTCTTTCAGCAGGTGTGCTTTGTAGGTAGAGGAGCTGAGGTGTGCACAGTCCATGGGAGTATCATCTTGTAGATAATGGTTGATTACCTGCAGAACTAGTGAAATTGCATTTCTATCTGTGCCTGCACAGCAAGGTAAAAGAGGTAATTTTAAGTGAAGCCTAGCTTTAAGTTAAATACAAATCTAGTTGAAAGAGTAGACTTTTTGAGGAACTACTTCAAGCAAATAAAATAAAATTTAATGCACAGCTGCTTCTAAAATTTTCAGCCCAGAAATCGCAACCTATGTTAGTACTGTCTGCTTAAGATTACAAGTTCCTAAAGATGAAGGATGTATCAACGTTGTTCTTTGTTCAATGCCCAAAATACATTTACTCCTGAGAAAAAAAGACAGAGAAAGTTAAGGACTTCCCTTTAGCTGTTTACTTTAAGTCCTTCCTAGCTCTTCTCTCTCACTGAGAGAAGATTTAGATGCAAGAGGAGCTAATTAGAGTAGATTTCTTCTGGCTTCTATGTAAAGGTAGTCAGGAATTGGGAAACCAACTTGTGGAATCCTGTGTCATTCTCTACTTTTGAAATCTTAAAACAAATGCACAAAGAAAAAACAAAGAACTTTTTAAGTCATATAGCATTAGCTTTATTTCCCACTGCTGTATTATTAAAACCACCAATAAGAAATCTTAGGATTATCGTATCTCTCTTCTTACACCAAGACAAATTTCAAATGGATCAAACACAAAAGCCATCAAAGTAACCAAAGAAAAGATAAAAACTTTTTTTTTCATTTACTGCATGGGAGGAGAGACAATATGTGTAAAACCAAAAGTCATAAAGAAAAACATTCATAAATTAGAGTATGTAAAAATATGCTTCTGGTTTAGAAACAAAACTTCTCTATAGCACACGTACACATACACACAACCATAAACAAAGTCATTTCACACTTGAGGATTGGAGATATTGAGAGCCATGTTTGTTACACATATGACAGAAAAAATATATCATTTCCTTGATATTCAAGTAGCCTACAAATCAACCAGAAATAGACTCAGAATTAAAAGCGGCAAATAATATGGTAAAAATATGAATTGACTAATGGCCGTAGAAAGAGACATTCAATGTAGCTCACTATGAAAGAAATGAAAAACCTATCAATTTGGCAAAGAAGATGTAAAATTTCAGTCTACAGGGTTCATAAGAGTGTGCAGAAATAGACATTCCACATACACTGTTGGTGACAGAGTAATTTGGTAGACATTTTGTGGAGGGTAACTCTTTGGAGGGTATTTTTTTTTAATTTTATTATTATTATACTTTAAGTTTTAGGGTACATGTGCACAACATGCAGGTTTGTTACTTATGTATACATGTGCCATGTTGGTGTGCTACACCCTCTAACTCGTCATTTACATTAGGTATATCTCCTAATGCTATCCCTCCCCCCTCCCCCCCCAACCCCACAACAGTCCCCAGTGTGTGATGTTCCCCTTCCTGTGTCCATGTGTTCTCATTGTTCAATTCCCACCTATGAGTGAGAACATGCAGTGTTTGGTTTTTTGTCCTTGTGATAGTTTGCTGAGAATGATGGTTTCCAGCTTCATCCATGTCCCTACAAAGGACATGAACTCATCATTTTTTTGGCTGCATAGTATTCCATGGTGTATATGTGCCACATTTTCTTAATCCAGTCTATCATTGTTGGACATTTGGGTTGGTTCCAAGTCTTTGGTATTGCGAATAGTGCCACAATAAACATACGTGTGCATGTGTCTTTATAGCAGCCTGATTTATAATCCTTTGGGTATATACCCAGTAATGGGATGGCTGGGTCAAATGGTATTTCTAGTTCTAGATCCCTGAGGAATTGCCACACTGACTTCCACAATGGTTGAACTAGTTTACAGTCCCACCAACAGTGTAAAAGTGTTCCTATTTCTCCACATCCTCTCCAGCACCTGTTGTTTCCTGACTTTTTAATGATCGCCATTCTAACTGGTATGAGATGGTATCTCATTGTGGTTTTGATTTGCATTTCTCTGATGGCCAGTGATGATGAGCATTTTTTCATGTGTCTGTTGGCTGCATAAATGTCTTCTTTTGAGAAGTGTCTGTTCATATCCTTCGCCCACTTTTTGATGGGGTTGTTTGTCTTTTTGTTGGTGGTGGTGAGAGAGTAATTTGGTAGACATTTTGTGGAGGGTAACTCTTTGGAGGGTATTTTAAACATGGCTTTGATTCAGCAATTTCACCTCTGGAAATTTATCATGTGGATATACTCACAAAGAGTTGTCAATCTGTATGTACAAAGGGTTTCCAATTACAATATTGTTGCCACAAAATCTTGCAAGCAAACAAAATATCAATTAAGGATTTTTAAAAGTATGCTACATCTGCACCATGGGTTACTATACAGCTGGTAAAAATAATGCAGTAGGTTTAGATGTAGCAATAGAAGACTTCCAGGATGTATTGTTAATTAAAAAAGAAAGTTGCATAGGAGTATTTCAGTCATGTGTAAAACCTAACTCGGTCATGTCACTCATGGACACAACTTTCCAACGGCTCCCCACCCCATTCAGAGTAAAAGCCAAAATTCTAACCCTGGCTGAAAGGGTCCTTACGTTCCTGGTCCCTGTTACTTTTTTTTCTTTGACTTTATCTCCTCTCACTCCCTCATCGTTCACTCTACTCAGCCATGCTGGTCTCCTGGCTGTTCTTCAAACATGCCAGGTGCCTCCTGCCACAAGACCTCTGCACTGGATCCTTCCCTCTGCCTGGAACATTTCCCCTCTCTGCTCACTCCCTCACAGGCTTCAAGCATTTGCACAAATGTCACCCTTTTTGGAGGAGCTTTCCCGGTTAACCTTATTTAAAATCACAATACTCTAACACTCTTTATTTCCCCTTTTCTCCTTTCCAATTTTTCCTTGCACTCATCACCTGCTAAGTGCTATATAGCTTATTTATTAGGATTATTGCCTCTCTTCCTCTATTTGAACATGAGTTTCCATAGTGGCAGGGATGTTTGTCTATATTATTCTCTATTGCATCCCCACTGCTTGGCACCTAGTAGATGCTCAATAAATATTTTTGGATGAGAATTTTATATCTTTTTAAGTGTTTACATTTTTATTGTGAGCTTGAATCACCCTTGAAATTACAGTGAAAGACTGTAAAAACTGAAGAGCTCTTGTTATCCCTTTGAGAAATGGCTTTAGCGGAAGCACAAAAAGGCCTTTGCCCTCAGCTTGAACAGCAGCCTCATGGGATGCCCTCAGAGGCCTTGGTTCCGAATTGTTATGAGGCAGACAGGGCTTTGAATCAGGGCTTATAGTTCCTGATCCCAGACAAAATACTGAGGAACATTACTTTGAGAGGTATTTCAGAGTTCTATAAATATATCTGTTGGGACAAAATGAAAAGACATAAGAAATTTAGCATAATGATTAGAAAATCTGAAAGCAAACTGAGTTTAAGCCTTGTGTCTTTACCTACTAGCTGTGTAATTAATCTTGATCAATTAGTCTTGCTCTGCCTCAGTTACCTCATCTGTAAAATAGGGATAATAATAGAACTTACTTCCTAAGATTTCTGTGAGGATGGGACGAGTCAATACCTTAAGTCCTGTAGAATGATGTCTGGCATATCATGCACACTGAGTATGTGTTAGCATCTATTAATGTAGAGAGCACAAAAAATAAATTTAAAAAACATTATGTATATCGGCATAAATTCACATGCATCGGCCTGTTTAGGTTCTTTTACACTAGTACAGAAACCTAACCTTTTTTTTCCTTTCCCTTTTGTGCATATTAAATTGCCCTCAATTTTTACATAGGTACTATTCCATTTTTTATCTGGTGGTTATAAGGACAAACCCAAAGGTGAAAAATAAAAGATCTGATGATGAAATAAAAGTCTTCTCATGGAAGTGATTATTGAAGTGTCTTCTCATTTTACCTTCAAGCAAACACGTTTAAGAGGAAAGACAAAAATCCAAACATGTCTGTACTCACAGATGACTTGGTCTGTCTTTTCACACACCCCTGTTTGTTCACTAAAAGACAGATAATAATATAGATTTCAAAAGAAACTCTGGAGCTGACTCTGAATGTGGGCGGTTGAGTTGATTTCAGAGCATAAAAATTCAGTTTCTATGATCTGCCCACTAGAGTAACTTGAAGTCTTAGCCTGATTTCTGCAATGGTCTCCTAAAGGAAGTAATCAAAGACCAGGCAGGTTCATTCACTCCTCAACCTGAAGCAAGCTGGCATTCTTCTTGACGCTTTCTTTTTCTGGTTTTCTTTCATTAAATATATTTTCTGTCTGCCACTGTCCCCCACTGCAGGCAACATGTTGCTGGCACATCTTTTATTTATTTTTATTTTATTTTATTTTTATTTTTTAAGACAGAGTCTCGCTCTGTCACCCAGGCTGGAGTGCAGCGGCGCGATCTCAGCTCACTGCAGCCTCCACCTCCTAGGTTCAAGTAATTCTCCTGCCTCAGCCTCTAGAGCAGCTGGGATTACAGGCTCCTGCCACCACACCCAGCTCTGATTCATCTTTCTGCTCACCTCTCGATAAAAAGTAACTGTGCAATCCAAAGGAAAACAGACATTATGGTCAAATCAATCCTAGTCACTTAAAAATCAAGCTTCCTTCACAAAATCTTCATTGAGTATCTCTTTTAGCTCTCTGCTTCGGCTGTTTTCCTTGGGTTCTAACCAGAAACACGTTTCTATTGTTTAGTCTTAACCGGAACTATTTTTTAATCCTACTTTTTTCTCTATACCTCCCATAGCTGATTTTCTTTCTCTCATTCTCTCTCTCTCATTTTCTCTCTCTCTTTCTCTCTCTCTCTCATTCTCTCTCTCTCTCTCATTCTCTCTTGTCCCCTCTCTCATCATAAGATTTTTAAAAATTCCTTCCAGCTAGAGACGTATTTCCACTATGACACGTGCCATATGGAATAATTAGCTGGCAGATCTAATGCCCCATCTTCTTGTCTCTTTCTCACCCTGCCCAGAATTCCTACACAGCCACTCACAACCCCTCAAGTAACCACACAAGTTGAATTTGCCCTTTGACATGCCACTCCTGCCCCTACTCTGTAAACATTTAACAGCCACACCAGAGAGAAAAGGAAAGGAACGCTGGCTGTGTGCAGAGCAAAAGCTGGTCAGAGAGACATGATCTGCACCCAACTTGAGAAGGTGACTTGTCCCAGAGCTAATATTTATTTCTCAATGAAACTGTTAGAAGACTGCATAAACTAAAAACCCTTGGATTTAGAGCCTCAAAAAAACTTAAAAGACGATGTCATCTGCCACTTGAGCACTTTTTGTGACCCAGACACTCTCTAAACACTTTACATGGATTAGTTTGTCCAGTCTTCACAACAGCACTATGAGGTAGAGCTAGGTATCATTATTATCTCCGTTTTAGTGATGAGGAAACAGGCACAGAGACATTAAGTAACCTGCCCAAGGTCACCCAACTAGTAAATGGAGAAGTCTACCTTCTTTACCATGAAGCCATCCAGCCCCCATCCCCCTATCATTTTATAGATGAAAAAGCTGAAGCCTTGGGAGAGTGCGTAACTAGCCCACCAGCAGAAATAGTCCTTCTATTGATTCTCTTCTGATGTCAACCACTGTGTTACCCAGCCAAACCCCAATCTAATAAAATGCAACTTTGTGCTTCTACTGGTCCCTACACTTCTTACCAATCCTCTGTCCCTCTTCAATGCACTTATCTATTTGCACTGGGTCTCTCCCTGCTGGTCCTCAATGGTAAGGGCCTGGTCTTACTGATCTTTTTGTTCCTTGCACATACCTGGCACTTCATCCCACTGGTTTTCCTCTGCTTTTGAGAGGAATGGTAGGATTGATAAGCCATGGGAGATAGAGTAGCAGTATATCCACCACTCATTTCCTGTCCCTGGTTCCAGAATAATGCACATGCAGTACATATGGTTACATTGGAGAATAAATCAGTATTTTAAGTTTACTCTAGTGCCCTGGAAGTTTACTTCAATAACCAGGAATTGAAATCCCATCACGTCGTTGCAATGTGGTTAAGGCCATGTCAGAAAATAACCAGGGTAGCTGGGTTCAGTGGCTCATTCCTGTAATCCTAGCACTTTGGGAGGCTGAGGCAGGTAGGTCACTTGAGGTCAGGAGTTTGAGACCAGCCTGGCCAACAGAACAAACACCTGTCTCTACTAAATAATACAGAAATTTGCCAGGCGTGGTGGTGCACACCTGTAATCCCAGCTACTCAGGAGACTGAGGCAGAAGAATTGCTTAAACCTGGGAGGTAGAAGTTGCAGTGAGCCGAGATCACACCACTGCACTCCAGCCTGGGCAACAGAGAGAGACTGTGTCTCAAAAGAAGAAAAAAAGAAAAAAATGACTAGGGCTATGGACAAAGATTTGAGAGTCTGTGCATGGGTGGGTTTAGATGCCAGAGTAAGAGATGAGTGCAGAGAAAGGAAATCCCTGGAGACAAATCCCTGGGAACAGTATTTCTTGAGCTCTCTTGGAATTTGGCACAGACAGTCCTGTGCTTAAAGCCAGTGAAATCTCTAGCCCCAGAATGGCTTAGGTTCTAATTATAATGTAAAGTTGGGCCACTCTTTGGATACCAATATTTAGATTCTGTACCTGGAAGGTCTCAGGGTGGAGTGGTAAGCCTAGGGGTAGCAAGTGGTTTTCTTCATTAATTCTGCTCATTTGGTCATTACTACTAGGAATGCTGTATTAAGGATGCTTCTGAGGAAAGCAGGCTGCAATCACTGGCGAAGAAGGGCAAGGATTGATAAGCCATGGGAGGTAGAGTAGCAGTATATCCACCACTCATTCACTATCCCTGGTTGCAGAATAGTGCACATGCAGTACATTTGGTTACAATGGAAAATAAATTTTAAGTTGGCTGCAGGGCTCTATAGATCCAAGAATGTTTCACCCATAAATCCCAGTGCTTCCAGAAAGTACTGCTGGACTGGAATCCCAATCATAGCATCTGAGAGAAAATAATGGTTCTTACAAACTCTTTTGTTTCGTGGACTTTTTTTAGTTTTAGTTTTTTTTTTTTTTTTCCAACTTTTAAGTTCAAGGGCACATGTGCAGGATGTGCAGGTTTGTTACACAGATAAACATGTGCCATGGTGGCTTGCCGCATGTATCATCCCATTACCCAGGCATTAAGCCCAGCATCCACTAGCTATTCCTCCTGATGCTCTCCTTCCCCCCACCCTCCAACAGGTCCCAGTTTGTGTTGTTCCCCCCTATATGTCCATGTGTTCCCATCATTCAGCTCCCACTTATAGTAAAAACATGCGGTATTTGGTTTTCTGTTCCTGCGTTAGTTTGGTAAGGATAATGGCCTCTAGCTCCATCCATGTCCCTGCCAAGAACATGATCTTGTTCATTTTTATGACTGCGTAGTGTTCCATGGTGTATATGTACCATATTTTCTTTATCCAATCTATCATTGATGGGCACCTAGATTGATTTTTTTTAATTTTTAAAAAAATTTTTAGGTTCAGGAGTACATGTGCAGGTTTGTTATATAGGTAAATTTGTGTCATGGGAGTTTATTATATACATAATTTCATCACACAGGTACTAAGCCTAGTACCCAATAGTTATTTTTTCTAGTCCTCTCCCTCCTCCTACCCTCCACCCCCAAGTAAGCCCCAGTGTCTGTTGTTTCCTTCTTTGTGTACATGTGTTCTCATCATTTAGCTCCCACTGATAAGGGAGAACATGCAGTATTTGATTTTCTGGTTCTGTGTTAGTGTAATAAGGATAATGGCCTCCAGCTCCATCCATGTTCTGCAAAAGACATGATCTCGTTTTTTATGGCTGCATAGCATTCCATGGTGTATAGGTATCACAGTTTCTTCAACCACTCTACCATTGATGGGCACCTAGGTTGCTTTCATGTCTTTGGTATTGTGAATAATGCTGCAATGAACATACACATGCATGTGTCTTCATAATAGAATAATGTTTATTCCTTTGGGTATATACCCAGTAATGGGATTGCTGGGTCGAATGGTATTTCTGTTTCTAGGTCTTTGAGGAATCACCACACTGTCTTCCACAATGGTTGAACTAATTTACAACCCCACCAACAGTGAAAAAGTATGCCTTTATCTCCATAACCTCATCAGCATCTGTTATTTTTTGACTTTTTTTTTTTTTTTTTTTTTTTTTTTTTTTGAGACGGAGTCTCGCTCTGTCGCCCAGGCTGGAGTGCAGTGGCGCGATCTCGGCTCACTGCAAGCTCCGCCTCCCGGGTTCACGCCATTCTCCTGCCTCAGCCTCCCGAGTAGCTGGGACTACGGGCGCCCGCTACCACGCCCGGCTAATTTTTTGTATTTTTAGTAGAGACGGGGTTTCACCGTGTTAGCCAGGATGGTCTCGATCTCCTGACCTCGTGATCCGCCCGCCTCGGCCTCCCAAAGTGCTGGGATTACAGGCGTGAGCCACCGCGCCCGGCCTTTTTTGACTTTTTAATAATAGCCATTCTGACTGGTGTGAGATGGTATCTCCTTGTGGTTTTGATTTGCATTTCTCTACTGATCAGTGATGTTGAACTTTTTTCCATATGTTACAAACTCTTTTGATTGTAATACCTGGAAATATCAATCTTTGGAAATCCTTGGGGACAAGTTTCAGGCAGAGAGGTAGGAGGAGAGTCAGTGAGGGCCCTGTCAAGGGAGCCAAGGGGATTAAAGGGCATCAAGGCAGGTATTTGGCTAGTCCAAGTGCTGCAGAGATCAGTGCCAGGTCCTGGGAACAGAAAGATCAGTAAAACATGGCTCCATGGCACACCAAGGATGAACTGCTGGGAGCATTATCTGTAGAAAGTTTTAAAATAACAACAAAACCAACTCAAAATTCAATGCTTTTTATTATTGTCAGGCACTGGCAACTCTAAACAATGTCAGTGATAAAATACTCTTCTCTCAAAACATCTCTTATTAGTCTAAGTTCTAATCAATTGATTGCTGAGTTTTAATAATATATAGGTAAGATTAATATTAGCAGGTTTTTATTTCCTATATTTTAATAAATACTATATTGTACATGGAAGATATTCAGAGAATTCCCAGTTACATAATTGCTACATATGTTTGTTTTGAGTAAAATTTGTAGCAATTTGTTTCAATGTGCTTTGGGCTCAGTGTGTCTCCAAACCTTTGGTATCACATATTCCTGCATTTAAACAGAAAACCTAAAATTATAAATGGCAACGTAGGGATTGTAAAGATGAAAAATACAACTTGAGTTATTTTAACTCTGCCGTTCTCTGTAAACACATGGAGTTTTTATTTGTATTTAAATTTTTTGACTACAGAGCCATGTGAAGGCTGCTAGAATTGATCCCAAATAAACAAAGACATAGACCTTATTGCAATTTGTGGAATATATTGTGCAGAGAGATTTTTATGTATTTCTGCCAAACTTACATTTCAGACCTTTCCTTTATATCTGTTACTTTGTGCAAAAGTTTCCAAAATTAATTTTTAAAACACATTCTTTAATCAACCATAAGTGAAGATAGACTGAGAAATCTGGCTAGCCATCTATTGAACATGAATATGTGAAAAGAATAATTTTGATAAAGTCATTGGCAAATGCACGTAAGTCAAGGAAACAGAAATATAATACTGTCATTCATTTCTGTGGCAGACCAATTGGTAGGTATGAATTTTTTCCTTTTGTTCAAAACATACAGTGGCATAATTAAAACACATTAAGCCATCTTAATTTTTGTGTATTATAATATTATCTTTTTAAATATTTTTTAATCGGACATGACCATATACATGAAACATAATAATAGAAAATTTATACTTTCTACATTTCTTTTCTGGCCACTATTATTCACTTCATTTCATGATTATTATTGAAAACAATGTCAACATATTGAGGAGGAAGGTATTAAAAAAATGATCTTCTCAGCCAAGCACGGTGGCTCACGTCTGTAATCCTAGCACTTTGGGAGGCTGAGGCGGATGGATCACCTGAGGTCGGGAGTTCGAGAGCAGCCTGACCAACATGGAGAAACCCCATCTCTACTAAAAATACAAAATTAGCTGGACATGGTGGCACATAACTGTAATCCCAGCTACTCAGGAGGCTGAGGCAGGAGAATAGCTGGAATCCGGGAGGCAGAGGTTGTGTGAGCCGAGATCGCGCTACTGCACTCCAGCCTGGGCAACAAGAGAAAACTCCATCTCAGAAAAAAAAAAAAAGATCTTCTCAGGGTGTCAAATATGCTAGGTATGCCATGAAGTGGAGGAGCCTGCAACCCTGCAGGGACAGACTCAACTTGATCAGATGAGGTTAATAAAAGGGTGCAGGTGGTGTGAAACAGAGTGTGCGGGCAATAGTGGAAGCACAAGGTTGCCAGTTCTCTAAGGGGAAGTGTTGGGTGGGGAGTTTCAGAAAAGACTTGATAGAGGGATTATTAGCTAGCTATGGGAGTTTGGGGTGTTCTAGGGCTACACTTCCTGGAAAATCATGAGGTCAGAAAGGCAGCTGGCCCAGTGGTAAAGGACGCACTTTCCTCCACTTACAGCTTGGCAAGTTATGTAATGTCTCTGGGCTGCATAAGTAAAATGAAAAGCAAGGGTAATATTAGTACCTGCCTTATTAGACTGTTGAGAGAAGTAAATGAGAATAGCACTGAGAATACAGTGTCTGAGCCACAAAAGCCAGGCTTACATAATAGTTATGAGGAAAGCTTGGAGTCGTTTTAGTGATGCCAGACTGTAAGGTAAAGGAATCAGTGGCTGGAAGGGATTCAGGTTCCAGTAGATCAAACCATACTTCCTAGAAGTTTGGCCCGAATGGATAGAGATGCTATAGAAGATGGAAGATGAAGGAAGGGAACAGACTTTGTGGGTCCCACCAGACTTCCACACAAATACCAGCTTAACCTAGAGCAGTCTTCCCCATGCCCCATCAGTTACTATCAATCCCATCACCCTCTTCATTTCCCACATAGTGCTTGATGCTAACATCCATGCTTCTCATTCATTTATTTGTTTATTGTCTTCCCCACCATCAGCCCCCTTCTCCTTAGAATGTAACTTTAATGAGAACAGCAACCTTGACTGTCTTGTCTACTCCTGCATCTACAAAGCCTAGAATTGCTTTGCTCCTCCATAAATATTGTTAAATTAATTATTGAATTAATGCCATATATCCTCAATCCATTTAAAGGGGGGTGATTTCAGCTCATTTGTCAGCAGAGGGAAAGAATCCAGGAATGGGGGAAAGCCTGACAATACCGGAGAGCAGGAATTATTCGGAGCTTAGGATCAAATGCACCAGTCGGGGGATGACAGTGGAAATGATAGAGAATAGTTCTCACCCTGGATATCACATTTCATATAGAGCTGATTAATATCCCTCTACCTCTCACTCCCAGACAGCTGGACTCTGATACTCATGTGATTAGGCACATGCTGTCATTAATCATCTTTATAAAATAGCTCAAAGAAAATTACACCCAGCAAGTAGCCATCCAACCTTGTTACGGTCCTCGCATGTTGGTTTGCTCCCTAAAATAAGCAGACCTTGTCTCAGTCTTTCAGCAACCCGAAAAGCTGCAGGAGTAGTTTATATGAAGTCTACTTAGACTCCACACAGGAACGGAGAGAAGCTTTTGGCTGAGATAAAACTACTCATCTAAATGTAGTCAACAAGAAAGTACTCAAATCTCCAGAAATTGTTTAAATAGAAAGAAAAATCTCCTGTGGATAAGAAGTTGCAGCTAGAGAAAGACTAGCAGAATGGAGAGAATTTCTGACTTCTAAATTTTTAAACAAATAAATCACCAAGACATATAGCAGTGTGCTTAAAATAAAGGCTGCACAGTTTGCCCTGTATTTAAGAGCATGCATACAGGGATAATACCTTTCTGGTGACATTTGTCCTTAATATAGTTATTTATCTTCAGGAAGACTTCTCACTGGCACACTTGGCAAAGGTAAAATTCAGTCCATTATGACCATTGATTTGGAAATGCATAAAATACTGGGATCCACAACAAACTGCATGATAAGCAGTAGTGAAAACTACAAATATGGCTGGGTGTGGCGCGGTGGCTCATGCCTATAATCCCAGCACTCTGGGAGGCTGAAGTGGGGGGGATCACCTGAGTTCAGGAGTTCGAGACCAGCCTGGCCAACATGGTGAAACTCTGACTCTACTAAAAATACAAAAATTAGCTGGGTGTGGTGGCACATGCCTGTAATCCCAGCTACTCAGGAGGCTGAGGCAGGAGAATCACTCGAACCCAGGAGGTGGAGGCTGAGGTGAGCTGAGATCGCACCGCTGCACTCCAGCCTGCATGACAGAGCAAAACTCTATCTCAAAAAAGAAAAAAAAAAAAAAACCCTGCAAGTATAATCAAAAGATATTTCTTTATTTTAAGTTCCAGGGTACATGTGCAGGATGTACAGGTTTGTTACATAGGTAAATGTGTGCCATGGTGGTTTGCTGCACCTATCAACCCATCACCTAGGTATTAAGCCCAGTATGCATTAGCTATTTTTCCTAACACTCTCTCCACCGTGCCCTCCCCTGACAGGCCCCAGGGTGTGTTGTTCCCCTCCCTGTGTCTATGTGTTCTTATTGTTCAGCTCTCACTTATGAGTGAGAACATGCAGTGTTTGGTTTTCTGTTCTTGTATTAGTTTGCTGATGATAATGGCTTCCGGTCTCATCCATGTCCCTGCAAAGGCCATGAATGCATTCCTTTTTATGGCTTCATAATATTCATTGGTGTATATATACCATGTTTTCTTTATCTAGTCTATCACTGATGGGCATTTGGGTTGATTCCCTGTCTTTGCTATTATGAATAGTACTGCAATGAACATACGTGTGCATGTATCATTATAATAGAATGATTTCTATTCCTTTGGGTGTATACCCAGTAATGGGATTGCTAGGTCAAATAGTATTCCCTGTTCTAAATCTTTGAGGAGTTTCCACACTGTCTTCCACACGGTTGAACTAATTTACATTCCCACCAACAATGTAAAAACATTCCTATTTCTCTGCAACCTCACCAGCACCTGTTGTTTCTTGACTTTTTAATAATGCCATTCTGACTGGTGTGAGATGGTATCTCATCAAAAGATATTTCTACAGACTTTTGTAATGGTGAAGAATGTAAGTTGAATTTCATTTTCGGTGTAATTATTATTAGTGAAATCAGATAATGTGGTAAACAAAAATATGAGTATTTTCTCAGGTAAGTTAGAAGAGGACATCTGATGGAAATAAAAAGATCTCTACAGACATCCCAACCCCCATTAGGAGTGTTATTGAGTCATATCTAATTTAGGGGTTCCAGACTACATTTCTCTTCTTGGTGTTGTAATACTATATTTTGTCAATATTTTAAAGCAGCATGACCATATATATGACACACAATAACTGAAATGTTTCACTTCCTACATATCTTTGTTTCCCAATACATGTTTTAATTAATTAATTTTTGCATTAAAGCCATATATCCTCAATCCCATTTAAACAGCTCATTTGTCCGCAGAAATAGTACAAGGAGTGGGGAAAGTTTGACAATACTGGACAATAAGAATTCATCAGGAATCTTCATTCGCAATATTTGCACTCATTCATTCAGCCAAAAATCATCAAGCTCCTACCCTGTGTTAGGCATTTTCATAGATAGTAGAGATGGAGGGGTCAGCATGTTGAAGACTCTGCCCTTCTATAGCTAAATTCTGAGGGAAGAGGCAAATAATAGGGTAATAATAAAAAGGGAAAGCCAATGATAACTGATATGCAGGTTACTAAACAGAAGGTTCGGCCAAGTGCAATAGTTCATACCTGTAATTGCAGCACTTTGGGAGGCCAAGGCAGGTGGATTGCTTGAGCTCAGGAGCTCAAGACCAGCCTGGTCAATATGGCAAAGCCCCACCACAAAAAAAAAAAAAAAAAAAAAAAAAAAAATTAGCTGGGTGTGGTGGTACATGCCTGTAGCCCCAGCTACTAAGGAGGCAGAGGTGGAAGGACCACCTGAGCCCAGGAGGTTGAGGCTGCAGTGAGCCATGAGTGGGCAACTCACTGCCTCACTGCACTCCAGCCTGGGCAATAGCATGAGACTCTTTCTTAAAAGGAGAAGAAAGAAGGAAGAAGGAGGAAGGAGGAAGGAGGAAGAAGAAGAAGAAGAAGAAGAGGAGGAGGAGGAGGAAGAGAGGAGGAGAGGGGGATGGGAGGGGGAGGGAGGAGGAGGAAGGAGGAGGAAGAAAGAAGAAGGAGGAGGAGAAGAAGGAGGAGAAGAGAAAGAAAGAGGAAGAAGAAGAAAGCTGTAATAGTAAATGGCTGGTGGCCACTTTCAATAGGGTGGTCAGGAAAGGCCTCTTGCCGAATGCAACATTTAAGCTGAGGCCTGGATATTAATGAAAAGCCAGGTGTGCAAGCATCTGGACAAAGAGACTCCAGGCAGAGAGCACCCATGCAAAGGTCCTGAGGAAGAAAAAAGCTTGTGATTTTTCAGGAATTGAAAGAAGGCGCATATAGCTGGTGCATGGTAGTTAAAGTAGGGAGTGGTACAAAAAGTGCAGAGGTAGGCAGCAGCCCAATCACATAGGGCTTTTTATTTCAGGATAAGGCATTTGGATGCAGCTACGGTCTCAATGTTTGCGCCTCCCAAGATTCATAATCCCCTATGTAACAGCATGATCCCAATGTAATAGCATTAACAGGTGGGGCCTCTAGGAGGTGATTAGGTCATTGAGGGTAAAGCCTTTGTGAATGGGATTAGTGTCTTTATAAAAGAGGCTCAAGGGAGCTTGTTCTCCAACTCCACCGTGTGAGGATGCAGCCAGAAGGCGCCATCTATAAAACAGAGATCAATCCCTCACCAGACACCAAACCTGCCAGCACCTTCATTTTGGACTTCCCAGATTCCATAAAATTCTGTTGTTTATAACTTATCCAGCCTAAGTTATTAAATTAGCCAAAACAGACTAAGACAGATGCTAAATGTAATGGGCTCCCATTGGAAGGTTTTTTAAAAACAGAATATGCCTTTTTAAAATATTGTAGCAGCTTCATGGATAGTGGACCATGGGGAAGCAAGAGAGGAAGCAGTGGGGGGCCATCTGGAAGGAAAGAGATACTGGTGGTTAAGACGAGCACTGAGACAGTGGAGATGCTGAGAACTATTCAGGATGTATTTTGGAAAGCCACAAGACTGGTGAATAAATTGGGTAGAAGTTTAATAGGAAAATAGAAATCAAAGATGTCCAGGTTTTTGACCTGGGCACAGGTGGATGGTGATTCCATTCACTGAGATGAAAAAGACTGGGAAGGCTGCTTGGGAAGGAGGATCAAAAGTCCTGTTTTGAACAGATTAAGTTTGAAATGCCTATTGGACATCCAGATGAAGATTCCCAGTAAGCAACTAGATTTTCAGATCTAGATAGAGTTCAGGAGCAAGGTCAAAAGAGAGAGATACAGATTTAAGAATCATCAACAGTTGGTATTTAAAGCAATGAAACTGGGCAAGCCTATCCAGAGAGAAGGCAGATAGATAAGATAGAAAAGGCTGAGGCCAAAGCTCTGGAGCACAACATTTAGAAGCTCCAGAGTAGTAACAACAAGCAAGAGAAACCAAAGAGTAATTGGTAAGATAGAAGGGAAACAAAGGACTGTGGCATCGTGGAAGTTTTCAAGATTAAAGTTTCAAGAAGGGGCATATGGTCAACCTTGGCAAATATTATACCAAGAAACTGACTACAACGAAGACAAAGAATTGCCAACTATTTGGCAAGATTTCAGTCAGCAAAGACTTTGAAAAGAGCAGATCCACTGGAGAGGGATCAGGAAAAAACAGGAGGTGAGAAAGTGAAAACATTTTGTTTCAATAACTCTTTTAAGGATTTTTCAGGTAAAGCCAGGCTGGGAATTAAATGAGCCCAGTCCAAGAGACAATATGTCACAAAGACAGTGGTGATACTAGAGACCCAGCCTGCCCCTGTTCCATCAGCTTCAGCCTAATGTGGCCATAAAGGAGTTGTAGCCCAGTGTGTTAGATTTCTGATTTTTAAAGAAAATCTCGACGGCTATATTTGTATTTGAAATTTCTCAATTGTTCCATGTTGACTCAATTTATTTAAAAAAAAAATCATGACAATCAAACAAATCCATCTGCAGGCCAGATGGTTTGACTAATGAAAATCCCTGGTCTAGTGATTAGAAGTGGAAGAGAAGGAGGAGGCCTGTCCTCTGCTCTCAATTCTCTACCTGTGTTCTCATTCTGAGTAATATCCGCCTCACATACTTAGTTTTCTGTATTCTGTTCTAAGAATTTTAACTACTTTATTTTTGTCTAAATGATACACAGTAACTAGTTTTACCATTTCTCAGTTCAATTGATTAGTTGTTTGATTTATTCAATTAAATATTTATTAAACAAGCACTAAGCAAGTAGAAGAGAAAATTAAAAGCATAACATTTACAATAGCAGAAAATAAAATGTCACATACCTAAGAATAAATCTAATAAAGGATGGGCAAAGTTTCTACACACACAAAAAAAAAAGCCTACATTTTTTGGAGAAAGTAAAAATGATGTTAAATAATGAAAACATGTTGCATGTTCAGCAACTGGAAGATTTAACATATAAAGATATCAGCTCTCTCCCAATTACTCTATAGATTCAGTAGCTCATCATGAGGAAGGCAATCTCAGTCCAAGTCTCAGAAGGTTGTTCTCATGGGAATTGACAACGAGATTATAAAATTTAAATGGAAATGCAAATGGCCATGAATGCCATGGGAATTGAAGAACAAAGTTGGATAGCAAGATTTACTGTAAAAGCTACAATAATTAAAACACTGTGGTATTGGCACTAGACTAGACAAATTGACAGTAGAACAAGATAGAGAATACAGGAACAAACCCATGCATACAGAATCACTTGAATTAGGACAAAGCATAGCCTTTTCAATACATGGTGCTGAGACAACTGGAAATTCATTTGAAAAAAATTGAGTTGGACTCCATATACACAAAAGTCAATTCCAGTTATGTTATAGTTCTAAGTTGAAAGGTGAAATAAAGTTTCTATAAGAAAACATAGGAGAATATCTTCATGAGCTTGAAGTAGTCAAAGATTTTTAAACAGGACACAGGAAACATTAAGGTGCCATAAAAGAAAAGAAAAGATTGATTGGCCAGGCGTGGTGGCTCACACCAGCACTTTGGGAGGCTGAGGTAGGTGGATCACAAGGTCAGGAGATCGAGACCATCCTGGCCAACATGGTAAAACCTTGTCCCTACTGAAAATACAAAAATTAGCTGGGTGTGGTGGTACGTGCCTGTAGTCCCAGCTACTCATGCGGCTGAGGCAGGAGAATCCCTTGAACCTGGGAGGCGGAGGTTGCAGTGAGCCGAGATCGCACCACTGTACTCCAGCCTGGGAACAGAGCAAGACTGTCTCAAAAAAAAAAAAAAAATGATTAAGTGAATCGCATTAAAATAAGAACTTCTGTTTATCAAAAGCCTCCATTAAGAAAGTGAAAAAAAACAAGCCACAGAATGGGAGAATATGTTTGCAACACCTATACCTGACAAAAGATTTATATCCAAAATATATGTGGAACCCCCCTCCTTCAAATCATAGGAAATAAAGATAAATAACCCAATTAAAGGGAAGAATGGGCAAATATTTAAAGGGCACTTCACAAAAGAGGATGTTCAAATTACAAAAAACATATGAATAGGCTCAAGATTATTATCCATCAAAGAAATGCAAATTAAAGCCACAATGAAATCCCACTACAGATCTAGCAAAATGGCTGCAATTTAAAAGACCTATAATTCCAAGCTGCTGGAAAGCATGAAGAGCAACTGAAACTCTTATCTACTACTGAGAAGAACGTAAATTGGTGTAACGACTTTGGAAAACTAACAATTCCTACTAATGTCAAATGTATGCATTGGGAACTTACTCATGACCCAGTAATTCCTTAATTTCTTGAACTTGGTGGTAGCATTCAGTTCATGAAAATTTATTGTATGGTACACTTATGGTCTGTGAACATTTTTCTGTATTTGTTTCCATTCCATAAATAGATTCATTTTTAAAAATGCTTAGTGAGTACCTATGATGCACTAGACATGGTGCAGATATCGGGAACATGGTATAAACTAGAAGACCATGGGCCCTGCTCTCATGAAACTGAGTCAAATAAGGAATTAAATGAGCTATTTTTTAATTTGTATAAAAACAAAAATTGTGTACAAATAAGAGCCCATCTTGAAGCTTAAAAATAAGTGTATAAAAATAGTCACATTTGGTGACTATTCCTTCATTTTGGTGTTTGTAAGGCATTCTGTATGTTCACTTTTTCTGACACTGCATTTACCATTTCCTCCTCATCTTTTGACAAGGGTAGAAATATTCTCTACCCTGCTTGAGGCTCACTTCTTCCACCTATCCTCTGAGCCCTATCATCTTACATGTATTTATCTCTATTAACACATGATATTGTTATTTTTCATTTACATGAATGTCTCCTCCACTAGACTGTGAAGTTCTTGAGGTCACACAAGTACTATCACTATTCTTTAATTCTCATGCCTAGCAGAGTGCTTGAGCTATATATAGTAGGTACTTTATAAATACTAGTGGGATGGAAGAAAGGAAGGCTACAGATATACAACTTCTATGTAGGATACTTACATTCTTTCATTTTTCTTATGACATATCTTAAAAATATATTTGAACAATAATCGTTTAGTCAGTTCCTGGTACATAAATTTATTGAAGATGAGAATCTTCAATGTGGTGACATAAAGAGTCCCTTTCTCATAATTTCATTTTTCTAAATTATTTTTATTTTTCCATAAGTTATTGGGGTACAGGTGGTATTTGGTTACATGATTAAGTTCTTTAGTGGTGATTTGTGAGATTTTGGTGCACCCATCACTGAGCATCACACATTGTACCCTATTTGTAGTCTTTTATCCCTCACCCCCTTCCCACCTCTCCCCTCAAGTCCCCAAAGTCCATCGTATCATTCTCATGCCTTTGTGTCCTCATAGCTTAGCTCCCACATATCAGTGAGAACATACGATGTTTGGTTTTTCATTCCTCAATTACTTCACTTAGAATAATAATCTTCAGTCTCATTCAGGTTGCTGCAAATGCCATTAATTCATTCCTTTTTATGGCTGAGTTGTATTCCATCATATGTATATGTATATCACAGTTTATTCACTTGTTGATTGATGGGCATTTTGGTTGGTTCCACAATTTTGCAATTGTGAATTGTGCTGTTACAAACGTGTATGCAAGTATCTTTTTCAAATAATGACTTCTTTTTCTCTGGGTAGATACCCAGTAGTGGGATTGCTGGATCAAATGGTAGTTCTACTTTTAGTTCTTTAAGGAATCTCCACACTGTTTTCCATAGTGGCTGTACTAGTTTACATTCCCACCAGCAGTGTAAAAGTGTTCCTGTTCACCACATCCATGCCAATATCTACTGTTATTTCATTTTTTGATTATGGTCATTCCTGCAAGAGTAAGGTGGTATCACATGGTGGTTTTGATTTGCATTTCCCTGATCATTAGTGATGTTGAGCAATTTTTTAGATGTTTGTTGGCCATTTGTACATCTTCTTTTGAGCATTGTCTATTCATGTCCTTAGCCCACTTTTTGATGGGATTGTTTGTTTTTTTTTCTTACTGATTTGTTTAAATTTGTTGTAGATTCTAGATATTAGTCCTTTGTCAGATGTATAGATTGTGAAGATTTTCTCCCACTCTGTGGGTTGTCTGTTTACTCTACTTACTATTCCTTTTGTTGTGCAAAACTCTTTAGTTTAATTAAGTCCCAGCTATTTATCTTTGTTTTATTGCATTTACTTTTGTGTTCTAGTTCATGAAATCCTTGCCTAAGCCAATGTCTAGAAGGATTTTTCCAATGTTATCTTCTAGAATTTTTATAGCTTCAGGTCTTAGATTTGAGTCCTTAATCCATCTTAAGTTCATTTTTGTATAAGGTGAGAGTTGAGTATTCAGTTTCATTCTCATACATGTGGCTAGCTAATTATCCCAGCACCATTTGTTGAAAACGGTGTCCTTTCCCCTACTTTATGTTTGTGTTTGCTTGTTGAATATCAATTGGATGTAAGTATCTGGGTTTATTTCTGGGTTCTCTATGCTGTTCCATTGGCCTATTGCCTATTTTTATACCAGTACCATGTTGTTTTGGTGACAATGACTTTATAGTATAGTTTGAAATCAGGTAGTACGATGCCTCCAGATTTGTTATTTTTGCTTAGTCTTGCTTTGGCTATGTGGGCTCTTTTTTGTTTCCATATGAAGTTTAGAATTGTTTTTTTCTAATTCTGTGAAGAATGATGGTGGTATCTTGATGGGGATTGTGTTGAATTTGTACATTGCTTTTGGCAGTATGTTCATATACACAATATCGATTCTATCCATCCATTAGCATGGGATGTCTTTCCATTTGTTTGTGTTGTCTATGACTTCTTTCAGCAGTGTTTTGTAGTTTTCCTTGTAGAGGCCTTTCACTTCCTTGGTTAGGTATATTCCTAAGTATTTTATTTTTTTACAACTATTGTAAAAGGGGTTGAGTTCTTGATTTGATTCTCCACTTGGTCACTGTTGGTTTATAGAAGAGCTACTGATTTCTGTACATTAATCCTGTATCCAGAAATTTTGCTGAATTCTTTTGTCCATTCTAGGAGCTCTCTGGAGGAGTCTTTAGGGTTTTCAAGGTAAACGATCATATTGTCAGCAAACAGTGACAGTTTGACTTCCTCTTTACCAATTTGGATGCCTTTTATTTCTTTCTCTTGTCTGATTGCTCTGGCTAGGACTTCCAGTACTATGCTGAAGAGGAGTGGTAAGAGTGGCTATCCTTGTCTTATTTCGGTTCTCAGAGGGAATGCTTTCAACTTTTCACCATTCAGTATTATGTTGACTGTGGGTGTGTCTTAGATGGGTTTTATTATATAGAGGTATGTTCCTTGTATGCCAATTTTGCTGAGAGTTAATCATAAAGGTATGCCACATTTTGTTGAATGCTTTTTCTGCATCTATTGAGATGATCATGTGATTTTTGTTTTAAATTCTGTTTATGTGGTGTATCACATTTATCGACTTGCATGTGTTAAACCATCCCTGCATCCCTGGTATGAAACCCATTTGATCATGTTGGATTATCTTTTTGATTTCAACACTTCCAAACATGTGATAGATGAGTTGTCTCAGTCACCATGCAGCAGTCCAAATTGTAAATTGTTTACCCACTAATATCATCAAACTACTAAATATATCTAAAGTAAGTACTTTATAGCCCTCAAAATGTTTGTATTAATCCATTTTCACACTGCTGATAAAGACATACCCAAGACTGGGAAATTTACAAAAGTAAGAGGTTTAATGGACTTACAGTTCCACGTGGCTAGGGAAGCCTCACAGTCATGGCAGAAAGCAAAAGAAGCAAGTCACGTCTTACACGGATGGCAGTAGGCAAAATGAGAGCGCTCGTGCAGGGAAACTCCTGTTTATAAGACCATCAGACCTTGTGACACTTATTCACTATCATGAGATCAACACAGGGAAGATTCACCCCCATAATTCAATCACCTCCCACTGGGTTTCTCCCATGACACATGGAACTGGGGGAGTTACAACTCAAGGTGAGATTTGGGTGGGGACACAGCCAAACTATATCAATGTTCTGTTTTATAGTCAATATATCTTTGCTATAAATTCCCCAATGTGAGTTTTTATAGCAAAATAAATCAGTGACATGACAAAAAGGAGTAAATTAGTGAGTTGGTAATTAAAAACAGCATCATCTGTAACCTAGCAATCCAGCATCCCTGGAGTTAGACAAAGGCATCCAATAGCCTTGGTTTTGAGACACTTTGGAGTGTCTTCCACATTAACTTTCCTTGCCCTCAGCCTGAATGGGCCCTCAGCAGTCAATAGTTAAGACCCCATCTTGTGGCCACCATTGATTGGACAGGGCTGGACACTGGACACAAGCTAAACTAATCAGAGACTCTTCTCTGAGAACTTGAAATTAGGATCAAGAATTTGGAATCAAGCGATTTCATCTCTCCACTTGACTAGACTTCTAACATGGTGATTTGAGAGCCATGGGGTCCCAGGTTCTGCCATGAGGACTAGGGAGCAGAAAAAAGTGAGTCTACAAACAGTAAGAATGAGACAGAAATACAGAGAGAAACAGAGGCAAGAGATGGGGGATGTGCCCTATGCTCACAATGGCTTTCCCACTTCCAGATACTTCTGAGGCCAGGCAGTGCTTTCTGCCCTGGAGTTCATTGGATACCCATGTTCTCTTATGAAAGGAATCCTTTATGGGTAGCTTAAGCTGGTTTGTTTGTTTGTTTGTTTGTTTTCACTTGCAACCAAGAAATCCTAAGTAATACAAGTTCTCATTCTGTTGTCTCGGAAAGGGGCATTAGTGACTTCTAAACCTTCCATGAAGCTAACCTAGTTTTAACTAATTTTGATTTATATATGTAAAAAGTAACGCATGAACATGGCACAAGTAAAAAAACTGAAAGTAAAAATCTTCCTCTACCCTCAGTCCCTAAGTAACTGTCCTTAATAGTTCTTTATATATCTTTAACAAAATGTTTATATAGATACAGATAGACGTATTGATATTTTATTTTACATAAATGGAATCATTTTACAAATGTTCTGCTGTTTGGTTTTTATACAGTAATATACCTAAGATATGTTCCCATGTCAGAAAATATGTATCTATCTTATTATTTATGAAGGTTGCATAATATTCCATTGTTTGGAAGTACTGTAATTTATTTAATCTCCTAGGACTTAGATTGTTTTCAGTTCTTTAGTATCATGCTGCAATGTCTTGCCCATGTATCTTTGAGTGCTTTTGTGAGTCTATTTGCAGTAAAAACCCCTAAATTGTAATTGCTAGCACCCATGATTTGTGCATTTTAAATTCAATAAATATTGTTTAACTGACTCCTTCCATGAGTCTAACTCTGAAGAAAGGAGCATTAAAACCTCCTGTAAGTAGAACTAGAAAAGGTGTGGGATAGTGAGTCAGATAAAGCACAGAACACTGAAGTATGAAAGGGAATATGGTTTTGTATGACACAGGCCAAAAGATGCTCAATGCTTCCTCATCTGATATGACCAAGACCAACGAGTTCTTAATGGGCCATTTTGAGTCACCACGATATAGATTTATATTCACCCACATCCTGCCTGGTAGGGTGAGACATGACCAGTAAAACCCAGTCCCCCTGTGGTTGAGAATTTATGAACTCAGGAGAACCCTGGAGACGAGAATATTTTTTTCTCAATCTTGCCTCCCTTCCAAAAGTTCTTCTGAACAAAATGAAAAAATGGGATTTCTCCTATCTAAGAGTTTATTTCACACTTTGTGGTTTAGAGAGCAACATGTCACTCCTTATAGGACTCTGGGGTGGCTATGACAATAATACCCATTTTACAGATGATGAAACTAAAGACAAAAAAAAAAGTGACTTTCCCATGGTAATAGAACAAGTAAGTTTTAAAGCTGGATTCAAGCCAAGGACCTCTGGCTAGAAAACAGTCCTTCTTTAAAGCAACGACACTAAGCTGAAATAGCTGATTTTGACCCCTTAAATAAACCGTTTATTTGTAGCTAGTACAAGCCACCTGTTAAGCAATAGTTTTCCAATTGGGTATTTGGGAGCCATGTAAATACAGTTCCTGTGCATCAGCAGGGAGCTGTCAGGGTTTGAACCTTCAAGTTTCCTCTCTCACATTATTGAGTCAAAACCCATCACATGTTAGAAAAGAATCAACTCCACTTAGGAGAGAGCTGACTGAGCACAGGCTCTTAGGAAAGAGATGAGTAAATACTTCCGATAATTAGACAAAAAGTCCTAAATTAGCAAAGCTTTCTGAGAAATTTTGACATGTTAGGAAATCCTCAGAACTATAGAATTGCTTTTCTGCAACCACTTACCTTCCCATTCCCTACTCCCAGCACATAACCATCAAGCAACCAAATGTCCATGAGGTCGGAGTTCTGTTAACAAACCAGCAGCAGTAAATGCTGGCCCATGGGATGCCACTCTCTGTGTCCAGTGGCCTTGGATCTCCACGAGGAAACACAGTTCCCTCAAGTGACAAGAGCTCTGCCTTACAATCATGAGTGTTAAAAATAGATGTGTACATGCAAGAGGAACAACCATGGGAAGTGGTTTTTGGCATTTCCTGTGGTCATATGTGCATCTGTTACCCGCCAACTGATTTCTAGAATGTGATTACAGATAGCTTACAGTAACAATTTTTATACCAAATGCCTAACTAATAAAAACATATGACTCTTCAGAAGTACAAATGCAAGGTATGGTGAGGAATTGAAGAAACAATCAGCATGATTCAGATCCTAAAATAAAATAAATCAGCACAGATTACATGATTCTATATTCCAGGTGTTCTCCTCCCTTCCTTCCACTTTTGATCTACACACTTTCCATCAGTGATCTCATTCAGAACCATGGAATTAAGCATCATCATTACCCTTATAATACCACAACTCCCTCTCCAGCCCTAGATATCTCCATTGAGCTTGAAGCTTGTATAGCCGACTCCACCTTAATATCTTCAAATGATTGTCCAATAAGTATCTCAAACTTGACATAAACAAAACAGAACTTTGTGGGGGTTTCTTCCCCAAAAACCCATTTCTTTCCCATTCTTTCTCAAATAAGTAAATGGTAACATCCTTCACCCCAGTTCACATACACACCTCTAACAATTTTTGTTCATCCCATCTTTTTCCTCATATCCAATCCATCAGCAGGTCAAGCCACATGTCTCCACATCCATGGCTGCTCTTCTAGTCCAAGCTTCCTCCATCTCTTGCCTGGATTACTAAAACAGACCTGCTTTTATTCTTGATTCCTGGCAACCCATTCTCCCCTGCCTAACCCCTCCATCTTCCATCACACTTAAGAAAAAAAATGCCTGGCCAGGCACAGTGGCTCACACCTGTAATCCTAGCACTTTGGGAAGCCAAGGCGGGCAGATCACCAGGTCAGGAGATCAAGACCAACCTGGCCAACATGGTGAAACCCCGTCTCTACTAAAATACAAAAAATTAGCTGGGTGTGGTGGCACGCCTGTAGTCCCAGCTACTCAGGAGGCTGAGGCAGGGGAATTGCTTAAACCTAGGAGGCAGAGGTTGCAGTGAGCCGAGATTGCGCCACTGCACTCCAGCCTGGGCGACACAGCAAGACAGCAAGACTCCGTCTCAAAAAAGAAAAAGAAAAAGTAATGCCTTACTAATACCAGCAATGCCATACAGAATCTAGCCTCTCCTCCTGTCTGAATTACCTCATACCTCATTCCACTCCACAAATACCCAACATGCCTTGTTTCTGCTCCTCAAACATAACAAGCTTGTCCCTTAGGGCATTTGCTTCTTCCTCTCCCTGGAATGCTCTTCGTCCAGATCTTCATATGGCAGGTTTCCTTTGTCATTTGGGCTTCATTTCAACAGTCATCTCGCAGGCCTTCCTTGAGCACCCAAATCTATGTTGTTCCTTCTACCCTTCAGTCACTATCACATATATCATGTTACCAGGTGTTTTTTTCAACATGGCTAAATTATCTTTTCTTCTTCTTAATTTTTGGTTTCCTCCATTAGAATGTAAACTCTTGAAGTCGGGGGCCTTGTCTGCCTAGCTCTTTTTTTTTTTTTTTTTTTTTTGAGACAGAGTCTTGTACTGTCTCCCAGGCTGGAGTGCAATGGCATGATCTCGGCTCACTTCAACCTCCCCCTCCCAGGTTCAAGCAATTCTCCTGCCTTAGCCTCCCGAGTAGCTGGGATTACAGGTGCCCACCACCACGCCCAGCTAATTTTTTGTATTTTTAATAGAGATGGGGTTTCACTATGTTGGCCAGGCTGGTCTCGAACTACTGACCTCGTGATCTGCCTGCCTCGGCCTCCCAAAGTACTGGGATTACAGGCATGAGCCACCGAGCCCAGCCTCGTCTGCCTAGCTCTTGACTGAATTCCTAAAGCCTGTTGAATAAACCCCTGACTGACTTAGTAGATATGGATTGGATAAATCCCTGACTTCATAGATATGGATGAAGCCTGCATGTGACTGTTGACTCAAGTAGAATGAGTCTGCATTACGCCAAATGAGAAAATCGTTGTGTATTTGATCTCTGCCTCATCTGGAAATTTCTTCTAGAGAGAGAAGAGAAGAATTCACCCAGGACTACCAGAGCAGTAACAACTTTTGATAAGCAGGGGCAGTTTTGTCACAGACTTGATCCAACTTGCTTCTTCAGGTTCCCAGATACATGAAGAAACAGAAAGCCCATGACAGATGCATGTTTTCATTTATTCTACAAATATTTATTGAGAGCCTACAAAATCCAAGGATTGTGGTAGGTAGCAAGAATTCAGTGGTAAATGTGACAGAAATAGTCTCTGCTCTTGTTGAATTCAGAGTCTGATGGAGGAGACATATAGTTACAAAGTAACTACACAAATAAATATTTATTTTGTGATGAGATCCAGGGGAAAAGCACAGGATGCTATGACAAAGAGAGAGCAGGAGCAGCTCTTCCTGACCAGGCGCAGTTCTTCAGGAAGAACTGCCATGCTGCATTGGCATTAAGGCAAACTCACAGAAAAGAAGAACCACCACGAGGCCAACCCTTGATCCTGTCTTGTCTCCCTTCGCCTTCCCTCTACTGCCACTCCCTTTACTAGAAAGGTGATTTTCTCTATGCAAGCAGTACAAGGCTGGGTGACCCCACTGCATCTAACAATTGGTCCCATAGGACTTGCCTGCAACAGCATGGGGGAAAGCAGATGACCCACTTGAGCCAGATTCTCTGTGATATGCTCACCTTTGTCCTTCCTCCTACCCGCTAAAAACCAGCAGGTAGCCAAGAACTTATCCCACTCATGAACAATACCGCCATGACTACTAGTACTATTGCTTTATCATCATCCTCTTTGGTTAGCATTGACTTAGATCTTCATTTGTACCACTGAGTTCCCTGTGTCCTAAGCGTTTGCTTTCCTGATCTCCTTCCACGTTCACTCATGTTGTTGTTTCTGCAACTATTCAGGTACAGACGAGAAAACTGATATAACTGTTTACGAACATAGACTATTCACTTACAGATGAGAAAACTGATATGCAGAGAATTAAAGTAATGTGCCAAAGGTCACATGAGAAAGTGATAAACTCAGAGTTAAAACCCAGGTCTGTCAGCCCACTCTCAACCACCATACTATGCCACTTCTCTATGGTAGAAATAAAAAACTGGAAACTTCTCTAGAACAATCTTAGCTCAGGAAGCCGAATTAGGTATATGTTATGATCCTGTGATATGTTACATAACTCGAGATGAAAGAGAAGCCTCATGTATATTCAAGGCTTTGTGGTGCCTGATTTTAGCAGATGTGAACCCTTCAGGGTATCTGTTCGCTAGTTACATTCTGTACTTTCAAGGCACAGTGTTCTTTGAAGATAAGACCTTATTTGTTCTCAGAACATTTATTGGTCAGAAACCATTGTGATCACTTTGCAGATAAGGCAACTGAGGTTTGGGACTGACAAACCAATATGGCCCAAGTCTCCTAAGTTACATCAGAAGCCGATGACAGATTGCAGCCCCCATCTTTCATGCTTTTGGCTGGTCGCCCAACACCTCCAAGCTTCAGCTTCCTCATCTGCAGCATGAGAGACCTAGTCCAGGGCTTCTCTACACACTTCCTTTTCCCCAAATTCACATCACTCAGTGTTGGTTATAGTGGTCACCAGTTAGCTCTGCCTGTCCAACAAATGTACTCTTTTCTTTTGGTGCCCCCTTGTCTATGTGGGAAACCATCCTCTCTTGATAGCCCAAGCACAGCTCCAAGGCCAGGGGAGGGCAGGACCCATTCATTGATACCTGTGCTGCATCCAAAGAAGGAAAGGTCATTTCCCAAAGGAAAATCATGGCTTCACTGACCTAAGCAAGGGGCACAGATGCTCAACGTAAAACCCACCCACGTCCACCACAAGGGACTGCTCTTCAGTGTGCCGGAGAACTTAAACTTTCTCCAAACCTGGATGCAAGAGGCCCTAGGCCTGGGTTCGTTCGGTATGACAAGGGCCCCTTTAAACAGGAAAGCAGGAAGAGCATTCCAGAAGAAGATAGGATAAATGTGGAGTTGAGCAACTTGTGCAAGGTCATTTGAGGCTCTCAGGAGAGAAAGCAGGCCACCTGGCTCTTATTCCAAATTTCCTTCTAACCCCGCTGCTCCTCTGCTCCAAAGTCTGTACCCATAGCTATGTTGTCCCATTATAAAAGGAAGATTTGCTTTTTATTTTTTAAACTTTCCAAATGACAGTTGTTAATAAGAAATATCTTTAATGTTTCCTATTTTATTGAGAAATGAAGAAGAAAAAAAATCTGAATTTAAGGCCATTTAGAAGAGAGGAAGAAAAAATGAAACAAATGTGACACCAATAATAAAGAACACGTGAGATTATGGAAGAAAATAGCAGTGGTATCCCTCTGGACCAGAGGTCTCAAAGGTAGCCTGAGGACTGATTTCGGCCATTGGATATGTTTTATTTAGCCAATACAATGAGTCTTTTTAATGTTGAATTAATTGCCAACATTTAAAAACTGAAATGTTTTATATAAAAAGATTTCAGATGTGAGCGTTTGCTCGAATTAAGGAATAGGCATTCCCTCTGTACAGCATAAGAACTCTGTTCTCTGTGTCTCTCAAAGCATACTCTTCATTGACATTAACTGCTAGTCCCCATAGATGTTTGAATTTCGCAACCTCTGACTTAGATAGTTCTACAGCAGCAGCAGCTGCTGCTGGCAGGAGCTAATGTAACTATTTCCCTGAGCTTTCAGGCTCACCCCAGAACCTGAGCTGCTCCTAAAAATGTTGTAGGAACCTGTACCATTTATCTTGCCATGCTTTGTCAGCTCTGGCTTTGTGGAAGGGAACCTAAATCAATACCCAGTTTAGCTGAAGAAAATGAGACGGTTATAGGTGGGTTTACATCTCACTTAGGCTTCTGATGTCAGAACCGGGAGTTTAACATGAGCGGCTTGAAGGAAGGTGAGTCAGTGAGGTTGAGATGGAATAAAGGAGCTCTGCCAGGCAGGGGGTCCAGCCAACTTCTAGAAACTGCCAAAGCCAGGAAGAGGCAAGGTGGAAGAAAAGGTACTGGTGAAAATATTGAGTCTCATAGAGGAACCAGAGAATAACACCAAAAAACAACAAGATATGTGTCTGAAATGTTTGTACCCAGTCAAGCAAGGGTTTCGCCATTCATTTATGAGTGCATTGAACAATTTAGACAGTTAGTAGGTAAGTTTTAGATCATAGAATTGACTTTATTTTTCAACAAATGATTATTCCTTAATCCATTTATTCATTCAACAAATATGTACTGAACGTGTTCTGTATGTCAGGCACTGTCCCAAGCACTGAATGGCTGTGCATGAGAGACAAGCACATGTTAAATTTTAAATTACTTTATTATGTTTATTTGTTTTAATATATTGGTATAAATTTTGGCCTAAGTCTTCCCTAAATCTCTGTCATATATGACAATAAAGTCCTGGAATAGTAATTTCAGGGGTTGAATCAGGATAGCCTTTGACACAGATAGGAGACTTCCAGCATGGAAGGAAACGGCGCTCAATCAGTAAAAACACTTTAGCACCACCTCATATTTGTTTGTTTATAAATGAGATAATGTATATTATATAATACATTATAAAACATACAAAGGAAATGTTCAATTTGGAAATAATGAAATTTGTTATTTAGTTGTATTTATTATTTTTAAAAATAGAAGTTCTAGTATTTCTCTTCCACTCTGAAACGAATTGTTTTGTGCACTTTCTGAGGTGTGTCACCCCACAGTGGAGACCACTGGATTAGGCTGCCGATTCTAAAATTGTCGTAGGGCTCTATGGTGATCAGATGTTAGCGTCAACAGGAATTTGGACCTTTTTCATTGATCCAATTAAGTGTATGAGCGGTTGCTGGCTCAGGGCCTTCCCAAGGCTGCTAAAGTCCCAGGTGATCTTCTAACCCACGTCCCTCAAAGAGGACAGGGTGATCTCTCCAAAATGGAAACCTGCTTATGGAATGTCACTGCTTGTAGCCCTTGAGAGGTTGGCTTTGCATGTACCATGGAAGCACAGGACCCTCAGGGTGCCCTCCAAGGCCGGTCTCTGCAGCTGTGCTCCCTCAGCCCACCCCCCAATTGATTGCCTCACTCCACTCCAGACCTCCTTTAGGTGTTCAGGGACACACAGGATTTTTAGGGCATTGAAACTACTCTATATGAAACTATAATGGTGCACACATGCCTTTATACATTTGTCCAAACCCACAGAATGAACAACATCAAGAGTGAACTCTGATGTAAACTACGGACTCTGGGTGATAATGATGTGTGAATGCAGGTTCATCTGTTGTAACTAATGTGCCACTTTGGTGGGGGGTGTTGATAATGGAGGAGGCCATGCATGTATGGGACCCAATGGTATATGGGAAATATACCTGTACCTTCCTCTCAATTTTGCTATGAACCTAAAACTGCCCTAGAAAAATAAATTCTTCTAAATAAAGAAAATATTAAATAGTAAAAATAATGTTCAATGATGATAAACAAGCTAAATAAAAATAGTAGGAAAACAGAATACCATAAAATAGTAACACATTAGAAAGATGAGTAGTTAATATTTATATAATGATTACTTTTTGTTAGGCACCATTTCAGAAACTTTACATATATTAACACATTTAATTCTCACAACCACCCTTATAAGTTAGGTTCTATTATTATCCCCATTTTATAGACAAGGAAACTGAGACATGTTGAGTTGATAACATGCCTACTGTCTCACATGTAAGTGACAGAGTCAGAATTCCAGCCCAGGGCCCCTAGCTCCAGCCTCTGAGGTCTTAACCACTGTACTGTACTAGCATGTTTAATAAAATGAAAATATGTTCATATATTGTGACATCTGTTCTTTCAAAGAGCAAATTCACTCTCACCCGTGATCCATAAGGAGCTTAATTCCAAATTTTGATTGTTATGACATTAAGAAAGAGCTGTTAATCTTTGAGGATGAAGAGGTGTCTTGAAAAGGAATGACTGTCCTAACTTTCTGTTACTGATAAAGCTGGTCCCCCCCGCCCCCACCCCAAAAATAGGTCTTTCCCTCTTCAGTGCCAGGAAGCCAATACACAGAACAGAAAGTGAGCATCAAGCAGTACCAGCTTCATTCAATGGCCATGAAATTGAGAACCAGGAGATTGGCTCACAAATCACCTTCTCAGCTTATGAAAACCAGGAAGTCACAGATACAGAATATCTCTAATGACAGGGTCAGGCATTAAAAGCAAAGAGAAGAATATTCACATCTTTTCTGGAAATGGGCAGAAAACTCAGAACCAGAGTTGCCGCCTTCCTTTTTGTCATTTTATGGTTTCTTCTGTCATTGTCATGGTGATTGTCAACTGTCATGGTGCTCGCGGGAATGTCATTTAGCACGGAAATTTGATTATAATGAAGTTCCAGGTTCTTCAGAAGTCAAGTGAGCTGCCATCTTGGATCCAACAAGTCCCAGTCGATTTGGTCACGAGGGGGAGCTTTTGACGTCAGGCCTCCTGTTCCCTAAAGATGAGCAGAGTTAAGGCGGGGTAGAAATTTACCTAGTCACATGGGCATTACATTGGGTAATATTTCTAGTGGTGTAGATTAATGACACCCAAATATTATAACTCTTTATAGAAGAAGATTTGTTTACTCAGAAAATTTGTACTTTATGTCTGTCAGGTATGAGGCACTGCTAGGAATGGGGGGATTCATCAATGATTCAAATAAGCATAGTTCCTGCCCTCAAGAAGCTTATAATTTTGTAGAGGAAATAGACAATAAACACCCAACTCCTCATTAATTACCACTGTGAAAGGAGTTACAGAAGAAACGTCAGAGTACAGTGAGCAGAGAGAGGCCAGCCACACTTGGTCAGTGAGATAAGAATGCCTCTTGCCCTCCACTGGTGAGCATCTCACTGAGTGCAGGGAGGCTGTAGAGATTGGACCCCGAGCATGTGTTTGATCCATTGGCTAGAGAAGAAACTTCTTTTGATCAAATCCTGCCACCCCACACCAGCTGTGTGACCTTGGGCAAGTTATAGCACCTCTAAGCGCCTTCATTTTCACATCGGTAAAATGTGTATAATAGTAACACCCATCTCATTAATGTATTGTGAGGATTAAAGAGAAAATAATTGTATGGCAATTTGAACTGTGCCTAGAAGGTAGTCCACACTAAATAAGTATTAACTACTATCATTATTAGAAGTAATATAATAATATTGTCTTAAAACCAGAGATCTGAATCTAATAAAAATTAAGAAAATATTAAATAGAATAAAACTATGCATATAATAAATACTAAATAGAATAAAATTGGAAAGATAGTAAAGAGGATATCAATACGTGGAAATACTCCAGGCTGATAACCAAGATGAATTTCATACCAGATTGCTAATGTGTCTGCCCATTCACCTACAAGATCTGCTGAAACGGCTCTCCTAAAAATGTCCCCATATCTCTTCATGGTCATCCTGAGTTGGAATTCCCAGAGTCAGAGAGACAAGAGTCTATTTTGGCTTTTCCCTGAAACTTAATCGAGTGTAGCTGGTGTTTTAGACATTGTATCCTGATATTTTAGCTCTTATTGAAGTTATTTAGGGTTTTTAGGAAGGGTCTTGGATTCTCCTCTTTTGCTAATTTTTGATGTATTATTATTAAATGATTGTAACCATCATTAGAATTCTATGTATTTATGTGTAAATTTAAAATATTTGTAACTTTAGTATTTAGAACTACTTTAAAACAAAACCATGTACAAGCCTATCCATATTCTTTCAGTTTCATTGTGGCTGGATACTATGTTGCCTTGAATTTTACCTGTTACTTGCCCAGCTTCTGGATTTCCAGTATCAGAACATTAGAGGTTCATATTTTCCATACAAAAATAGAAAAAGTCATAATGGCGTGAAAGTCCCTGGGAGATTCACCCTTTCTTCTAGTGTGGTGTCTCAGCAAGTTCCCAGGCATATCACAGGATGGGAAGGATGGGGAAATACTCACCTAGGGCACTTACAAGGAGATAAGAATGGGAGGGCAGAGGGAGTTGGTCACCACGCTTGAACAAAGGGAGAAAAATATGTACACCTCTCATGAGTCATCAGTGAAAGTATCCAGCATGCTCAGGGGGCCTCCTGAACTTTGAAACTTGGATTTAATCCAGACATGAAATATGGAAAGTCACTCTTTATGCAATGCTTTCATCACCACCTCCGTTTTGCCTCTCTTTCATCTCAGTTAAGAGATACAAGACAGGTTCTTGTAATGACTGCCTGTGATTGCCATGCTAACAAAACTATTTACATGGAAATTAGGAATCCCATGTAGAATTCCAGAATCAAAGGTCCTGTGGATATGGTAATCAAGAAAATGTCTTTATATCCACATTATTGTGCCCATATGGTTATGATGCCATCTGGGTGCTAATTCTAATGCTATTCTTTCATGAGATGTTTAATAGTGCTCAATATTATTGACTGTTTAGTAGGCAGTAGAATTAGAGTTCCAATTATATGAGGTCATAGCACTGGCTACATGAGTGACCAGAAAGATGACTTACAGGGATTCCAGAAAACACACACACACACACACACACACACACACACACGCGTACACATGCACGTACACATACATGTATGCACTCATCAGGTAACTCTTTAAAAATTACTTAAATTCCTGATGAAGAGGCTACCACTTCTAAACTAATAAATGTCATGTGGACAGATATCTCCTTAGTAGCTGGGCTCATGCCATCCCTGCCCAGAAAAGGGGGCTAGAATCCCACAGAAAAAGCAGAAGATTATGCCCTCTTAGGAACTATAGTCCATCCTCCCAAGGTTTTTTTCCCCTTTAAGCAAATCCTCCTCACAAAAGAAAGATATGTTTATTTGTATTTTCAGTTAAGTTGACTATTTATTCACATTTCCTGCTGATGAGTCATTTATGCAGTTTACTGAAAAAAATAAATTGGTCACTAAAGCACTGCAAAATTAGGGTTCAAAGACGCAAAACTGACGTAAGCATCAAATAGGTACAGGTTAAGAATTTAATCAGCAAATAGATCAGTCAGCACGCTAGGACAGTACTCACACAAAGACTGGGTTTTGTTTAATTCTTTTCCAAGGGATCAGCACAGCCAGCCTGTCTGGAGCACCTCTGTTGGTTTTGCTCATCAGATACTTGTAAACAGAGCAAACACAGATATTTGATCAAGAAACCAAACCCCACATGCCTGGAATCAAGTGTGAGAAAATATCTTGGGCTTACTCCCATGATGCCTGTGTAAAAGTCGCACCGTTTGTCTGTAAATAAAAGGCCTGAGTTTAGCAGAAGATCATAGGAAAATGCAGCAAATGCACCATGTTTACAATGTGCAAAGGCAGAGAGAAGCATCAGTTCTCAGCATGAGATTGTTGGTTATGCCTGTGGGGGAGCAGATGGGAGATCACTATTGATCTCTAAAGTAGCTGGGTCAGCCAGACATGTTGGCTCATGCCTGTAATCCCAATAATTCAGGAGGCCAAGGTGAGAGGACTGCTTGATCCCAGGAGTTCAAGATTACAGTCAGCTGTGATTGCACCACTGCACTCCAGCCTGGGCAACAAAGCGAAATGTGGTCTTTTTTAAAATAAACAAATAAAATGTAAAAGTGGCTGGGCCTGTGCTCCATATACAGACTCATTTGCCCTCTTCTCAAGAACTCATCTGCTTTTAAAACTGGAGGATGATTGTTATTTTTATTTCTTCTTCTGGATACATTTTTAACCAACGTTAGAAAAATCAACCAGAGAGACAAATATCCATATACATACAGTAGCTTCACTAAAATATCTAGGATGGTCGAAACTGTCACCAAGGAGCCTTAGAAATGGATATTAATAACATGTACTTACCATGTGCTAGGCACCACATATATTACCTGTGTTAATTAATCCTCAGAACCATGGAAGAGTTACCATTATTATTCTCAACTCATGGATGAAGAAAATGAGACATAGCTTTGCCAACATTCACAGCAAATAAAGGGTGGCCCATCTTGACTCCAAGTTCAAGGTCTTAGCCACTACTTTGCTGACGCCCATTGAAGATGAATCAAGCACACCTGCACCATATCCAGCTGGTTGTATTATATCCAGTCCTTCTTATTTTGCAAAGAACCAATTCTCCAAATTAAAAGTCTCTTAATATCACCCTAAATCTACAATCCATAAAACACACCTTTGATTTGTCATATACATTTTCTTTAATGAACAAAGACAAAACTTTGAAATTTTGTTCAATTGTTTGAAACAATGACCTCCACATGTTGCCTAACCTAACAGATGAAGTGAAACAATCATTTTATAGCTCCAGTTCTTTATCTGCTATTACAGCCTCCAGCGTTTAACAAACTGTCACAATGTAAATCCCACAAGGTTCTCTAGAGCTCACACAGTTCTGTGTCCACCAAGCACTGAGCCATGTTTATTGTATATGTTCACGCTTGTATCAGGTGCTGCAGGTGTGTTGGCTCCCCTAAAGGGAACAGACATTCCGGCTCCGTTCTTTTTCTCCTTTTACAAAAACTATTTTCAACTACCCCCTCCATCCACCTGCCCCTACAACCTCATTCTTCTCAAATTTGCATGCTTCAACAAGTGCGATACTGTTGAACTGCAGTAAAAGTTTCACTGTTTCCCAAGGCAGGTGGTGCCTATAACTTCACCAAGGCCTGAGAAAAAAAGGATCGCTTTAAAAGTCAGGCGCTGGGTTGTCTCCCTTTCCTTGTTGTCTGCTTGGGCATTCCCTGGTACCCCACTGTCTATAAAGGATGACTAGTGCTGAAAGATAGGAGAATGACCCACATTAGCCTTTATTTTCTAAAGCTAAGTTTAAAGTACTTGCAATAGATAATCAAAAGAACTGGGAATTTAACTCTGAGCATAGCAATTTTCACCTGATTTTCTTTGCCTTCCAGAAAAGTGCCTGAAAACAGGAGGTATGCAATAAGTAATTGCTGAATAAATAAATGAATGATGCATGGGTAAATGAATGAAAATGATCTTCTCTCCATTCTATTCCTCTTTGGGTGGCCAACTTCGCTGTAAACTTCAAGTCTTAACTTAAAGATCACTTCATCCCAAAAGGCTTTTTGTAACTGCCCCACCACCACCAAATTAGATGAGTTCCTCCATTCTTTGCGTTTTCTTTCATTATGCTAATCCCTGTAATAATTCATATAACGGTTATTTTAAGTACTTATTTATTGCCACTCTCCCTTCTAGAACATAAGCTCCCTGATGGAAATGATGGGGTCTGCTGTGTTCCCTGCTCTACCCAGCATCCAGCAAGTGCCTACCATCAATTACGCACTTGGTAAATATTGTTGAATAAATGACAGAAGTTGCTATACAACAAAGATTTAATCTAGAAAGCTCTGTGGACTTGGATAGACCCAGTCCAGAGAGCAGCATGTGTCCTCATGGTGCATGAAATACACCAAAAAGTTTTAAAATCTCTTGCAGGGGCTCTTGTTCCTGACCTTTTCTTTTCTTTTTTTTTTTTTTTTTTTTTTTTTTTTTTTGCTGGACTGCCTGACAGAGGTTTCTGTTTTCCTCATGCCCTGGATGTCCACACAGCTGCACACCGAGCACAGACTTATTCATAGGCAGCTTCCTGTCACGTGAGGGGCTCCAGATTTAGTTTTCTGCCACAGCCAACAGACTCAAAGGGCCCATGCCCACCTCTGCTGGTCCACAGGTTCAAACGCTGCTGCCTGCGCAGTTGAGCCCTGGCCCCTCAGTTGCCCTCTCCCACTGTGGGAAGGAGACAGATGGGTTCTCCACATGCCTGCTGCTACTGGGAATGGGGTGAAGAAGAAGGCTACTGGCCTGGCTGTAAGAGGGCTTTCTGCGAGGGAATCTGGCTGGGACAGGAGCCCAGTGGGCTGGTGGGGAGCCTGACTGGTGGGGGGCACTTAAAGAGTTCATTCCTGGGTTGACATTAAAAGGAGCACCCCATAGTTCCAGTTCTATTTCCCTCACCATCCACTAATACCCAGCTTCCTCCATGCAGGGGATGGGTAAACTGTGTCACTGGTATTTAGGAACTAATCTAATCACATCAAGCCAGAGAGCCCTAACTCTATACTCACTTTCTCATCTGGGTAAGCCCCTTAACACCCCTAAGCCTCAGTTTCCTCACTGTGAAATGGCAATAATGCCTACCTGTTTGTGCTATGATAGGAATCCAGGATTCATAAATAATAATAATAAACAACAATGTGTGAGCACTTACTATGTGCCAGACATTGTGTGATAAACTCGAGATGTGTTTAATCCTCACAACTTGCTTCTGAGGGAGCACCTCTTATTATTCCCATTTTTATAGATGAGGGAACTGAGGCTGCAGAGAAGTTGTGCACCTGCCCAAGGTCACCTGGCTGGAACATGATGACGGAATCTGTATGACTTTCCATTACTGCAGAGGTTCTGAGCTTGGACTCTGAAGTCCAACGGTGTAGTTTACAATCCAGCTGCACAGCATACTGGGTGACCTTCCTCTGTTCACGCACTCATTTGCCAGCCTGGCCAAGCAGCTCTGTGAAAGGGATCGTCCAGGAGGCATTCTGCTCACCTTGATGGTTGCCCGGCCAAGGGACTGGGTTGTAATTTATGGGGAGCTCCATTCATTGGGAATACAGCCACATTCACAGTTCTTTCATTACGCACCTTCCCAAATTATAAAGGCAGTGTTCTAAGTTAGGCTTTTAATGCGGTTCACTGTTTCCCCATATCTCAGGTTGATCATCTTCCAGACATAAGTAAGTCCTCATGGTGGACTGAAGATAAGTAGCTGAATATACATTTATTTATTTATTTATTTATTTATTTATTTATTTATTTATTTTTGAGATAGAGTCTTGCTGGCTGCATTCCCAGGCTGGAATGCAGTGAGGCGATCTCAGCTCACTGCAACCTCTGCCTCCTGAGTTCAAGTGATTCTTCTGCCTCAGCCTCCCAAATAGCTGGGATTACAGGAACCCACCACCACGCCCCTAATTTTTGTATTTTTAGTAGAGACAGGGTTTCACCACTTTGGCCAGGCTGATCTCGAGCTCCTGACCTCAGGTGATCCACCAACCTCAGCCTCCCAAAGTGCTGGGATTACAGGCACGAGCCACTGCACCCGGCTGAATATACTTTTTATAACTGCCCTGGTTATTTGGTTTTTCTAGAGAGGACCAAGAAGTAGGTGGGGCTTGCTGCTGCCTGCAGAACTGTCCACTTCTCACTGCCATGACAGGAGAATAGGAGGGTGATATGGTTTGGCTGTGTGCCCACCCAAATCTCATCTTGAATTGTAGCTCCAATTCTCACATGTTGTGGGAGGGACAAGGTGGGAGATAATTGAATCATGGCCGAGGGTCTTTCCCAGGCTGTTCTTACGATAGTGAATAAGTCTCAGGAGATCTGATGATTTTATGATGGGGAGTTTCCCTGCACAAGCTTTCTCTCTTTCCTGCCGCTATGTAAGATGTGTCTTTTACCTTCTGCCATGATTGTGAGGCCTCCCCACCTACATGGAACTGTGAGTACAATAAAAACTTATTTTTCCTTATAAATTACCCAGTCTCAGGTGTGTCTTTATCAGCAACATGAGAACAGACTGATTCAGAGGGCTATGAAGTAAAATTGCCCATAAGAATCAGACCAGGCTGGGCGCAGTGGCTCACGCCTGTAATCCCAACAGTTTGTGAGGCCGAGGCGGGCAGATTACTTCAGGTCAGGAGTTTGAGACCAGCCTGGTCAACATGGGGAGACCCCATCTCCACTAAAAATACAAAAACTAGCAGGGCATGGTTGTGCACACCTGTAATCCCAGCTACTTGGGGGACTGAGGCAAGAAAATCGCTTGAACCCTGGAGGCAGAGGTTGCAGTGAGCCGAAATGGTGCCATTGCACTCCAGCCTGGGTGACAGGTGAGACCCAGTCTGAAATAATAATAATAATAATAATAATAATCAGACCAAATAGTTAATGCTTGCCTGAGTATCTTCTTGGTAAATTGTCTGAAGTCCAATTTCACCTGGAATTACCAGTTTATAAAAATTTGCTTTCAGAAAGAAGATAGTAACTTTGTGGGACAGATGTATAAATTAGCTTGTATGAGTGATTATTTCACAATGTATACAAATATCAAGTAATATACCTAAAATATATGTAATTTTTATTAGTCCATTTTATCTCAATGAAGCTGAAAAATAAAAAGAAAAAATTGGCTCACGCCTGTAATCCCAACACTTTGGGAGGCCAAGGTGGGTGGATCCTGAGGTCAGGAGTTCAAGACCAGCCTGGCCAAGATGGTGAAACCCCATCTCTACTAAAAATAGAAAACTTAGCCAGGCATGGTTGCGGGTGCCTGTAGTCCCAGATACTCAAGAGGCTGAGGCAGGAGAATTGCTTGAACCCAGGAGGCAGAGGTTGCAGTGAGCTTAGATCACGCCACTGCACTCCAGCCTGGGTGACAGAGCGAGACTCGATCTCAAAAAAAAAAAAAATTTTTTTTCAATTAAAAAAGTTTGCTTTTAGTATTACCAGATATTTTGAAGCCATGGATATACTGCAGGAAACAGAGTCCCACGAGGTTGTCCCAAGCTATGCCAACCCTGCTCACCTGAAAACCAAACTGCCCTTTAACCTAAGACCAAGGCATTTCTCAAGCCAGAAGAGAGGCCTTGGTTGAATTTATAAAGGCAAATGAAAAGGAAAGCTTTGGACCAAATGATAATTTCAGGATGATTCTACTTTTAAATCAAATGCAAAAAACATGTTTTTCTTCAATATGTTTACAACAATACAGGAACTATATGGCTGGCACTGTGCTAGGTGCTTCACAAGTCACATTTAAGTTTTACAGGAAGCAACTGAATTAGAGAATATTCTTCTCATTTGCAGATAATGAAAGTAAAGCCCTGACAGGTCCAGGAACTAGCTCACCATCATAGAGCCTTTGAGAGACAGACAGGACTCAGATCTAGCTCTGTCAGACTCCAAAGTCCCGTTTTCCTGTATGCCTTCCTGAAAACTGGATTGATGTTATCTCTTGAGCTGAGAAGTCCTTCATTCCTGCCAAGAAATGGCTTCAAAGATTATTTGAACAAGGAGAAGCCGACAATTTAATAACAGGAGAGCACTGTGCACATTTTTGGTTATGTCTATACAAGAAGGGATGGCTACTGGTGGAAAAGGGAACATTTCAGTCTAATAATTGGGTTTATTATCTGCATGACAACAAGTATAACTGGTTTGGCTGATGTTGTCGATGAGCCGTATGGGGGAGGAAGAGACCCAGTTTGGTAGTTGAAGCAGCTAGTTAAATTGACCAAACTTTTCTCTTTTCACATTGTCACTGTGGTACCATTTGCGCAGAGCAAAGAAGCTCAGCTTGGAGGTGTCACGCATTTGCATGAGCATTGCTGTGTGTCTAACTCATTTCCTAGAACCTTAGGTATGATTTAGAAAAATCAAGTTTGAGGTCTTTTCCCTTTGGGGAACTTTCAGAATGTTGAAGGCCATTTTTTTAACTTTCATTTTAAGTTCTAGGGTACATGCGCAGGTTTGTTGCATAGGTAAACTTGTGGTATGGGGGTTTGTTGTACAGGTTATTTCATCACCTAGGTATTAAGCCTAGTGCGCATTAGTTATTTTTCCTGATCCTCTTCCTCCTCCCACCCTCCACTCTCCAATAGGCCCAAGCGTGTGTTGTTCCCCTCTATGTGTCCATGTGTTCTTATCAGTTAGCTCCCACTTACAAGCGAGAACATGCAGCGCTTAGTTTTCTGATCCTGTGTTAGTTTGCTAAGGATAGTGGCTTCCTGCTCAATCCATGTTCTTGCAAAGGACGTGATCACATTCTTTTTTGTGCTGGCATAGTATTTTATGGTGTATATGTACCACATTTTTTTCTCCAGTCTACCATTGATGGGCATTTAAGTTGATTCCATGTCTTTGCTATTGTGAATAATGTTACAGTGAACATACGCATGCATGCATCTTTATAATAGAATGATTTATATTCCTTTGGGTATTGTATTAGTCCGTTCTCATGCTGCTATAAAGAACTGCCCAAGACTGTGTAATTTATAAAGAAAAGAAGTTTAATTGACTCATGGTTCTGCAGGGCTGAGGGGGAGTGAAGGGGGAAGCCCCTTATAAAACCATCAGATTTCCTGAGAACTTACCAGCATCACGAGAATAGCATGGAGGAAACTGCCCCCATGATTCAATTACCTTGCACTGGATTCCCTCCTACCACACATGGGGATTATGAGAACTGTAATTCAAGATGAGATTTGGGTGGGGACACAGCCAAACCATATCAGCTATATATCCAGTAATGGGATTGCTGGGTCAAATGGTATTTCTGTCTTTAGTTTATGAGGAATTGCCACACTGTCTTCCTCAATGGTTGAACTAATTTACGTTCCCACCACAGCATATAAGCATTAAAGGCCATTTTTATGCAGCTTATGCCCATGGTAGCATTTCAGATGCCATAGGAATTGAAAATGTTTTTATGTTTAGCCTGAGTGATACAAGAATGTATATTCAGGAAAAATGCCAGTGATATAGCAACATATACAAGTTAATATCCCTTTTACCCATCCCATTCCCCACTCCCAACCTTATTCCCCTCCCTAGAAATAGCTGCTTTTATCAGCTTAGTGCACATCCCTCAGTGCTTTTTTTCCATATATTTAGATAGATAGATAGACAGACAGACAGACAGACGGACAGACAGACAGACAGATAGATGGATGTATATGTATGTGTGTAGAATTTTTTTAAATCATAGTTGACATCAGACTATATCAATTATTTGCAGCATTCTTTTTTCCTTAACAATCCCTTTCTTTTCAGTATATAGAGCTCTATAATATTGTTTTAAACTGTTGCATGGCATTCCATAGTATACCATAACTTATTTAGCCATTCCCCTATAATTAGATATTTATATTATTTAGTTTTTTACTGTTACAAACAATGTTATAATCAACTTACTTGTACATTTATCCTTGTATATTCTTCTGACTGTATCTGAGGGAATATTCCTAGAAATAGAATTGCAGAGTCCAAGGATGTGTATTTTTATGTCTATTTTTAATTTTGACAGAAAAATCTGCCAACTTACCCCCCACCCCCAGAAGAAAAGGATAATTTCCTCTCTAAACTACAGTATATAAAAGAAAATGTGAAAATTTTGCAACACCATCTCCTCAAACCACTGCAGGAAAGTATTTCTTTCCATCTAAAATATTATTCTTGGTATCAGAACTTCCTGATAGCTGATAAACTCTGGCGCCTGGCTCTCTGGAGGCATTTGGTGAGCTCCCTCCACCCCACCTTAACTGGAAGGGTATTGACACTCCCCTGCCAGGGAACTGCAGCTGGACTCAGGCTCCCACAGTTCTGGGTTCTTCATAACACTCATCTTTCCATATTATAACTTATCTATTCATGTTTGACTCCTTTATTAGGGAATAAGCTCCTCAGGCAGACACCATGTTTACTCATCTCTATTCCCAACACATACCTCAGTGTATGACACCTGTTAGTGTTCTTTGTACCACTGTTTGAATGAATGGCAAGAGGGAGGGAGGGAAGAGGAGTAGGGAAAAAAGGTAGGCTGGTTTCCTGACAAAACTGTGAGGGTCCCAAACCCTGTGAGACTTGGTCAAACTTTGTGTGAAGTAGACAGATTCAAGATTACTAGTCCTGCCAGACTCTAGAAACCCAAGCATCTGGAACCAAAGAGGAACATATTTTGTTTCTAAGACATTACTCAACCACATACCTGATATGGGTGACACTGCCCATCTCCAGTCTCTGAACTGCAAGACAAAATACAGGACTTTTGAGACAGAAATGACACATTTTGAATTTTCCAAAGGCACGTCAATTTTTTCTTTTTCTTCAACTGTCTTAGATAATAACAAAGCTGTGTTTGGAAAGATGAAAATGAAGGATGTTTCTGGTTTGTTTCCAGCCTTAAGTCTTTCCCAGGACCTGTCCTTTTAGAGCTCAAACGACTTCGTACCACCACACTGTCTTCTTTCCCACTTAATTTTCCAGACATCCTGCAGGCTGCCTGCCCACTCCATCCTGCCTTAACTTGCTTTTCTACTCAAAGGAACCCCCTGAAGGGACTCCTGTGCTCATTATTTAAACAGCTGGAAAATTGCTTTGCCTTTTCTCTGCCTACATGTGGCATTCAGGACTTGCAGGATATGCTTTATCATTGAGTCTTGCACTGACTCAGGCAATTTCCAGGAAATATTTAACATTTCCTGAATGCAGTCAAGTTCAAGGAACTGTCTAGAACCACTCAGGCTGAACTTGCACAGTCTATATCTAAAGCCACCAGCATTAGTGATCTCAGTATGAGGGAGATCTATACATAAATGTCAGCATCCACATACAAGATAAAGGAAGGGAAAAAAAAAGAAAGAAAGTGAACAGGGAGGGAAGGAGGAAAAACAATCTTAAAAGAAAGACACAAACACTGTAGTTGAAGACATGGCAAAAGATGCTATGTCTTATTTGAATCAACAAAGTGATAGATTCTTAGGGACTACCTTCTCTATAGGCCCCTTTAACATGCTGGTTTAAATACACTACGGATTCACACAAACTAGCTGCCTATATGCCTGGAACACTTGTTTTTCTGTCAGTGATCAAATACTTATTGAATTTACCATTGGCTTCAATACTCCGGGCTTCTGAGATTTTTGTAATACATCAGCAGCATCAGACATGAGCTTCATTAGTTACTCCAGCAATCTTAGCATTTCTCATCCAAACCTTCCTACCACCTTCCAGACATCCTGAAAGCTGCCTACCCACTCCAACCTGCCTTAACTTGCTTTCCCAGGGGCCTCTTATTCTAGCAGTACCTCTACCATTACAGTTTCTGAATTTATAGCTTTATGATTGGAAACCCTCTTGAATAACTCTATATATTTTAGAACCAATTAAGAAATATAAGTATTTCCTTACCTGGGGTTTACTTTTGCTGTTTTCTGTCTCCTTGGCTGCATTCCAAAACTACTACCAACCTAACCCAAGGACATCTTTCTAAATGCTGTCACTCACTTTCTGATTTTAATATTATCATTATTATTATTTACTTCATTTGTCAGTAACTTATTTGAATTTCCTCTAACCCAGAGGTTCTTAGCCACAGTGTTGAAAAGTCATTTATATGGATCAGTGCTATTGGTGGCAAGTTCCCAAAACCCAGTTCAAACTGAATTAAACAATAAAGAGAAGGTACTGTGCATCTGACAAAGGACTAATATTCAGAATCTACAAGGAACTCGAACAAATCAGCAAAATACATATCTTTATTTATTGGTAGATTTTATACCAATAATGTCCCTTGCCCACTTGTCAAGTACTGGAACAAATAATCCCATCCACAAGTGGGTAAAGGACATGAATAGGCAATTCTCAAAATAAGATATACAAATGGCCAATAAACATGAAAAAACGCTCAATATCACTAATTATCAGAGAAATGAAAATTAAAAGCACAATGTGATATCACCTTACTCCTGCAAGAATGGCCATAATTTAAAAATAAAAAAATAATAGATGTTGGCTTGGATGTGGTAAAAAGGGAACACTTTTACACTGCTGGTGGGAATGTGAACTAGTACAACCACTATGGAAAAGAGTATGGAGATTCCTTAAAGAACTAAAAGTAGAACTACCATTCAATCCAGCAATCCCACTACTGAGTATCTACCCAAAGGAAAAGAAGTCATTATATGAAAAAGATACTTGAACATGCATGTTTATAGCAGCAAAATTTGCAACTGCAAAAATTTGGAATCTGCCTAAATGCCCATCAACCAATGAGTGGATAAAGAAAATGTGGTGTATACATATACTATGGAATACTACTCAGCCATAAAAAGGAATGAAATAATGTCATTTTCAGCAACCTGGATGAAGTTGGAGACCATTATTCTAAGTAAAGTAACTCAGGAATGGCAAACCAAATATCATATGTTCTCACCTATAAATGGGAGCTAAGCTATGAGGATGCAAAGACATAAGAATGATATAATGAACTTTGGGGACTTGGCAGGGGAAGGATGGGAGGGGGTTGAGGGATAAAAGACAACGCATTGGGTACAGTGTACACGGTTCAGGTGACACGTGCACCAAAATCTCAGAAATCACCACTAAAGAACTTATCCATGTAACCCAAAACACCTATTCCCCAAAACCTATTGAAATAATTTTTTTAAATAAGAATAATAGAGAATTATTAGCTCCTATAACTAAAATACACCAATAAATATAGGTTTGTGTGTGTTATATGGACTTTAGATACAGTTTTGTTTGGCTCTAGCTCCTTTGATCTGCAATTCTCTTTGTTCTGCTACTTTGTCTCATGCTGACTTCACACATGGTAGCAAAATGGCAGCAGCACTTCTAGGTTTCACATCCACACTGTACCACATCTAGGAGAAAGATCTTCTCTTCCCCACAGACCTCTTCTCAACCAACAGTCAAACCACAGTCCTGGTTTTCCCTCCAGGAAATCATAGGTCAAATGCCTTCCCCTGAATCTAAAAGAATGGACAACTGGTTTGCTTAAGTTCATCAACGCCTACTCCTAGAGCCAGGAATGGGTCACTATCACCCTTACCCCATGACTGCTACTCATTGGGGAAGGTGGGAAATAGAGACAGGGAGTTCAGCCACAACATGTGCAACAGGGGAACATAGGGAAAGAGGAGGATTTGTAGTTCCTGAGCTCAGAACTATATACAATCTGCAGAGTATTTAATCAGTGAGTGCCACAGTCCAGAAGTGTCCATATTAGTAATGCAAGTGGGTTGAACATATGAAATATTATCTATCAGGTATGACTCAAAAGATGGAGAACCTCTGCTCTAAGGCATAAGCTACTCAAACCAGGAAGTGTGTTATCTTTGTTGCTGTGGCATGTGGTGAACGTGAACTGAATTTACTTCCAGTCTCCTGGACCACCTGACTGTCCCCTCTATTCTTCCTCTTTCTGTTAATATCCTGATGTTTACCCTCCTCTTTCCTACACCTGGTTTTCATCTCCTTAAAGTCTGGAATAAGGGAAAGGCAAGATCACCACCCCTTTTCTGGAGAATATAATTTTTAGAAAAAAAGACCACGAAAGCTTGAACATGTGATCAAGTGAAGTAACTTAATAGAGTCGAATAGGGAATGATATGTTTCCTGTGTGAACATCAAGAAAAGGCATCCATCCATGGACTTAAATGTCATTTGCCTGTGGAGAAATGTGGGGCAGACCTAGAGCTGCATAAGGCTTTGGTGCCGTTGTATTTCATAAAGTAAAGAGCTTTATTTAGACTGAGCACGTGTCATTTGTCACATGAAGAGGTGAGACTCTGGCCCACTATTATAGGATATGCATTTCCTTTATTATTCACTGAGAGATGACGAGTCAACGCTGAGCTGCAGATGCTCTTTCTCAATCCGCCTTGAGACAGGCACTTGCAAGAGATCTGTTTGTATAGTCTAGGGTATAATCTCTGGTCATGGATCAGGATTTCTTCTACTCAAAGGAAACTGACCTAAACTGGACTGGGTTAAGATGTTTAGAAACCATAAGCATTGACAGTTGATGGTGCTCTCCTCTCTGTAATTGAAAACAATGCTTACCTGTAAAACACAAAATGTATGTGCATACAGAAATGAAAGTAATTTCACTCTGGCTTTACAGGTGGCAAATTTCTGAATATGTTTAATTAACTGAATTATTCTCTCCTCTCCCTCCCTGCATCTCTCTTTAGAGCCCCTGTTTTGCTGGTGGGACTTTAAGTGCATACCTGTTCTGTATTATTAATAATTCAGCCCCAGGTTTGTAAGGCAATAAGCTGCTTTGTCCAGTGAGCTTCGCTATTCCAACCTGCTGATTGAACTTATTTGCCATTAAAAAAAAAAAAAAAAAAAAAAAACAGAAAGCCTTAGGGTAACTTGGTGCTAGCAAAACCAACGTTGAGGTCAACTAAAGAATCCAGCCTCCCAGATATTGAAAGCTCCAGCTGCTGCAATGACCACAGGATGAGAGAATTACCTTTCTTTGACCAGGAAATGTAAGAGCTACTTAAGAGTTCGTTTCCCTCAGCCCCCCTGATGGGCAGTACTCCTATACCGTGTTCTGATCTAAAGCCAATTCTTCCTCTTATGTGCACTTGACCCAATTCCCTTTAGCCAATCAAAGACAACACTTCAGCATTCTGCCTCCTTCTCCTACATTATCAGAACTTTCCCCTCTTTCCCGGATCATTCTTATCAGCAAATAAGCATGATGCTATTTCTCCTATCTTAAATAACAATAATAAAAAGCTCCACATCCTCCACAGCTACTCCCCATTTCACTGCTCTCCTTCACAATACTAAGAGCTGCACTCAGAGACTCCAGTTCCTCCCCTCCCATGATATCTTCAGCCCAGTCCAGCCAGATTTCCCCCACTCCCCCTCCCCAGCAAAAATGCTCTGGTAAGGGTCACCTGTGCCTCCAGATTACTAAACTCAATGGTCACTTCTCACTTTGACTTCGATTCGTAGGACAGCATTCCCTCTTGGTTTTCCTCCTCCCTCCCTCACTCTCCTCCCAGTCTCCTTTGCTGTTCCTCCTCTTCTCCCCTGCAAAGCTGGAGTGCCCCAGCAGCTCCATCAGTCTTCATTTTACTCCACTGGTGACCTCATTCATCTCATGAATTTAATCCTATGTTGACAACTGCAAGGATTCTATCTCCAGCCCAGACCTCTCTCCTGGACCCCAGACTCATAACCAATGGCAAACCTAACACCTCCACTTGAATGTCTAATAAATGTTTTAAAACTCAGTATATCCAGATGAACTCTTATTTTTTTCCCTCCCCTCATTCCCATCCTTATGAAACCTGTTATACCTTTACCTTAGTCCTTGCCATCTCAGCGAATGGAACCCGAAACTTCTCTTTTGCTCAAGACTCTAACCAATCTATCAGCATATCCATATCTTGAAAACAGAGCCAGAGTCCAGCCTCTCCAGTAATTACTACCTGATGCAGACCTCACCAGGATTACAGGCCAACCTGCTTCCACTCTTGCCCCTGTAGCCTGTTCTCAACACAACAGCCACGCCAATCTACATAAAACATGAGCAGATCATGGAACTCCAATGACTCACTCAGGGTAAAAGCCAAGGTCCACATAATTTGACTCTCATTACTCTCTGACTCCTCTCCTTCTGTGTTCCCCTCTTTCATTACCCTGCAGCCACCCTGACCTTCTTGCTCCCCCTCAAGCAGACCAGGCATGTTCCTACCTTGAGGCCTTTGCACTGGATATCCTTTGGCCTGGATTATTGCCTTTGGCTGGAATATTCCCCTTGCCTGGAATATTCCCCAGATATCTGCATGACAACCCTTACCTGCTGCAAATCTTCGCTTAAATGTCAGCTTCTCAATGAATCCTACCTGAGAACCCCACTTAAAACTGAAATCTGCTCTCCCTCCACCACTGGTGATCTTTATCCTGTTCTATTTTTTCCAAAGCATTTACCACTTTCTAACTTATTATATAATTACTAATTCGTAATACGTGTTGCTTATTGTCAGTCTCCCAGCAGCCTCTAGAATGTAAGCCCTTGTGGGTTTTTTTTTTTTTCTTTTGGTCTGTTTTATTCACTTTATACCCCAGGCGCCTAATGCGGTGCCTGGTAATTCCTAGGTGCTCAATAAATACTAACTTATTTCTGTGCTATAATAAACTGTTTTCACTTTATAAACCGTGAGTATTTTCTATGATGATTACTTTTATATTTGATTCTACCTACATCCCATAATACATGTATATGTGACATACATAAGACACATGACTTTGTCACTATAATAAGATCCATGCCACTGCCATGGAATTCATATGTATAGATCATAAGATCCATATACAAAAGAGGCATGACTATGTCACTAATATGTGAATAAAAAGATCCATATTTACTCTTCAACTGGAAAGAACTTTCAAACCCTGTCTCTCTAGACTCCCCATAACATCATTCCCATATTAGAGCACTGCAGGAAAATTCACAAGGGATAATGGGAATCAGAACCACACAGTAATCTGGCATCTCTACAAATCTAGAATTTCCAGGCCAGGCATTTTTGCAGTGGTATCGTCATTAAGAGTGTGGGTTCTGGAGTCAGGCTGCCTGATTTTTTATCTTGGAACCAGGATTGACTAGACCTCCATTTTGTCACCTATGACACTGGCCTTATTATCTTAATCATTTTTGTTGTGTTGTTATTATTCCCAAAATAGTTGAATAAGAGGCATGGTAGGGAAAGTAACAGCACCCAAAGGAAGTCTACATCCTATTCCTGGAATCTATGAATATGTTACTTGACATGTCAAAAGGAGTCTTTGCAGATGTGATTGAAGTCACAGTCCTTGAGATGGGAAGATGATCCTGGATTATCGGATTGAGCCCAGTGTAATCACCTAAGCCCTTGCAGGCAGAAGAGGCAGAAGAGTCAGTCAGAAGAGGCAGGAAAGACACGAAGCATGAGAGGGACTCGGCCTACTATTGCTGGCTTTGGAAATGAAGGGGCAATGAGCCAAGGAATACGGGAAGCCCCAGAAAGTGAAGAACAACCCTGACCAGAAAACTAGCAAGAAAACAAGACCAAAGCCTCATATACACATGCAACTGAACTCTGCCAGCAACCTGAATGATCCTGAAAGTAGATTCCCCCTAGACCTTGGGGAGACTGAAGACATGGCTAAGGTAAAGGTATAACAGGTTTCATAGGGATGGGAATGAGGGGAGGGAAAAAAATAAGAGTTCATCTAGATATGTTGAGGTTTGGCTGTGCACCCAAATCTCATCTTGAATTGTAGCTCCCATAATTCCCACGTGTTTTGGGAGGCACCTGGTAGGAGATAATTGAATCATGGGGGCCATTTCCCCCATACTGTTCTCATGGTAGTGAATAAGTCTCACAAGATCTGATGGTTTTATAAGGGGTTCCCCCTTTTGCTTGGCTCTCATTCTGTCTTGCCTGTGGCCATGTAAGACATGTCTTTACTTTCCGCCATGATGGTGAGGCCTCCCCAGGCAGGTGGAACTGTGAGTCCATTAAACCTTTTTCTTTATAAATTACCCAGTCTCAGGTATATCTTTATTAGCAGCATGAGAACAGACTAATACAGCCTACATCTTGATTTTGACCTGTGCACCTCAGAGCAGAGAAAGCAGCCCAGCCTCCTGGACTTCTGGTCTACAGCACTGTGAGATAATAAAATGGGTGTATGCTGATGATGAGGAAAATGAAGGGCTACCAAGTAGCTTTCTATTGTTTATATACCTCACATATTCCTGCAGAAAGGCTTTCAGAAAGTGGGGTGTTGTAAATGGGAACCAACATGTTGACCAGTTCACAAACCCATCAGGAGCATGTCAGTTTCCCCACATCCTCACATAGGTATGGTCAGACTTTTAAAACATTTCCCTGTCTGATATGTCCAAAATTGTTCATTTAATTATACTTTCCTAATTACTAGTTAGGTTGACCATTTTTTCATATCTTTACTGGTCACTTTCCCACTATTGGAAATTGTTTATATCTTTTCTCCATTTTTTTAAATTGGAAGTTTTGTCTTTTCTGGTTCATTTGCAATTCATTATATAATCCATAAACAAATTTCATTGTTGTTACAATAGTTGCAAATATCTTCTCCCAGTTGATTGTTTATTTATTTAATTTCACTTAGGGTGCCATTTTTTAAAAATATAGCAACTGATTTAACATAGTACACGTATCGATCTTTTCTTTTGTGGTGTGTGATTTCTGGGTCTTGTTTGTTTGAGAAATCCTCCCTGCCTTAAGAGGATTCTTAGAGGTGACTTAGAGCCCACCAAGGAAGACGGACAGTACGAAGGGGCCAAACTTATAGACTTTTCTGTTTCTGTGCCACTCATAATAGCACCTTGTTAGATTTTTTTTTCTTTTCTTTTTTTTTTTTTTTTTTTTTTTTTTTTGAGACAGAGTCTTGCTCTGTCGCCCAGGCTGGAGTGCGGTGGCGCAATCTCGGGTCTACCATGCCCAGCTAATTTTTTGTATGTTTAGCAGAGACCAGGTTTCACCATATTGGCCAGACTGGTCTCGAGCTCCTGACCTCGTGATCTGCCCGCCTCAGCCTCCCAAAGTGCTGGAATAACAGGCGTGAGCCACCGCGCCTGGCCTGTTAATTCTTTTATATATCAAACTCCTGTGTAGGCTTTGCATTGAAGAAAAGATTTTGCTGTTGAAACACACACACACACACACGCACAAAGAATGTTACCACATTTGCTAAGATTTCTGTCCACAGAGCCAAAAAGAGAAACATGATGAATTATATTAACTCATAAGAGAAAATAAAGAATAAACATAATATGTCACATGGCTTTTGTTTGCTGGTAAAAGAAGGACTACCAGACTGCTGGGAGAGGAAACCCCTTAGCGCAGTGTCCTAGGCATAGGGGCCATCTTGCAAAAAAGGGACCTAGTGAGCTACAGTAGATTCAGAAGATTCAGAAAGATTCTCAAATGGCCCTGCTTATGGAACTAGAGGGAGATAAGGAGTTCATCTCAGAATACAGGCTTCTTTTAGGGCCCCATTGAAAGTATGCATGTCCTGGCCAGGTCTTAAGTCACAGATCTCCTGTGAGCTTCAGCTAAGAGCTCTGATTGGTGCCTCAGCAGCTGGCAAATCAAAGGATCTGGCTGGGAGAGCAACTCTCCCTTCATCAGGCATTCATCCCAGTTTTGAGCCTCTGCTCTCCTTTCTCCTCTCTCCACTAGGAATGAGAGGGCTTACTATTTAGTGAACTCAAATCCTTCATACTTGGAAGAATGCACATGTTCAGTATCCTACAAAGGTGAAATAAACACACACAAATCATTGCTACCTTGCAGTTTATAAAACCTTTCCTATCTGCAACTTCACATTTGTGAATTTAGTGCCCTTCACAATATGGGGAAGTCTAGCTCATTCTTTATTGTGGTGATGGCTGGATAGCACAAATTAGCTGAAAATTTTTATTTTTAAATGTATATATTTTTTTCAGTGATATGTTTCTATCCCTAACAAAAGTACAGAGGTAAAGGAATACAATAGTTTACTTTATTACTAACATGGCTTTTCCTTTAACTCTTTTGTCCCTCCCCACGTATTTGTATTATTTCCTTCACTTTTCCTTTTTCTTTTTTTTTTCTTTTTTTGGCTTGTATTAAAGTCTCATTTTACAGTCTCTCTGCAAGGGCCCCTTGGTCATACTTCACTTCATTTTTTATGTAACCTGCTTAAGTTTAAAATGATCTGTTTTCTTAAACAGGGTTAGCACACATTATAATATGTTTCCTGGCACTCTGCCACTGCCCTGTCACCCAGCTCTCTGGATTTAAGGCTTGTTTCTTCAAGAATGTGCAGAACTATTCTGAAAAAAGTAAAAGAATTTGAAACTCTTCTTCCAAGAAAGGCATGCAGAGGGATATTTTCATACCTGTACCACACAGAGGATGAGTACAGCATTTCCTTTGGGCAGTGAGAATATTCAAATTAAATAATACTCAGCCAGATTTTTCTACCCCCAATCTAAAGTATGTATCAGCGGAACTTCCACTGTGTGTCAACCCATGAGTTTCCCCAAGAAGTCCTTGTTTCATGGGTCTGGGAATTGAACCAAGTGAAAAAGACTTACTGATTTCTCCCCAGATTGTGAAAGATCTCTAAGTCCAGCTCTAAACAAATGTATAGCCAACACACATAGTCTTAAGTGTTTACTCAGAAAGCCCTACATATTTCATATTTTATGTCTTTTTCCATAGCGTGTGGTTTTTGTTTTTGTTTTTGTTTTTGTTTTGTTTTGTTGAGACAAGTTCTCACTGTTGCCCAGGCTGGAGTGCAGTGGCACAATCATAGCTCACTGCAGCCTCAAACTCCTGGGCTCAAGTGATCCTCCAGCCTCAGCCTCCAAAGTAGCTGGGACAACAGGCACACACCACCATGCCAGGTTAATTTTTTTAATTTTTTGTAGAGATGAGGCCTCATTACATTGCTCAGGCTGGTCTCAAACTCCCAGGTTCAAGCAATTTTCCCACTTCAGCTTCCCAAAGTTCTGGGATTATAGGTGTGAGCCACCACACCCAACCCTTATACACCTTTTAAAGTACCAAGGAAATAGACTCACTCTCTACTTAATTAATATCCTGTAAATATCCTGGTAGGCAGAAAACAGAATTCCATGCATGGAGTCTAACTGAAGAGACTTTAATGAAGGAATTATCAATAGGGTAAATGAAGCCAATGAGGAATGTTGAAGCTTCAGGGGCCAGCAACGGCCAGAAGACATTTCCACCCCTTAAGCTAACAAGAAAGGGGAGGAAAGAGTGTTGTGGGAGCCCTGTGGGAGCTGGAGCTGAGAAGCGAGGGCTGCCTGGCTGGAGCTAGGCTCACAGCTCATGGCCAGATGGCAGTGGAAAGACAGAGAGGGAGTAGGGACAAAACACTCTGGCCCCTCTCTTCCTCCTCTGAATTTCCTGCTTCCATTGGCCAAACCCAGCCAGCAAAGTTGGCAGGTGAAGGAGCCCAGGGAAAGCAGTCCACAGATCAGCCTCCTGAGGCACAGAGAAAGGCAGTGGGGGTGGATGGCCCAGGGAATGGATGCTTGCAGTGGGCGCATGAAAAATAACCAATGCTGGGGTTAAGAGTGAACAGGTCTGAAATTTGCTGAAGATGATCTTTTTAGCCAATCTAATTCTGTTCATGAGATTTTTGGTGTTGGCGGGGGGGTGGTAAATGGCTTAATTTATTGTGAAGAAGCACTCTTGCCTTCTGAGTGAACTGGCCTTGCTAAGAGATATGAGCTGAATCCAATACATGAGAATTCAGTGGACCTCACAGTCATAAAGTTTTTAAGCTGGAAGGAACCTTTTACAAAGCCTCTAACTCAGCCACTGTACTTTAGAGATAGGAAAAAGTAGTCTCATGATGAGTCTTCTTCCTTCCTTCCTTTCATTCATAACAAGACAATATTTGCTTGATTGCCTACTAAGTACTAGGCACTGTTCTGATGATGAGAATGCAACAGTGAACAAAGTAATATTCTGCTCTCATGGAGCTTATGTTCTAGAGAGGCAATAAACATCAACAACAAAAAACATATGCTAGGTAAGAAGGGAATGTGTGCTATTAAAAAAATAAGGCAAAATAAGACAGTAGAGGAGGGCAAGAGATGGAATTTATCCTTTATATGGTAGACATGAAAGACTGCTCTGGTTGGCACATTTGAACAGGGACCTGAAGGAGATAAGGGACTGGCCATGTGAACTTCCAGGGCAAGAACATTCCAGCCTGAAGGGCTGGGAAGCGAAGGGCCCCAAGGGGAGCATGCTTGGTGCTGAGCTCAATGAGAGAGGGTTGGGATGATAGGAGATGAAAGCAGCAGGCAAGCTGTGGGCCAGGCATGAAGAGCCTTGCAGGCTTAGCGGAACACTGCATTTCATTTTCAGGGTGATAGGAAGCCATTGCAGGGTACTGAGCAGAGCAGTGACATGATCTGATGTATATTTTAACAAGATCAGTCTGGCCACTGTGCAAGAATAGACTGAAGGGAGGCCAGGGGAAAAGAAGGGAGACCAGGGAGGAGGCTGTTGGAGTCATCCTGGGGAGGGAGGACAATGGCTGGGGCCAGCATGGAAGTGGTGGCGTAGTGAGAAGCCATCAGATTCTGGATATGTGTGAACATAGAACTGACAAGCTCTGCCAATGGAGGAGCTAGAGGGCAGTGAGACAGAGGAGTCAAGGGTGACGCCAAGCTTGTTGACCTGAACATTAGGAGAGATGCAGCAGACATTACTGAGCTTGGGAGAGGAGGAGGTTTGGTGGAGTAGGGGGATAAACAGGAGTTAACTTAGGGACTTGTAGAGCTTTAGAGGTCCATTAAATGTCTATGCAAAAAATATATAAGTACATATACATACATAGATACATATGGAGATGCATGTGCGTGTGTGAAGCTCAGGAGAGGAGCTGATGCTTGAGCTACAAATTTGGAGATGGTATTTAAAGTCATAAGAGGATGAGATCATCACAGAGTGAGCACAGCTATAAAAGAGCAAGATTAGCACTGAGCCCTGAAACACACTAATAATATTAGTAAGATTTATTCTTTTTTATTATTATTTTTACAGCTAACACTTGGCACTATATGCCAGGCACACAGTGCACTTTACATACGTTATCTTTTTTAATTCTCATAACAGTTATGTGAGAAAGTTATCCCCATTTTACAGATAATAAAATTGAAAAACAGAGGAATTAACCAGCCTGCTCAAGTCACACAGCCAATATGTGGCAAGGCTGGGAAGTGAATCCAGAAAATCTGACTCAAGATGAAGCAGTGAACCCAAGCTTACATAGCAAGTTTGTGACAGAAGATGTCTGACAAGCTTCTCTCTATGCTACGCTGCCTCTGCTGAGTAAGTTCTTTCACTTCCATGCAGAGGCACTCAAAAGTACAGAATCATGCTGGAACAATGGGCACCCAGATATCAAGTTTACAAATTTACAAATTTGATCTCATTGCTTCCTCCAACATGTTGAAGTTTCTGAATCTCTCTTTAGTGTCTCTCTGGTGCTAAGTATAGGGTCTTGCTCACAGGAGCTGCTCCATCACGGAGGACTGAGGACTAAAAGGCCACTGGGGATTAACTATCTCGCTTTGATGGTAGGCAGAGTGAGAAAGGAAGCTATATCCACATGGCTGAGGTTGTAAATCAAGGCTAGGAAGAAACCACCTTCTGGAAGTCACACAAGACAGAGGACTTCCTAGTTATATCTGTGACACATGGACCTGCCTAGGAGAATTAATTACAACTAAAGACATGAACTGGAAGGTAGTCAGCATCCATTCTGGAGGTCTGCTTGGTGCTGATCTCTCTCGGGACATGGCCGTGTCTGCCCCAGTCAGGGCCTCCTCTCAAAGAATGGCATTTTCTTGTGTTTTGTACCTAAGCCGGCAGCACAGATAGCATCACTTTGCCTTTCCACCACTAGCCTTCAGAGATGTGGCGGAACCATAATTGGAACCTTTCAAAGAGCTATTTGGATAAACAAACTGTCAGTTCTCAGTTATAAATAAACTGCTATCAGCCATCTGAAAGAGACAAAATGATAGCAGTGTACCAAAATGCAAAGGGACACGCACCTCAGAACGCCAAGCTATCCAAGACCAGTTGCATAATCTGTAACTCCCACCACCTCCATTTCCCAAATGGATCTGGAGCGTGATGTAAGGAAAATAGCTCAGCCTTTGTGGTCAGACGGGTCTGGGTCTGAATTCTGTCTCTGATGTTCTTTAGTGGTGGCCTTGAGCTGGGTGTTTAATTCCTGAGAGCCTCATCGTCCTCATTTGTAACGTGGGGAAAGGAGGAAATAATTCCTAAATTCATAGGGTTGCTGTGAGAATATGAACAGAACAAACATGGAAGCAACACAGGAACTGGGACATGATGGTACTCAGTAAACAATAGCTCTAGTGGTGACGATGATGGTGACGGTAACAGACACAGGTGGTAATAATAATGCTGATGACAGTGGTGGTGCAAATGTCATCATCCAGCATTTGAGGACTTGTGCTGGGCCCCGGACTCTGTGGGATATAAACTGGAAGTCTCAGAGCTGCTGCTTCAAAAGAGAATAACAGTGAGATTAAACTAAAATGCTTGAAAACCTAACTATTTAACTGTTATTAACAACAATGAGAATATTTAATGTTTATTCAGTGTTTGCTATGTGCCAGGAATGGCCACAAGTAGTTTATATATATTTCATTTAATCCTCACAAAACCCTTTTGAAGAACGAAGGATAATTAGCTCTGTGTCAGATTAGAAACCCAGGACTCACAAAGGTGAAGTTCTGGATAAAAAAGCAATTGCTCCCATCTTCTCTAGTAAAACTGAGAATCGCTGACTCCTACCACTGCATCAAAACACAGAGTGCATTGTACCCTATGGTAACAATGGATCACTGTCAACATCTTCTACACATATCAATTTGCGATTTTTTGGGTACCCCCTTGTTCCTGGCAAGCAATATGCAAGAGAGACTAACTGTAACTGATGAGCCCCTGAAGAATAGTGATTCTGTCTGCCTCTGCAATACATAGCACTGGTTATTTCTTCAATCTTGCTATACTTTAAGAGAAAGAGGCAAATCTTAAATATATTTTTGCTCATAAAATAAATCTTGCAAGGGCGCTGTTCTTTATAATGTCAATAATATTCAATGCTTACAGTAATGGATTAAAATCAGTAGAGAAGGTGCTATTATCCTCATCTGACAAAAAAATAAATGGCACGGAGTGATGCAAGACTGTTCTAAAAGCCTAAACTGATATATTTTATATTCTAACATATGTCATCCCTGCTATTGTCTGAAGAAAAAAAAACATAGCTGAGTACATGTTGAAAATGACTTTTTTTTTATTTTAAAGGTTATTTTAGATGCCGCTATTACTTTTAAATGTAAGCATTAGTGGTTGGTGTTATTTACGGTTTATTCTGATGTGCTCATTTTCAGTGCCATTAAGCTATGTTATTATGATCCAGAATGTGTCATGTTATTAATCCCTCCAGAACAGACATCCTAACTTGTTCACAACCATATTCCCAGAAGACCTAAGGCAGTGCTGGTATGATGGTTGCTCTCAATAAATATTTTTTCTGGAAAAAAGAAAGAAATTGTAAATGTCCGATTTAGGGTCATACAGCTGGGAAAAGCTAAAGCAGGGATTCGAGTCCAGAGCATCTAACTCTAGACCCCAAGCTCATAACCACTGTACTGTATTGCCTGCGTCCCCACCAGATGTACAGTAACTATTCTAAGAGGGAAGAGGTCAGGGTGCTCTGAGATGGTGAATACGTAGGGCTTGTGCTTATGGTTCTTATGAGAAATTCACACAAATTAATAAAAGCATGTTTGAGATGCATATCAGGATTTACGCCAGAGATGGCAAACAAATAAATCAGGGAGATAGTTTGCCAGTCCCACACAGTATATCTAACATTTAAGATTGGGAGGTTTTATTTTACAGATACAGATTTCTTCCTTTTCTTAAAAAGTTGATGATCTAGAAAAACTGGATCATATTCCAGATGACTTTAATGAACTGGATCCACTGTTGCCTGCAGCCCACGCGTGTGTTCTTCAGTTTGCCCAGTTCTCAGAACTCCCTGTTTATTTTTCCTGCAAACTTCACTTGTTTATACACCTTGCCTGGCCCCCGTAGATATTTGAAGGGCAACCTCCTGTGGAGGCTCACGCACAGGACTAGGGCATATTTCAGCTTGTAGTTAGCAAAGCAGAGGTCCTTGATCAGTAGTTGCTACCACTGGAGAAAGTGAGGAGATCCTGGACCTCATGTGGACCAGGCCACCTCCACCCAGGGAAGATCAGTCTGTGGCTGCGTCAGCAGATGTTTTCTCTGAGCAGTTCCACCATCCACCATGAACTCCTGACCATCCATTGCCAGTTCTCCTTCCTGCCTTCCTTGCTAGCTGCTGATCATTAGTTCCTTTCTCTCCATTGTACAGCAAGATTCTTACTCACTTCTCTTACCACCTATTGTTTTCATTGTGGGATTCCTGTTAAAGGTGTTCAAAAAAGTTATTTTTTCTTACTTAAAAATACCTTGTTTTCAACTTCCCACAGTAGTTCCCCAAGTTCATGAGAAAGCACGACCATAGCAAGCCATGAAAATAAATATGAGACCTCCCTTTAAGCCCTTTGTTGAAAACTTAGTGTGAGGCAGTTGTGCATAAAAATAGAAGAAAATATCTTTTCTGTATCATACTTCACAATTTTCAAGGCACAATTACATCTACTATCTAATTTGATCCCCCAAACATACCAGTGAGATGGCAGAGTGGAAGTAAGATGTTTATGTTTCAGAGGAGATTTCACCTCAGAACCAAAGTCCACATTCAAGGATCAATGATCAGTGGACAAGAGAATGCGGGTTAGTGCTTAGCCTGACCCAGAATGAATCACCACAAGTACAATGCAGCTCTCACCTAACCATAGATAGTTTACCACTTTATCAGGGACCTTTGCTCTGGAAGAACTGAAACTGAAGTGCAACTGCTGAGGACCTACTCATTGGACTTCCCTTCCTCACTTCTTACCTCTTTCCTTCCTTCTACAAGTGGCTATTGAGTACCCCTATGTGTCAAGCACTGTGCGAATCCCAGGTGACACCATAATGTCTGACTGTATAATGCCGAGAGAAGGTAGCTCAAACGCTACAATACTGCCACCTTGTACTCACATGGCTCTTTATGATTTTCAAAGCCATTTTGCAGCACCCCTGTGTGCTGAGTGTACAGCCATTTTATAGATAGAATTTAAGCTCAGAAAAGCAAAGTGACATACAGCTAGGAAGCATACAGCTAAGATTCAAACCTGGTCTTAACAATGATCTTTTCATTACTGCTACTACTGGCACCTACCAGTACCTGGCACATAGTAGGTGCTCAAGAAATGTATCCTAAACATAAATTACCATCACACTGCCTCTGAAAATGACTAGAAACATCTAACGTAACATTTCTCCTTCAAGGCCAAGAAAACAGGCCTCTCAGGAATCTTTCACACCTCTTGCTCAGTAAAAGCCAACAATGCCTGAAATTAATCACTATTATTTTCACCTAAAGCCACATATGAAGCTAGAGAGATATAAAACAAACACCTCTGCTGAGGAAGATAACTGCAGATAAAGCTTCTTTCTTACATTCGTTGACATTCTTGTTTGCCCAAGAACAATCAGTTAAGGAGGAAATATTTTTCCCTATCTACCTCAAACCAAATTCCAAACCCAAAGTCCAATATTGGATAGTAAGTAGTAAAGCAAGTTGCTTAACCTTTTCATGCTCCTTTTCCCCAGCTGAGTTTCCAAGCCTAGCATGGCAAGGGTCCAAAGAGTCTCCTCTTCAATTTTTCTTCTATGTTGCAATTTGGTGGGAACAGAGGAGTGCGTGGGGAGCAGTTTGATCGGAAAACTATGGCTTGGTTTGGTTCCAATATCAGTACAGAAACAAGGGGGAGTGACTCAAGAACAAATTCTGTGGTTTGAACCTTCCCCATTGGAAGCCTGGCTGCCCACACTCTTCACTCTGGAATGGCCCAAGAGGATCTGCTGCCTGCTACGGCTCTAATTCTAGCCCACCCCTCCCTGCATAGGGCCTAGCCAGAGTCAGTTCTCCCCTCGGGAAAGGGCAATCTGGATGCTGGCAGGTAACAGAGCTGCCATCTAATCCACCCAATTCACAGCCACCTCATTCCTTCTCTACTACTCGGCCCTCATTGTCCTTACCCTGTCCAACCACATCTCTACTGCTCCCAGAATCAATGCGTACACTGGAGTGATGCTGGAAGTGATAGACAAGAGCATAAATCCTGTAAAACATAGCATATGTGGCCATAGGAGAGTACAGCTTTTAGTGGATATTTAACCCTCTAGCCCACTGTCTTTTCCACTCTTACTCCCACCTGTTTCTCTCTCTCCTGTTTAAATCACCCAGTGTTTCTCAAAATGTAATCTCTGGACCAGCAGCATCAGCATTGTGATGGTTAATACTGAATGTCACTTTGACTGGATTGAAGGATGCAAGTATTGATCCTGGGTGTGTCTACGAAGGTGTTGCCAAAGGAGATTAACATTTGAGTCAGTGGACTGGGGAAGGCAGGCCCACCCTTAATCTGGTAGCACCATCTAATCAGGTGCCAGCGAATATAAAGCAGGCAGAAAAACGTGAAAACAGAGAGACTGGCTTAGACTTCCAGCCTACATTTTTCTCCCATGCTGGATGCTTCCTGCCCTCAAACGTCGGACCCCAAGTTTTTCAGTTTTGGGACTCGGACTTGCTTTCCTTGCTCCTCAGCATGTAGACAGCCTATTGTGGGACCTTGTGATTGTGTAAGTTAATACTATATATATATATATATATATATATATATATATGAGTGTGTGTGTATATATGTATATATGTATATATACGTGACTATATATGAATATATTCATATATATATACGTGAATATATATAAATATATTCATATATATATACGTGAATATATATATTCATATATATATGTGAATATATATATGAATATATTCATATATATACGTGAATATATATATGAATATATTCATATATATGTGAATATATATATATTCACATATATGAATTTGTCAGAAATGCATACTCTCAGACCCCACCCCAGACCCACTGAATCACTCAGGGTGGGGCCCAGCCTTCTGTGTTTTAGCCAGCCCTCTATGTGACTCTGATGCACACTCAAGACTGTGAACCACTGGTTTAAACAATTTCTCCCTTCCACTGGGTATTATTCTTCTAGATCTCCTTACTGGTATCTATCTTCTCATACTTATATAAATGGACAAATATTTTGTAATCACACTAATAGAGTCTGCAAACTATAATCTTCCATATGAGGTGAGAAGAAATGTCAGCCTCTGAAAATTCAGCTAAAAGTAGCCAGTAAGGTGTCATGAGTTCAGAGAACATGAACTCTGATATCAGATGGCTCTGGGTTCAAGTTCATCAAATGTTCAAATCCACCACCTGCTGGCTGTGGGATCTTAGGCTAATTATTCACCTTCTGGACATTGCCCATAAAGCATAGATAAAGACATCCGTGTTATAGGGTTGTTATGAAGATTAAGTGAAGTAGCACATGGGAAGTGCTTGTGACATACAGTAGCCGCTCAGGAAACATACTCATCTTCCTCCTCACCCCACCTCCAGTAAAATTACAATAAAAATATACTCAGCTGCACATTGATGTTCTTCCTTAACTCTCCCAAGTCTTTATCAAGGAAATAGGAGATCTCCTGAGGCCAATCAAAAGACCAAATTATCTCTCTGCCTGTTGTCCAAGCAAGGTGGCCAGCTTTTATGCTCGGGATTAGAACATGACCAATATAAATGGGAAAACCTAGTCCTTTTATTTTATCTAATCTAATGATGACTGGTTTTGGAAGAAGAGGGAAATGAGCATGAAATCTAGTGAATGGGGATTTTGTGTTTAAGAATTTTTATTCATCCAAAACTATCCAAAAGAAAGAAAGTGTGACAGATACTTTATCACATGAACTGACTTATTTTTGCTTCTAAGAAGGAGTAGGCCTGGTGCAGTGGCTCACGCTTGTAATCTCAGCACTTTGGGATGCCAAGGCGGACAGATCACCAAGTCAGGAGATCGAGACCATCCTGGCTAACACGGTGAAACCCCATCTCTACTAAAAAATACAAAAAATTAGCCAGGCATGGTGGCACATGCCTGTAGTCCCAGCTACTGAGGAGGCAGAGGCAGAAGAATCACTTGAATTCAGGAGGTGGAGGTTGCAGTGAGCGGAGGTCGCACCACTGCACTCCAGCCTGGGTGACAGAACAAGACTCTCTCTCAAAGAAAAAAAAAGAAAGAAGAAAAAGAAAAGAAGGAGCAAAGGAGTTCAAAGATTTTCCATAGTCTGGACAAAACAGCACTTAAAAATATCCCATTCCCTTTGTGCTGAATCTATACTAATAATTTAACAGTTATTGACTGCTTACTACATGCCTGATCCTAAGCTATTAAATGATACATATGCATTTGTGCACTGAATCCTCAGAAGTAATTACTATCACCCCCTCTCCCAATGTAAAGATGAGAAAACTGAGATTTAGAAGCTAAAGGTAACTTGCCTAAAATCACCAAGACCTAGACTCTGAGGTCCTAGTGCAGAGTCTGCGCTCTGAACCACTAAACCTCCAATTACTAATTCAGTTTTTCAGGTAGCTCTATACAAGAGAGTGGCTCTCCTGAGTAGTAGAAACCAATATTCTACCCATTGGAAAGTTTTGTGACCCCACTACCAATCAGTCAGTCAGCATTCTGATTTATAAATCTGTCGCCTGTTAATTTCTTTATAAGTTAGTTCCTGGTAGCCTGATAAACTCAGGGACAGCTGATTGAATGAAGCTTTATAAGCTGCAAAGGTGAGGCTTAGGTTCTGTCCTGAGCTTACACAACCAAGGAATTGCCTACCCAAGCAGGCCCGCTGGAGGCAGCTAGCCAGCCAGCCAGCCAGTTGTCTTCTTTCATACCACTGTAAATGATTCAATCACAGCTCACATAATACAGACAATTCAGAGAAAAATGTAGGATGATTATGTTGGAAGAAGCAGGAATCTAGGAGCTTTAAGGATATAGTAGAGGTGAATGCAGCCAGAAATTCTAAGTTAATGATGGCAAGTAGGTTTCATTTTATGTGACAAATCTAATCAATTGGTGGTAGTGAATGCCTAGGGCTCTACATTGAGAAGGATTCTGATGCCACTTCTGGGCTATACAGTAGAGAATGCCACGATTAATTGGCAGTGTCTGCCATGATCACAGGCAGGCATGGGGGCCCATATGTCATATATTTACCATATATGTGCTGGAGAATGTCATAATTAGCAGTGTCTGCCATGATCACAGGAGGATCATGTCATATATTTACTATCTCTTAAGTGTTAGAATCTCAGTTGATATTGATCATTATATTGAATGTAGCATCCAATTACATTTGAGTAGAAAATAATGTGTTTTCAAAAATATTTACCAATCATAAATTGTATGAAATCACTGCACTATGGGCTGATTCCTGCTGATGCACATGCAAACTTGTAATTACTTTCTCAGTACTTCTATCCTTTGAAACTAGTGTCCACCTCAGTATGGTAAAAAGAAAAAGAAAAAAATTATTTCAGTGTAGGAACTTTGGGAGTTTATCTCAAACCTAAATTTTTTTGTGAACAGAAGAAGGTGTTGCTTTGGGGACATGGATCTGTGTATCCAACATCACAAAATCGTAAGTTAAACTTTTTTTTTTTTTGAGACGAAGTTTTGCTGTGTCACCCAGGCTGAAGTACAATGCACGATCTCGGCTCACTGAAACCTCTGTCTCCTGAGTTCAAGCAATTCTCTTGCCTCAGCCTCCCAAGTAGCTGAGATTACAGGCGTGCACCACCACACCTGGCTAATTTTTGTACTTTTAGTAGAGACAGGGTTTCACCATGTTGGTCAGGCTGGTCTCAAACTCCTGACCTCAAGTGATCTACCTGCCTCAGCCTCCCAAAGTGCTAGGATTACAGGCATAAGCCACTTTGCCTGGCCCACAAGTTAAATATTTTAAAGGGGTAAAAAGCACAGTTTTTTTTTAATTAAAATCCCAAGAGGACCCCCACATATATGGTCACCAAATTTCTGACAATAGTGTTATTACTCTGCAATAGGGAAAGTAGATATTTATAACAAACAGTGTCAAGTCTATTGAATTCCCATATGAGAAAAAAAAAGAAGGAAAAAAGAGTACTGAACCCACCTCACACGATTTATAAAAATCAACTTCAGATATGAAAAGAAAAACAATAATCTTTCAAACGATAACATAGGAAAATACTTTCATCACTTCAGTATAAGCAATATTTTCTTAAATAAGACATTAAAAGTACCAACCACAAGAAAAAGATTGATGAATTGAACTATATTAAAATTTAAAACTTCTGCTCATCAAAAAATGTTATCAAGAGAATGAAAAGACAACCTGCAGTGTGGGAAAAGATATTTGCATACAAATATCTATATATTCTGTGTTTCCAGAACATATTTACATTTTAAATTCACCTAAATCAGTCAGATAATCCAATAAAAAAAATGGGCAAAAATATTTGAGCAGCTAGTTCACAAAAGAGGATATGAAACTGGCCAATATAAGAGCTCAACATCTTACTCATCAGAGAAATGCAAATGAAAAGTACAATGAGATAATGCAATGCACCCACCACACCAGAACTGCTAAATTTTTTAAAAGGAACTTGTAATCACAAGTGTTGATGAGAATGTATAGTGACTGGAACTCTCATATACTGCTGTGATGTAAATTGGTACAATGTTGAAACTGTTTGGCATTACCTACTAAAACTAATGCATATGGACATTATGATGTAGCCACTTTCACTCTTAAATATATAAATAACAGGAAGGTATATATACATGCACCAAAAAACATATGCAAGAATGTTCATAGCAGCATTATTTGTAATAGCAAAAGTCTGGGAACAGCACAAATATTCATCAACAATAAAACAGACAAATATATTATGGAATATTTATACAATGCAATATTATATACAGCAACAAGAAGAAATGTCTGCTCCACACAGCAACATGGATGAATCTCACAAGCATATGGTTGAGTAAGTATAATAAAAGAAGCCAGACACCAAAGAGTGCATACTATATCATCTGCATCATTCCATTTATAGAAACTCAAGACCAAAATTTATTGTAATAGAAGTCAAAAGAGCAGTTTTCTTTGGGTGAGATAGGAATTCATCTGGGTTGCTGAAAATGTTCTATCTCCTTATTTGGATGGTGGTTAGGACACTGATTTCATTTAAAGAATTGATCTGTCATGACAGAGGTCAGAAAAGTGGGAATAGTGTATGTGAATGGAGCATAAGTGGACTTCTGTGAGCTGCTGATGCTGCGCATCTTGATGTGGGTGTGGTTACATGGCACTCACTCTATACACGTTCTTCAAGCTACTCGCTTATGGCTTCTGCCGATTTCAGTGTGAATTTTTTATTTCTAAAAAGCTTTTACTTTTTTTTTAAAAAAAAAAGTACTGTGTACTGCATTTGAGGGAGAAATGGCACTAAATATCCTAAATAATATGGACTGATCATCTATCTTAACTGGAGATAACAAGAATAGAAAACATTTATTGAGTATGTAATACGCATCAAGCACTGTGCTAAGCACTTCACATGGAAGCTGTCATTTAATGCCCCTGTTTCCCATGAAGACTGGTCCTACTACGATCCACATTTTACAGATAAAGGATCTGAGGCTTTGCTAGCTCAAGGGACTTGCCTGAACTCAAACAGCTAGTAAGTAGAAGAGCTGGGACTCCAGCCCTGGTAGTCTGTCAAATACAAAAATGGACTTCAAATAATGTTTCTTATAAAAGGAAAAAAAGAAAAAGATGGGCATGTGCGTCCCTGCTTTCTGGCTGTATATGTGCTTAGAAAGCTGCCCACTGTCTGCCTGCCCAGTGGGTTCACCCTCAGCTGCTCAGGCCCAACAGAAACATACTATGAATTGGCTTTTCCTTCACATGTCGTCAGCCTCTGGGACTGAGGAGAGGCGGGTTTGTTTGCTTTGGATCTCAGGGAAATACTATGGCCAGCACTCACTGGATTTCCTGTAACTGGAAAAGAGTGATGTAATGATATTCGACGAGGGTGGAAGACAGGCCTCACCATGAGCCATGTGTGAAACCACCCTGTGTTATGCCAGGCCTCAGACAGGCTCTCAGCCCATTCTACCATGCATTAACAGGACACACACCCCTTCACACCCCCTCTTCAAGGCCCCTTGAGACTCCTCTCTTCTAAGAACTCCATGATGGAAAATACTAACATTTGGTTCATTCCAGAGTGCTGCCTTTCACCAAGAGCTTAGAGTTGCTTATCAACTAGATACATTTCCCTGGTCTGAGTTGGGAGGTAAGATGGGGCACTTTGCCTGGAGAAGTTCTGAAGAGATTTTTCGGAAACCTCATGATGAGTGACTGACTTCTGTTATTTCTTCAAGTCTATAAATAAACCCAAGTAAACCCAGCAGGTAATGAGGTTCTGGGACTCAGAGAAGAGTTCTAGCATTTGCTGATCAGGATCTTCTTCCTAAGCACGTGGAGAAGTAGGAGGGAGACTCAGGAACGGAGCCTTCCGCTCCCCGCAGAAAGGTAAGCATGGTGTTTGAGCAGTAGGAGGAGATCTGACAACAAAGGAAACCAGGAGCTCCACTGTCAGTTACAGTCCCGCTGAACAATTCAGTTCCCTTCGTCCCCCTGCAATCCAGAGTAATTCTGTGGGTTTCTATTCTTCCCACCAAGAAGTCCTCAAGTGCCTAATGGAAGTCTTACAAATATTCCTAGAAAAATCACCAAGATCCACAGATTCTCCTCAGCCAGAAATTTTCCATTGGGCTCCTCTGCATTTACACTACATTGATCCATTCTCATCATTTATCCACTCGTCCATGTTTTATCAGTTCATTTATGGGTTCACACTGTCATTCATTGAACAAATGTTTCTTGTGTACCGACTATTTATTTGGGGAAATCAGCTGTGAAGTAGAGACATTCTTCTTCTCTTTCCTAAGTCACATAGTTAAGTGTTCCTTATTCAACTTTTACATATAATTATACATCTAGATAGCATTTATTGAGTGCCTAGTGGACACTGTTCAAACCATTTTATATGTATTACCCATCCTCACAATACTCCAGGAATATTTCTATTTTATAGGTGAAGAAACTGAGGCAGAGAAGCTAAAAGTAATTTCCCTTAGGCTCCATAGCTAATAAGTTACACAGCTGGGATTTAAGCCAGGAAGTCTTATTCCACAGTCCATGCTCTTAAACCAGTTAATATGTCTATATAGAGAAATAGGGGGAAAATCCTGGAAGGCTATAATCAAATGTCAACCAAAGTTATGTTGTTATTTGGAGGTAGAGAGAGGGTAGAATGACTAGTGATCTTTATTCTTTCTTCTTGCTATATATTCTATTTTACGATCAGAAAAAGTTGATGAAGCTATAAAAGCGGTTAAAGAGCAGGTCTGTAGGAGTGAGGCTATTCAGGGGTAAATGATGGGGGATGAGCTTACATTCAGTTCAAGGTCTCACAGATAAGGACATCGTTCCCTGGAGAAGTACCACCTGAAAAGGAGATGCATCTTGGCTCCAAGATTTGTTCAGTTCCTCTTCTCAGCCTGTAAGCCTTTTTAGTGACATTGCCTGGTATTTACTAATAGGAAGATTCTAAAACAGGTAGGATTTTTAGTGACCGTGCCGGCCGCCTGAGAACAATGTGTGCTCAGGGAACAAACATGTTGCATAATCACCAGCCCAGAGAAGGTTAACTGCATAAAAATACCTGCTTCAGAGCAAGGCTTGGTGTCAGCTCAGTCACTACGACAGGTTACCAGTGACCCAGGCTGCAGATGCCTTCTTGCCCCAACCATCACCCTGCTGTGAAGTAAACAATTATGTTATTTTCATTTCAGTGACATTCTCATTCCCATGTCAGTAAGTTTGTTTATTTACAGCAATAATGATGAGTGCTGATTCATTTGCTCAAAGGGAAAAACATCTAATTAAACATTTATTTTGTTTCAGGTATTATGCCCTTTGGTTCACTTAATCACCAAAGCAAATGTATGATATAAAATATGACCATCCCCACTTCATATAGGAGAAAACTAAAGCTTGGGGAGGTCACATAACTCATCAAATAACAGTTTTCTAAGAGATGGTATGATAATCAAACTAACCTTTTTAAAAATTATCTATTTGAGTATAAATAGAAAAAAATGCCATAAAACAAAATGCAACTCATGCATTGCAGATGTTGAAAATGAAGGTGTTAAGGAGGACACCCATTCCTTTGAGAGTTCATTTGCTTTTCATGAAGTAGGCCTAATACCTTCTTTGTTTACTTAATGATATTTTAAAACCAAGATACTACCTTCAATGGCTGAACATGATTAGGTTATGTTTGGAGGTTGCATATTATTCTAAGTGCAATAGGAAGCCATAGAAAGGATTTCAGCAGAGATTGACCTGGTCTGATTTGTGTTTGAAGTTCATACTGGGTGCTGAGGGAATAATGGATTGAATGTCTGTCTTCCCAATTAGACAGTAGGCATTGTTCTTATTTGTTACTTATTTGCTTATACCTGTCTGTGCCCATTCAAATGTCAGCTCCATGGGAGTAGGAAGCTTGTCTATTTTTTTCACTATTGTGTCAATAGTCGCTGAAACAGTGTTTGGCCCAGAGCAGGCCCTCAATAAATATTTGTTGAATGAATAAGTGAATGAATTAATAAAACAACAAATGAATGTGGTAATCACATAAATGAACATGTAAAGGGTAGTGCTTTGAAAAAAGCATAGAGTGCCATGAAAACATATAAGAGGGGACTTTGGGGACTGGGAGGGGTGATAAATGTTGTAGTTTGGTGGTAAGGGTAAAGAGAGGTGGATTCAAGATCTGTTTATGACATAAAATTAATAGGACTTGCTGATGTACTAGTTATGAAGGCTGGGGGCCTGCATTAGATATAAAGGTAAGTTTCATTCCCTCAGCCCTCCAAACTGAACATCTGATTCAATTCAGTTCCATTTGAGATGAGTGAGTGTTTTCCAAGTTGTTTATTAGTTATCTGTACAGAAAAGCTGCAGAATAGCAAGCATGATTTTCCAAATAGCGAGATTCTCTCACTGAAAATGGGAAGATAAAAGGAGTTATTTTTATAGTATCTATGGGAATCAGTTGGTAGCAATCTCTCTGTGATGCTTTCTTCAACACTCCCTCCCTTCAGCTCCTGATATTTCTATAAGGTTTCCATGGCTAGGTTTCCATGACACCACAACAGTCAGTTTGGTCCATTCAGTCAAAAACCTAATTGGTCAGAAAAAAAAAAAAGCCTTTTCCTGCACCTAAATGAATGCAGCCTTTCTCCACCCACCAACACACCTACACATACCCACTGACTCCACCCCATCCCACACACACACATTCACCATTGCTTCTAACACAGAGCTAGGCACACAGATATTTACAGCTATCTGTGACTTCCCTACTTGGGTTAAGATAACTTTCATATGGCAGAGAGTTTTGTGGACCATCTGATTAGTATTTGTAAAGAGCTATTTTGAAGTTAAGTGTTCTTCCAGTCTGGACTCTGAAAGTGACTCTCTTGAGATTACTTGCTAAAGGCAGACGCTATTGTTTTATAACTTACAAAAAATATTCCTTTCATCATCCTCAAAGACCAACTGATATTTCATTATCCTCATTTCAAAAGCTATAGAAGAAAAGATTATTTTCATACATGCCTATGAAACACATGTTTTCCTTTTCCCTTGAACCCCCTTGTTCAGGATTTGTTGGCTAGCCAGCCCTCCTGAGCTTGGCCTGCGATGGGTTTTATTTGAGATTTCCATTTCTTTGACATGAATGTTTTGGCTAAACTCACAGAGGGCTCATTCACAAGTTGTGGAAAGTCTTCACTCTCTACATCCAAGGCATGCCCTCTGTGGCACAGTGGGCTATTGAATCCCTGCCATGGTGACTGGTAGATGCATGTCTCTGTCAACATTTTCAAGTCATAAAGCTATGATGACTAAATAAACAGCATGTGGACTCCATCATCTCAGGCTTCCTATGCAGAGCATGCTGGCTTTGCTTGGGTGGGTTCATCTGTAGATGGTAGGCAATTCTTATGAAAACGATGGAGAGGGTGTGGTATCTTCTCAGGCCAAATGCTTCTGCAAAGTGGTAGACACATAAGATACACCGTAATCATCAAAATTCTTTGGGAGTCAAATAATAGGGTAAGCAGCCTCTCTTACACCAAAGTTACTGTTCTGGGGGTCCCAGAAATGTCCACATTAATTACCATTGTTATAACTCAATGTGCAAAGTATCCAGCTTCTATTGATTGTTCCCATTTGTCTCCAGTGTGTGAGTTTCTAGTAGCTCTATAAATACAATGAAAGCCTAAACCAGGCACTGTCAAGTAGTACAGCCTTATGGACCCAGCTGGGAATTCTGTACTTTCCTGATGTCTGCAAGGTGGTCATATACGTGTAATTGTCTCAGTTTCATAAAGAGCTCAATGAAGGGACCATGAAAATAAATGTGTTTCATTTTATTAAATCTCTTTGGGAGTTTTTCTGGCATGGTTGTATACAGGACCCTGAATACGAATATGGGACAGTTTTATTATACTACTGTTTAAAATATAACACAGTTCCCCAGTGTCTTTTGGACATGTGTTTCCTTTTTGTTCATTTTGTGTATAATGTATGTTACGGATGGGAGAAGGGAGTGTATTTGATCATGTTTCTTCAAAGTTGTATTTCTTGCTCTGGCTTCCAATGTCCTGCATGTTTTGGGTCCTGTTTTTTCTGGTTTCATTCTTAATCACTTGACCCTCTCTCTCTGCAGTTCATCTACCTGTCATTTTTTTTCAATCCTTGACACATTCATCTTCCCTCCCACCCCAGAGCCTTCATACATATAGTTCTGAGTGTTGGACAACTCACACCACACACACACAAACATACTCACAAACCCCACACACTCATCAAGCACAAATCCTCTCCTACCCAGCACTACTAGTCATCCTTCAGATCTCCACACAAGCACCACATGTGCAGGGAAGCCTACCCTGACCCTCCCACGTTAAATCAGGTATCTGGTCTTACATATTCTCATAGAACTTATTCTTTTCCATTAGAGCACTTGACTCCATTGGTAATTATTAATATATAATCATTTGGGTAGTTTTTAATTAATGGCATTATTTACCATAGATTTTTTACACCCTATAAGAAGAGAGACTGGATCTGTTTTTGCTCACCATCATCTCCTCAGCTTGGCACATAGAATCTGGCACATAACTGGCTTGCAATTAAAATTGAGTGAGAAAATGGATGGATGCATGCATGCATGAATTAATAAACATGAGTGTATGTGTGTATGCATGTCTGTGTGTGTCTTTCAGGGAATGAGAATGTTACTAATGTAACTTGCAGAGGGAATTTTTCTGTTCTCTTTAATTCAGGCTATTCTATTAAACAGGAAGTAGAAATGACAGTATTCTTCATATGAATCAACTTCTTTGCTAATTCTGCTTAAGAAATCAGCATTCATTCAGTCACATAAACACCATGAATGATTCATGTGCCTTTGGTTACCATTCAAGGAAAAATCTATTTATATGACTTACAAATATCATATAAATACTGTGTCTTGTTAACTATGCGTCTGTGTTCCTTTCAACTTAATCACAGAAATAGCAATTACTCCTCTCTAACACCATTAACAATCTCCTAATGTGCCAGAGATAAATTACTCAACAAATAAATGTTTAAATACATCAGCAGTGACCTATTGGGTATTATGTTACACACCCAGCAGCAGTTGCCTTCTTCATTTTCCTCTTCCTGCTCCACCTCCACACCGTGGAGTAGCCTGTGGAATTTGAGACCACTCCAAATAGATAGGATGAAGAGTACAAATACGTATGCTGAAGCTTAAAGATAAATGCTGTGGGAAGGCCTTGTCACCCACTACTGACTGGTACAATACAGCTGAGAATGCATTTTTGATCATGTACCAGATAATTAAAATAGTTGCAGAATGGAGAAAGGTTGATAAAAGGCACATGGGGAATCAGAGAGCTTAAAATAGTCAAGATTGCATACCAAGGCCAGATTTGAGTTCTAGCTCTCAGTGGTTCCTGCCCATTCAATGGTGGCTTAGGGAGAAATGGTCAAAACATAATTCTGCTAGTACAGTTATATTTATAATACAGAAACCAAGGCCTTTTAGAATTACCTTATACTTTGGATTCCAAGTATGTGTTCTAGTCTTGGCTACAGGGTCCAACAATCCATGGAATCATGGAAAATATATCTTGTAGTTCACAAACAGTACCGTCTTACAGGACATATTGTCTAAGCACTGCAGTGTTGAGTTCTAGGACAATAGGCATCAAATGTTCATAATATAGTCCTGCATCATAGCTTCCTTTTTAAAAAAAAAAATCTGTCAAGCTGAGAATAACTAATTTTTTAGAGCCTGGATTTGCCATCATAGAAATTATTCTCCTAAATTTGCTATTTGAGGTATTTTTCTAAATAAAAGTAATACTTCCTTTTTGAAGTATGTATTTATATCTGCATATAGATATATAGGCATCTATATAAATATGTAGATAATGACAGCAACATTAAATAGTATAGATATTTATAAATTAAGAAAATTAAGGCTGGGCATGGTGGCTCACATCTGTAGTCCCAGCACTTTGGGAGGCCAAGAGGGGCGGATCACGAGGTCAGGAGTTCGAGACCAGCCTGACCAACATGGTGACACCCCGTCTCCACTAAAAATACAAAAAATTAGCCAAGTGTGGTGGTGTGTGCCTGTAGTCCCAGCTACTCAGGAGGCTGAAGCAGGAGAACCACTTGAACCCGGGAGGTGGAGGTTACAGTGAGCTGAGATCGCGCAACTGCACTCCAGCCTGGGTGACAGAGAGAGACTCAGTCTTGAAAAAAATTAAAATCTCTCATTTTCCTCCTTTTCCTGCTGCATGTTATTTTCCATTCCACAGAGATATCCAGTGTCAACAGTTTGGTATACTTTTATTTTTTATTTTTTTTTTTTTTTGAGACGGAGTCTCGCTCTGTCGCCCAGGCTGGAGTGCAGTGGCGGGATCTCCGCTCACTGCAAGCTCCACCTCCCGGGTTCACGCCATTCTCCTGCCTCAGCCTCCCGAGTAGCTGGGACTACAGGCGCCCGCCACTACGCCCGGCTAATTTTTTGTATTTTTAGTAGAGACGGGGTTTCACCGTTTTAGCCGGGATGGTCTCGATCTCCTGACCTCGTGATCCGCCCGCCTCGGCCTCCCAAAGTGCTGGGATTACAGGCGTGAGCCACCGCGCCCGGCCATACTTTTATTTTTACATAAATAGGATCCTACCATATTTTCCATTCTGCAACCTATTATATTTTTCTTTAAGATATATTTTAAATGTACCATAGAAGGAGGCTTGGTAAAAGATACGTAGGATTATTGTATTATTTTTTAACATCTAGTGAGTACACAAATATTTTAAAATAAAAGGTGTTTTAAAAGCAATAAACTTTTCACTTAAAAAAATCATTGTTTATTGTACAATGAAATACTGAACGTTACACTACTTCACTCTGTTGAATGGGTTACTGACATTCCATTGTTAAGTTATATGATAATTATTTTAGCAAGCCTCCTTTTGATGGACACTTAGATTGTTTTTCAGCTTTTCAATATTGCTATCATGATGCAATGGACAACCTTGCACTTTGCCTCCAGTTGTGATGCAATTTGACAGGCCAATCTCCTAACCTGTTGCAATAATGTTTATGTTTGAGGCACATATATAGACTTTACAATCTCAAGTAGTTGTGCAAGAAAGTCTTAGTACTAGAATATTTGCATTTGTGTAAGAAACATTTAGTCAGAGTAGACATAAGCAAATGCCTGAAAGGTTTGTGTCTACTCCTCCAAAGTTGCTCAGCTTTTCAAACAAGCCCTCTCCAGCGGGATGCGTGTGTTCACCAGATCCTTCCCATGTGCTCAGAAAAGAGTCTGTAGGAGGCCTGTATGACTGAGTGACCTTCAGCCTTGACACAGTCAAACGAACAAAACCATCCGCAAATTCAAGAAAGAGCAGAGAAGGAGCTTCCCCAAGTTGGTTGAAAACATAAGGAAAGAAGTCTGAATTTGGCACCTCTCCCTGTGTGACAACCAATGACAGGCTTCATCAGAATTCAATGTTTCATCCCTGGGATGAGGCCAGACTTGTTTTGAATGTTAATATTTGTCATCATAGCACTTATCCATTTTGATATTTATTAATGTAACAAATTTAGGAGCCCTTACTTTGCACAGGGCATTATGATATAAGTATTGGGATATAAAGATAAACAAGGCACTCTCTGCACCCCACAAAAAACTCCGAGACTGTCTAGATTAGTAGTCTTGGGTTCTTTTACAGCCATGGACCCCTTTAAGAATCTGATGAAACCTGAGGAACTAGAAAAATATGCATCTGCATATATACCCAAAACTTTACAAATGATCTCAGCTAGAATCCTAACCTTGGAAGCCAACTATTAATCCATGGACTCCTTGGTCTATTGGAAGTGCAAGATGGGAAACTGGAAAATTTAGAGATCATCCAGATGAAACATCAGCTGTAAGAATGCAGCCATACCCTACAGCACTTCTCATTTTGTAAAGTACTTTCTCATATCAACATCCTCCTGCGGTAAACCTACTCCATTTTTGTCAGATGAGGCAATATTCTCAGAGAGATGGTATGACTAGCCAAAGGCCACTCAGCTAGAAGTTGGCAGGACTCTGACCAGAATTCAAGTCTATGACATGTACTCTGCTTTGCCAAATGGAGTAGGTGACTAATATGAAATGCCATGAACAAGATTAAAAAAAATCTTAGTGTCCATGATACGGAGATAAAAATTCTGACCAGTCATAGCTTTGCATATGGGCATATTTAAGTTTTAGAAGTCCCTCACCTCCCATACATATGTGTTTACACACTTAGCTCCCCCAGTTAAATTATGTGTTCCTTGAAGACAGGGACTATAGCTAGTTTATTCCCATTTCCTCTGTGCCTAGCAAAATGCCTGGCACATAGTCAGTCCTCATTGTTTATTGAGTGAATGAAAGGTCATTATACAAAGGAAGAGATTAGAGAGATTCGTTTATGCTAAATGTGTTTCTCAGTTCATATTCCACCTTCGAAAACTATCTTTAGGACATGAGAAGTGTCATCAGTTCATTGACATATTACTCATTGTTTCAACTGCATTTTTTGTTCTCCCTCTCCCCGGCTTTTATTAACTATTTGTAATATTTCATGAATAAAACCAACCTGGGTTGAGTCTAGTTTAAACACTTAATACTAAGCTGTCGTTCTCTTCACATAATAAAAATAGTTTCCACGTTATATGCCAAAATAGAAGAAACCTTAAACGATAATTTATTGAAATTAGTTGCAACGTTTAGGGTTTTTTGGGTTTTTTGGTTTAGTTGAAAGCTTATTGAAAAAAAAAGTAGGAGAAAAAAACAAACTGTATCTTACCACCCAACCCAAGCCAAATGACAACTTTAGAAAGTAATGTGATTGCTAAAGCAATAAATGAATGGTTTAACGCCTCTTGGGTCTTGGAAACTGTACCCACCCTTGCCAGGAAGGAGTGAGGGAATAAGTCTGTATTTCATTTGATGGCACTAAACTCCTTGAGGGCAGGATCTATTTCTGATCGACCTTTGTATTTAAGAAAAGTGTCTGGACATAGTGGGTGCTCAGTAAATTGTTATTAAATTAAATTGGATTTTTACAAAATTTACACATATCTGTAACATATGTTTATACGTGTATACATAGTATATAAATATCCTTTGTAGGCAGACATCTTTAAAGGACAAGCTGTGCCCATAGTCTTACAATACACCAAATGTTAAAAGCCCATCATGCTCATTTGTGCATGACCACAGCTAGAGTCAGTTGTGTTACAGAATTCCATCTAGTAAGTGCCTATTGTGATTAAAGTCTCCCCGTATAGTACGAATTTTGTATAATACTGTCTCAAACAGTTCCTAAATAAATAGATAACACAGTCCACTGCTGTATATAGCTTATATATACTTTTAACCTCAAACCAGTACTAGAAACAGCATGCCCAGCCTCAGCCAGTAAGTTCTCTATACCACACAGCCTTCTCAGCCAAGAAGTGCCCCACTGAGTCCCACTGAGCTGCATGTGCTTCTACATTGTGGGTTGTTACCTCACATGAATGGCTTCCTCCTGCCACTCATTTAAGCCTCTGTGGACAATTCTGACCCACAATGGCTGACAAAGACGGCAGATGGTAGAGCTGGACTTACCACAAAGAAGCAACAGGATGATACTAACATACCAGTTTTAGTTAAAACACAATGCTAAAATACCATATTTATGAAGGCTCAGTGTGTTTTCAAGGAAATGGTTGAGAAATTGAGGACTAAGGTCAGCAGGTAATTGGGGATTTAGGAAATTTATGCAGTAATATCAAGACGATAGAAAACATCACTAGAACCTAGGAGGATGACCTACAGTTGGCCATGAACAGGCAACTATGGCTCAAGCTAAATCAGGAATCAGAGGAATTAAAGGAAGTGAGAGAGCAATTGTTAAAGCACAGACCCAAAAACGTATTTGAACAACTCTTTATTGAGCCAGTTCAGTTAAAACTTAGGAGCACCTAATCATTTCAGGAACAACCAAGTCACCCAGGAGAAGGTCCCCTTCTACTTTCTTATCTAAATTACCTGAACACTTGGGGCCATTGTAACACTTAACACATAATAATTACACCTTCTCTAAAATCACCTCCCCTCATCTGGGAAGTGAATCCTGAGGGCTCTGAGGAAGGGGACCAGGCCAACTCCACATCTTCCCTCCTTGTGTTCTCTGGACCCACTGGGCTGGACTAAAATGTGGTCACTGTCCACCAGCACCTAATTTAGCACACTGGCACTTAATAAATATTTAGCACCATCAACGGTACTTGCAGGAAACATCTTGGAAATGAATTGTCTCGTTTTTAAGCAGCTGCTTGGGAATTGTGCATTTTGCAAAAAAACTGAATTGACTTGTTAATAAAAATAAATGATTCCATGTGTTACAGGATATTCTTTTAGCATTAGTTTCAAAGCCACATGTCCCAGAAAACAGCTCCCTTAATAAAAGGGAATAACTCATTTTTGTATTAAAATGATAATGATGCATTCAACAAATATTTGAGTACTTACTATATGTTCAGTACTGCTGTAAGCAATAGGAATGCAGCAGTGAACAAGGCAGGCAAGCTTTAATGGTGTGATTAAATACATAAATAAACAGATATATAGTATGTTACGTGCTATGAAGAAAAAGAGAAGAGAGAGTGATGAGGGATGTAATTTTACAAAGGGTAAAAGATATCTCAGAAAAGGTGACACTCAAGTAAGAGACCAAAATGGAATGGCAGTGTAAGGCGTATGAATATTTGGAGACAGTTCCAGATAGAGAGGAGGGTAGCACAAAGTGCCAGAGGCATCAGCAGGCATGTGTGGCCATAGTCAAGGAACAGCAAGGAAGCCAGTATATTTAAATCAGTGAGAAAGAAAGGAAGAGAAGATGAGGTTGGAGAGGTAGCAGAAGTCAGATTTTGCCAGACTTTGCAGGCCATGAGTAGGACTTTGGATATCATGCTAAGTGTGATGGAAAGTTACTGGAGGCTTTTGAGTAAGGCATGATCCGATGAAACTTTGGGTTAAACAATCCCAAACAACATTAAAACCATCTGAGTAAAGACTTCTGTTTTGAGTCAAAAGTAGACTAGATATTTAGAGAACCCCTTTCTGATACAGCATGCCTAAAAGTGTTGCACGTACATGCAACTGTGTGCACACACACAAATATGCACACCCACAAATACACACACACACATATGTATGTTGAGCTGGCACAAATGTAGGGAATTCTCTGGAGGCCAAAAATATAATTCCATAGAGGTTAGTAAGCACTAGAGTAGCATTTGCAATAGCATAATTTGCCAATTTCTGGTGACTTTGAATCTAAATTTTAAAAGCCCTTTCTTCTGAGAGATAGGAGGTAAATCCTGAAATCTAAGCAGACAGAGTAAGACACCAGATCAGAGACTATTCATGAAGTCATAGAACTCAGAGATCACACCTCACTGTTCCAAAAAAAAAAAAAAAAAACCATCCTACAGAGGGAGCTTATGGAAATAAATGCCTGCTTGGATTAAGGGTTTAGGTGGTGTATTAAAAAAGGAGAGAGAGTGTCTTTCTGAGAATTCCTAAGGTATATAGTACTGCAAACACAGTTTGGGGGTGATAATTTATAAAATCTTTGTGGCAAGAAAAAGAAGGAGGAAGAGGAGGGGTAAGGGAGGGTAAGGAAATTTAAAATAATATGGGGTCAGGAGTTCCCCCAAATCTGCTTCTGCCAACACAAATCCTCTTGGAAAAAAAATTTATTTCAAACACAAGCCTCAAAAACATCTCACAGATGTCTTTGCAAAAAAAAATGAATTCACCATCAAAAATAAACACTTGAAGTAAACCACCATGAGCAAGAGATGGTCAAAACTACAAACTATAGAATCAGACCAATAAGTCTACTTACATTCAAAATATCTTACAAAACATAAAAAGCCTTGAAGAAATATTGAAAGAAAGAGGGCACTAAAATTATAACAAAGAAATTAGAAACTATCAAACTATATTAGGCAGATATAAAAAAAAACACTTTCTAGAAATGAGAACATAAAAATCAAAATTAGAAATTCAAGAAGAGATTAGAAAGCAGATTATACACAACTAAAGAGACAATCAATGAAGTGGAAGAGAGAACAAAAGAAAATATCCAGAAAGAAGCATAAAGAAAAAAATTATATTAAAAGAAAGGATAAGAGACAAAGGAAACTAATGGAATCTAATATACATTTTATTAGAGTTACAGAAGGAGCTCATAGAGAGAATGAAAGGGCAAAAATATTTGAAAAGTAAAAGGGCTTAGAATTTTCTAAAATTGATAAAACAATTCAAATTTAGAAATTCCAAATGGAGAAATAGGGAAGAGGAGAAAGAACAAATGGAAAAAAAAATACATCCTTAGACATAACATATAGTATTACTGCATAACTGAAAGCAAAGGAAAAATGCCTAATTCATGAAATTTAAAAAGTCAGGATAGAACTAAAATCCCTGACAACAATAACTACTAAAGCAGCAGCTAAAGGAAAGTGTGATGCTTACATTAGAAAAATAAGAAACGCTGTAAGTTATATACCTAACTACTTTGGTTGCTAGGTAAATAAAGGAAAGTATAGTAGAAGAAAAGAAGCAGTAAAGATAAGATTATTTTTCCAGGCCGGGTGCGGTGGCTCATGCCTGTAATCCCAGCACTTTGGGAGGCCAAGGCGGGTGGATCACGAGGTCAGGAGTTTGAGACCAGCCTTACCAACATGGTGAAATCCCGTCACTACTAAAAATACAAAAATTAGCGCAGTGTGGTGGCATGCACCTGCAGTCCCAGCTACTCAGGAGGCTGAGGCAGGAGAATCACTTGAACCCAGGAGGCCAAGGTTGCAGTGAGCAGAGATCGCGCCACTGCACTCCAGCCTGTGCAACAGAGCAAGACTCCATCTCAAAAAAAAAAGTATTTTTCCAAAAAATATTACAAATGGCCAATAGGTACATGAAAAGTACTCAGCATCACTAATCATCAGGGAAATGCAAATCAAAACTGAAATGAGGTATCACCTCATACCTGATAGGTTGACTATTATCAAAAAGACAAGAACTAACAAATGTTGGCAAGGAGGTGGAGAAAACGGTACCTTTGAACATTGTTGGGAGGATGTAAATTGGTACAGCCACTGTGAAAAATAGTACAGAAGTTTCTCAGAAAAGTAAAACTACAACTACTGTATGATCTAGCAATCCCACTTCTGAGCATATATCTGGAGGAAAGAAAATCAGTATCTCAGAACCATCTACATTCCCATGTTCACTGCAACACTATTCACAATAGCCAAGATATAGAAACAACCTAAGTGTCCATCAGTGGATGACTGGATAAAGAAAATGTGGCATATATACACACAATGAAATATTATTCAGTCATAAAAAAGGAAGAAAGCCCTGCCATTTGCAACATGGATGAATCTGAAGGCCATTATGCTAAGTCAAATACACCAGGCAGAGAAAGACAAATAATGTATAATATCACTCACATGTGGAATTTTTTTTAAGTTAAACTCATAGAAACAGAGTAGAATGGTGCTTACCAGGACTTTCTGGGGTAGGGAAAATGGGGAGATATTGGTGAAAGGGTACAAACTTTTAATTATAGGATAAATAAGCTCTGAGGAGAAATTTATAGCATGGGTACTATAGTTGATATTATTATATTGTATAATTGAAATTTGCTAAGACAGTAGATCTTAAGAGTTCTCATAACACCAAAAAGGTAACTATGTGAAGTGGTGAATGTGTTAGTTAACTTGATTGTGGTAATCATTTCACAATATATTTGTATATCAAATCATCAGATTACATACACAAAATATATGCAATTTTATTTGTCAATTTTATAGACAAAAAATACAAAGTAAAATTGGAAATATTTAATGTATACAATGTGAGGATTTGATATATCTCAAATATTTATGCCTCAGTAAGGCTGAAAAAAAGTATGACTACAAGTCAATTAAATAAACATTCATTAGAAATGATTAACAAAACCAAAAATTTGTTATTTAAAAGGACTAATAAAATTTATAATAGGATAATAATTGGCAAAATTGATCAAGGTAAAAATAAAAAAAGCACAAATAAATAATTCTAGAAATAAAAAAGAAAATATAATTAGCATATGTATGGTGCAGACATTAAAAAGATAAGAGGGGCTGGGCAAGGTGGCTCACACCTATAATCCCAGCACTTTAGGAGGCCGAGATGGGTGGATCACCGGTGGTCAGGAATTCAAGACCAGCCTGCCCAACATGATGAAAACCCATCTCTACTAATAATACAAAAATTAGCTAGGCATGGGAGTGGGCACCTGTAATCCCAGCTACTCAGGAGGCTGAGGCAGGAGAATCACTTGAACCCCAGAGGTGGAGGTTGCAGTGAGCCAAAATCGTGCCACTGCACTCCAGCCTGGGCAACAATAGTGAGACTCCATATCCAAAATAAAAAAAAAAGAAAAAGATAAGAGGGTCTGATAAAGGATTTGTATCCAGAATATATTGTGGGACTTCAAAAAGTTCATGGAAAAGGCATATTATTAAAAAAAGTATCCATGGATTTCAAAATTTTTCTGCACCAGAATAAACTCATACTAACTTGTTGTAACATGTCTGAACAGGACCTAGTTTTAGACACTGAGAAGGATAAGACATTAATTTGAAAAGAACCCCTATCAAAGAAACATGAATTCAGCTAAAATTGAAGCAAGAACAAACAGCTGCAGACAAGAGCAGAGCTTTCAATACAAATGTATACAAGTGGGATCAAGATCCTGAAGCATTTACTTAGCACAATCCTGTAAACAAAGCACAATCAAAGCAATGGCTACCAAGAGGTGAAAGTGGTCCAGTCAAAGCAAAAGTGAGCTTGTCAATGGCAAAGGTCATGGCAACAGTTTTTTGTGGATGATCAAGGCATTTTGCTGTTGATTTTCTGGAGGAACAAAGAAAGATAACATCTACTTGTTATGAGAGTGTTTTGAGAAAGCTAGCCAAAGTTTTAGCAGAAAAGTGTCCAGGAAAACTTTACCAGAGAGCCCTCCTCCACCACAACAATGCTCCTGCTCATTCCTCTTCTCATACATGGGCAATTTTATGAGAGTTTGGGCGAGAAATCATTATGCATCCACCTTATAGTCCTTTGGCTCCTTCTGACTTCTTTTTGTTTCCTAATTTTAAAAAATCTGTAAACAGCCCCCATTTTTATTCAGTTAGTAATGTAAAAAGACTGCATTTATGGGGCCAGGCACATTGGCTCATGCCTGTATTGCCAGCACTTTGAGAGGCTAAGGTGAGAAAATTATTTGAGCCCAGGAGTTCAAGACCAGCCTGGGAAACATAGTGAGACCCTGTCTCTTAAAAAAGAAAAAAAAAAGACTGCATTGATGTGGTTAAATTCCCAAGACCCTCAGTTCTTTAAGATGAACTAAATGGCTGGTATTATTGCTTACAAAAGTGTCTTGACCTTGCTAGAGCTTAAATTAAGAAATGAATTTTATTTTTTATTTTTATCTTTTAATTCCATTTTCCATGAACTTTTTGAAGACCTTTCATGTAAAGAACTCACAATTCAAAACGAGAAAGCAATCCAGTAAAAACGTAAATGGGCATATGCATAAATAATGAGCAAATGATTTGAACATAACCTTCACAAAAGAAGATACACAAAGAAGTACAGGAGACAGTATTCAATATCATTGGTCATTAAAACCACAATGAGATATGCCTATGCATATATTAAAATGGCTAAAATTCTTTAACATTGTTAAAATCTGATAATAGCAAGTGTTGACAAAGTGATATGGAACAACTAGAACTCTCATATATCACTGATAGGAACACAAAATGGTACAGCCACTTTGGAGCAAAATTTAGTAGTTTCTCAAAAAGTTAAAGACATGCTTTCTGTACAATACACAAATTTCACTCCTTGGTATCTACTCAAGAGAAATGAAAGCATATGTTCACACAAATATTTGTACACAATGTTCATAGCAGTCATTGCATGTAATGGCCAAAAAGTGGAAACAATCTAAATGTCTATCAAGTGAAAAATGAATAAACAAAATGTGGTATATCCATACAATGGAATACTACTCCACAATAAAGAAAAACAAACTACTGATATTTCCAACATGGATGAAAACATTCTAATGGAAATAATTAGGTATAAAAGATGAAATATCACGATTTCAATTATATTAAGTTATGGAAAAGGTAAAATTGTAGGAACAGAAACAGGTATTTAGTTGTCTAGAAGCAGAAATTGAGTACAACAGGGCATGAGAAATTTGTTGAGGTGAGAAAGGTATTCTAAAGCATATTGTAGTGTTGTTTTCATAACCAAATACATTTACCAAAGTTCATTGAACTTTACACTTAAAGTGGGTACATTTTATTGCACTTAAATTATACAGTAAAGCTTTAAGATGTGAAAAATAAAACAAGATAAGAGAATGTTATAAACAGCATTATGTCAACAAACTTGAAAATGTAGATAAAATTGTTATGAAAATTGCCACAACCAATCTTAGAAAAATAGAAAATTTTAATTTATCCTATCATTACTAATGAAAGTAAATCAGTGGTTTAAAATCTTCCTTATAGATTACATCGGATCCAGTTTTACAGGTGAGTTCCACCAAGTAGTCAAGGAAGAGATCATTTCAACCTTAAACTTATTCAAAAAAAATAGAAAAAAAAAGTTGGGGATAACACTCTCCAGTTCATTTTACAGCCTTATAAAACTTGATAGAGAAAATTAACAAGATAAATAGCACTTTGAGAGGCTGAGGAGGGCAGATCACCTGTGGTCAGGAGTTCAAGACCAGCCTGGCCAACATGATGAAACTCTGTCTCTACAAAAAATACAAAAATTACCTGGGGGTGGTGGTGCATGCCTGTAGTCCCAGCTACTCAGGAGGCTGAGGCAGAAGAATCACTTGAACCCAGGAAACAGAGGTTGCAGTGAGTCGAGATCGTGCCACTGTACTCCAGCCTGGGTAACAGAGCAAGACTCAATCTCAAAAAAAAAAAAGAAAAAGAAAAATAGAAGAAAAAATTATTTTCTAGTCTCATTCATGAAAATAGAAGCAAAAACCCTAAATAATATATTATCAAACTAAATTAAGCAATGTACAGAAATATGACTCATAATTTGGGTTTTGGGCTTTTTCCCAAAATGCAAGTTTAATTCAAATTTACAAAATCTGTTAATGTAGTTGATATGGTTTGGCTCTGTGTCCCACCCAAATCTCACCTTGAATTGTAATTTCCATAATCCCCATGTGTCAAGGGAGGTAATTGAATCATGGGGGCAGTTTCCCCCATGCTATTGTCTTGAAAATGAGTGAGTTTCACCAGATCTGATGGTTTTATAAGTGTCTGGCATTTCCCTGGCTTGCATTCATTCTTTCTCCTGTTGCCCTGTGAAGAGGTGCCTTCTGCCATGATTGTAAGTTTCCTGAGGCCTCCCCAGCCATGTGGAACTGTGAATCAATTAAACCTTCTTTCTTTATAAATTACCCAGTCTTGGGTATTTCTTCATAACAGCATGAGAACTGACTAATATATAGTTCACCACATCATCCAGTGAATAGTAGAAAAAATACATATGACCATTGCAACATATTTGAAAAAGGAGTCCATAAAATTCAACAACTATTCCTGACAAAATTTCTTAGCTACTAGGAGTAGGAAATAAGCCTCTTACCTGGATAAATGGTATCTATAGAAAACCTGGAACCATCATCATATTTGGTGGAGAAATATTGCAAGCATGCCTATTAAAATCAAGATTAAGACCATGAAGCCCTCTATCACTATTTCCATTGAATAATACATTGAAAATCTTAGCCAGAATAACAAGAAGAGGGAAAAATTAAATATATAAGCATTTAAAAAGAGAACATAAAACTCTAGCATTAGCAATTGCTAAATTATCTACATAGCACAAAAACATTTTCAGACAAATTATTAAAATTCAGATAATTTAGTAATTTTTAGATATATTAATATACAAAAGTCCATTGCAAATCTAGTTATTCATCCATAAGCGTGAGAAAATTTTTATTTAAAAAAAAAAAGATACCACTATGGTAGCAACTAAAGATATAAGGTAATGAGAAAAACATCCTACAAAAGATGTGTAAACCTTTAGGTAGAAAAGTTGAAAAGCTATTTAAAGGGTACTGGATACAGTAACAGGGATGAGTCACATTTGGGAGAGTCAGTAAAAGGGCATACAAAGTTGGAAATATTTGTGTTGACTCTTGAGGATGAGTAGGAATTTTCCAGGAGAGCAAAAAGGGAGAGGGAGTAAGCAAGGCTCACCAAGCAGAGGGAGCAGAATGGGGATAAGAAAAGGTGTAAAACACTCCAAGAACCCTATTCTCACAGCCATACCCACTCAACAAGGATGTGCTGAAAATGCCATCAGTTGCCTCACCTCTGAACTCTTGGACTGTCCCATCCTGCGGCCTCCCATCATCTCTATTAACCTATTTCCTGTCCTTGAAGGTCTAATTCAAATTGCTTTCCCTATTCCTCTATCCCTAAACACTGTGATCTATCTCCCCACTCTTTCCTGAGGACACTTTTCACCTCTCATTTTAATGGAATGCCAGCTGCATTCTTCTGTTTACCAGACAGCATTTCAAATATTTCTACTACTTTAGCAAAACAGCAAGCTAATAATTGAGTGGGCCCTCAGCAAATGTGTTTTAAATGGGCTATCATTTAAACAGTTCATTTTAAGGGCTTCTATAGAGCTGTTCCTTGGAGCAGATTGTGATCTGAAGGAAATCTGCGTTGTTGTTGGTTTTGTTTTATTACATGACATCACAGTGAATGGCCTTTGTCTAACCCACAGGGAGACCAAAAGACAATACCTGTAAAACTTGGCCTCTGGATAAACTCCATCCTGTGTACTTCAAAACAACATGGATAATCTCCCCTCTCCCACCTCACTCCACTCTAAACAAAATTCCCAGTGTAGAAATAAAAGCAAGTTATTCTGCTGGTTAAAATGCTAGTTTGCACATCTGCATGTGTGCAACAAAACAAGCTCATCCGGACATGCACAAAAATTAGTTTTGATATTTACTGTGGCTGTACTCTCTCTATATCATTAAAAATTAATAATTTTGTACAATTCAGAATAAATAATGATGTTTTCCTCCAGGTTCAGAGAAAGTATGAAGTAGGAGGAAGAGCACTGAACTTGGAATTCCCAAAAAGATACTACTGTGGAATTGGCGAAATCTCCTAAATCTTTTCCTCATCTTCAGGGAGGTGATAATGTCACTTACCCAATATAGCTCATTTGGCTAACAGGGCAATCAAATATGCCAGTGGCTATTTGAGTTTAAGAAGTGTAAAGCTCTGTTCCCATGCCATGTGCTATCATTATTACTGAGACTAACCAGCAGAAACTGACACAACATTTCCCTTCTCGTGAGCTTGAATCCTTTGACGCTGTTATCTAAAGAATTAGCTCTGTGAGGCATGCCCAGAAAGTTCATTGAGAAAATCACTGGTTTAGACAGCTAAGACTAATCCACTAGTGAAATTTATCATCTTCCTTCAGCATCTTTCAACAACATCCAAAAGTCTATATTTTAAAAGATAACCACTGCCTTAAATAAATATAATTGTGTTTGTATTGGTTACATTATCTGGTGGCACTGTTTTCAGTGTAACAAATCATCAAAATGCATCCTCCACATATTTCCAGGGTCCAATTAAGTTGAAAGATTATCCAGTAGCTCTTGTTTTCCTCACTACTTAATAGTTATCAAGAATTCTCCTCAGCGTTACTGCTCTTTTTGAATTTGTCTAGCAGGTCTTCGGGGTTTTACAAAAAGAAGAAGAAATCCACCCCCAACACACACACACACACACACACACACACACAAACACACACACACACACACAAAAGAACCCCTCTTCGATCAACACATGTCTGACATAGGTGGAGTCTTTCTTTTAGTGCCTGTTAAATGTTTAGCTTTTGGAGATAGAATCATCCCCCATTATTCTATTATATTCCTCCATCATTCATTTAGACAGTGAAATACTATGCTACCTTTTAAAATGAGATTGAGGATAATGTTTACTAAGGTGGAGATTCATTATATGGTTAAATGTTAAATTTTTAAAGCAGCATGTTATGAAGCAGTAGTGTGGTGCGATCTCATTCTCGTAACAGGAAATGTGAGCTTGTGGTGTCACGTTGCTAAAAGTCTGGATGCAAGCAAACCTGGGCAATGATTAAGTGCATAGATATTAGTGTCAGATTGACAGGGATTCAAATCCATTCTCTTCCTGGCTAGATGAACTTGGACAGATTGTTTAATCTTTCTCAGTCTCACTTTCTTCTTTAAAGAAAATAATAATGGAATTGGCTTCCTGAGGTTGCTAGGAGGATTAAATGGATAAAGTATATTAAGCATTTAGCATAGTTCCTGCCCCACAGTAGGTGATCTGTAAACCATGGCCATTGTTATTATGACCTATGAGATGATACAAAATGTCGATAGTTATTATCTCTGGGTATGGGCTTAAGAATAATTTTTTTCTGTGCTTCTTTGGGCTCCATTTCCACCTGCGTCAACCACTCTAATGTGTTAACATGTGCTTTTTTGTATATGTATATTGCAAAATAATTATTGTTTTATACAATATTTTGTAATTATGTGAAACTATCATACATCTCATTGATCTTACTTTTCTCATTAAGCACTATGTTTTGAAGATCCACAATTCACAATATGTTGCTGTGTGTACCTCTAATTCATTCTTTCTAAATGTTGCTTAGTACTCCAGAATGTGTGTCCTCAACATTTTATCTATCTGCTCTCTCAGTTATTGGACTCATAGGTTACTTCCAAGTCTCTAATGCTACAAGTAACATGTAATTAATATCCTCATGCACATCCCCTGAAGGATCCATACAATATTTTCTTTGAAATACATACCCAGAGGTATAATTGCTGGGTTATAGAATATGCATTTTCTTAATTGGCTAAGTAGTGACAGATGCTTTCCAAAAAGGCTGCAGTAATGACACAGTGACTCCATCAGCAATGGTAAAATTCCTGTATGTGGGAACATCTCCACCAACACTTGGCCTTATCCATCTTTCTAACTTCTGCCAGTCTAAAAAGTAAAACATGAGACAACTTGTTGTTATTTTAATTTACATTTCTCAGATAACTCAGAATTTGGGCATCATTTCTTTCATATGTTTAGTAGTAATTTGAGCTTCCTCTCCTGTAAATTGCCTGTTGGTATCCTTTGCCTATCTTTCTGCTGAAGTTGCTGCCTTTCTCTTGTTGATTTGCAGCAGTTACTTGTGTTATTCATTTGGCCCTTTTGGGTTTTAGACATTTCTAATACTTTTCCCATGTTGACATCTGTGTAATAAATTTGCTCATGATGTCTTCTTCAAACAGAAAGCCATAATGTTGATGCTCAAAGTCATCAACACTTTTCCTTATGAGTATGCCTTTTAAACTTTTGTTAAAAAGGTTTTCCCTGCCCTAAGCTCAGTCACTAAGATATTCTCCTACATCATACTCCATTAACTGTATAGTTGTACCTTTTCCTTTTAGATCTTTAATTCAAGTGGGGGCCACATTCGTGTGTTATGTGAGGTAAGGATCTAGTTTACTCTGTGTATAGTGAGTCAATTTTCCCAATGTAAGCTGCTAGATACTTATGATATTCTCTTTATCATACTTAAGTTTCCACCTATATATATATATGTGTTTGTGTCTGAGCTCTGTGTCCTATTTTATTGGTCTGTTTATCTAGGGTATTTGGGTTTTTTTGTGTTTTGTTTTGTTTGCACCAGTGTAGCACTGTTTTTGTTACTGTGACTTTGTCATATGTTTTCATGTCTAGTAGGACTAGCCCATTCTCTACTTATATTTTTTGAGCTTGACTTAGCTGTTTATAAACTTTTATTCTACCACATAAATTTTAGAGTAAGTTTTATCATGTTGCTCAAAAATATATAAGTAGAATTTTTGATGGGATTGTATCAAATTTACAGATTAAATGTTATTTTTTTCCAGTATAATATTGCCTCATCCAAAAGCTCAGTAATTTTCTTCACTTATTCAGATCATCTTTTCTGTAGATAGCTTTTATATTATTTTATTAATAAAATTAGCTCCTATATATTTAATAGACTTCTTAGTTGTGGGAATGATATGTTATTATCTATTATGTTTTCTGATTTGCTATTGCTAGCACTAAAAAAAAAAAAGGATTGATGTATCCAACAATTTTATCCAGTTCTCTTATTGGTTCTAACACTTTGTTTTTGAAATCTGTTGGATTTTTCTGGATAAATGATCATATCATATGCAAATGAGGAAAGTTTTCTCTCTTACCTTCTGCATTAGTCAGCTCTCACTAAGTTATGCTGTGATAACAAATAGCTCCCAAAACTCAGTGACTTATAACCACAAACATCTGTTTCTCACTTATGTAACATGTTGAATATATATTGGCTGCAGCTTCCTCTGTATATTTTCTTATTCTGGGATCTGAACAGAAGAAGCAGCCCTGGTCAGGAACACAGTATTCTCATAGCAAAGGAAAAATGCAAAGAAACCAGCAGATCTACACAATGACTTTTAAAGCTTCTGCTCACAACTAGCACACTGTCAAACTCATTCATATTCATTGGCCAAAACAAATCCCATGGTTAAATAAAATGACGTAGGGTAAAAAGTGTTCTCTTCTCAGAGGAAGGCTCTAGAAATCACAAGGCAATGGGCAAGCAAGTGCAAAACTCTTGCAGGAAAGGTGGTAGGGGATAATTGGAAATAACAATATAATTTACTACTCTTTCTAACTCTCATTCTTATTTCTTTGTCTTTCCCTTAGCTTTAACCAAAACCCCTAATGGTAATAGTAAGCATCCTTGTCTTAACTTTAGCATAGAGAAAATGAGTCTAAAATTTCTCCATTAAGTATAAGAGTTACTATAAATTGTTAGTAGAAATCATTTTTACCAAGTTAAGGAAATTCCCTACTTTTCCTAATTCCCTAAGAGTTTTGATCATAAATTTGTGTAGAACCATATCAAATTTATATTTTGGGGGTTGACTGATACAATCATATAGTTTTATTCTCCATTAGTCTGTTAATACACTAACATACATAAATGAATTTTCTCTATTGAACCATCCTTGCATGTCTAAAATAAACCCTAATAGGTCAAGAGTTCGAGACCAGCCTGGCTAACATGGTGATACCCTGTGTCTACTAAAAATACAAAAATTACACAGGCATGGTGGTGCATGCCTGTAATCCCAACCACTCAGGAGGCTCAGGCAGGAGAATCATTTGAACCCAGGAGGTGGAGGTTGCAGTGAGCTGAGATCACATGCCACTGTACTCTAGCCTTGGCAACAGAGTGAGAATCTGTCTCAAAAAAAAAAATACAAAATGAGCCCTATTTGATCTTAAGGTATTTCTTTAAATCTACAATTAGTTTAGCTAATATATTATGTATAATTTTTTTATGTATAACATTATACATTAAAAAGTGAGCTATTATTTTCTTCATTGTATTATCCTCATCTAATTTTGGAATGAGGCCATGCTTATTACACATAAAATGATGTGTATAGATTTTGCCCTTTTTCTGTTTTACAAAAACAACCTGTATAACATAGGAATTAATATTCCTTGAAAATTTAGTAGAACTTTCTAATAAAACCATCTGGGTCTAGAGTTCTATGAGTAAGGAGGATCTTTGTTTATCATTTCAAATTATTTAATATTCATTGATATATTCAAATTATATATTTCTGCCAAGCGTGGTGGCTCACGCCTGTAATCCCAGCACTTTGGGAGGCCGAGGCAGGTGGCTCACCGGAGGTCAGGAGTTCGTGACCAGCCTGGCCAACATGGCAAGACTCCATCTCTACTAAAATACAAAAATTAGCCAGGCATCATGGCTCATGCCTGTAGTCCCAGCTACTCAGGAGGCTGAGGCATGAGAATCACTTGAACCCAGGAGGCAGAGGCTGCACTGAGCCAAGATCACGCCACTGCACTCCAGCCTGGGTGACAGAGTGAGACTCCATCTCAAAAACAATATATATATATATTTCTTATTTATACCAGTTTATTATACCTTATTTATACCAGTTTTGGCATTTAATCTTTTTTCTAGGAATTTATCCACTTTAAGTAGATCTTCAAACTTACTGTCCTGTAGCTGCTTAAAGCCTTTGAAGTCTAGCCTTTCAAGGAAGTAATCATATCATGTGCATGGCCCTGAAGCTCCCTGTACACTTTCAATGCTTTACAAATAATAATAATAATTAACAGGCACTATCCGATGAATAGAAATCTACCAAAAATATTAGAAATTATCTCCAAGAGTAGTAAGGGTAATTTTTATGTTCTAACATGTTGTACATTCTTTTTTGTATAGTCTGAAGGTTTTACACAGACAAAATGTTGCTTTTCTATCATCAGGAGTAACTTAAACTATTTCTCTTTTGTACTGAAATTAATCTATAAAACTTACCTAAGTTCAAAATTACTGTCACATTCCCATGCCCCATTGAAATATGGTATTTGATAAATCCACAGGCAGACCTCTTTCTTGGGTGCTGAATTCATCTATAAACAAGTAGAACCCTTCAAGGGAGAAATCGTAACCTGTACATGGCCCTGAAGCTCCCTGTGTACTTCTAATATTTTGTAAAGAATAATAATTAACAGATACTGTCTAACCATTTTGGATTTATACCAATTTATTTTACATAAAAGGACATTTTAACATAGCCACCTATGGGTACAATTTTAAAATTTTGCAATTGAACTCTTGGAACATGAGTTGTTTGTTCTGCCTGTCTTTTTCCTGCCTTTACCCTCCACTCAAGTATGGGTTTTATTAAGCAGTGTATATTTCACCTAAGGCCTTGAAAATGTACTTTTGGAGAAAAAGGCTCTTCTTGGTAGTCTGTGGTGAGTAGGACCTTATTTCTGTTTGGTTTTTAGTGTGTATTATGTGTGGGCCCTGAGGATTCAATGAAGCTGTTTTCTTTGAAAAGCTGTCAGGCAACACAAATTAAATCCAGTAATGGTATAGACACAGCCAAACAAGTTCAACTAGTTCACATACACTTGAAAGCAAATGAAAGAGAGTATGTATAGGGAGAGATTTTTACCGTCTGCCTCTTCTACTAAATGTCTTCAGTTCTCCAGGGAAATGTCTAATAAATAGATCAGGTTGTTGTGAGATTCAAATTAGTTAACGCATTAGTTAGATGCACTTAGCACAGTCCCTGGCATACAATAGATAATAAATGGAAGCCATTATTATTTGTACACATATGGAGGTGGTTTTACATATACTGCTCTGGACTTTGTTTTCCTAGTAGCACAGACATTCCTCTGAGTGTAAGGACTGAGCTCTAACTCCCTCTGTAACAGGTAATTCTACAATAGCACAGATACATCCCCATTTAGTCAACCATTCCCCTGTTCATGAGCATTCTGGTTGATTCCAGGTTTTGGCTTTACAAATGCTACAGCAACCTCTTTGTCCCCCTCAGAACTTCAAGGCAGCCAGTTCTGCCCTTCCCCATTTGCTCAGAAACTGCCACTCTCCCAAGACACTTCCTCAGATAGGGGTGCCCCTGCAGGCCACCTCCACATTCCTGCCCTCTTCCTCAGTCCTTCCCCAAGCAGGCTGGCCAAGCTGGAGCAGACTTCCTAAGCCCCTGGGAGGACTGGCTAGGAGCTGAGATGTGGAAGCCAAAGCCCATGATAACAGTCATCCTGAAGGCATGCTGCAGTCATGACTCCTGGTGTAGGAATGAAGGCAAGACTGGTGGAACCAAGCCAGTAAGCCATTTTGACTGTGATGAGAAGACAAGAAACTCCCAGGCAGCTTGTGGATGTACCACGGCTGTTGTAATCCACCATTTCGAGATCAATTCTGGCAGGGGCACCGGGGAGTCACAGATCTGGCCTGTTTTAGGAATTCACCTCTATAATGATACCTTGTATTGGCAGAGTGACGTCTATGTCTCAGAAGATTTTCTTAGCTCTGTTATATCATTATGGGTTTTTTGACACCATGGCACCCAGCAACTGAGCTATGATTTGGCTGTGCTGGTTAAGTTAACTGAAATACTAGATCCAGCCACCTTTTAGCTGGGTGTTTTATGTTGTAAAGGCAGATTAAAATGCTCCCCTAAAGTTCACATGAGCTTGTCCAGTCCCTATTGGATATTAGAACCAGCTGTTATTGAACCTGTATGTGACTGATGCTGTTCAAATGTTATCTGACAATCTTCCCTGAAGCCCAGGAAATGAACTTCGTTCATTTGTTTTTTATTTATTTCTATTTTTTAGAGATGGGGTCTCACTCTGTCACCCAGGCTGGGCACAGTAGTGTAATCATGGCTCACTACAACCTCAAATTCCTAGACTCAAGCAATTCTCCTGCCTTGGCCTTCCAGGTAGCAGGGACTATGCTGAGCTAACTTTTTAATTTTTTGTAGAAACAGGGTCTCATTATGTTGCCCAGGCTTCTCTCAAACTTGTGGCCTCAAGCAGTCCTCCCACCCTGACCTCCCAAAGTGCTAGGATTATGGGCATGAGCCACCACGCCTGGCCCATTATCCCATTTTGTAGATAAAGCCATTGATGCTTAAGAAAGTAAAGCCTGAGGACATTTACCTGATGAGGAGTGAAGCTGGGATTCAAACCCAAGTTTGTGAACGCAAAACCTATGTCTTTTCCCCTCTCACCACCATTCCACAACTAAACCACCAAAGCCCAACTTTTTTGAAGAACTCTTTCTGAAACTTTTAAGGAAAAAGCCACTTTCCCATAGTTAACTAGGATGCATCTGTATATGGATCCTATTTCACAGTTCTTTCAAACTAGAAGCCAGATTATTTCTTATGCACCTATCCCAGCTGTCGGGTGTAAACATGATCATATTGATGACGTGATGATGATGATGATGGTGATGGTGATGATAACAGCTTTAATTTACTGAGCACTCACTCCATGCCCAGCACTTTGCTTAGCGCTTAACATTCTCGCACTTACTCTTGATTCTTACGAGAATCCCAGTGCCCAAAAAAACGTGCACAACTAGGACACAGCACACCTGAGACTTGGCCTTGGGCTCCTGACTTCAAAGCCTGTGCTCCCAACCATGTCACAGCACTGCTGCAGCAGTGGAATCTTGAACGCGTAGTTTCATCTAGCATAGGCTACCGTAAGAGAAAGGAGACATTGGAAATACTCCACACGCCTTTCCTGCACTGACAGCCATTCTTAGATTTAAGCATTTTATTCAGCAGGGCTCAGATGTATTTAGACACTTTAAGTTAATCATTACCTGTCACCATTTATGTGTACTGTTCCTCATCAGCAAGCACATGTAGACGTAGCTGCCCTCTGCTTTACATCACATTTTTTATTAGGCAGCCATAATATTAATAGAGGAGCTCTCCTGCCAGAAGAAGAACATTTTTGTGGTGTTGAAGATAATATAGGTGCTCAACCTAAATTAACTGGATAATTGCTTCAGTGTTTTCAGTAATTTATCATCATGGGCTCCCAAGCAGCTCAGACAGACGTCGGTTGTGGCTAAGATGACACTGTCCCCCAATAAATCAAGAAAGAGGATAACAGAATTCTGCAAAACACCCACAAACTCCCCAAACCTGAATTTTTTATCTTCATCCATCTTCACCATGAATTGCCTCCAGTCATCTCTGGCTGGAGCAGAGATGTCGCCTGGTTATCCGACTCCTCACCTCACTATCAAAGGTCATGATTGCAGGGATGTGTATGGCTGTGTGCCAGTCCCTGTGAGAGCCAACTTGGTGGTGGCAGCACATACCAATGGCATGGTACTTCAGCTTGAATTGACAGTAGGCTTTATATAAGTGGAATTGTAGGCTCTTACTAGCAAAGCTACTCATAATCTCTACTCTTTTCTTGCTACAGTAAGTGTGAGAACCCAGTACAGAGTCCAGTAAGCATCACTTTTAGTTGGTGTGTATTAGGCAGAGTTCTCCAGAGAAACAGAAGCAATAAAATATAAATATATATAAGATTTATTATAAGGAAATGGCTTATTGAATTATGGAGGCTGAGAAGTCCCACAATCTGCCATCTCAAACTGGAGACTCAGAAACACCTGTGATGACCTTCCAGTCCAAGTCCAAAGGCCTGAGAACCAGGAACACTGATCATAAAAGGATAATGTGAGCCCCTGTCTGAGGGCAGAATACCAGTGTCCCAGCACAAAAAGTCAGGCAAAGAGAGTGAATTCTCCCTTCTTCCACCCTTTTTGTTCTATTCAGGTCCTCAGCACATTGGGTGAGGCCCACATATATTGGAAAGGACAATCTGCTTTATTCATTCTACTGATCCAAATGCTAATCTCACAGACACACCCAGAAATAATGTTTAACCAAATATCTGGGCATCCCATGGTCCAGTCAAGTTGACACATAAAATTTACCATCATAGCAATTTGAGAACTTCACCTTCACTAAGATGAGGTAGCACTTTCTCATTCTGCCTTTTACCATCCAATATTCTATAGATGCTATCTACTACAGGTGTAGGTAAGGAGGGAAGAGAGAAAAAGCCAAACACATGTAGAAACCCATTGCATATGCTACCCTAATTTTGGAGAATCCCTGTGTGGACAGACATTTTAAAGGCTCTGAAGAGTCCTGCAGTACAGACACATATTAACTTTGTTTTACCCAGTGTTTCCCTATTTGAGCACCCAACTGTTTTCGAGGAGGAGATTACCATTATGGCTATAAAGCCACATTCTCCCATGACCATGTCCCCTCGATTCTGGGGCATAAAATTAAAAATATAGAACGCTAAGACCAGTAGAATCTTAAGGGATTTCATTGACCTCATGGCATCCTCCCTCCCCTGCCCTTGAGAGTCCAGGAATTAACCTGACCCAGAAAAGTTTTCTCAAAGAATTTACAGAGCCCCAAACTGACAACAACTGCCTGAGATCTCTTCCTCCAATTCCAACCTACTCCTGTCACACAACATGATTTCCTATATCACGAAATGGGAGAGAACAGAGAGGAGCTTATCAAGAGAGACGATAGATGTCGTCTGTTAGGTCCTGTTAGGTCTCATCTCATCTTTTAATATTGCAAATAGGCCATTGGCAGCCTCCTTTGAACATTTACTAGATCGCAAAGATTCTGAGTTTCTATGTAGATGGCAGAAAGAATACATTCTTTACCTCTCCCACCTATCCTCTTATTTACAAGGCCTGAAACAAAGTCCTAAAATCTAAAGACATATATTTAACAAAATATTATAACACCACTAAAAGGAAAGCCATTATAGAGCCATTTAGAGCCATTTCATCCTTGACAAGCTCCCTGGCAGAAAGTGAAGATGGAAGCAAAGTCTGAGTTTTCTGATCCCTCTGAGTCCAGTGCCAATTCTGTTTCACTCTCTGACCTCTGTATGATTAATGACATTAGAAATCAACAAATGCCCAATGCTATCTGACAGAGCACAAGTGTTCCACAGAACCCAGCTTGATTATTTTACCCTATCCAGACATTCTTTAAAGGCAGAAGTCTAATAATTCTTTAGATATTTTAACTTTAGTTTTAGTTCCACAAGTAATTCGTATGACTCAATTCTACTTTTAAAAGTTAGAATATTATGGATATAGCTAAGGTCCTCTTTCACCAATATCCTCATCCTAATCCCTTCCCCATATTCCCAGAGGTAGTGAGGTCCCCCACACACATACACACACTTTTACATGCACACAATATGCATATTCATAATTCACATAAAACATATAATATGGGTTTGGATTTTTTGCATTAATGGTGTCATACTGTTCTGCAACTTGCTATTTTCAGTGCAAAATATGTTTTGAGACATCTATCATATTGATATATGTTTAGTCATCCATTTTAAGTACTGTATGGCATTTCCTCTTATCATTTCACCATAATTATTTAGCTATTCCCATTCTGTAAGATCTAAAGGTCATTTCCACTTTGGGCCTCTTAAACGCCACGCAGCACTGAATGTCCTTATCATGGTCCCCTGTGCAAAGGCAAAAGATTACAAGGATAGATACCTAGAGATGTTACTGCTGGGCCACAGGGTGAAATTTTATTTTCAATAGATGCTGCCAAGATGTGAGTAAAGAACTCTCATCTGTAAAGGAGCCAAGGGAAGAAATCTCCACAATGGCTCAAGGAAGTAAAAAAGAGGATGAAGAAGGTGGTTACGCTAGCTGCTTTGGAGAAGCCTGTGAGAATTAGTTCAACCATTGTGGAACACAGTGTGGTGATTCCTCAAGGATCTAGAGCCAGAAATACCATTTGATCCAGCAATCCCATTACTGGGTATATACCCAAAGGAAGATAAATCATTCTACTATAAAGATACATATACGTGAATGTTTATTGCAACACTATTCACAATAGCAAAGACATGGAATCAACCCAAATGCCCATCAATGATAGACTGGATAAAGAAAATGTGGCACATATACACCATGAAATACTATGCAGCCATAAAAAAGGAATGTGATCATGTCCTTTGCAGGGATGTGGATGAAGCCATCATCCTCAGTAAACAGAGGAACAGAAAAACAAATACTGCATATTCTCACTCATAAGTGGGAGCTTAACAATGAGAACATATGGACACAGGGATGGGAACCACACACTGGAGCCTGTCTTGGGGGCAGGGGGATGGAGAGCATCAGGATTAATAGCTAATGTACTCAGGGCTTAATACCTAGGTGATGGGTTGATAGGTGTGGCAAACCACTATCATGTGGCACATGTTTACCTATGAAACAAACCTGCATGTTCTGCACATGTATCCCAGAACTTAAAATAAAATTAAAAAAAAAGAAAAGACTAAAGCCATGGATCCTTTTTTTTTCAATCCAAAAGCTGCCTTCTACCTTTGTGTGCTGTCTTTTTCCCTTCCAGACTGTCGTTGGTATTCTGTTTAACTTGGAATTTTGCTCTTAACTGCCATAGAATGAGTATGTGCATGCATATGCGTGTGGAAGACAGACTTTTATCATTGATTTTTTTTAAATAGGAAAACTAAACAACAACTAAAAACTTTCTTTCTTTTTTTTTTTGAGACGGAGTCTGGCTCTGTCTCCCAGGCTGGAGTGCAGTGGCGCGATCTCGGCTCACTGCAAGCTCCGCCTCCCAGATTCACGCCATTCTCCTGCCTCAGCCTCCCGAGCAGCTGGGACTACAGGCACCCGCCACCACACCCGGCTACTTTTTTGTATTTTTAGTAGAAATGGGGTTTCACCGGGTTAGCCAGGATGGTCTCGATCCCTGACCTGGTGATCCACCCGCCTCGGCCTCCCAAGGTACTGGGATTACAGGCGTGAGCCACCGCGCCCGGTCCTAAAAACTTTCTTAGTGAGAAAGAGGTAGGTAAATGACCACCAGTTCACATACTGTTAAATATATAAAATGTACATAATCCAATTCTGGAAGGATATACAGTTTCTGAAACGTTAATGGTAGCCTTTGAAGTATAGAATTCTAGGCTGAAAGGAGTAGAAAGAATTTTAGTTTTTATCATATACCTTCTATCATGTTTGATCTTTTCCTTTAAGATCTTGTTCACTTATTTTAATCTTAAAATTAAAAAATAATACTAAATGTCTTCCGAGCATGTCTCTACAAGGTCCTTAGATAATGAAGTTATTGGTGGGAATGTCAAGCACTGATATGCTGTCATATCTTAGGTTCTTTGGTGCCCCTCAAATTATACTGTTTGTCATCCTTGCTGGCTGGGTGTGCCAAAGCATAGGCTATAAATAATACTCTCAGTTTAAAGTCAAAAAGTCATAAAACATTGTTTTACCTCTTTGACTCCTCATATCAAATCTAAAAAATTTCCACCTTTGAGAAAATTCTATTCCAAGCTATAATTGCAAAAGTACTCTACCCTAATTTCAGTAGCAGACATCACTGAAATGAGGCAGGCTGAATTCATCACTGAATTGTGAGGCAGACACCTCACAAGTCTGCTCCTCCCTCATTTTGAGTTGGTATCAGAGTTGTGGGGGTGTTGGGAATATGAAAGGATGAGGATAGGGTGGATGGAAAGAACTGAGTTAAGCAAGAAAAGATGATCATTCCTACTTGGGGTCTACTTGGGCCTTCAAGATTTGTAGACTTCTATCTTTTGCCTTCCCATGCTTTACAAAGTTCCAACTATGCCTGCATTTCGAAGGGAGCAAGTATCATGAACAGTGTGCTTACAATTGTTATGTTTAGATAGAAATTTTAAGTCTGAGATTTTAAATGTTCTTGAGGTTAGAAAACCAATGGGATACAAATAGGTCACTAATAACATGATATCTTCTTTACAAATATCCCATTGCTCTTTAGTGCAAATCTATCACCTTTTGTGAAGAATTCGTCACTGTGATGTCATGTTCTTCCTTTGTCCCCCACTTTCTTGCTCTATTTAATAGTCTATGAATTGGCTGGCGTTTATCCTTCTCTTTCTCAGCACTGTTTAATTTTCCACCCTCTGCATGATATTTCAGGGTTCATACTCCTCTGAATGGGCCACAATTATAAACCTGGTTCCCTAATGAAGGTTATCTGGGTAATTTTAATTTTTTGCTATTATAAAAATAACCAAATAAATACTATAAAAATTTATATCTTCAAATGTATATTAGTGCATATAGGAGTAAGTATAACCATAAGATTATTTTCAAACCTTGAAATGCCAAAGCAAAGAAAATACTCATTTTAAATGCTAAATGCTAAATATTGCCAAGTTTCCATTGAAAAAGTTTATACCAATCGTTTACAACAGTGCTGATATTCCCCACATACTCACCAATGCTGAGTTTTACCAAATGTCAACATTGTCAATTTGGTGAAAGTGATTTATTTTATTTATTCTGATGAGGTTGAATATCTTTTCACGATTATTGCTTATATTTTCCTTTCTGTGAACTTCTGCTTTGTACTTTTGCTCATTTTTTAATTTTTCTGTTTTGTGCAGTGACTGGTATAAGCTATCTCTGTCTAACAGTGGCCTTTGTCATGTGTGCAGTGAATTTTTTTCTCGTTTATCATTCATCTTTTTATTTCGTCTATGGCATTTCTTTCTACTTCTAAAAATAGAAGTTTTAAGCATTGATGTAGATAGATGTACAATATTTTCCTTTAGACCTACTGCAATGAATTCTTTTTAGTTAGATATTTGATTATCTCTTCTTTTTCTGACTTCTGAAGCACATGTGGTTCTTACTGCATATTTGACAAAACTTGTACTAACTCATATTTAAATTTACATCTGTGTGTGTGTGTGTTTGTGTGTGTGTGTGTGTGTGTGTGTGTGAATCTATTCAAATAGATTAAAAGGTCCTTGAAAAGCTGGAGAAATCAAATGATTCTTTATATTCCCCACCCTACCCCACAGTGTCCAATGTCTAGTAAGGGAAAAATTTAGACCGGCAGGAATTTCAAACGAAAGCACTGCTAAGAAGAGTGCTATGAGAATCTAGAGAAATATAGGCCCCAATTGTCAAACTGACCAAAGAAACAGTAAGAGATTCCCGCAAAGGTATGAATGATCCCCAAGACAAACCCGGTCTTCATTACCTTTTGCCTAGAGCAGAGGCAGTTCTCAGTGTTCCGTGGCCTTGCCCCTGCCCAACTCTCCAAGTTTACCTTGTAGCACTCTTGCCCTTCTCTTTATATCCTGCTACCTGGCCTTCTACCTATGGCCCAACTATCCACCAGGTTAGTTTCCACCAAGGCCCTTTCCAAGAATATTCTTCTTCTTGGTTTTCACATTCCTAACTGCATCTTGTCATTCAGACTGTGGCAGATTGGATTTTTTCAAAGATGACCACACCAATACATATCTTATCCCTTCTGCTCTTCTTCTTATAATATGTTGAAACTCCTACATCAAGAGATGGTGTCTATGTTTCTCTACATTGAATCGAAGTGGGTCTTTGTAACCGTCTTAACTGAAAGAGTCTGGCAGAAGCGACACTACGTGACTTCCAAGGCTAACTGATAAAAAACAATAGAACTTCCACCTGGCTCAATGACTCTCTCTTGGGAGGCTAACCCCCAGAACCCAGCCACCACGCTGTAAGGAGAGCAGGTCACATGGAAAGGCCTGTATAGGAGTGCAGACACACAGCTGACGGCGAGTGACAACCACCAGATATGTGAGGGAGCAGACCGTCAAATGGTTCCAAGCCTCAGCCTTCAAGCACCTCCCAGCTGGGCCCCAGACACTGTGTGGCAGAGACAAGCTGTCTCTACTATACTCTGTTAGAATTCCTGACCCAGAGAATCCATGAGCATAATACATTGTTTTATGCCACTGAGTTCAAGGGTGACTCATAGCGAAGCCACAGTAAGTAGAATGAAACCTCAGCTTAAATGTGTTCAGAGAGGTCCTCAGCACCTGCAGCAGTGTCTGGCACATAGATAAGTGGTAATCAACAAATATTTGCTGAATTAATATGAATTTGCAAGAATCAATGAAGTGGTTCTAGGCAATGAGAATCTTCCATTAGACCTTATTTTTGCTACTTAATAGAACAAACTTTTACTGAGCACTTAATGTATTCTTCAGGAATATATTGTAGTTTTCTATTCTGTCGCTATATGTGTACTTCAAAGAGTGATTTAATGCAAATAGAAGTAAAAATCAGTAATCTGTACACCAAATCCCCCTTGACATGCAATTTACCTATATCAGAAACCTGCACATGTACCCCTGAACCTAAAACAAATGTTTTAAAAAGAAGTAAAAATAAGCAATAACCAGGAGATGTATATGATGAATTTTTTTTACTTTTATTTTAAGTTCAGGTGCACATGTGCAAGATGTGTAGGTTTGTTACATAGGTAAACATGTGTCGTGGGGGGTTGTTGTACAGGTTATTTCATCACCCAGGTATTAAGCCTAGTGCCCATTAGTTATTTTTCCTGATCCTCTCCCTCCTCCCACCTTCTACCCTCCAGTAGGCCCCAGTGTGTGTTGTTGCCCTCTGTGTGTTCATGTGTTCTCAATATATGATGAGATTTTTAAATTGGATTTAGAAATAACAGAGATAGGAAAAAATAAAATAAGTTGAAGCAAAATAAGGCAAACCCTTAGAACATTTAAAAGAAAAAAAAGAGCTTGCCAAAGAAGTGATAATTTTTAATCACGTATAAAACTAAATTCTACCATGGTGATACAATTTCTAATTTCCTTAAAACAGTATAATCTTTTTTTTTTATTCATAGAATATTTCCTTGTTGGTCAGAGAATGAATTAGATAATATGGGGAAAAAACAGTTCTTTAATATATGGTTATTATGTTTGGATAGAATGTTTGACCCAAAACCTTCACCTTTCCTCTATTTACTTACCACTCTTTGCCCCAAAAGGGCTGGAATCAGAACCATAACAATGAAGAATGAGAGAACCCACAGTTTGTAACTGGAACTCAGGCCTTGTTTTTTTTTGTTCTGTTTTGTTTTGTTTTGTTTTGTTTTGTTTTTGATTCAGGGTCTCCCTGTCGCCCAGACTGGAGTGCAACGGCACATTCTTGGCTCACTGCAAACTCTGCCTCCCAGGTTCAAGCAATTCTCCTCCCTCAGCCTCCAGAGTAACTGGGATTATAGGCACATGCCACCGCAGCCTGGCTAATTTTTGTATTTTTAGTAGAGACAGGGTTTCACCATCTTGGCTAGGCTGGTCTCAAACTCCCAACCTCAGGTGATCCGCCCGCCTCAGCCTCCCAAAGTGCTGGGATTACAGGCATGAGACACCGTGCCCGGCCACTCAGGCTTTTTTAAGAGTCTGAACTGAAAGCTCTTAGAAACTGTTCATGCAGCAAATCTGGTCAGCCAGCTACCTGGGAAGTTTCTTCCTGAGACAGTGAGTTTTCGCACATCTAAATTTGTCTTGTTTCCTTCCTTGGACAAGCACCATTTCCATTTTTGTTTTCAAAATCAACACCATCCTTGCTATTTTATAAAATATTGGCACCAATTTAACAGTTCTATTGGCCTTAGAGAAAGTATTGGAATCTCGAAAGGAGCCCAGAACTAGAATATTATAAAGGGTTGCTTGGGTAAATGTGCGTTTTTTATGACCTCCTTGAGAAAATAAACACCTAGCACCCATGAATGTGCAACTTATCTGTACCTGTTATAACTTACAGCCTACACTGATGATTTCTAGTCACCAAAAAATGTTCAAAGTTATTTGGCTAGAAAAGGCAAAGGAGATGAAGGAAGACCTGTTTGACGCTAACTATTTCTCTGGAATAATAATACAGTGCATAACAAATAATGCTTTCCAGAGGCTGCCAGTATTAAAATGAGAGATGCTAAATCCACTTCTCTTCTCTTCTCTGCTTAAATATTATCCATGGCCCTTCATTGCACCCACTAAAATACCTGAGTTGAGATTATTTGCAATCACCCACACGTGGTACCTATACTATCTCTCTTATTATGAATCTCAATTTAGCTAAAATTTTTCATGCCCCTCTCCTCAAATATCAACTGAAAAAAGGTAAATATACCAAAGACTATAAAGTAGAATTGTTTACCCCCTCAATCAATAGTCATCACCCATTGAGTCAAACAACACCTGGGGCATTCACCTGAAAACAGAACTAGGACCAATCATGAGACCATGTCTTCATAAGACCGAAATTGTGAGTTTAAATCTACAGGTGGGTTAATTTTACTTACTTATGTAGGATGCCAGAGAATATTGCTGTAGTCTTTCTCCCTGTCTTTAGTGGAAAGGCAATTAAAGAAGAAGACTATGAAAACTAGTGAAAAAAAAAAAGCAAATGCCCACTACACAGAGATTGGAAACCTGTATTCCAACTTGCACTCACTATGTTAAGTTAGGCCAGGTCCTCATCCTCTCTTGTTAGTTGGACGGCAAACAGATGGTGACTGGATGCTGGTTACCAAACCAGCTGTTGGCTTCCTAACCCTGGAATTTGCCTTCCTACATGAAGAAAAACTAAGTGAGAGCTAATTAAATGCTTTCTACTTAGAAAGTCTATTCCCAGACTGTTTTCTGCCTGCAAACTTAATGTCCTTAATCTATGCCAATGCTTGTAGCCTAACTACTCTGGCTATTTTCTAACTTTCCTTTCTAGTTTTTACAACTGCTGTATTTTTGCAGTCATAATTATTAGGAAAAAGTTTGCTCAAAGAACAATCAGAAAAATAACTTAAATCCAATGAGTCAAATAACCACAATCATTATCATCATCATCACCATCATCATCAATCATCGCCATCATTATCATTATCCTTAAAAGGGAGTGGCAAAGGTCAACCTGGTTTTAAGAAGAACGAATTCTAACAAGCTTAAAATTATTGAGTTCCCTCCGTGTTAAGATCAAACTGAAAAATCCACATTCTCTTGATTTCTTTTACCAAACTCCATATCCTAGCTCAAGAAAATAAGCTTTCAGGAGCTTTTTTGGAACAACTTAAATGGCAACTTGGAAATCAAATGGTTCTGACACAATAGTGATCTTGATGAGTTAACTTGCAATGAATGTACCATATGGATGAAATTCTTCCTGAAGTGCATGTGGGTGTGTTTAAGGATAGAGCATGTGGGGCAAAACACATTTCCAGCTTTTCAAAAACCCATGCATTTGCAAAATCATTTGATGCATTTTTATTTTTTACTGATTCCAAATCTGGCCTCTTTCAAAAATAAAGAGTTACTGGTCTTTTCTAGGGAACTTCCCCCTTTGTTTCTATATGAGCATGCTCCTTCCTAGTCTCAGAGACAGAAAAGTCCAACTCCTGAAATCTAGGGCTTATGCAGACACTCCAGTCTACAAGCAAAGCGGCAGGCTAGGAGGAGGGGACACTTTAAAATTCAGTTACAGAGGAGTGGCTAATGTTGAGCTACCTTGTACAACCCTAGAAAGCCCACTATGGTTCTAGGATATTTTGGAGCCCATAATTCTATGATTTATGTGGAACTTAGGGTCAAATCTTTCTTCCTGAACCACTATCAAGTTTCCTCAATCCCAAAATGTAACCCACCACTGAATTTTGAATTTAAATAAAAAAATATACATATATATACATATAGTTATTCTCACTAGCTTTCTTGTTGGTTTTGATTCACTGTTTAGCATATTAACATTATTTTGGATCCTAATTCAATCATACCCTCAGGGAGTTATACTGTGGGATTTGGGGCTAACGTCTGTGTATTTGAGGTTTAATCTGTTATCAGTGGCATTCTAGATTAGGCTCAGAATATTTCTCAACTAGTGCTGCAGCTTCTGCTACCATTCAGTCTGAGTTGGCATTTGGGATTAAATCTATTCACCTTGCCTGCTTTAGACATTCTCTTTTCTGTTCATTAGAATTATCCACAAGCGGGCAGTCAGAATCACCTTCTTTGGTGCCTAAATTTCTCTTGAGTTAGATCTGTTTTACAATTTCTGCCCATAACAAACCTGCCTCAGTCATTTGAAAGCTAGCTTCCCAAAACCTGGGACACACATGTAAATGCCCAGAATCCCCTAGCTTTAATGGAGTGTCACTTTCTGCAAGATTCCCATCCTTTCCTCATCACCAATCAGTGGTCTGTTGTTCATAGGAGAAACAATAGTAATCTCATGTGGTTTCTTCCATATTCTGACCAATAAAACCACAGTAAATCAAGAATTTATCAAGCTACTTAGAGAAAAGAAGAGGCAATAGAATATTAACTGTGGTGGCTATCAACAGCAGGCTAGGTCAAAAATGTGGAAAATGCTTTCCTAATAACAGATTATTATCAAAGGCAAGAGAAGATTGTTTCTTCCATTTTATATTCCAGCCAAGAGTCTCATCCAACCATGTGTTAACAATACCTGTGAGACAGTTCTTCCTTTCTCATGTTCCAATGCCAAGTTAATTTTGTTCACTATCTAAGTATTTGTATTCATTCTCTCAATTTAGTGAGGGCAAGGATTTTGACTTCTTATTCACCTCCACACCCCAAGTGCTCAGCATGTCTGACAAATATTAGACACTCAATAAGTATTTGATAAATGAATTAAGATGAGATTGAAACAATTATTTCCTCCTGAGAAGTATTAAGTTCTTCCTCTACCGGAGTTTTTATATAAAAGCAATTTGAAAAAGAATGAACAAGTTGCTATATTTATCAAACTTCATTTTCCAAATTTGGTGAATCACAAGGACTTACTTTGAAAGCAAAACTGGGAGTTACTGATTTCCAACCTCTCTTCTCCCTCTATTCTTAATCTTCAAACACAGCATGCTTGCACGTGCGTGCTCACACACACACACACACACACACACACACACAAACAATGGAGGCAGTTTAGAGAACATCTTAGAGTATTTTGTTAAATAACAAGAGTGGATTTGCCTGCAGAGCTGTCCATATGACCGCTTCAATACCTCTCGTAACTAAGATCGTTTTTTGCAGATGGGTGAAGCCTGCCAGTCCTCAAAGAGAAGAAACGTGGCTCCCATTAACACAAAATCATCAAATGAATCTTGCTGGCAGGACACTAGCCCAGCTATCTATCCATTGACAATCTCATAACCTTCAATCTTAAATCCAAAACAAATAAAACAATGCCTGATTCCAAAAGAAAGAAGAGGAGAAAATGAAATATTTCCATCCCATTTACCCTTCAAACAAAAGATAAAATGGAAGCTAGAATGTAACACAAAAAGCATGGGTTTAGTAAGATCATGATAGCTAAGTCACTTTGGGTACAAAGTGTATATTTTTGAGTGTACCTGGTACTTTCAAATGGGGACATTATAATAACTGAAAATTATAGGGCAGTGATGGAGCCTCATGGTTAAGAGCACAGCCTTTGAAGTTATGCAGACCTGAGTTTGAGTTCCTGTTTTGTCAATTTCTTTCTGTGTACCTTGAACAAATGACTTAATCTCTCCCTGCTTCAATTTCCTTAGCTGCAAAGGGGGATGCTAATAATTTACAGGGTGTTATAAAAATTAAATAAGATAACCCATGTAAAGCACTCACACAGCATCTGGCACAGAAAAGCACTTAATAAATGTTTACTATGATAGCAGTGGTTCTTACATTAATCTGAGAGGAATTAATTTGACAGGAAGGTTGATGGGTTGAATAGAAATAGCACAAAAGTGTCTCATCACCAAGAACATAGCCTTTCTGAGAAATTAGCCAACCGGCAAGCCCAGTAGCTAATTGCAATTCATTTGGAATGAAACGGAGACAAATATGCCATTGTAAGAACCAGGATAGAGAAATGCTAATGAGGGTTGAGACAGTGGTCTGAGGAAGAAAGAGGCAAGTAAATCTAGTGTGCTGTGGAGAGAGCCTTGGCCAGTGGTCCCAGGCAAGAACATCCTTGGAAAATCTTTATGGCTGTATCTGAAACCTGAATCGGAGCTCTGCAAAGCTAAAGAACGTGTCTGCCCTTTGGCAGCCAACAAAATGTTGCTTGGAGGAACAGACATTCCACTTGGGAACTGACTAGGACCTTTTCCAAGATAGTCTATGAGAAAGGGTCACACGGAGCACCATACTCGGGGGTCTCCACAGTGCCTGGGATTGGCTCTCCAAAGTAGAGGTCCTTCCAGTGGAAGCTCATACCACACACAGGTCTATGTTTCATTAATTTCTTTTGCTTGAGATGCTACAGAGACCAAGATAGACAGGCCCTGGCTTCATGGAACTCATAGCTCAGTGAGGGGATGAGAACACAAGGTGGTGGGTTACCATGACGGAGGTCTGGGCAGGGTATTTATGGAGCACACGAAAAAGACATGGAACCAGTCTTGGGGCTAAAGAGGCTTCTTAGAGAAAATATCTGTGATGGGACATGAAAAATGAACGAGATTAGAAAGGCAGAGGGGGCCAGAGTAGAAAAGAAGGTCCAGGCAGAGGAAAGAGCATGGGCAAAGGGCCAATAGAAGACTGAGAGTGCAGCATATTTGAGGGATTAAAAGATGGTCTGTGCAGCTGCAGCAGGGAACATGGAGCATGTTCATTTTAGGATGGATTGTCAACAATAATTTTTACTTTCTCTGTGCCAGGCCCTGTGACAAGCGGGCCCACTAGGAGTATTAGCTCATGAAATCTGCACAACAATCCTACGAGCTGGGAACTGTTGTTCACCTCATTTTACTGTGGGGAAGCTGAGAATCATCAGAGAAGTTAGGATTAAGATATGATGTTCTGAGTCCAAGGTCTGACATCTCATAAGTGTGCTAGGATTTCTAGCCAGACAGCCTGGCTTGAGAGCTCACACCCTTAACCACTGTACCTCCCCAAAGACACATCCCACTGCACCGCCAGCCACCATGGCAGCTCACCTTTTAAGACACAGGGGGTAGGAAAGGGCTTTTGTATAGAGCTTTACATTTATGGTTTCCCTAAAGTTAGTGTGAAATAACCTGTCCATATACAAAAAAAGGCAATAAAAAAACTTTTCCAAATATGTTTCTGAGCAATAGAAGGTATAACCACATGTTTGTACTTCTATACAATTTCTACACAGGTCTTACCTCTACAGATTCCCAGTTCTTGCAAAGTCTTGAGACTATTTTGAAATCCCTTGGGTAGAAAAGCTGCCTCATGTGAGATGACTATTCCATTTTTGACTTAGACCAAGTTTCTGAGTATGCCTGAAGCTGGAATTCTATCCAAACAACAGTGAACAGAACTTTTTTTAACCTAAACTCTGAGCTTCTATGTGGTGACTTGGGAAAGAAGAAAAGTCGCTATGTATATATAACTTTTCTACACACAAATAGCTAACTAGAATATTTGCCACTAAGCCCTACAGCACCTAGCACAGTACCTTGCACATAGCAGGTAATCAAAGAAACGCTACAAATAAAAGCATACATAAAACCTAAATAAATGAATGAAGGAAGTTCCTACTTGTTTGTTTCTTGGCTTTCTCCTCAAGGTAAGGTATGATAATGTAAGGAGAGACATCTCTGACTACAGTGAGAAGTCATGAGAACTGACAGAATGTCTATGACCTTGAAGAGATACTTATACATCCGTGTTCACTGAAGCATTATTCACAATAACTAAAAGATGGAAGCAATCCAAGTCCCTGTTGATAGATAATGGATGAACACAAAAATGATAATAAAAATTTTTGAAACTATAAATAACATGGTATATACATACAATGGAAAATTATTCAGCCTCAAAAAGGAAAAAAATTCTGACACATACTATAATATGGATGAACCCTGAAGATATTATTCTAAGAGAAATAAGCCAGTTATAGAAGAACAAATACTACATAATTCTATTTGTATGAGGTACCTAGAGTAGTCAAATTTATAGAAACAGAAAACAAAATGGCATTTACAAGGAATTAGAAGAAATTAATGGGGATTTACTGTTTAATGAGGTCAGAGTTTGCATTTTGCAAGATGAAAAGAGCTCTGGAGAGGAATGATAGTGGTGGTTGAAGAAAAACATGAATATAATTGATACTATTGAACTGCACACTTAAAATAGGTAAGACGGTAAATGTTATACATATTTTATAATTATTTTAAATTTTTTAAATAAATTTCAAATTCAAAATGTATTTAACATTTTTTAAAATACAGTTTATATTTTAATCTTAAATTTATAACAAATATAAATTTAAAATTTGTAAATAAGTGTTTTAAATTTATTTAGAAGAAATCAAACTATTCATGTTTGCAGATGACATTCTATATCTAGAAAACCCCATAGTCTTGGCCCAAAAGCTCCTTCAGCTGATAAGCAACTTCAGAAAAGTTTCAGTTTACAAAATCAATGTACAAAAATCAGTAGCATTCCTATACACCAACAACAGCCAAGCCAAGAGCCAAATCAGGAATGTGATCCCTTTCACAATTGCCACAAAAAGAACAAAATACCTAGAAATACAGCTAACCAGGGTGAAAGATCTCTACAATGAGAATTACAAAACACTGCTCAAAGAAATCACAGATGACACAAACAAATGGAAAAACTCCACGCTCCTGAATAGAAAGAATCAATATCATTAAAATGGCCTTACTGCCCTAAGCAACTTACAGATTCAGAGCTATTCCTATCAAACTACCGATGACATTCTTCACAGAACTAGAAAAAACTTTTTAAAAATTCATATGGAACCAAAAAGAGCCTGGGTGGCCAAAGCAATCCTAAGCAAAAAGAACAAAGCTGGAGGCATCACACTACCTGACTTCAAACTACACTACAGGGCTACAGTAACCAAAACAGCATGCTACTGGTACAAAAACAGATACATAGACCACTGGAACAGAACAGAGAGACCAGAAATAAGACCACACATGTACAACCATCGGATCTTCGACAAACCTGACAAAAACAAACAAGGGGAAAGGACTCCCTATTCAATAAATGGTGCAGGGATAACTGGCTAGCCACGTGCAGAAGAATAAAACTGAACCCCTTTCTTATACCATATACAAAAATAAACTCAAGACAGATTAAAGACTTAAATGTAAAACTCAAAACTATAAAAACCCTGGAAGACAATCTAGGCAATATCATCCTGGACATAGGAACCAGCAAAGATTTCATGATGAAGATGCCAAAAGCAATCATAACAAAAGCAAAAATTGATGAATGAGATCAAATTAAACTAAAGAGCTCTGCACAGCAAAAGAAACCATCAACAGAGTAAACAGAAAACATACAGATGGGAAAAAATATTTTCAAACTATGCATCTAACAAAGGTCTGATTCCAGCATCTATAAGAAACTTAAACAAATTTACAAGAAAAAAAAATCCCATTTAAAAGTAGGCAAAGGACATGAACAGACACTTTTCAAAAGAAAGTATACATGCAGACAACAAGCACGTGAAAAAAAGCTCAATCACTTATCATTAGAGAAATGCAAATCAAAACCACAATGAGATACCATCTCCTACCAGTCAGAATGGCTATTATTAAAAAGTCAAAAAATAACAGATGCTGGCAAGGTTGTGAAGAAAGGGAACATTTATACACTCTTGGTGGGAGTGTAAATTAATCCAGCCATTGTGGAAAGCAGTGTGGCAATTCCTCAAGGAGCTGTAAACGGAACTACCATTCAACCCAGCAATCCCATCACTGGGTATATACCCAGAGGAACATAAATCATTCTACCATAAAGATACATGCATGTGAATGTTCACTGCAGCACTATTCACAATAGTAAAGATATGGAATCAACCTAAATGCCCATCAATGACAGACTGGCTAAAGAAAATGTGGTACCTATCCATCATGGAATACTATGCAGCCATAAAAAAAGAATGAAATCATGTCTTCTGCAGGAACATGGATGAGCTGGAAGCCATTATCCTTAGTACACTAAAACAGGACCAGAAAACCAAATACTGCATGTTCTCACTTATAAGTGGGAGCTAAATAAGGAAAACACATGGACACAATGAAGGGAACAACAGATACTGGGGCCTACTTGAGGGTGGAGGGTGGGAGGAGGGAGAGGATCAGAAAAAATAACTATTGGGTACTAGGCTTAGTAACTGGGTAATGAAATTATCTATACAATAAACCCCCATGACACATATTTACCTCTGTAACAAACGCACACATGTACCCCGAACCTAAATTAAAAGTTAAAAAAAATTTTTTTAATAAAATAAATGTCAATGAAGGCAAAACAAAGACATTTTCCGCCACATAAGTAATGTTAATTATTAAAATGTGATTATAATGCTAGTATGTGATTATTATTATATGCTTTATATAATCTATTATTTTCCCCTACTTATCAATAAGGAAAGTGAAGTACACCAATGTTAAATAACTCTATAAAGGCACACAGCTAATAAATGAAGTTGTGATTATTCTTAAGAAATAGCTGAAGAGTGGTGGCTATGTTGATGACTTATGGCTAGTTGAGGATATGTAATGGAACTGACTATTAGTTTGGATTAATCAGAGCAGAGGTCCCAGTAATTTACAATCTCATACCAAACTTTCCATAAAGATAGCTACAGCTGACCAATAATAATAGTAACATAAATGAGGCTCCAAGACACCAGATACTAGATGAGAACTTTGGATGCATTACCTTCTCCAGCATTCCCAGAAACATAGGAAATAGGTGCTGCTCTTATTCCCATTTGCAGCAGTGGTTAAAAAACTTGCCCACGACCATATAACTAGTAAGTGATAGAGCCAGGAAGTAAGCCCAGGCAGTCTGTCACTGAACTCTGTGCATTACCCACAACACCAGTGTCTCTTAAGTTGTGATCTGAGAACAAACTTCTTGGTGGTATTCATAATAATTATAATAAGAGTTAACATTTATTGATCACTCCCAATATACTGGCCTAACTGCTTCCAGTATATTATGAAAACCCCGAAAGAACCTTGTGACGGAGGTACTAGCCCCACTTTAAGGGGCAGGGGCCTGCTCAGGGTCTCCCCACTAGAAAGGGGAGGAATCAGGATTCAAATTCAGGTAGTCTGATTCCAAAGTCGTATTCTTAAAGACTCCACCCTTGCTACTCAGAGGGGCAACCTCCCGCAGCATTTCCCAGGAGGAGATAGTTAGAAATGTAGACTTTTGGACCCTACTCCAGACAGGATGAATGAGAATTTGCATTTATGATAATTATGCACAAAAGTGTGCATAATGAAGTTTGACAGATGCTACATTTCATTCCTGTCCTCCAAGGTGAGGCCACAAGGCTACAGCAGTAAACAGCATAGACGAGGTCCTGCCTTCATCAGCCTCCACACTGGTAGAGGGAAGGGAAACAGACCACAAATAAGAAAATGATTACAACTAAGTTCTAAGCCCCAGGTGCTTCTAAAAATGCCATTTCCTGGTCTCTACCCTTAACTGAATCTATCTGGGTCTCTAGGGGAAATCTGCATTTAACAAAGTGAGTCATTTGCCCTCTAAAGTGCAAGAGCCATGGCCCTCCCTGCTAGGCCTCAGGGAAGAATCAGGCAAGAATGCCAGCATCTTTCCTACTTTTCATATTGCCTCAGTCCCCAGAGCCAGAGAAATGGACTGCAAGAAATCCTTCCAATAGGCTGGCCAACTGACAATCTATGCATTGATTTAGAACATTGAACCTCAGAGATCCATGCGATGCTACTTAATATGGTGTGCAAGGCTGCAGGCACTCACAACTGACCGTGAGGGTATTGACTGGTCCCTATGGAAACGGTTTCTTGTGTCTGAGCCTGTCTCTCCCCGCCCACTGCACAGTAAAGGTCATTGCCCCAGCACCCTTGGGACAGGTCTAACATGACAGCAGCAGCCAGGACCTATGCACACACTAACCAATGCCATGAGCACATCCCAGCGAGGAATCAATCCTCATCTAAGAAGCTGGCCTGATGCCTGGTTCCTAAGGAGTCTCATACACAAACCATTTATTAGCAACTCTGATGCTCTCCCATTACTGACAGCTGCTAGCCAGGCTCAAATGAAAGATCTAGGGAAAGAAATATAGGCAAATTTTTCCCAAGACTTTGAGTTTGAAGAGACAAACTCAGAAGAACCAAGAGAAAAGGAATAATAGAGAATGGGCCTTTTCTAAATAGTAATAAGAATCATAACTAACATGTAATCAGTGCCTACTACATGAAGTAAATATTTTAATTTTTCCCATTTAACACAGAGATGTAAGGCTGTCACTTTACAGGACAAGGGAGAGAAGAAAGGAAGGAAGGAAGGGAATGGCAAGGAAGGGAGGGAGAGAGAGAGATGGGGAAAGGAAGGGAAGAAGGAAAGAAAAGGGCAGAGATCCCAAGCTCAGCTTTCTTCTGGGATAAATGATAGAATGACTGTGGAAGGCCTAAAACAAAAGATGAATAGAAACTGTCTTTTTACCTTAATTTGAAACTGAAATACTCAAGAGATTGACTTGTTTCATGTTCTATGAACCCAGACAAAAATAAATTGGCTGAATTTCAACCATCCCCAAATTGTTACAAACACACACACACTGTGTGTGTGTGTGTGTGTGTGTGTGTGTTTTCCCAATTATGACTTCTTGGGGTTGAATGGAAAATTTGGCAACCTGATTAACTGTAGCTTACAATAAAATAGCAAGAATGGGTGTTTTATAAGCCCTCTGTTTCTCATTCTCCTTGGAAGATTGTCAAGAGTTTAATGAAACTAATACTTTGGGTTTTAGATCTCTCATAGCCAGAAATCAGAGCCTCTCCAACACTAACAACTGAAAGTAACTCATGCTCTTTGAGCCAGTGGAATTATGCCAGGCACTAGGCTATGTGCTATTTGTGCATTGTCCCACTGAATTTTCTCAACAACTCTGCAATGAAGGTATGATTAATATTCTCATCTTACAGACATAACTGAGGCACAAAGAGGTGATGTGACTTCCCTAAATGGTAAGTAGAGAAGCCACACAGTTGGACTCAAGTCTTTTCTCTTAAGCACTATGTTAAACACTAAGCTATAGTAATGTTGGCACAAAAAATCTGTTCTTTAAATCAGCCAAACTTGTTACTTGGTATTCTGTGGAAAAGTAGTTTGGCTAATAATTGTTTTTAGTGGTTTTGGAGACAATGGCTCAGAAAGACATCATCTCCCCCTTCTCAGGATGTTTGACCTCCATCCAGGATGCTGGGGGGTTGCCTGAGATTCCAGTATGTTATTAGGGATTCATTGTGCCCATTCAGTCATTCAACCTTCTCCTCCAGCCTCCATGGGAAGTGTACATTGGCCACATGCATCCATTGGACATGGCAAATTGCACCATTCACTCATTTGATAGATTTTAACCAGCTTCCATGTGCCAAACACCATCCTGGGCACTTCACATACTATTATTCTTCAATACTTACAGAGCCCTGTGAGGGAGGTACCATTATTATCCCCATTTTATAGATGAGGAAACAGAGATTCAGAGTGGCTAAGTACAGCTAGGAGTCTCACCAGATCAGCCTGTTGACTCTGGCGCCTACTCTCTCAAGCAATATGCAATAGGGAGCAGGGAAAGATAGACAAAGTACCCATCCTGGAGAAGCCATCGCACCAACAGTGGAGATAGACATCAAGCCAACAATTACCAATTAATTCATTCATTACCATCATGTAAGTCCTACACAGCTGAAGTCAAGGAGGAACTGACCTGGGGGAACAAGAAATCTTCCCTGAGAAAGTGAAAGGTTAGTTGAGAACTGAAGTGAGTAGGAGTTCATCAGGAGAGAACAAATAAGAAAAGCATTGAAGATAGGGGAAAATAGCATGTTGACGGCCCTTGCATATTAAGACTGGAGTATTGGAGAGGAAGAGAGACAGAAGATGCAAGAATCATCTACTGTTCCCATCCCTTCTCTATGGAGGAAGGAACTGGCCTCAGGTTCAATGCACCCACTATCGAATTTTTCACTGTGTGCCCAGTGTTGCCTAATAGGCATTCAACATACCACTGATAAATTAATGAAACACATGGACAAATACATGAAAGCTGTTTGGTCCAAAGTCAAACAATGTATTGGTAAGGAAGAAAAATCCACAAAATCAATGTTTGGTATCACACAGATATGTGTTTAATAGCTGAATTTTTAAATATTTCCCTATGGCTTTTTAAATTATATGAGCTAACGGAGTAAGATAGTCTTTTCGACAAATGATGCTAGAAAAACTGGATATCTACATGCAAAACAGTGAAGTTGACCCTTTCTTACAGCATACACAAAATTAACTCAAAAATATATCATAGACCTAAACTTAAGACCTAAAACTCTGAAACTCTTACAAGAAAACATAGGTGTATATCTTTGTAACATTGGCTTAAGCAATGGTTTCTTACATATGGCACCAAAAGCACAACAATTTAAAAATAAAGAAACAAATTGAACATCATCAAAGTTGAAAATGGTTATGCCTCAAGGGGCACTAACAAGAAATTGATATTTTAAAACCCTCAAAATGGAAAAATACTTGCAAATCATGTATATCTGACAAAGAACTTGTATCTAGAATACATAAAGAGCTTTTATAACTCAACAATTAAAAATAGCACAATTCAAAACTTGGCAAAGAATTTTAGTAGACATTTCTCCACAGAAGATACATAAATGGCCAATAAGTGCATGAAAAGACGCTCAACATCCTTGGTCGTTGGGAACATGAAAATGAAAACAACAATGAGGTATCACTTCATACCCATTAGGGAAGCTATAATAAAAAAGCCAAATAATAGCAAATGTTGGACGAGGATGTGGAGATTAGAACCCTCATATATTGCTGGTGGGAATAGTATATGGTGCAGCCACTTTGGAGAACAGTTTGGCAGTTGCTCAGAATGGTAATCATAGAGTTACCATATGACCCAGCAATTCCACAGCTAGGTATTGACCTAAGAGAAACACATCTGCCCACACAAAACTTATGCATGAATATTCCTAGCAGCATAATTCATAAGATCTAAAAAGTAGAAACCACCTAAATGTCATCAACTGATGAAAAGATAAACAAAATGTGCGATATTTATATAAAGGAATCTTATCAATAAAGGAAATGAGGTACTGACACATCCTACAATATCAGTGAAACTTGAAAATATCATCCTAAGTGAAAAACGCCAGTCACAAAAGATCACATTTTGTATGATTCCATTTATGTGAACTGTACTAAATAGGCAAACCCATAGAGATAGAAAGTAGATTAGTGGTTGCCTGAGGTTGGAGCATGAAGTGGGTAACAGGAATACAGAGTGGCTGCTAATGGGTATAGGGTTTCTTCTGGGGATGATGAAAATGTTCTAAAATTGACTGTAGTGATGGTCGCACCACCCTATAAATATAATGAAAACCTTCCATTGAATTGTATATGTTAAATGGGTAATCTCATGGTATGTGACATATCTCAATAAAAGTATTAAAAATTATATGAACTAGAACTAGTGTCACAATCTTCTAATTTTCTGGAACTGCATTATTTTGTTTTGTTTCAGTTTTCACTCTCTTCAGAAAAGGCTCTGACATTGACTGCCTTTTCACCCCACACCCCATAAAAAGTATTACTTCCAAGATATGTATAGTATGAACAAAGATTAAGCCAGGTCTTCTCAGCTTTCTACATCTGCCTGCCCAGTCATAATCATCTTTCTAATGAGCCCCAAGGCCCTGTAGTGTCCTGTGAATTATTTAAGGAAGATTAAAATATTTCCATTCTACTGTACTTCTAAGCCTTGCACAAGCCCCCTCTGCAAAAATGTATATAAACAGAAAGCTTGAAATATATTTTGTTAAACTAAGTAGAACAACAAAAACAGTAACAACAGGACCAACCATTTCTCAAGAATACTAGTTATGTATTTTTTTTTTCCTACAGTGGCAGCAGCATCATTTAGGCAGACTTAGCAGTGTTAGGAATTTAGGTTGCACAAAAGTCACTTTCTTAGGAGCATTACTAAACAATAGGCTATTGCACAAACAAGTAAGTTTTCCATCTGTGGACATCTTTTTTTCTTTTTAGCTTCTTTAAAGATTTTTGTCCATTAATTTCAAACTATAGTAGCCTTAGTCTTCCCAAAAAGTAACAGGGCTAATGAGATTTCTTACAATCCCCCTCCATTCCTGTTATCTATAATATTTAATGGTTTCCCTTCAACTCTATCAGTGCTTGCAATTCCTCCTCTGTTTTACTGTTGTTCATTTTCAGCTTAATAACCACCTCATTCTATGCATCATCTCTCTGAAAATTTCGGGGAATAGCTGTGTAAGAGAAATGCACTCTTTGAATTTAGAACAGTACATTGTGTGTATACTTTTATATTATGTTCCATTTGTGCTGCTCCAATGGCATTGGCTGAACTCAGTAGCAAACTGAAATGACTGCAATGTTTTCCATTTGGAAAGAACAGCTTATTTAGCAGGTACATAATGGTATTTATTTTCTTTACTATTAGACATAGCTTGGAGTCTTTACCCCCCAAACCAGTTCTGGACATCAGTTTACCAAGTTGGAGCTATTTGTCATACCCAAGAAAATTAATAACCTCAAAATTGTTAAGTATCTTCTTAACCCTGAAGAACTGATGAACTTATCAGAAGAGCCCTGTCCTTACCAAAATTTTATAGGACTACTACTTTTAGCAGCAATTACAGCTGGAAGTAATAATAACAGCTAAAATTTTTTAAACTCTTACAATGGACCCACCACTGTTTAAAGCTAGATGTAGATATAGATACAGATAATTAATTTACTTAATCTCCACAGTGGCCCTGTGAGACAGGTATTCTTATTATTTCTATTTTACAGATAAGGAAATTGAGGTACAGAGAGATTAAAAGAAACTTGCCCAAGATTATGCAACTTGTAAATGGCAGAATTGGGGGTTTAAACCCAGGAATTTAGTTCCCAAGTCACTATGCTATGTTGTTTGATAGGAGGAGCTTAATAAACCTACTTGAGTGAACAAGTAGAGGTTATAGAGCAACAAAAGAAATTCATGACAGCAAAATTGCATCTACTCATCTCCACCCATTCTTTCCAGCCACATCCCTCCAGGAAGCCTCCCGGGATTACTAGAATGGAGAGGACATTGTTCTGTCCCTCCTTCCTACTCTTTTTCACCTCCTCCTAGATGTGGAGAGACCTTTATAGTAAATGTGTTTACAGAAATATGTACTTGCAAAGCAAGCCAGTTCCCAAGAAATCAAACATCCGTGCGCAAATGCACCAGGTCAGTCTGGTCTTTGACTCATTATGACCATAAGAATAACACAAGAGGATTCTGGTAAAGCAGATGTGGGTACCAGAAATGCAGGAAGGCTGTGCACGATGGCTCACACCTGTAATCCCAGCACTTTGGGAGGTCAAGGCAATGGATCACCTGAGGTCAGGAGTTCAAGACCAGCCTGACCAACATGGTGAAACCCAATCTCTACTAAAAATACAAAAATTAGCCAAGTGTCATGGCGCTTGCCTGTAATCCCAGCTACTTAGGATGCTAAGGCAGGAGAATCACTTGAACCTGGCAGGCAAAGGATGCAGTGAGCTGAGATTGTGCCATTGCACATGGATGGAGCGAAACTGTCTCAAAAGAAAAAAAAATGCTTCAAGAATAGCTATTTGGAACCCAGAGTTCTGATACTAGGCCTCAGTCTTATCTGTTCTTAGCTCTTGCTTGAGAAAAAGATTGCATGATTAAAATTAGTCTTCAACTACTTTGAAACCCTCTCTTTGGTTCCTTGCTGGTTAGTCAAACAGATTAACCAGGCTACTCTTTCTCAGTTTCCAAACCAGAAGTCAGCACTTCAGGGCAAAACATTTGACACATCCGAAACTCTTTTTAGTAGTGACAGCATTCTTTGTTCACTGAACATAGCTAGCTCAGTCATTCATTCAAAATTATCAGTAGACATACGACAGCTGCACGTCCTGACATAATGGCTGTACCAACACTTTTTTTTAAAGTGAGAAGGAGTTAAACTGAGGTAACTGAGATCATATGACAGGAACAAAACCCCAGCAACCTTGCCTCACCTGTTGGGAAATCTCAGCTAAGCCTGGATTTGAGCCACATATTCAAAGGGCCAAATATGCAGCTCTACCTACATTAGCTCATTTAATCTTCCCAACAATCCTGTTAAATTATCATATTATACTCATTAAAGAGAAGGAAAATAGAGCCAAGATTTGCACCCAGGTCATTTGCACTCTAAAATCCTCATTTTAACCATTACAACTCTCCTACTTCAACGTACACCTAAGCCTAAAGACAGAACCTTGGCAAAAGTACCATTTTTCGAACCAATTCAATTCATTTCAATGATGTTCTCAGTAGGATTTTATAGGCAGTAGAAACCCAAAGTCCATTTCTCTCAAAAGCCTGATTTTCTTCCAATCTTTCCTCTGGGAATAAAGTATCATTTCTAGAACACCTCAATTTAATGTAGATAAAGGATAACAACTTGTAGACAATAACAAGTTTAAATGTAGAAGGCAATAACACATTATTTTATATTTTTGTATGGTTGTTTTATTATACCTCTTTTGCCACATTACACTTGGGTAATACATTTTGGTTGTTGATGTTCCAATGTTGCATAATATATCAGGTTTCAAAATCTTTTTAGCAATATTATTTCATTTGATCATAGTTACAACCTTGTGAGGTAGGCAGATAGGAGACTATTATTCAAGTTATACAGTATGAAAACTGAAGCATTGTATTCCCAGTGCAGCGTGGCTGCTAAGAAGTTGAGTGGTTACTGGAATCCATGTCTGTTGAATTCCCAGATCAATGTTCATGTCACTGTTCCACACTGCTTCTTGTAAATCCAATGATACCCATTTTCATACAAGCATAGGTTTGCTTATCACCTATCTCTCCTACAGCTTTCAGAGATCCTGTGCAGGTCACTTTTGACAGGTGAATAATGAAAAGGTCTAGTATATTGGAAACCACAATGTGACCTAAAAGAAGAAAAGTGTTGCAAGTACAAGGACATTCATAATATTTTGCAATAGCAAAAATTTAGAAAATAACCCATCAACAAGAAAACAGATTAATAATGAAGCATTTATACAATGAAATACACAGCAGTGAAAACAAATAACCTCTAGCTAAATACAACAGCATGAATGAATCATGAATCACACACAGTTTGAAAGAAGTCAATATCAGAAGGATACATATAGTATAATGCTTGTACAAACTATAGAAATATGCAAAACAATAAGTTTACATATATGTGTAGTGAAAGTATTAAGAAATGCATGGAAATAGTAGTCACCAAATTCAGACCACTAGTTGCCTCTAGAGAGCAGAATGTGATCAAAGAGGACTAAGTAGGGACTTAAACTTGTATCAATATTGTTTTCATTCTTAATCTGTAGTCAATATGTGGGGGTTTGTAATATTTTTATTTACACATTTGTGTTTGTCTTAAATATTTTACAATACCTTTTTTTTTTTTTTTTTTTTTTGAGATGGAGTCTCACTCTGTGGTCCAGGCTGGAGTGCAGTGGCGCAATTTCAGCTCATTGCAACCTCCGCCTCCCGGGTTCCAATTCTCTTGCCTCAGCGTCCCGAGTAGCTAGGACTACAGATGTGTGCCACCATGCCCAGCTAATTTTTGTATTTTTAGTAGAGATGGGGTTTCACTGCTGGCCAGGCTGGTCTTGAACTCCTGACCTTGTGATGACCTTGTGATCTGCCTGCCTCAGCCTCCCAAAGCGCTGGGATTACAGGCGTGAACCACTGCCTTTGTCTACAATACCTTTTTAAAAAGAAAATGACAAAGGCAACCATTCATTCTGCAAACATTGACTAAAGGCAAGCAACATGCCAGACATTGTGACTGGGTGTTGAAATGTTGCAGTGAACCCTCTGATGCACTGGAGAAGATGGAAGAAGTGTGTTTAGTACTAGAAAGCATAGGGAGCTGTGGAAGTGTGTGCCAAGGAGTCCTAATGTAGTTCAGGTGACTTAGGAAAGCCTCCAAGAGACAATGAAGCTTAAGCTGAGACTGGAGAACGAAAAGTTGTACTTATCAGCAAAGAAAGGAACAGTTCAGATTGATCCCATTCAAAATTTCCGTGTCTGAAACTAAACATTAGCGCAAGGAAGGCAGAAAGGACAAGCCAGATCACACACCACAGGATCTCCTGTCCATTCCTTGCTAACATTTAGACTTCATTATGCACTGCCTGTAGCTCACATGGTGCCACATGCCAGCAAGTACCAAGTAGGGTGGGAAGGGGAGTGAAGGGAAGTGGGTATTCAAAAACATTTCAGTGACTTCACATTCTCCTGAGATCCAGAACAGTTCCCATATTCTCTCCTAATACAGAAGCAATTTCAGACACTGAGCATAGGGAGGCAGGGTATGAGTGTGAGCTGGCTGAGCCTTTCCCTCCCATTCCTGTGAAGGAATTACTCTGGCAGATTTCCACATTGTAGGTATTTTACCATTTGTCATAGGCAAGTTACACAACTCAGTTAGTGATTAAATTACCAACAGAGCTGCTATTTGAGTAAGGAAGGTTCAAGGTTGTTTCTTGCTCCTGCACTTTGTTTTAAATGCAATTGGATTAATTCTTTCTTAACCTCCTTGTTTAGAGGAAGAAAACAAAAATCCTGTCTGGTCTCCAATAGATAGGGTAAAAAGCGGCATTTTAACTAACTCATCAACCACTAGGATCCCTGTGTCTAACCTTGGTCCTTTGTTTAGATTTATAAAGTATGAGATCATTGTCAGTTTCATTTATCTCTGTTATTAAATGTACTGGGCCTCCTTCAAATGACATTATATCTCCTTATCTGATTCAAATAAATGTCTTACTCATGGCTAGAATGTAGATGGTGAAATCTCATTGTTAACTCAATAATTGAAATAATCTCATTGTTTTGCTTTCCTAATAGAATCTTAAATTGATTGCTCATGCCTGGAATTTCACTTAGTTTCACCAAACTTTTCTTAAAACTGCTGCTCTTATGCATTCTTTTTGTCTCAATGTTTCTACAAGGATGGAGCATTCTTGCTCTAAAGATAAATGCTTTTAACTAGCATTTCTCTTGGTCTGTTTATCTTATAAAAAATAAAAGTAATCACTCAATATTTGTGTTTGTTTCTATTAGTTATGATTAAATATACTGGTGGTATAGTTGCTAAAGGCACAGGCTGTAAAATAAGCACTAGGTTTGGATCCAAGCTCTGTGACCTTATAGTGACTTAACCACTGTTTTCTCATTTATACAATTGAGATAATAATGGCTATCCCATAAGAGTGTTGTGGGAATTCATAGAGATTATTTTGGGTATGTTACCTAAGCTGGGTGGCTCGTAGTAACCATTCAGATTTTAGCAAATAAAATACTGTACTCTGTATTCAGCTTGACTAGAAATGTGGTTTATCACTTAAAGGTTTGAATTGACCTTCTGAATTGTGACTCGTGAAAGGGATTTTCTTCCTGTCTTATACCATTCTGTACTTAGAGTGTTTGCATCTGAATCGTTAGTATTCCCTATCTTATGTATATAAACTATCCTCTAAATTAATTTTGTTTGATTTGGTTTTATTTTCCTGGTGATTTTCCCAGCTGCCCCAACTGCGACTCTTGGTATAGAAGAGGCAGTAGACTGCACTTCACCTTCTTCAGGTGAATGTCCCAAACAGAGCATTTGAGGTCCCCAGCTACAGCAGTCAGTGCTGCCTGGTAACTAAAAGCAGCAGCCTGCATGGCTGGAGGGAGTCAAGATAATGGAATTGGATTGTCACCCACAGTCAGCCTGAAACAACCATGGCTACCACCCCAAGTCCCATGCACTTTCTTGCATTTGGGGCTCTACACATACCCTTCCCTCTGCCTGGAACAATCTTTCCTACACTTCCCCCTTAATAAGATAATTACTACTCATTTATCAAGTCTCAACTTATATGTCATCTCTCTAAGAATTTATTCTCTGACCCACAGACTTAGTGGGAATCTCTATCATGTACCCCCACGACATTCTCAAATTATCCCTATTATGTGCAAGCAGTCCTTGTGCTATGGATTGAATGTGTCCCCCAAAGTTCATGTGTTGGAAACTTAATCTCGTATGTGACAGTGCTGGCAAGTGGGACCTAATGGGAGGTGATTAGGTCATGATCATTATCACTGGAGCAGGTTAGTTATCATGGGAGAGAGTCTGTTATAAAAACAAGTTGAGCTCCTTCTTGCTCTCTTGTGCTCACCCTCTCTTGCCCATCTGCCTTCTACATAAGATAATGTAGCACAAAGGCCCTTGTCAGATGCTGGGACCATGTTCTTGGACTTCCCACCCTCCAGAACCATCAGCCAAGTAAATGTCTCTTCATTATGAATTACTCTGTCTGTGGCATTCTGTTATGGCAGCATAAAACAGAGTAAAACACTTTGCTTTACACAGTTCCACTATGCATGAACTTCAATGACCACAATTTAGTTAAATAGCACCAGCCCTTCAACAACACAGTTCAAATTTCAGTAACCATGATATATGAACTATAAACTGTGAGCTGCTTGCTCTTTGGTCCACAAATCACTTCTTAACAGATTCACATCATGATCAGTAACCAATCACATCACTTCTTCCAAACCGATCACATCACTTCTTCCACTGTGCATTTGTTATTCAGTTGACACACAAAGAGCAAATCAAGTGGTTGTGTTGCTTCCTTGTCTCCCAGTAATAAACCCATGTGACAGTTTACAAACATGAATAATCAAAACTGGAAATTAGCTGAAAAAGATGAAAGTACTCCAAAAAATGAAAAGTGATAACCTGGAAGTCAAATTCGAATCAAATGTAAGTGAAGTTATAGAAGAAGTAACTGATTATGGCATGTTGACATCCTTTACCATTGCATCTACTCTAGATATGCAGTCAGAGAAACTTAGCAAAGTGGCTGTGACAAAAAGGATAAAGATGTCCCAGAGAAAGTGATGCCGGCCAACCATTTCACCTTGAAAGAACTCTCAGAGATATTTCACATCAACATACAAAGAACAAAGGAGAAAATATTAGAAACTGATCCATACTTAGAAAGGAATATGACAATTTACTGCTACATAGAAAACATGTTTGCTCCATGTTGTAAGATATATGATGATAAGAGAAGGCGAGCAGGCATTGTTCAGACTACTTTGGATGAGTGTTTTACACTAATTCTCAGTGTTTCTAATGTTTTCAATTATCATGCACTAAGTAAATAATAGTTTTATTACATTTTTCATTTCCCTATATATTTATCACTGGCAGTTTTTAAAGGTCATGGAACAGTCATAATTTTTCCTATTTATGATGATGATTACTTTGCGCAGTTTCAGCTTGCATGGTAATATTTGTGGTCCTGCACCACATGCAAAGTAAGGACTGCCTATATATTGAGCATCAATTCTACGTCTGGTACATCATAGTAACTTACTACACGCTCACAAGAATATAAGTTTAGGTTTGGGTGAATGAATGAATGAATTCTAAGTGGGCTTCACCTATATTCAAATACTAGGAATGAAGGAAGATATTTTCTTCCTTTCCCAGCCACTGTGATTTGCTGTAGTTCTTCCTCTAGCTTGATGCTTGGCCCATATCCCAAAGAGTAGACCTGGTCTGTGCTCACATTAACTCTATAATTCTAATAATATCCCTGAAGCTGGGATTCAGCTCCCCAACCAGCAGGTCAGTACAGCAACTTGCAACTGGCTCCACCAGGCCCAGGCCCAGTCTCAGCTGCTCACAGCCACAGCCACTGCTATCTATGCTCAACTGATTGTGGAGCTGAGTTTATGATTCAGTACTTCCAGTCTTAAACTATGGTCGTGGGGCATAGGAATACCTTAAATAAGTGAAATTTATTAAGTAAGTTTATTATAATATAAACTTTAGTCTGGTCAATAACTTACATCCTCTTATATCTTTACAAGAACTGTTAATAAATATACAGATTTCATACTCATTTCTTTACACTAAAGAGTAGTCAAACAGCCAAAATGTCAACATTGCTATGACAGCACTTCAATGTCCATAAATGTAATCTTAGCATAGCTGAAAATATAACTCTTCTGGTACTTTCTCTGTACTTTTATCATTGTAATCCTGTTAGAAATACAACTGGGAAGAGACAGAATATAAAAGGGACAATGTTCCCACAGCTTTTGGATGTCAGATAGGCAATGTCATTAAGTCATTTCCAGGAAATACCATGAACCAGCTTATTTATGTTTCTTTTTCTCCCAAGGTTCTTCTCTGAGAATGTTTTTAAAATCAAATTAACCTCTTTCCAAAGGCCTTTAATACTTCCTTATTCCATGGATTTATTAAAATCTTCTTCCAAATATGTTGCCCAGGGGGTGGTTGAGAGTTCCATTCCTTCCTTCATTTATTTGGCAAACATTTGCTGAACACCTACTCTGTTCCCAGCTCTGTGCTTGGCACTGAGATCAATGTTGAGAGTCAGACACATGTGCCTTTCTGGGCCTTGTAGACTAATGGCAGAAACAGGCAATAAATAGATGAATAAATAACAGAACCTGGAATTAAGCTCATGCCACATGCTATGAGGGGAACAAACAGGGTGAAGGGAAGGAGTTTGGGCCATAATCCAGAGAGACACAATCCCGAATGCCCAAATCTCACATGTTGAAATCCCAGAAGATCAAAATCTTTAAGTCTAAAATCCCAAAATCACAATCCCGAAAGATCAAAATTCTAAAAACATAATTCTGGAAAAAATAATTTAAAAAAATTTAAGACATCTATTTATATTAGGGGATTTATTTTAGAAACATAAACCCACAATCAAACACTCATAGTCCCCTTCACAGAATAAAATAGGCAATAATAACATATTTTTGCAAGCATAAACACTCAGGTATACTAATGACAGTCACATGAGCATAACAGTTATGAGAAGATGAACCATATTCACAAATAAATAGGTCAAAAAGCAAAATGTATAAATGCCTATCACTATGGTTGGTAATTGTGTGCACCTAGCTTTTAACTGTGGTCATCTGAAATACCATGACCGACACCTTAAGGCTTTTGACAAGATTTGTCAAACATTACAACAGATCACTACCAAATAGGCAATCTCCTGAAGAGCTGAGATCTCAAGAATTTTTTTCTTTCACAAATTTAGATAGATGTACAAAAAGGACATCTCTTTATTGATTGAAGAAGTTTTGATGTTTTTACATTGACAAGGAGGGAAGCTGATGGTCTAACTCTCAGTTCCAGGCCAAAAGCCTCAGGACCCTGTGTAGATTCTAGAGACTAACAGCTGCTGAGCCTGCAGTTCTGATGTCTAAGGCAGGAGAGGAAAAGTGTGCCAGCTCTCAGAGGAGACCAACTCACCTTCTGTGTTGGTTCTCTCTGGGTTCCTGACTGATTAGATGGTGCCCACCAACACTGAGGGCAGATCTTCCCCACTTAATCCACTCAGACTCACACACTAACCTCTGGAAACACCCTCACAGACACATCCAAAATAATGCTTTACCAGGTTTCCACATATCCCTTAATCCATCCAAGTTGACAAGTAAAACTAAGTCCACTAGTCTACCTTTTGTCAACTTGGCACCCACAGATATCTCCTTAAGCCATACTTGATTTGCAAGTAAAGACGATTTCTTGTCTTTTATCGTTCTGCCAACATATTGCAACAAACAAAAGGCAACTATGCTGTATACGATCAAAAATGCACAGCTGCCTTCCTCAGAACTCGGCTTGCAGGATTTTAATCTTTCAGAATTGTGATTTTCAGGATTTTAGACTTTAGAAATTTGGATCTTTTGGGATTTCAACATTCGGGGTTCTGGCATTTGGAATTGTGTCTTTTAGAATTATGATGAGCACCAGAAGGGAGGGAGGATAGTAGGAAAGGCCTTCTTCAGATAAGATGGCAGGGAAGAGCTCGGAGGAGGTGAGACCTGAAACACAAGGAGTTGACGGAAGAAATTTCCTCACAGAGGAAACGTGCCAAAGGGCTCTGAGGCAGGAAGAGCCTGGGGTGCTCATGGACATGTAAGGGAGGAAACTGGAAATTTTGTGCATAATTGTACATAATTGAAGCCCATTTAAGGCCAGAGTAACTGTTGTGGCTCTCTGGAGATGGCCTCTTGCCACCCACTCCATAGCCTGTCATCTCAGGGTGAAGAAGCTTCCACAGGGAGCCTCAGCTTCACCCCCATCTGTTTCCTATTTACAGCAGGCCTATCCTGATCTGCAATTCATGCTTAAAGCCTCCAACCAAGCCTGCTTCTCTGAAAACTTGCTGACTTTGACTTGGGATTCGCACTAAAGTTCTTTGTTGCAGGCTGATCTCTCCCCAAGTGCTTTCTCTATTAACCACTTAAGTACAGCAGCTTTTTCATCCCCTCTCGCTGCCTGCAAGCAGGAGGATGAACACTGTCCTGTGGGCCTGGATGCTGGCAGATGGGCCTCCTGGAAGGAGACTTCTGGAGGCTGTTGGAGCGGAGTATGGCCCTGGGCCAGCTTTGCAATAGAGGGACACTTGCTTGATAGGGGCTCAGGGAGTCATCAACTCTATTTTCTCATTCTTGTTTCACAATTTCAAAAGAAGCACAACACGAAATTGGTAAAGCTTTGTTATAGCACATAATTGAGAAATCCTGTGATGTGAATTATGCCGGGAAACTACTTGCCACCTGTCATCATGTGATGTAATAAAAGCAATAACTATATGTAGAATAATTTTTAAATAATCTATTATAGGACTTTCTTGGCTGTTTAGTCCAGTTATTCACAGGGACTTTATAACACTTTTATCTGTTATTACCATGGTTTGGAAGAGAAGGAGATAACAGGTAATCTGATATGTCCAGCAAGTTACTTCTCTCTCTGAACTTCATTTTCCTTATTAGTTAAAAGGTGATAAATAATGCTATGGCCCTCATAGGACTGTTGAGAGGACTAACTAAACTGATGTGTGTCAAGTACACTGCCCAGTGCCTGAGTCATAGTTAGAGCTCAGAAATAGTAATTATTATTATTTCATGAGGCACTATTTCTCTTCTTTAAAAAATTTTGGGCTGGGCACAGTGGCTCACACCTGTAATCCCAGCACTTTGGGAGGCCGAGGCAGGCAGATCAGCTGAGGTCAGGAGTTCGAGACCAGCCTGGCCAACATAGTGAAACCCCGTCTCTACTAAAAATACAAAAATTAGCCAGGCGTAGTGGTGCATGCCTGTAGTCCCAGCTCCTTGGGAGGCTGAGGCAGGAGAATCACTTGAACCTAGGAGGCAGAGGTTGCAATGAGCAGAGATTGTACCACTGCACTCCAGCCTGGGCAATAGAGTGAGACCCCATCTCAAAAAAACAAAAACTAGGACAAAGTTCATAGTTAGAACCAAGCAAAAATTTATTCTATGTGTTAGGGTAATTATTTTTGTAAATTTTTCTTCTATTTATTCCTTTTTATTAATAATTTATGAATTATAGTTGTATCCTTACACTATAAACAACACAGTTCAGTCCCACAGAGGGCATGTCCAAAGCCATGTGGAATCCAGCAAATTACCAATAAAAAACAATCCGTAACAATAGTCTTGGTTTCACTGGAACTAAGGACATATGATCTATGCTGTATGTATTCTATTTCCTGTGTAAGAGACACTTTGATACTCATTACTCTAGAAAGTATTTATAATCTAGACAAAAAAAAGCCTAATTTTAAACATTGTGATTTTTGACATCCATTTTTTGAAAATCTGTATTTTCCAGATCTTAATATATTTCTTGAGTGCTGACCATGTGCCAGCCACTGTGCTGTATTTCACATGAATTACCTCATCTAACCTTCCACCTGTAAGTTAGATACTATCCCACCCCCATATGACAGATAAGAACACAGAGGCTTGGAACTATGTGGTGTATTGCCCAAGGTTACCCACCTAGTGGCAGACACAAGACACAAACTCATGTCTCTGCCATTTTAACTGTGCTCTCTATGAGAGAAATGGCCACCACCTCTTCAGGCTAAATGTGATGAATAAGAATACAGAGGCTTGGGCAAGTCATATCACCCCTTTTTGCCTCCATTTCCTCATTGGTTAAACAGGAGCAATAATCCCATCAACCTCAGACAGCTGTTGTGAGGATTCAGTGAGGTCATGCATGTAGAGCACTGCCTCACCCTTTAGGAACCCTGCCTAACTCTCCCAGAATATCACACTTCATTTTATCAGGAAGAATTTCTCCATGTGGTCTAGCCTGACAATCCATTGTTCACAGCCAAGGTCATACTCCGTAACTAGTTGCCCATGTCCACCCCACGTTTAGGCTTCCTCAGATAAAATACTAATGGCTTATACTCATTAAAGCTTTTTTAATCAGTACCACTTGATTCCCTGTCTCAGCATTATATATATTCCCATGGTCCTGTTGGCTTCCAGACTAAAAGATTTAGCAGATCTCCAGAGTCACATGCTTCTCCGTTTCTACTCTTCCTTTTCATAGAAATGAAATCTTAAGGAAATCCATCAGACCAGCTTGTTCATCCTTAAAGGATGTGCACTGGAGGAAGAAGGATTGGGATTTTATCTCTGTTGTAGCCATATCCCATAATTTGAGGTCCGCACACCATGCTACATTCATATTCATGTTCTCTTACTCTTTGTTTTCTCCTTCTCTCTCTCTTTCTCCCCAACTCCCCCCATCTATTACCTACCTACCTGTCTCATTTAATCCATGCAACTCCCCCTCCAAGAAAGTATTTAAAAGGTGGGCTCTAGAGCCATACTTCCTAGATGGTAAATCCTGGCTCTACCACTTGTTAGCTGTGTGACCTTGAACAAAGTAAGTAACCTCTCTGTGCCTAGTTTCCTCATCTGTAAGGGGGGATGCTAATAGCACCTACATCATAAGATAGTGTGAGCCTAGCATTTAAAAGAGTGCCTGCTACATAGCTAGTTCAAAAAAGTATTATTATTATTCTGTTTAATAGATGGCAAACTGTGGTTCTGGAAGTTTAAATAACCCACCCAAAGGCATACCGACTGTGTGTTGCAGAGCTGGAACAGGCTGATGGCAGAGTTGGTGCTCTAACCACAGTACTTCACTGCCTCTTACTTAGCATATGCTGTGTGTTTATTACTCAGCTGAGTATGGCTGGGCATTGTGGGACTCTCAAAATAGACAAAGATGCCCTTTTAACCAACAGTTTCACTTCCAAGAACTTGACCGTAACTGGAACAAGTATATAAAGGAATAGGTATACGGATGCTCATTACATAATACCAGAAACAACAAAAATGCCCATCAATTAGGGGCTCAGTAAGTAAGGTATACTGCATTCATGCAGTGGCTGCTATGCTATTATTAAACCAAGAAGAGCAATATGTATTAAAGTAAAAGATCCCCAAGTCCTGAAGCTAGAAGAAAAATAAGGTACCAAAAAACATAGTTGTACTTATATATCCATATAGGATCTCAGGAAGCAGATTAGCAGCAGTGGGTTCTGGAGAAGAGCACTCGGTATCTTGGACAGGAGGGAGATTTGTGTTGCTGGATTTCTCTATTTTGACTGTTTGAATTTTTGACCGAGATACTTTTCAATTTAAAAGACTAGAATATAAAAAGGCTGTTAAATGTAACACTGACTATATAAATGAATGTTTCTTTATATATAATCTTTGGAGCACAAATTTTTCATGGGGAATGTAAAACTGCCTTTTAAAATATGATGGGGAAACAGACTGTGGGAAATATTCACTGACTAGAAGAGAGAAGCAAGACTATTTTAGAAACTCCTCTGTCAGGGCAGCAGTGTAGAAAATAGTTGAGAGTGGTGACTTTGGAGTCAGACAAACCCACTGTCAAATCTTGGGTCTAACACTAATCCACTGTGTGATCTTTTGAGTCTCAGTTTCCTCATCCATAAAATGGGGCAATATTATCTATTTTGAAGTGAGGATATAATGAGATAAAATACCATAGAGTCTTGCACATACAAGCATTCAATAAATGGTTACAGCTATTTACCCTGATAAGGAAGTAGGTAGATGACTGATAGATAGATAGATAGATAGATAGATAGATAGATAGATAGATAGATAGATGTTGCTAAAAAGGTTCTAAATCAACCATTCTTCCTTTGTCCTCCTTTCTCTCTTCTATCAGCCCAGAGAACAACAGTCTTATACCTGTTGTCTAGATAGCATTGTAATAGCAGTACCAGCAAGCTTTGCAGTCACACTAACTAGCTGATGACCCTAGGCAAGTTTTAAGCTCTCTGAGTCTTTACATAATGCTAATAACAGGCCAACTGCAGTGGGTCACACATGTAATCCCAGTACTTTAGGAGGCCAAGGTGAGAGGATCACTTGAGCCCAGGAGTTCAAGACCAGCCTGGGCACCATGGCAAAACCCCCTATCTCTAAAAATTACAAAAATTAGCTGGGCATGGTGGTGCTTGTCTGTGACCCCAGCTACTCGGGAGGCTGAGGCAGGAGAATCACTTCAACCCAGGAGGCAGAGGCTGCAGTGAGCCGAGATTGCACCATTGCATTCCACTGTGGACAACAGAGCAAAACCCTGTCTCAAAAAAAAAAAAGTAATAACAATATCTACCCATAAGGGATTATGCAGACCAAAACAAAATAGCCATGGTCCCTGCTCTCATCAAACAATCTAGGATCCCCTGCAAATAGCCTAGCATGACTAATCCTATGAGGGTCCTCCACAAACATTTGTTAATTCATTGAACCTATGACTTTCCAGGAAAGGCATCTATACATACCATGAGGTTTTTTTTCCAAATTACTCAACTACCATTTTACCAAACAACTCCAATTTGTGTTAACTTTTCAGGCCCAAGCATGTGTATTTGCCTTTAAACTACACGCATTTCCTTCACTTCTCATTTCATCAAACTATACAATTGGAATCACTCTTTTATTCTCTAGCTTTCACTATCATTCTTGTTCTCTCTCAATCTCTTTTTTTTTTTTTTCTGAGACAGTCTTGCTCTGTTGCCCAGGCTGGAGTGCAGTGGCATGATCTCAGCTCACTGCAACCTCCGATTCCCAGGTTCAAGTGACTCTCCTGCCTCACCCTCCTGAGGAGCTGGGATTACAGGCGCCCGCCACCACGCCAAGCTAAATTTTGTATTTTTAGTAGAGACGGGGTTTCACCATGTTGACCAGGCTAGTCTCGAACTCCTGATCTCAAGTGATCCACCCACTTCAGCCTCCCAAAGTGCTAGGATTACAGGTGTGAGCCACCGCACCTGGCCTCTTGCTCTCTCCTAATAGTTATCCAACTCAGACTACCAAAGTGCGCTCACATCATGGTCCACTACATCTAGCAACTCAATTCTGTCTCCAAAAGGAAAGAGTTTCTCTCTCCTCACTTCAAACTGAAAAGTCCCAGGGATGGTCTCTGGCTGGCCCAGCCTGGAACTGGAAGAGCGATAAATGTAGGGCTGGAAAGCACACGCATAACTAGAGGAGAAATTATTGCACTTTGGTCTCCTCCCCCAATTTGGATCTACCAAATGTAAAACAAATATCTGAATAGTCAGCCTTTCTTTTTATTAAAAAAATTGTTGTGCTGCTTAAATTAACACAGTGCACTGTGCACTCCCCTTTGCATGTGTAGACACAACCCTTTTTAAATCTGTATTAAAAAATAGAATTGGCAATGGCTTTTGCTCCCGCTTGAGCTTGCCAAAAAAGGTTGGAAATGAGCATGCCTCTTCCTGTCTCTCTTGGCTCTGCTCCCTATTAGGATTTGATAGAGACAGAATCTTTCTCTTCCTCAACTTTCCCTGGAGCTGTAAGTGGGCTAAGGGGTGGAGTTTGGGAGAAGGGCACCACCTTTCACAATCCAGAAGTTAGGGATGTAGAAATATCAGGTGCTGGCGACAACATTTTGGAGCTTCTGAGCAAGTTCCCATGCTGTTGTTTAATCCTTAATCATCTCTCTTGGCATACTTCCCATTGCTACTGCTTGCATAAAATTGGAAGGAGCTGATTGCCTCAATCTGTATTTTCTATAAGGCCATGCTTACTTAGCGCAAAACCCACAGGGACTCCTCATATAATTGTTTTGACCCTAATAGGCTGTTTTCTTTGCTTCCAAGAAATCTCTTCTATCTTCCCCTTACATTCTAAAATAGTCTTAGTCCCAAGTGACAGTCAAGAACATGGGGGATACCTAAACATTTCCTGTAGAGAAATAAGATGTTAGTTGAATTCCATACCCATCTCTCTGAATGGGACTAATTATCAATGGGGGCTGTTGCCATGAGCAGGATTCTTTATGGAAATTACCTTAACTATTTTGTTTTTCCTAAAGACTACTCCGGTGGCAAAGAAGAATCATTACTCTTCAAAGTTCCTATACCAAACAATAAAAATAAAATGTCTGCTCATTCCAGCTAGTTAAAATTGAAATTTGAGGGCTCTGGTAATCTAAAACATGTCACTCAACTGTAGGCTGTCTCAGAAAAAAAAGTTCACTGCACTCTTCAGGAATGAAAGTACAAGATCCACCCAAGTTATTGCGTAAACCAAAATGCTCAAGGCTAACCCCATGCAAATATAGAGAAGGCCAACCTTTAGATGCTATCCTTTTTTTTCAGAGACCCTTCCCTAAAATCTTTCTAATGCTTGAATTCTCTCATTTATGAAAACTGCCTTAAAATTCCCAGTATCCACAGGAGCAAAGGTACAATCAGTCCCTAACAGCTTGCAGTCAATTTGTGTCTTAAATCTTTCCTTACATTGAAATTAACAATGTTTTATTTCTGTTGCCTTCTTTTTGTAGATTTTACTATAAGGAGACAGATACATAGACATAAGCATGTATTACTTGGAAAAAAATGTTTACTTTCTTACTCCATAATATAATGTGGTAGCACACACTTCTTCCTAGGAAGAAGTATATTAGGTTGAATGTGGAGAGACAGAAACTAAAAGGCATAGAGCACCTAATCCACAGTAGTATTGAGCAGGATGAGTCAGGTAAGGTGGCAACACAGTATGAGGGGGACACACCAATTTCAGCAGGAGACATTTTTGACTGTTATCTCTAATGACCTACATATACCTGCTCTTCAAGATTAACAGGTTTCTGAAATAATGTTGGGACTTTGAGTCTCATTCCACATCCATTGCAATGAATTCTTTAAAAATCGGAATGATTTTCCAATCTTGAAAGCACTGCAGAGAGACAACAGGACTAGTACAGCTTCAGTCAGGTATCCACACTTGAACCAATCAGGTAGGACCAAGAATGCAAACATGGGTGCATGGGAGCCCACGGGGGCAGACTGAAGAGAAGTTCTTAGGGGAAAGAAGGGTCAAAGGAATTCTGTGACTTGCATGGCTTTGGGGAAAGTACTTTAGCCTGTATGAGCCTCTGCTTACCAGTCATGGATTATACTTTCTACTTACTGTAAGGAACACTGCCTTATAAATACCAAACTGCTAGTCAAGGATGCTGGGGCCTGAGTTGGCAGTAAGTTTAAGATGACTCACCAGTGTTATAAGGCTACCAAATGAGCAAGCTTGATCTTGGGACATAATAATATACATGTATACATTAAAATGAGAAAAAATGACAGCCTCCCTCCATTTGATAAAAATCTGATTCTCCTGGAATAGAGCCTTCGATCTGAGGTGCCTCATTAACAGGAATATTGGCAAACTGGAACAGGTGGTGGAACTTAATCTCTCTTTACAACATGCCATTGTATCAGTTCAAAAGCCTTTTTTAAAAAACTCTAATCCAGACGGTCTTAAACAGTTGAAAATGTATTTATTCGTGTTTACATAGCAAGGTGTCTAGAGGCAGGTAGTTTCTGGCACTGAGTGAGTGGTCCAGTGATGTTAAGGCTGTCATCTCTGTGATTCTCTTGACCTTTTCTTGACCTCATGGTTGCAAGATAACTGTCAGAGCTCCAGATATCTCATCAATGTTCAAAGCAGGAAAAAGAAGAGGAAGATTGTTACTAGCTTGATTTGTTCATATTATCAGAAATACAAAAACTTTCTCTGAAAAAATTCCAAAAGACTTTTGCTTATATCTCATTCATAGAACTGTGTCTCAAGTACACCATCAACTGCAGCTGAGGCTAGAAAGATGAGTATTGGGCAGAAGATGGCAAGGAAGAACAATAATTGCAATATTTCAGCTAAAGGGCATTGTCTGCCACAATTGGCACTATTGCCTTTCCCTTTTGGGAAAAAGAAAATATTTCACATACATGAAAAAGAATAGGATTGGTCTAGATTTATCAGATGTCCACCCACTCCTGATCGAATCAGCTAACGTTTAGATACAAGCCTGGCTGTAGAAGGTTCATTACTATAAAAAATTGTCATATGTGTACCTATACAACCATACATGGCTAAAAAATAAAACATCACAAATCCAGTTGGAGCCTCTTATATATTCCTGCTCAATTACATTTCCTTACCCTGGCCCAGTAAGCAATTACATAGTATCCTGAGTCTGACATCTATCATTCCCATACATATTTTTACTTTGTATGGTTATTTTCATAATATTGCTTAAGTGGTTTTAAAATTTTGTGCAAATGGTATCATACTGTAACTTGGCCCTCTTCAACTTGCTTTTTTAAATTTAATTCTGATGTTTGAGAATTATTCACATTTGATTTAGTTCACTCAATATCATTGCTGTAAAAATATTGCTTTGATGAATATAATACAATTTGTTTATCCATTCTTTCATTGATGGACATTTAGATTTTTACAGTTCTTTGCTGCTAAAACAATGCTTCAATGAACTTCTTGTACATGCCTCTTTCTGCATATGTGGAATAATTTCTCTAAGGCATATACCCAGAGATGGAATTGCTGAGTCACAGGTTCTGTACTTTTAAATTTTACAACATATTGCCAAATGGCTCTCCAAACTGATTTATCAGTTATCCACCCACCCCAGTGTATTATTGTTCTAATTGTTCCACATTCTTACCAACACTTGATATTGTCAGACTTTTCAATTTTTGCCAATTGCATAGCTGTGAAATGGTATCTCAGTGTCATTTTAATTTACATTTCCATGATTACTAATGAGATTAAGCATTATATCAGATGTTTTTGGCTATATGGTTTTCATCTTCCATTAATTTCCTGTTGATATTATTTGCTCATTTTGTAATGGATTTGTTGTCTTTTCCTTATCATTCAACTCTTTCTATGTCTGATTGCCCCAGTGAGACTGAGCATCTCTAGTCAAGAATCATGGCCTTCGCCACTCATTCAATAATATCTGCTGAATGCCTAGTATGTGCCAGATACCACAGAAGCATTGAAGATACATGGCAAAGGCCATGGAGATGTTATTATGTCTTTAAAATTCTTTTATTATATCTGGCACATAAAGAGATTTGTTGACAAATAAATAAACACAATTCTGAAGGTACATAAGAGCTGTCCTCTGCAGCCTTTTTGTGGACAAGTCCTCAAACTTATTCCAGGTACTCTAGAGAGCAATGTGAATATAAACAGGTAAAAGCTACATGGCAAGACTTAAGCTCAAACATAACACAAACTTTCTTATTATCAGATTTGTTAAAACATAGAGCATCCCATCACTAAGGGTATGTAAGTACAGTCCCATTGATTACCTGGCAGGCCTATTGTTTAAGGAATAGAGCACTAGACAAGAGGTTGGACTAGAAAAGTCCTCCTCTATTCTCCAAAATTTCATAAAATACATAAATTTTAGTTAACCAACACTTTTTTAAAAATCCCCCATAATTATGTATAAAACTCACATCCATCCATCTGATGATTTTCATATTAAAATGCCTATAATCGCTTGCCCAAATGCCATGTATCTGACCCTTTCTTCTGCATGTGGTTAGTTTCATAAATAATTTACCTTACAACCCTTTTACCTTATCTAACCCTTCATATTATGACAGAAAGGACTCAACCTTTTATTTCACGCAGATGACCTAATGTATTGCACCATCACACTTGAGAAAACAGTGAAGAAATATTTGCTTCCCATCCCAAAGCTATGCAAAGAACAAAATTACTGCTCTGAATCCAGCCTTTCCATTACCATGTGTGCACATGAAAATGTAAAAGCTTGGAATTAGGCTTTCCATTGATTTAAAAACACATGCATTCTCCCAGAGTGACAGACTTAAAAGCAGAAAGAGACCATAAAATCCTCTACGTTTACCTGATTCAGGAATCTAATATTAGGCAGCACTAAAGAATTGAAGAGCAGTCCTCTTTTACTTTCTAAATATCTATCTTGTTTGGATATCATAGATTGCTGTATGGCTACTTAAGCAGTCAATAAGCATGTATTGAGTGCCTGCTAGGAATATGACACTCTGCTAAAGTTAGGGCCTGGCATGATGTGTAAGAGATAGACTCTCTATTTTCCAAGGACTTGCAATCTTATTGGAGAGAAAGGTCACGTGTATACAGAGAACTAAGACAATATGACATGCATGAATATTCATGTCTGGAACCGTGTCTGGAACACGGTAAGCATCCACAAGTGTCTCTGTAACAAAGATGTCCCAAGATGACTTCCAGAGTTCTGGCTCACATGCTTGGATGGATGGTGATGCCCTTTACTGAGAGAAGAAACACTGGAAGGAGCTAGATTGAAGGTGGGGGAAGTGAGAAGGACAGGGAGAAATCATGACTGTCTTGGGCATATTGGGGGTGAGATACCATTGAGAGTCTAAGAGCTGAATATAACAGTTTAGAACTCAGATAAGATATCTAAGGTGGAGACACAAATTTGGGAGCCATTTGCATATAGGTAAGAAATAGGAGGAGGAAGTCTAAGGCCAGGCTTGTAGAAATGCCAACATCTCATGTCTGGGTAGAAAAGGATGTATCCACAGAGAAGGTAGATAAGGACAGGTGGGTATCACAGAGACTAAGGGGACAATAGAGGGCAACAACAGGGTTGAATGCCGCCGAGAGGCCAAGTGAATTAGGACACAGAAGGGGCTGTTGGCTTTAGCATGAGGGATCTGGAAAAAACTTGGTGGAGAAGTCAGAGCTTGTGCTGATCCCAGAGGAATGGGGTAGAGGATGGTGCTCAGACATGGAGAGAAGGAGGAAAGGCAGCTGGGCAGGAAACAACACTACCTAAAACCCAAACAATGGAGTAGTGGCTGGGGAACATTGTATGTGGGAGTCGATATTCCCTACATGGTAACCTTCTGGAAGGGGATACTGGAGAGGAAATCTGGGCCACTAGGGCCTTGGATGCCTGGCAAAGAACTTGGGTTTTCCTCTCTAGCACAGAAAGGTCATCTGGGGTTTCTGGGCCTACAAACGACTGTATAAAGCCATGAGAGAAATTAGTGGTTACAGGAGATGCCATCTTTCCTAGTAAGTGGGTTGGGCATACACTTCAAAAATACAAATTCAAGGTGAGATTCAGCAGCAAAGGACAAAAACACTCCTTAGAGCAGGCAGATTTGTCACACCATCCTGTGAGCTCCTGGATGGGAAACTCACAGGGGAGGCACTATTTAGAGGTGTTGTTATCATGGACCAGCCATCATCTCCCCAAAGGGAAGAGTAGAAAAACAGAGCCTCCAGGCAGAAAGTGGAAAGACAGTAACCACTTTACTCCTGTAATTTCTGACTTGGTGTGTTACATAAGGATGAGCTGTACCAGGTCCAAGGGGCTGAGCTGATCGAGTTCCCATAGCAGAGCCCTCATCAGTTCTGCTTCCACAACCTGGGTGAATTTTATGAGCATGAGATCTCTGCTTGCTCTGGTGGAGACTCATGGAGAGGGCAGGGATTCACCTCTATGCCTTTTAGAAATGCTACGGCCCTGGCCCCTCTTTCTCAAACTCCCTCTCTTTAGCAGATAAATGGAGGAGGAAAGCAAGATAAAGAGGTTTGGGATCTTTTCTGGGATTTTGCTGAACAGGGCGTGGTGACACTGGAGGAGTCAGCAGATTCGGTAGCAGAAGAAAGGCAAGAAGAAAGAGGACACGCAATGAAGTGGATTTCTCTGTGTACCTCCCTTCCTCTCCCCACTCACCACCCAAATTACAATAATGACATTACTCCTTCCTTCATTTTTATTTATTGAGTCAATAAACAAAAGTCATTAATGGTAGTTAGCTCTGCATACTGGGACTCTGGCAATATTTTCATTCTTTATTTTCACTATTTATTGAGACCTTACTATGTGCTAAGCACCAACCTAGGCACTGTGGATTACTCAGTGAACAGCTCGGACACCACCCCTGCCCTGATAGAGCTTGCAGTCTAGCAGGAAAGACAGACATTCAAGCAAGCAGTCATATAAACTGATATGCATTTGCAGAAATGATGAGTGCAGTGAAGGACAATGGCAAGGAACAAAAAATGGAGGACGTCTTCTGACCCCTAAGGTGACTTCCCTGAGAAGTGTTGATAGAAAAGGGGCAGTAGTATGATTAGGAACTGAAATAGTCAAAGAGGATTGGGAAGAGGGTTAGAAAGAGGCAGAAGAGAGGCCCTAAGGCCTGATAGGGACTAACAGTGTTATAAGAACAAAGAAGAAAGGCCAGGTTACAAGGGTAGGCAGGGAAGATGGGGGGAGGGGCAGGCCTCTTTCTCCTCCTGCAGCCACCAAGTGATCCATTGACCTCAGAAAACGTACACAGCCAGGATCATGGACAAACCCTAGGGCTAGGAGGATGGGGAAGTGCTTTCCTAACTCTTAACATGTATACACTGTTACATGTAGGGGAGACGCCACCCAGGGCCCCCCTTGATAAGAATGCAAGTAGTTATTCTAAAAGCAATAGGCCAGGCATGGTGGCTCACACTTGTAATTCCAGGACTTTGGGAGGCAGAGATGGGTGGATTGCTTGAGGCCAGGAGTTTGAGACCAGCCTAGGCAACATAGCAAGACCCTATCTCTTAAAAAAATAGAATTAATAAAAAAATTCTAAAAATCTAAAAGCAACAGGTAGCCAAGAAGCATTTTTAAGCAAGGGGTAGATGGTGAGACCAGGTTTATATTTGCATCATCAACAATAATACAAATAGTATTGCTCTTAACAGTGTATACATGTTAAGAGTTATGAGAGCACTTTCCATCCTCCTATCCCTAGGGTTTGTCCATGATCCTGGCCGTGTCCTTTTTCTGAGGGCAATGGATCACTTGGTGTCTGCAGGAGGAGAAAGAGGCAGCAGGCAGATGTTCCCTAGAACAGTTGCCAAGAGAAAACTGCTCTTAGGCAGCTGTCATGTACCTAGAAATGTGGGAGTCAGATAAGGACATCTTGGAACTGTTTGGACGTTAACCTAGCCTACTTCAGAGTGATATGCATGTGAGGGAAATGCCCATGATACACTGCCCTGGAGAAAGCCTGGGACAAAGCTGGGGAGACAGAATCCTCTGCCCTGGGTTCTGTATGTGTGCATGCTTGGGGTTCTGTATGTGTGCCCGCTTGTAGGTATGCCTGAAAACATTTGCAGGGAAAGAAGCTTGGAAGTCAGTACACAAAAACCAACCATTAATAGTAGTTAGCTCTGCATATTGGGACTCTGGCAATATTTTCATTCTTCTTTCTGCCTTACTGTGTTTTCCAGAATTTTTCTCTCATAAACCTGTGAGTGAGTGGGAAAAGAAAAAAACTGCAGCTTCCTTCCTCGAGATACTGGCTGGGGCTGGTCTTGCTCCTCCTGGTCTTCAAGCTCCCAAACACCCTTGCTCAGCATTACTTCCACTTGGGGCAATCTGACGAAGAAAACTCAGCCCCTGCTGACCCATTTCCTCCTGGATAACTGCTTTGCATCTTAGATCTCAAACTACAACACAGAGGGCAGAGGCAGGGTCTCATTTAGCCATCTTTTTAATCAATCAGTAATTACTGAGTGGCTCCCTCAGAGTAGGTATTGTGATTCAGATATAAAGAGAGAGATGGGGCCAGGTGCGGTGGTTTACACCTGTAATCCCAGCACTTTGCCAGGCCAAGGTGGGCGGATCACGCGGTCAGGAGTTCGAGACTAGCCTGGCCAACATGGTGAAACCCCGTCTCAACTAAAAATACAAAAATTAGCTGGGCTTGGTGGCGGGCGCCTGTAATCTCAGCTACTTGGAAGGCTGAGGCAGGAGAATAGTTTGAACCCGGGAGGCCAAGGTTGCAGTGAGCCGAGATGGTGCCATTGCACTCTAGCCTGGGCGACAGGGCAAGACTCCGTCTCAAAAACAAAAAAAAAATAGAGAGAGATGGGTTACCACCCACAGAAGGAGACTGAGCCACTGGGGTCCCCTAAGCCTCGTCTATGTATGTTTTGCAGTCTGGTCAATGAAGCTGGTCATTTTACAAGGCGAATCTTCTAATACTTTTATATTGCCATAGTCAGTTGGATCTTGAAGTCAGGGTTGGCTTTCAGGGTTGGGCAAAGTAGAAAACATATATCTAATACATGCATTAGATATATGTCCCCAGATATCCTGGCCCACATACCTGCTGTGATACTTGGAATCTTCATGTAGAGTCTAATCTAAAACAATGCCTGTGGCGTTGGAAACATCCAAAAATGTGTCTCGATGTATTTGTCAAGAATCTTCCAATCACTGAACAGCCACCTTCCTATGAGGATAGAATATATTAATTAGCTAGGCCAAAGTCAGATACCAACTCCTGGAGCCTGAGGGAGAGATTAGCCTACCCTGAAAGCTCAGATTAACTGTGGGACAGGATGGCTCCCCAAAAAGCAAATTGAAATGGTGTTACTATCAGACAAAGCAATGGATCCCCATGGTCCAGAAGCAGCAGATGCTCACAAAGCCAAGGGATTCTTAGGGTCTTCTTGAGGCATTTGCTTCTGGCTGGATCCATAGCATCAACTTGGTATAGTAGGTGGGACACTTGGCTCAGAAGGACAAGACCAGGGTTCTAGACTCACTACTTCTCCTGCCTCTAGTGTATCCTCAAATCCATTTTCCACAGCATTCCCATAGTGATCTGGTTAAAATGCAAATCTAACCATGTCTCAGCTTGGAATTCTTCATTGCACTCACCTGCTTCTGCACCTCACTGCCATTGCCTGCGGGATCAAATCTAAGGTCCCTGATTGACATGAAAGGTGCTTTTCCTGCTTTTCAGCCCCATACCCCTTGGTCTCACACTTTCATCCCAGCAACCTTCAGCTACTGAGCTCCCTGCAGTGCACACTCATGCACACACACCAAGCTGAGTCTACTCTTCAGGCTTTTACTCATGCCTTTGCCTGGAGTGTCCCTTTCCTTTCCTCATTCAATTTTTACCATCTCATCTTCCATCTCATCGTTTTAACGACTTGGCCCAAAGATCATCTCCAAGAATTCCTCTCTTTTGTCCCCACCCCACCCTCTCCTGGGCTGTGATCTTCCCATAAGCACCATAATTCCCTAAGCATACTTCTATCTTTGCACTTCAAGGATCCTAATTACCTTCTCCAATTACATTCCCGCAAAATAATCATGGTAGGAATCCTGTCTTAATTATATGAGGTACAGCCCCAGGTGCTGCCACACTCCCTGGACCTGAGCAGACTCTTATTAAATGTTTATTAAACTGAACATTTTAGGACTCATTTTCCCCATATATAAAATGAGACCATCAAATTACATGAGCTGTGAGATTCCTTTCAGTTCTGGCAGGTCATGGATCAGACGAGTCCTTTTTTTTTGAGACTGAGTCTCACTCTTTCGCCCAGACTGGAGTGCACTGGCGAGATCTTGGCTCACTGCAGCCTCCAACTCCCAGGTTCAAGCAATTCTCCTGCCTATCTCCCAAGTATCCAGGACTACACCACACCCTGCTAATTTTTGTTTTTGTATTTTTTTAGTAGAGATGGGGTTTCACCATGTTAGCCAGGCTGGTCTCAAACTCCTGACCTCAAGTGATCAGCCCGTGTCGGCCTCCCAAAGTGCTGAGATTACAAGTGTGAACCACCACACCCAGCCCAGACTAGTCCTTGTTACAAGATAGCAATGTCAGGAGGGAATGAGACACAGAGAAGGTAAATTTTTATTTGGGGGGTAGAAATTCAGAGTAAGTCTGAACCAAGGGGAGATATACATAGTCAAATTGGATAGCCCATATATTCTGTATACTTAAGATGGAGTAAGGTCAGTGACATAGTTTGGATGTTTGTCCTCTCCAAATCTCATGTTGAAATTTGGTCCCCCATTTTGTAATTGGAGTCTAGTGGGAGGTGTTTGGGTTATGGGCACAGATTCTTCATGAATGGCTTATTGCTGCACTTGTAATGAATGAGCTCTTGCTCTTTTAGTTCCCACCAGAATTGATTGTTGAAAAGAGGCTGGCACCTCCCTCCCCATCTCTTGCCCCCTTTTGCACCCTGTGACACGTCGGCTCCCCTTTGCCTTCTGCCATGAGTGGAAGCATCTTGAGGCCCTCAACAGAAGCAGATGCTGACATCATGCTTCTTGTACAGCCTGCAGAACTATGGGCCAAATAAACCTCTTTTCTTTATAAATTACCCAACCTCAAGTATTCTTTTATAGCAATACAAATGAACTAAAGCAGTCAGTGTGCGTCAAAAAAAATTGATGAGAAATATTGGATCTCCCATGGTAAGCTCACCACATAGGGCATGTGGACACTCACAGACATAGTGTCCAGCAAGCCCTGGCCAGACGGAAGGACTCAATGATTATGCTGAATTGAACGCCAAATACCAGCTCTATCTCCTTCCCCACTGGCATTCACCTGGTCAGGGGAGAGTCAAGGAAACATGTCGATATCATACAAACAGCCATATTCTGACTGATTCTTGCCATGTCCAAGCAATCTAGCCTGAAAAACCTCTCAAAGGGCTTCTACTAACCAAGAGTTAGGGACAAATACTTGAGGAACAAAAACTAAAGTCCCTTAAAATGACAAAAGCTTAATAGCAATTAAATTGTCCTACCAGACTGTGAACCACTTGGATATTGGCTGGGAAGACTCATATAAATGTTATCACCAGCTCCTTTGGATTTTTTTGCTGTTCTTTCAACATCTGGTAGAGATTGTAGTAGAGACAGATTGAATTTATGGTTAGTGGAAAATATACTCTGCAAGTAGGACAAAAACGTCAATGTTTCATCATTGTTGGGCAGATGACTTTTCCAAGAGCTTCCTCAATTTTCAAAAATTGTATGTTAGTTCCTTGAAGAGGGAGGAATATGAATTAAATTTTTATGAAAATCACATATTTTAGGATGAACTCTAAGAGCTTTCAGTATATATTTGCATAAAAATAAAATTAATTCTGTTTGATGGACCTAGCCTTGATTGATTTCCTAACACTTAGGGGAGTTCATTTTCAGGGGCATTATCTCATCATTTGTGTTGCTGGGTTTTTTTTTTCTTTTCTTTTCTTCAAAACTGTATAAGTTCGTGCCAAAAGATACGTTTTGTCTATGACCAGAGTTTTGGTAATATAAATGTACTTTGCCTCATTTAATTTATTCATTTTTTCTCTTTGAGTGATAGTTATCTGTCTTTTCTCCTTTTCTGACTAAGACTTTGTGACAATCTTATGTAGAAAATTAAAGTAATATTCTTTTTAAACCTGAACTGATTTTGCCCAGGTCTTGTTTCAGAAATAATAGCAAAGAAATAATATACTTGAAGACCTTGAATTTCACAGATTTCATCTTTGCTGTCTGGCTGGAAGCCATAATGTGAAATCAGAGCTGTTTTTCTTTTCTTTTTTTTTTCTTTTCTTTTCTTTCTCTCTCCTCTTCATCTCCCACATTTAAAGAGTAATCACTTGACTCGTGTCACTGGTTTGTATGACTTTGTTGTTGCTGCTGAAAATAAATTGGCTCAAGGGCTAGTAATTAAAATATCTGCTTACATTTTTTTCTCTTTAAAAATCACTCAGAACCAGAAATCTTTTTTCCACATAGTTCTGTGAGGCAACATCAAACAGAGCTTAGATTCTTGGGCCTTTGAGGTTAAAGGGAACCCTCCATATTGTGAGGTTCAGCGAAATGGAGATGAGGGGAGGGCTGGCTATCTGGCTGTAATCCAACCCCAGTCTTCACGTGACAGTTTTATTTGGCCTCATTTATCCGAATAATTGCCCTCATTCTTTCTTTTACTTTCTTACACCTTGCTCTCTTTCCCTTTTCTTTTTTTAATCTCCATAGTGTAGAGTACAGTTAACGGTTGCCTGGTGAATTGACCAGGATAAAAACGAGCACATTTGAGAAAGGAAGCCCATCCTCACCTCTATCTTCCCCTCAAAAAAAGTTTGCTTATTTATTTGTTCCCATAAATGACATTAGGCAGATGATATCCAGGTCTTCACTCTGTGATAGGTAGATGTAGCCTTAAAATTAGTTGTATATTCCTCAAATAATGTTCCATCCTTAATGTCATTTGGCCTCAAATACAGGGCCAACACATCTGAATGAGAAATGAGATTTAGGAAACTGAGTTTTAGATTTGGTACTGTCTCTACCTAGATGTGTAGCTGATAATGGTCCTTAACTTCTGTGGGTCTCAGTTTCCAAACATGTCAATTTGATGTCAAAGTCTTCTCCAGCTCTAACATTCTGGAGTCTTTGATCTCTCCTGAACATCTTCTCTAAATCCCAGTATTTTGTTCATAGTCCTTTTAAGATATCCAACTTTAAAGTATTGTTAAAAGAAAGCAATAACTACATTAAAAGAGTGTTTTTCACTTTGGCCACATATCTTTCCTCTATTATAACCACAGGAAATATGTGAGAATATTTACAGGCTCTGTCAATTGCCAATGTAAAGATATTCTCCCTTTGGAGAGGGCAATTCGTGCTGTTACAAGGACATGCTCTGTAGCAACCAGCCTCAGAGTGGGTTTTCTCTAGTCTCACCCCGACTTGGGCCTCCTCCTCAGGGAATGTGCATATAAGGATGGGATGGACTTGGCCACTCAAAGGAAGAAGAGTATTTCTGAGCCCATTCCCTCAGCTACCCCATTGAGGCCTGAGGTCAAATCTAGCCCCAAGTTGTCCAATATAATAGCTACTGTATCCCCACAGCTCATAAGCACTTGAAATGTGGCTACTGAAAATTAAGTTGTGCTACAAGTGTAAAAATGCACACCAGATTTCAAACACTTAGTATGAAAATATGAATCCAAAATTTCTCAATGATTTTTATATTGATTCCATGTTGAAATGATATTTTGGATATATTTAGCTAAATAAAATATATGCTTAAAATTAATTTCAGTTGTTAATAGTTTTTTAATGTATTAACTAGAAATTTTCAAATTACATATGTGGCTCACAATGAGATGAGAGTCACAGAGGTTTATCCTATTACTGGTTGGTAACAGCTGCCTGGATCATCCCACTTATCGAGTAAGAGAACCATGATCAATCAGAAAGCTCTACCATGGGTGAGGGGCCAGCCATGAGGTATGAGGCCTATTCTGGGCTGGGCTCTAGATGGTCATGGGTCTTTACAATAGGCAGAGAAGGGAGGCTCAATACCCCAAAAGAAGAAAGGTGTTTCTCAAAGCCAAGTTACATAATTTCTGTTTTTTTTAAGTTTGACAAATTCACACTGATTTCAGCACTAGGAAAACTGCCAGTTTGGCTGTTCCATAGTGAATTTTCTCTCTGATCTGAGGTACAAAGTTCCTGGACTGTGTAAGTTTTCCTTCCTGGTATAGTACTTCTGCCCTGTTTGGAATGGTTACAATCAAGAACTTAAAACTACAGCAATGAGATTGCATCATGATGTAGGAGAAAGTTTGTACAAGTGAAAACAAAACAGAACCAAAACAGTCTGATGTTTCTGCAAACAGCAAGAAAAAATATGAATTTACTTTTATAAATTTTCTCCTCTCTAAGAGAACTCTTTTAGACAGCAGGTCACAAAATTCTAATCTGAACATATGCGGTATGGCCATTTTTTACTACTACTGTCAGGAGACTCTTATACCTGGCAAATTCCTCCCTGGCTACCCTCCCTACTCATCTCCCTTGCATACTGCTGCAGCCACACAAAGCTGATCACAGCTTCTCAAGAACACACTGCTGTTCCGCGTCTGAAATATTTTCACCTAATTCCCTCCCTTCACTGGCAAAAATCTGTACATCTTTCCAAATTCCTTTAAAGTCTGATTTTCTTTCTGAGGCCTTGACTAAATAGCAAGCCCCTGTATGGGCTTCTGGTCCCATGCATATAATGCCCGATCTCATTCTGTGTTTCTGTGTTTGCCTCTTTGTCCCACTTTGCAAGATGCCTGAAGCTATGAACCAAATATTATTTATGTCCCTGCCGGCAGTGTCTGTATATTTCCTGATACATCATAGGCAGGTAATAAGTGCTTGTGGAAAGAATGAATGCATGAGCAAATGAGTGAATGAATATTTAGTTTCTATTATTTCAGTATAAAACACTGTAATTATTTAATAATCACACTAAAATTTTTCATTTTTCAACACTAAAATAAACTGTCTTCTCTTTTGAACTTTGAAGCCTCTGCATGGGACTGGTTTAACTCCAAAAGACGTAGAGATTATGTATTTCTCCGTGTTAAATTTATGCTTAATTCTGTTTTATTAGCAAATGTTCAAAAGGCATGATAAAGAGGCAATCCAGTGACATTTGATGATAGATGGGCTATCTTGGATGCATTATCAATCAGTCCATAGGTTACACTCTTTGATTTCTTGGTCTAAGAGTCAGGATAAGTGTAGATTCATCCATCTAAATTGTGTTACTCAGACCTCCTGTGATCAATAAAATGTATTTTGAAAAAAGTTTGGCAGGTGAGAAATCTATTTCTGTAACCATGGAAAAACAGAAATCAACTAGACTAGGCTGAGATGGAGGCCATGACTTTTGTCTCCTTACAAAGGCCCCCCAGAAATCCATTATTCATGGATTTATTTTATATAGGGCAAATCATTACATGTGTCAGTAAAGAAAATTAAATAAAATTATTCTTCTATTTTTATACTTCTCTGATAGACTATAAACTTCCTAAAGGCAAGGATCTTGTCAATTTTATTCACCAGTGATTAACACCATAATGAAATACATTATAAATATTTGTGAACCAATGAGATAAAAGAATGACAATTGCATGTGAGATAGAAAAAGACATGTTATCAAATTACTCCCATAATCACTGTAATCCTAGAGTATGGGAGGCCGAGGTGGGCATATCACTTGAGGTCAGGAGTTCCAGACCAACCTGGCCAATGTGATGAAACCCCATCTCTACTAAAAATACAAATTAGCCAGGCATAGTGGTGGGCACCCGTAATCCCAGCTACGTGGGAGGCTGAGGCAGGAGAATCGCTTGAACCCAAGAGGCAGAGTTGCAGTGAGCTGAGATCGTACCACTGCACTCCAGCTGGGGTGACAGAGTGAGACTCTATCTTAAAAAAAAAAAAAATTTTTTAAATTATTCCCATAATCAGGTAGCATTGAGAAAAGCTCGTTATTGGTAAACATGTTCTCTTTTCTATAAAAGAAGTTTGATGCAATGATGTTGTTAGACTATAGCTTTCTCCCTACCCCATTCTTCAATGTAAAATGAAGAGAAACATGCTTTGTGTCAAGAGGAAGCCAAATGAATAATGGAAATAGTTTTCATGGCAGAAATATCTAAAACCAAACACGGAAAACGTGTTTCTGCAAAGTGACCACCTTGGTGGATTCCTCAAAGAGTGTATTAGATAAGAAAGAAGATGCTGGTATGGATAGGGAGACAGCAGTGCATAGGTGCTTTATGTGTGACTGGCTTCCTGTCCTCCTTCCCATTGAATCAACAGAGTCCCAGAAAAGGTCCTGCCAAGTTTCTGGGGTTCTGAGTTATTTGAACCCTTCAAAAGCATATTGAAACCAGAACTTGGGAGGAAAAAAAAGATGTTTCACAGAATGGAAAGTTACAGCCTTAAGGTGACTTAGTGCAAGAGTTATGACTGGTTAAAAATAGTGGGTTTGCAAGGAGCAGTCATGTTTGGTCAAAATTAACTACACATTTGCAAATGTTACTCTAAAGGTAGCTTGATTTAGAAAAGTAGGAGGATAAACACATTTTAGTTAAGTGCGAGTCTACAAAATTCAAGATTTTTAAATTCACTAATGTAGCATTAAAAAATGTAGAAAACATTAAACATTTTGTATATAAGATGTTTACCCTGCCTCCCAGAAAACAAATATTTTTCCATCATCATCATCTAGCACCTATATGTATCAAGCACCTATATGAGTCATTGGAGAGAGATGCTATTGTGTAATCATCAAAAGCATGGCCTGTTGTACTTTACAGTCAAGTGAAGTCTTCCACTTATTAGCAGTTAGACTTTAGACCAGTTATTTTAACCTCTTTAGGAGTGGGAATAATAATATCTACCAACCTCATAAGGTTGATACAAGGGTTGGATAAGACAGTGCATATAAAGTGACTGGCATATGGAAAGCATTCAGAAACACTGACTTCTTAAGATTTTCATCATCATCATTATCATAAAAATTAGTATGTCATGTGGTTACATGCTGCATAACTAAAATGTTTACCTTTCCTGACTATGAAAAAAATCATCCTGTTCAGCAAAATAATAAGGTTATGAGAAAAGAAGTGTCTTAACCCATTTTCTGCTGCTATAACAGGATACCACAGACCAGCAAATTTATTTAAGAAAAGAAATAGAAGTTGGCCAGGCGCGGCGGCTTGCGCCTGTAATCCCAGCACTTCGGGAGGCCAAGGCAGGCGGATCACCAGGTCAGGAGTTCGAGACCAGCCTGGCCAACATAGTGAAATCTCGTCTCTACTAAAAATACAAAAATTACCCAGGTGTGGTGGCACATGCTTGTAGTCCCAGCTACTCAGGAGGCTGAAGTGGGAGAATCGCTTGAATCTGGGAGGCAGAGGTTGCAGTGAGCCAAGACCATGCCATTGCACTCCAGCCTGGGTGACAGAGTGAGACTCTGTCTCCAAAAAAAAGAGTTTATTTGGCCCTTGGTTCTAGAGGCTGAAAAGTTCAAGAGCATGGTACCACATCTGGTGAGTGTCAGGACACATGAGTGCCCAGGACAAAGAGAAAAAAAAGAGAGCTGAACTTCAATGATAACTAACCCACCTCCATGATAATGGCATTAACCCACTTATAAGGGCCAAGCCCCTCATGACCTGTATTAGTCCATTTTCATGCTGCCAATAAAGACATACCCAAGACTGGGAAGAAAAAGAGGTTTAATGGACTTACAGTTCCACGTGGCTGGGGAGGCCTCACAATCCTGGAGGAAGGCAAGGAGGATCAAGTCACGTCTCACACAGATGGCAGCAGGCAAAGAGAAAACTTATGCAGGGAAACTCCCATTTTTAAAACCATCAGATCTCATGAGACTCATTCACTATCAAGAGAACAGCACAGGAAAGACCTGCCCCCACAATTCAATCACCTCCCATCGGGTTCCTCTCATGACACGTGGGAATTGTAGGAGTTACAATTCAAGATGAGATTTGGGTAGGGACACAGCTAAACCAAATTCATGACCTAATCACTTTTTACAGATTCCGTCTCTTAATACCATCACAATGGCAATTAAATTTCAACATGACTTTTGGACAGGACATTCAGTCGCAAGGGGTATACTTTTATAACACAAAAAATCTAAGGTATCAGCAACCTTAGTTTTTGTGAAACAACCAGAACTGTGCATTCAAACGAATTACAAGTTTGTTCTTCTCTCATCCTTAACTTTGAAAAATTTCATCTTATCAATATTTTTGTCAGTATATTTTCAGATTTATTTGTGTCACTAAATATAGCTGAAATCCATAAACTATAATTATTTTTAATATATTCTAAAATGTAGGTTTTACTCTATTCAACCAATGCACTTAGTTCAAACAAATGTTTGGTAGTGTAGGAAAAAAAGGAAAGAGGAGGATGAGTAGGGAGGAGGAGGAAAGAGGGAGAAAAAAAGAAAGTCTTTCATAAAGGTACTTGTAAAGAAGATGGCTACTGGAAAATGGGTTTACTGTAGAATAGTCTTTGCTTGTAGACAATGAACAAGGCTGCATTAACTAAGCACGTTTGGAAAAGCTGTGATGACTGACATATCCTATCCTGCTAACTGAGTCTTTTGTTCTTAGCAATATATTTATCAGACCCACAGCACAATGTGAAAGTGCTCTAATAAATCTAGAGCATTAAGAGGGATGGGCTGCCCAGTTATCAAACTCTAAACTGTCACTTTTACACTTGGTTTGGCCCAGTTTAACCTTGTAAAGACAGCTTTAAGGTTATAATACTGAAAAGTCCCCAAGAGACTCCTTCGAGGCAGTATCTCTCTTCACACTTAAGTTTATATGTTTTAGTTACCCCTGTATGTCCACAATGAGAGGATACATAGATTCTAGTAGAGTTTTTTAATAGTTCAGTTATTACAGATTAGATTGGAGTTGTTGTATTTCAGAAATTCCCAAATATCAGATTTCAGACTGCATACTTTGGCTTTACTGCCTTTCTTTTCCAGGGCCCAGGCAAAATTATTAAATTCAGATCTCCAGCCCCATCCCAGACATCCTGAAATCAATTTCTGGAGTAGAAGTTGGGAGGAGGACTCTGTGTACTAACAAATTTCTGGGTGATTCTGATGTGTTGTAAAGTTTAGGAACACTTGCCTAGATGATTCTCGTGGACCCTGTCTTCTATGCACAATGCCATAAAATCTTAACCCACAGGAAGAACTGTAAATGGGAAGAGGAGAGGGTGGAGGTAGAAAGATACCAGGCATCCTGCAAGGCATGCCCTTCATATCTCAGTTCATTCTATACCTTCCAGCTCAAACATTGCCTGTACATGTGAAAGCAATTCAGCAAACATTTGCTGAGCACCTACTAGCTGTGCTAGATGAGCAAGTCATAAGAGCAGGCATATATATGTTAACTAACTCTAACACATCACATTGTGATGAATGTTTCCTGGTAATACAGGTAGAGCATCCTGATCCTGAAAGTCCAAAATTCAAAATACTCTAAAATCTAAAACTTTTTGGGTGTAGACATGATGCCACAAATGGAAAATTCCACTCCTGACCTCATGTGACCTGTCAAAGTCAAAACACAGGTCCACAGCACACAGTTTATTTACTGTCCCCAAGGGGAAAAGACCCACTTAGCTCCCTTGTGCTTCCATATGTCTTCATTCATTCATAACAGAAAAAGAAATCACATCAGTTTATAAAATCAGAGGCACTTCTAAGACAAAAACCATTTTTAATGAAGATTGATTCTGGAGGAAACATTTTAAAAAGCCATCCAGCAGAATGCTTCCTCTTCACTAGAGAGCCCCTTCCTGGTCCCTTAACTACTTCTGGTGTTTCTGCTCACCTTATATAAAATACAGTGTATAGTAACCTTTTAATCAAAACACAGCATCATAAGTAGAGACTGAAAGCCTGGCATCGTTTACTGTTGCTGTTGCTTAACATCTGATACAGGCATTCTGCTGATGACACTGTGCTGCTTAGTTATTCTGAACATATTATTCCTTCACTGTATGAATGGTATATTTTTTTGTTTTGTTTTGTTTTTGTTTTTGTTTTTGTTTTTTTGAAATGGGAGTCTCACTGTGCCGCCTGGGCTGGAGTGCAGTGGTGCAATCTCAGCTCACTACAACCTCCGTCTCCCAGGTTCAAGCAATTCTCGTTCCTCAGCCTCCTGAGTAGCTGAGACTACAGGCATGCACCATCATGCCCAGCTAATTTTTTGTGCTTTTAGTAGAGATGCGGTTTCACCAAGTTGGTAAGTTGGCCAGGCTGCTCTCAAACTCCTGATCTCAAGTGATCCGCCCACCTCAGCCTCCCAGAGTGCTGGCATTACAGGCGTGAGCCACCTCGCTCAGCCGGTATATCATATTTTTTAATGTTAAGTACTTATGTGTGAAAGAGTGTGAGAAAATGAATACTTATTGGTATCATATAAATTCAGTCAGTAATGACGGTGATGCCAAACAACTGCAGATTGTCCACATGGGTGGCCAAGATAGGGACACCTTTGCTTTCTGATGGTGCAATGTACACAAACTCTGCTTCATGCACAAAATTATTTAAAATATTGTATACAATTTCCTTCAGGCTATGTGTATAAGGTATATGTGAAGCACAAATGAATTTTGTGTTTAGAGTTGAGTTTCATCCCCCAAGACATCTCATTATGTATATGCAAATATTCCAAAGTCCAAAAAAAAATTGAAATCCAAAACATTCTGGCCTCCAACATTTCAGATGGAGGATATTCAACCTATATTAACAAAGTACAGTGGAAGCATAGGGAAAAAACCTTCATTCTGATGGGAGAGGAGGCACCTTTCCAAAAAGGAAACTCACAGGAGGGACCAGAGAAGCTGCTTCACTACACAGAAAAGAGAGGAAGGCATGTTCAAAGGCAGTGAGACTTTTGGAAGTTTTAGGTGTCTTCAAGAAATGGTAAAAATCTCCTGGAACCTCACCATTCTCATACATAAATCAGAAATGATCAGCTTTTTCAGGTGAGAGGACCTAGGAGCAATCACATCCCAGTAACAACAATGATACCCAGTGCCTGGTGTTATTCTCCAATAAAGGGAACCAGGGTTCCCTGGAGAAATGTTTGATCCTAGAAATGGAACAGGGAATATACAAAATGAGCCTGTGAAAGGAGCACAGAAGACATCTGAAAGAGCGCCCAATGGTCAAGGCTGACACAATTTGAGCAACAAAATAAAGTAGTATTGAGTTATAATCCAAAGTATAAAGCACATATGCATAAGTCCATACTTCTATAAATGAAGGAATGGATACACAAATGTGAAAAAGAGACAAATCTCCCACGCAGAAGAATTTGGAATAATTTATGTAGATGCTGTCACGGAGGTAGAGCATAATTTCCACTGCTATAGTGTGAGCTGTGCATAGTGACTTCCTTCTAGAGAGGATGGTATAGAAAGGAAGGAGTATGTTGGTCATGGAGAAACCTGACACACAGCCTCAGCCAGGCCATCCACTTGAACATCAACAGTAATAAGCCATCCAGACAGTACATACCGTTGGTATGAGGTGATGAGAAAGGAACTTCTTCTCTGTGGTCTTCCTCCCAAAAATGCATAACTCCAGTATAATCAGGAGAAAATCATCAGAAAAATCCCAACTAATGAACATTCTACAAAAGACCTGGTCAGTACCCCTGAAAACCATAAAAGTTATTTAAAAAATAAGGAAAGTCTGAAAAACTGTCACAACCAAGAGAAGCCCAAGAAGACATTACTAAATATAATGCATTTTCCTGGATGGTATCCTGAAACAGAAAAGGAACATTAGGCTAAAACTAAGGAAATCTGAATAATAAAGTATGGACTTCAGCTAATACTAATGAATGTATCAATATTGGTTAATCAATGTGTCAAAATGTACCATACTAATGCAAAATGTTGATAATAGGGCAAACCAGATATGGCATATTGGGAAATCTGTACTGTCTTTAAACTTTTCTATGAATCTAAATCTATTTTTAAATTAAAAGTTTATTTTAAAATATGTAGGAATGATCACACCTGCTTGCCTGCCACATATGGCTGTTATGCATATCAAATGATGTAATGTATGTGAATGTACCATAGTCTTCCCTTGTCCATGGAAAATAGGTTCCAAGGCCTCTGTGGATGCCTGAAACCACAGATAGTAGCGAATGATATATGTACTATGTATTTTCGTAAACATACATACCTATGATAAAGTTTACTTTATAACTTAGGTACGGTAAGAGATTAACAGCAATAACTAATAATAAAACAGAAAAATTTTGGTGGCCATCTGTAATCCCAGCACTTTGGGAGTCCAAGGCAGGAGGATCACCTGAGCCCAGGAGTTCGATACCAGCCTGGGCAACATAGCAAGCCACTGTCTGTACTAAATAAATACATACATACATACTGTAATAAAAAGTTATACTGTAGTCTCTCTCTCTTTCTCTCTCTCTCAACATATCTTATTGTACTATATTCATTTATTTTTGGACCGTGGTTGGGTAACTGAAACCTTGGAAAGCAAAGCTGAGGATAAGGTTTGGCATTACCATACTTTCTCAACTATGGTGCACATCACAAATATACAAAGTTTTAAATATTATTTTATTTAAATGAAGCTATTTTTATTTTAAAATGTTTTTAATTTGCTATTAAATTATTTTTAAATATTTAAAATTACTCTTGGTATGAGATTGAATGATCGCTGATTATGTAGGCTGTGACCGAGACTATGAAGAGTCCCAGAAGCTGTATTAAGGAGTTTGGATTTGATTCTGAAGATGATGAGCCACTAAAGGATTCACAGCGGAAGGGGGGTGGGAGGAGATCGAATTTTGGGACTGGCAATGGAAGGAGGCTGGAATTATGGAACCACAGAATTCTGGACAGAAACGCTTAGATGGGGCAGAGGTGGGACCCGGAGGACTCGAGAAACAAAACCTGATCCACTGCTAACAGGGGGGATTTCCCACTTTGTGCCTCAAACCAGTAGCCCTCCAACCCAGACTTTCTGAGGAAAATGCTAATTTGATATCATTTTAGTATTTCCAGTGAAGTTGATTTATTAATTGAATGTGTATGTGAATTTTTATACCTTACTAAAACTATTACAGATGCATAAATCACATGGAAATCTTTTGTCTGGCCAGGTGCTGTGGTTCACACCTATAATCCCAGGACTTTGGGAGGCCAAGGCAGGAGGATCACTTGAGGCCTGGAGTTCAAGCAATCTTTTCTCAACCCATGTGTCTGCTTTGAGTTTGAGGAGATTTTATCTTTACTATGGCAGTCTAGCACAAGTTAGTGGTTTAGTACGCAGCCTCAGTTTTCTTCTCTATAAAATGGGCATCATTGTAACCTACCTAATAGGTTGTTATGCAAATAAATGAGATAATCCAACATAAAAGCACTTAGCTCATTGCTACCCTGTAGCAAGCACATGGCAAGTGGTAGCTATTATTAAATGGTGGTAGCAGAAGTAACAGGCCTCCTTGACATTGCTCAGGAGAATTACTAAACATAGTAAAATAAATAAATTTCTGCTGCTACTCACCCTGGAATGCTCCATATATTTGCTCTGCTGAGAGGCAGCTGGATCATTGCTACCAAGTGTCAAGAATCGGAAGCATCTGCCCTCAGTCACTTTCCTCTTGAGGATTGTGTATAAAACCACTGTTTTTGTTGTCTGCCCAGGTCATCTTAATACATGTAACAGTAAACATTCAAAAAACATCAGCTATTCTTCATAGTATGCCATGCCAAGCTGGTGGTACCATGGACTATTTCTACTCAGCTGCACTGGAGGGCAACTGCCCATCTGTTCGAAGTGCCCTCTCGGTCCTCCGAAGTTCATTTTTGTGTGCTCCACAGAGCCTGCTTTTTATGTCAGATTATCCCAAACATACCCTGCTGATTTCACAAAAGTCTACCCATAAAAGTTTCCTGTGATGTGATGACAGGCAAATGGACAGAACCTTAATTTTGTCAAGACACGTGGTGAAGGTTTTAGCTTCTTACTAGGCTGATAGCGGCCTGAGGCGAGGACCCCGTTCCACTCATCCACATACAGGGCTTGGCCTCCAGCCAGTCCTCACTAAAAGTGGATAGTGATTTTCACTGCCTGGGAAACCACTAGGAAGCACCATCTCTCTCCCTGTGGGTCCCTGGGCAGAGAGGCACAGCACCATCAAAGCAAACTTCCTGACTCCACTGTTTTACCTGGGGTTAGCTCTCCTTGGGAAACTTGAATGCATTAGCCACCTCTAACAGTCCCATTTATTTTTAAAAGAAATTAGGCTGTTTTCTTCCCTACTCTGCCATCCCAGGAATCTATCTGTAGATTTTTATTTTAAAGGCAAGAACTATCTAATAATGAGTAATTTCACTGGTCTATTTTTAGCAGCAAGGAAAAATTTTTTTTTAGGTCATTGCTGGGAAGTTCTCATAAACTGCAAGTTGGGAAGAATCAACAGAAGGTGAATGTCATGGATTTGTTTTCGTTCCAGAGCAGGAGGATTCACCAACAGGAACCAGGCCCCAGAGAGTAGACAGTAGAGACTCAGTTTCTTTATCAACCAAATGGGAGGAATATGCAAGATAGCGAATGCAAAAGCACTTAGCTTGGTGCTCCTACACGGCCAGTCCATCTCCACCTGTCCGCCTCTCAGCCACCACATTCATTCCCTCTTGTGCTGGACAATTTCATAGCTGCTTCCCCACTTTTAGGCTCCTCCCTCTAATCTACCACTTTTCCCCTGGCCCTTCCTAAAGCCCAGCTCTGAGGTGTTCGTCTCTTCCTTGAAATCTTCCTGGGCTTCCTTCACCCTTGGGCTAGCATTCTTGGCCTCTATTACCACACTACATCCCATAGCCTAGAGTCAGTCCCCACTAATGGCCTGTGCAGTGACTCAGAATTTCCCAGGCTGTTTGTTTATGCTGTTCCCTCTACTTGGAAATTGCCTCTCCTGATCCTCACCAAGGATCCCTGCCAGTCTCCACCTCTTATTCAGAGCCTTGAATAAATGGTTTCCCTTCCTTTAAACCTTGCCTCATCACCTCACTAAGAAGTAAGGTCATCTTCATCTTAAATCCTGTAGCTCTGCATACTATTTTTATGCTTCATGGTATCTAGCACCTCACTACATAGTTATCTGGGTATGTGTTCAATGTGTGACTTATTACAGAGACAGTGTAACAGTGGTTAAGAGCACCAACCCCAGTGCCAGATTGCCAGGGGTTGAGTTGCCACCTCCTAGCTCTCAACTTGAGCAAGTTGCCCGTGTCTTCTATAAATTGCAGATAATGCAACCTGAAAATGCAAATTATGGGAAAAATATGTATCTTACTAAGATACATACGCTTAATAGGATATATCCTATTAAGTGACAGAAACCCATCTGAAAGGGCTGTATATTATTCTAATGATATGAAATTCTGGAAAACACAAATCTATGGAGACAGTAAAAAGATTAGTGGTTGGCAGGGGTTGGGGTGGGAAGGGATGAATAGGTGAAGCATGAAGGATTTTTAGGACAGTGAATCTACTCTTTATGAAAATATAATGGTGGATACATATCATTATACATTTTCCCAAGCCCATAAAAATGTTTACTGCCAAGAGTGAACCCTAATGTAAACTATGGACTTTGGGTGACAATGATGTGTTAATGTAGTTTTTTCAATTGTAACAAATGTACCACTCTTGTGGGAGATGTCAATAATGAGGCCAAGTGGGGGGGCTATGCATGTGCAGGATAGGAGGTATATGGGAAATTTCTGTAACTTTCCCTCAATTTTGCTGTGAACTTAACACTTCTCTAAAAAGATAAAGTCTTAAAGAGTTAAATAAAGTAAAATACAATGCACAGTGTGATGACTGAAAAAATATGTCCATATATTATTTTATATTCTTTCCTTCAAAGATGGACCCTTCATTCTCCTCTCCTTGCATGTGGGCTGTACTGACTGACTCGTGGATGACTAGAATGTAACAGAAGCAACAGAGTGTGACTTCCTCCTCCCTCTTTCTCTTGGGTCACTCATTCAGCAGGCTGCCATGTTTGAGGACACTCAGCCCTATGAAGAGGCCCACATACAAGGAGCTGAGCCCTCCACTAGAAAATTAATAGAAAATAAATGAAGAAACTCATGTAAAGTTATTAGATGAGGCCTAATAGTACCTAACATGCTAAATAGTACTATAATGATAGCTATTGTTATTTTGAAATATTTTAAACATACAGAAAAATTTACCATATAAAGCATCAAGTACCTATGCTTCTGAAACACTCAACTTTATCACATCATAACATAAAGCCTTACTTTTTCATACTTTTAAGAAGCAAAATATTACAGATAGAGTTGAAGCCCTCTGTGTACCCTTTCCATATCCCATTCCCATCCCTCCCTTTATAGCAGTGGTGACAATCCCAAATTTTGTGTTAGTCATGCCTTTATATTTCTATTTTGTGTTCTAAAATTTTATTTAAGTGATATAATACTGTACATAGCCCTTTTCAAGTTGTGGTTTTGGTCAACATTTTTTTAGATTTACCCATGTTAAATTATGTGACTTGAGTTAATTCAATTTCATTACCATGTCATATATGCACTATATAAATATTTCTTAATTTACCCATCCCATTGTTGAGGGACATTTATATTGCTTCCAGTGTTAGAGATAGAAGAAATCTCAGAGATCGACATGCAGATGAGAAAATACAACTAGAGAAGGGAAGTTATTTGGCTAAAATCATATGGAAGATCGTGGAGCCAGGACTTTCAAAGAGATTAGAGTAGCCTGGAGCAGCCAGTTGTTCTCTTCCCAGGATACTGTGCATTTACTTTCTTCAGACTTCTTTGAAAAACTCCTCCTTCATTCCATGAGACCCTGTTGGGGATGTCAGTTATTCCCTAACCAATCGCCAGAGCCCATGACTCAGTTTTTGTCAAATGTAGTACATTGCCTGGTATATGATGATTAGCTCAGGGAAGATCACGTGACCCAAGCTGAGCCAATCAGAATCTTGTTATTTTGCTGAGCTGAAATAATATAGGCCTGGAGCTTCTAGAAAATTGTCTTTCCTGCCATGTAGGGAGAGTCTACCTCCAACAGAGAAAATGAAGTCAACCCACAAAGACAAGCAGTAACAAATAGAGGTGGAAGGGAAGAGAAAGATGTAGAGAGGCTTACTAACATTGTTCTGGTCCCTGAATACAGTATCCCTAAACTTCTCATTTATAAAACCTGCCCATTTCCTTTGTTTTTAGCTTAACCCAGTTTGACTTGCATTTCTCTAACTTGCAACGGAATCCTGACTCTTAAGTTCACCATTCTTTCTACTCTGCCGAAACTACAGCTCCTAGATGTTCAGTAAGCATTTAATTGAAAATGATGATCTCAACAAAGCCATAGAAATCCCACTAACCCTTGACTTGGGGAACACAGCAGGATTAACTGTGATCAGAGTTCTAATGTGGCACTTCCCTTTACTTGACCCATCATCCATGCATTCAGGGAATATTTACCATGTTTCTACTATGTGCCTAAAGGAAGTTATATGACAAGAGTAGCACAAAAGACACAGAGGTAATGGACTACTTTTCTAGGTATTTTATATGAAGTGGTACAATATCAATTCTAAATAGAATGCCATTAATAAATAATGCATATTTTAATCCCTGGAGAAAAGACTTAAAACGCAATAGAGGAACTGAATGAAATATTTAAAAATATTTGATTAGCCCAACAGAAAGTAGGAAAGGACAAATAAGTGAATGAAGAAAGATAGACAAACGGCAAACAAATAGCAAGATAATAGACCTAAACCCAACCTTATCAATAATTACACTAAATATAAATAGGCTAAGCCTTCTAGTAAGAGGCAGAAACCTTCGGACTGCATACAAAAGCGAGACCTAACTATTGGTTGTCTATAAGACACACACTTGAAATATAATATTATGTTGAAAACAAAAGGACAAAAAATACAGTTTCCAGCAAACTGTAAACATAAAAAAACTAATGTGGCTAAATTAATATTAAACAAAAATGATTTAACAAGGAGTAAGATCAGATATAAGGACAGACATTTTATCATGAAAAAAGCATCATTTTACCAAGAGGACATGGCAATTATAAATGTGTACTAACATAAAAACAGAAGCTCAAAATATATTAAGCAAAAGCTGACAGAATTAAAGGAAGAATTAGACGAAGTCACAATTATACTTGGAGATCTTAACCTTCCTTTCTCAGTAATTGATAGAACAAGCAGACAGTAATTGATAGAACAAGTAATTATATGGAATATCCAAACACTATCAATCACCTTGACCTAAATGATATTTATAGACCAGATGAAACCACTGCAGAAATACATTATTTTCAAGTGCACATGGAGCATTCACCAAAATCACCATATTCTGAGCACCAAAATAAATCTCAATAAATTTTAAAAGATTAAAGTCATCAGAATATATTCTCCAACCATAATGAATTTAAATTATAAATCAATAGCAATAAGACATAACACATGGATCAAAGAAGAAATTACAGGGGAATTAGAAAATATTTCAAAATGAATGATAAAGGAAATACAGCATATCAAAATTTGTGGGATGCAGCTAAAGCAGCACTTAGAAGGGAATTTATCCATTTAAATGCTTATATAAGAAAAGGAAATATGGGCAAAAAATCAATAATTTTGTATTTTTACCTTATGATGCTTGAAAGAGAATAGTATATCAATACAAAAGAAAATAGAATGAAATAAATATAAGAGCAAAATTTAATGAAATGAACAACAATAGAAAATTTTAACAAAACAAAACCTATTTTTTGAAAACATTAATAAAGTTAATAAACGTCCAGCAAGACTAAGGATGAATGAACGAGAACACAAATTCCCAATGTCAAGAATGAAAGATGACATGTAATTATAGCTCCTACAGACATGAAAATGATAATAAGGGACTGTAATTAACAACTTTATGCCAATAAAATTTGATGTATCTTAATTGGACAAACTCCTTAAAAAATACAACTTACAATAACTGACACAGGAAAAAATTGAAAATCTGAATACTCCCTGTTATGACTATATCTTATCAGACTCAGATATACTCAGAATATATCCTATCAGAATTTAGTTAAACAAATTAAATTCATTTTCAAAACTTCTTTATAAGAAACTCCACTAATACATTTATTGCAGCATTATTCACAATAGCAAAGATATGGAATCAATCTAAATGTACATTGACAGATGACTGAATAAAGAAAATGTGGTATATATACACAATGGAATACTATTTAGCCATAGAAAAGAATGAAACCATGTCCTTCGCAGCAACATGGATGGAACTGGAGTCCACTATCTTCAGTGAAACAACTCAGAAATAAAGTCAAATACCAAAAGTTCTCAGCTGTAAGTAAAAGCTAAATAATCTGTACACATGGATATAGACTGTGGAATGATCAATATTGGAGGTTCAGAAGGGCAGCAGGGTGGGAAGAGGGTGGTAGATGAGAAATTACTTAATGAGTACAACATACACTATTCAGGTAATGGGTACACTAAAAGGCCAAACTTCACTACTACACAATATATCTGTGGAACAAAACTGCACTTGTATCCTTTAAATTTATACAAATTTTATAAGAAAAAGAAAACTCCAAGACCAGATGATTTCATTGGAAAATTCTATAAAATAATAAAGAAGCAATTCAAACACTAAACAAACTCAGAAAACAAAGGATAGAATTTACCCCAACTCATTTTACAAGGAATAAACCTTATACCAAAAGCTGGAAAAGAAATTATAAGAAAAGGAAACTATACACCAATATATTTGATAAACACAGATATAAAAATTTGAAATAAAATATTAGCAAATTAGATGATAAATAATCACATAAAAAGATAGTCAACATCATCAATTGTTAGGAAAATGCAAATAAAAACTAGAATGAGATACAATTATCTGCTAGAAAAATAAAATTTTTTAAACTGACAATCCCAAATATTGCCGAGGATGTGGTTCAACTGGAACCCTCTTACATTGCTGATGGGGATGCAAATTGGTATATCCATTTTGGAAAAGTTTCTAATTTTTTATAGTTTCTTATAAAGTTAAACACAATATATCACCCAACAATACCACTTCTAAGTATGTTGTCAAAAGAAATTAAAACATATGGACATAAAAAAGCTTGTATGCAAATATTTATAGCAACATGCTGTACTTTGGGTATGGTTTGTTTGTTCTCATCGAAATTCATGTTGAAATTTCATCCCCAATGTGATGGTGTTGGGAGGTGGAATCTAGTGGGAGGTATTTGGGTTATGGAGGCAAATCTCTCATGAATGGCTTGGTGCTGTTATCCCAGTAGTTAGTGAGTTCTCACTCTCCAGGACTGGAGCAGTTCTTGCAGAAATGGATTAGTTCCCATGAGAGTGGGTTGTTATAAACCAGGACAGCCTCTCAGGCTTTCTTCCTTTCACACACGTTCACTCCCCTTTGACCTGCGCCATGTTGTGGTGCAGCAGGAAAGCCGTCACCAGAAGCCAGGGACATACCTTTGAACTTCTCAACCTACAGAAACGTGAATAAATAAGCCTCTGTTTTATATAAATTGTCCAGTCTCAGATATTCTTTTATAGCAACATAAGATGGACTAAAACAAAGTATTGGTACTGAGAAGGAAGGTGTTGCTGATAACAAATATCTGAAAATGTAGCAGCAACTTTAGAACCGGATAATGGGAAGAAGCTAAAAGAATTTGGAGGAGCAGGGTAGAAAAAGCCCAGATTCTGGTGAGGGCTTAGAAGACAAGAAGACTAGGGAATGTTTAGAACTCCTTAGAGATTAGTTAAGTGGTCAAGACCAGAACACTGATAGAAATATGGACAATAAAGGCCATTCCGATGAGGTTTCAGATGGAACTGAGTAAGAAAGTTTGGAAACTGGAGTGAAGGCCATCCTTGTTATAAATTAGCAAAGAACTTGGCTGAACTGTGTCCATGCCCAAGGGCTTTGTGGAAGGCTGAACTTGAGAGTGATGAGCTAGAGTATCTGGCAAAAGAAATTTTTGGGCAGCAAAGTGTTCAGGCTGCTACATGTTTCCTTCTAAGTGCTTATAGTGTACTGATAGAGAGAAGGGAAACAGAGCAGAAAAAATAAGAAAATTCACAGCCTGGCCATGTGGTAAAGAATGACAGAGTGTTTTCAGGAGAGAACTCCAAGGGTACAGCCAAGCCACCCCTTACTAAAGAAATTTTCCTGGCTAAAAGGGAACTAGGCATTAATAGTCAGGACAATGGGGGAAAGGCCTCAAAGCCATTTCTGAAGTCTTACAGGCTGCCACTCCCATCACAGGCTCAGAGGCCTAGGGGAACAGAATGGTTTCTGGGAACAGGCTCAGGGCACCCCAGGTCAAGTGGCCCCAGGTGCAGCTCATGCTCTAGCTGTGGAAGGTACAAGTCATAATAAACCTTGGTAGCCTCCACATGATGCTAATTCTGCAGGCTTGCAGAAAGAAAGAGCTATGGAGGCTTGACAGCCTCCACCTAGATTACAAAGAACATCATTGAAAGCCTGGGGTCCTGGCCAGACACAGTGGCTCACCCTGATAATCCCAGCACTCTGGGAGGCCGAGGCAGGTGGATCACCTGAGGTCAGGAGTTCATGATCAGCCTGGCCAATATGATGAAACCCCATCTCTACTAAAAATACAAAAATTATCTGGGTGTGGTGGCGCACACCTGTAATTCCAGCTACTCAGGAGGCTAAGGCAGGAGAATTGCCTGAACCCGGGAGGCAGATGTTTTAGTGAGCTGAGATCACACCACTGCACTCCATCCTGGGCAGCAGAGTGAGACTCTGTCTCAAAAAAAAAAAAAAAAAAAGAAAGAAAGAAAAGAAAGCCTGGGGTCCCAGGTAGAGACTTGTAGCAGGGGTATAGTCACGGCAGAGAGGCCCCACTAAAGTAGTACTGAGTGGAAATGTGGAGTTGGAACTGCCACAGGGTGTCCCCACAAGGACATTGCCTACCGGAGTCATAGGAACAAGGCCACTGCAGAGAATCCCAACTAGGATAATGTCTAGTGGAGCTGTGGAAATGGTACCACCACTGAGACCCCAGAATTGCAGAGCTACCAGTGTATAATGCCAGCCTGGGAGAGCTGGGTGAAATGAGGTCAGCAAAGCCATTGGGGCAGAGCTGCCAAAGGCCTTGGGGACCCAACTCCCACCCCAGTGTGTCCAGGAGGTGGCACATGGAATCAAAAGAGATTATTCTCAAGCTTTAAGATGTAACGTCTTCCCTGCTGGGTTCTGGATTTGTTTGGGGCCTGTTACTCCCTTCTTTTTTCCTAATCATCTCTCTTTGAGTGGGAATGTCTGTTATGCCTGTACCACCATTGTATCTTGGAAGTAAGTAACTTGTTTTGATTTTACAGGCTCATAGGTGGAAGGGGTGTGCCTTAAATATCACATGAGACTTTGGACCTTGAACTTTGGACTTTTAAGTTGATGCTGGGACAGTTAAGACTTTTGGGACTATTGGGATAGAATGATTATACATTGCATGTGAGAAGGACATGAGTTTTGGGGGACAGGGACAGAATGTGATGGCTTAGATATGGTTTGTTTGTCCCCATCAAAGCTCATATTGAAATTTGATCCCTAATATGGTGGTGTTGGGAGGTGGGGCCTGATGAGAGGTGTTTGAATTATGGAAGCAGATCCCTCATGAATGGACTGGTGCTGTTAGCAGGAATGGATTTGTTCTCATGACAATGGGTTGTTATAAAACCAGGTCACTCCTCAGATTTTTCTCTTTTCATATGTGTCCACTTCTCCTTTGACCTTCTGCGCTATGTTGTGACACAGCACAAAAACCCTTCAGCGGAAGCCAGGGTCATGCCCTTGAACATCTTAGCCTTCAGAAACATGAGCTAAATAAATCTCTTTTCTTTATAAATTACCCAGTCTCAGATATTCTTTTGGAGCAACATTTAACAGACTAAGATACAACATTATTCATGTCTTCACAACAGAAACAACCCAAATGTCTACCAACTGGTGAATGAATAAGCAAACTGTGGTATATCCATATAATGGAATAGTATTCAAAAATAATTAGAAACAAACCCCTGATACACGCAAAAACATGGATGAATCCTAAAGGTATTAGGCTAGTGTAAAGAAGACATTATTTCATTTGTAAAACATATTGAGTCAGGAAAAGCTATAGAAACAGAAATCAAATTAATTATTACCAGGGCTGGGTTTGGGTGGAGGAAATTGAGAGGACTTTTTTGGGTGGATGATTTACTCTGTATCTTAATTATAATGATGATCACACAATGATATATGTTTGTCGTTTGTCTAAAAATTTACCTTAGAAAAAGTAGACCTTACTATATGTAATGTACCTTCATAAACGTGAATTTTTAAAAAGAAAAAAATTAGCAAGTTGCATCTAGTAAGATATATACATTGTACATCATGTTTAAGTGTGGTTTATCCCAGAAATTTAAGGTTGGTTTAACATTTGTAAATCAATAATGCAATTCATCATGTTAATAAAAATAAAAAATCATATGATTAACTAAATAGATGCAGAAAAGGCATTTTCAAGAGTCAGAACCACTCATAATGAAAATTCACAGTGAGTAAGGAAAAGAAGGAACTTCTTCAATTGGGAAACAGGACCTACAAAACCTGCAACTAGCTTTACACTTTCCCCAAAGTTCAGCAACAAAGCAATGGTGTCCTCTATCACCTCTTCTATTCAACATCATACTGGATATTCTAGCCAATGCAACATGGGAGCCTAAATAAATAAATAAAGACATAAAGATTGGAAAAGATAGATGAAACTATTCTTGTTTACAAATGGCATAGTTACTTACATAGAAAACTTCAAGGACTCTATAATGCAACTACTATAACTAATAAGTGAATTTTACACATTTGCAGGATACAAGTTGAATATATTTTTAAAAGAAATTACAGCTAGGCACCATGGCTCACACCTGTAATCCCAGGACTTTGGGATGCCAAAGTGGGCGTGTCACGAGGTCAGCAGTTTGAGACCAGCCTGGACAACATAGTGAAATTCCCTCTCTACTAAAAATACAAAAAATTAGCCAGGCATGGTGGCAGGCACCTGTAATCCCAGCCACTTGGGAGGCTGAGGCAGGAGAATCGCTTGAACCCAGAGGCAGAGATTGCAGTGAACTGAGATGGCGCCATTGCACTCCAGCCTGGGCAAGACTCCATCTGAAAAACAAAAAAAAAGAAAAAGAAAGAAGGAAGGAAGGAAGGAAGGAAAGAAAGAAAGAAAGAAAGAAAGAAAGAAAGAAAGAAAGAAAGAAAGAAAGAAAGAAAGAAAGAAGGAAGGAAGGAAGGAAGGAAGGAAGGGAGGGAGGGAGGGAGGGAGGGAGGGAGGGAGGGAGGGAAAGGAAGGAAGGAAGGGAAAGGAAGGAAGGAAGGGAAGGAAAGAAAGAAAGAAAGAAAGAAAGAAAGAAAGAAAGAAAGAAAGAAAGAAAGAAAGAAAGAAAGAAAGAAAGAAAGGGAAAGGAAGAAAGAAAGAAATTACATGGTTAAACTTCAGTACATCCACACAATATAACTCTATTCTATGAAAAAAAAAAGGAATAAGCTACCAAGCCATGCAAAAACATTGATGGATCTTGTGTATTGCTAAGTGAAAGAAGTCAGTCTGAAAATATGAAAATATTACATGCAGATTTATATGACATTCTGGGGCTGGGTGCAGTGGCTCACACCTGTAATCCCAGTACTTTGGGAGGCTAAGGAGGGAGGATTGCTTCAGGCCAAAAGCTGGAGGCTTTAGCAAGCTAGGATCATGCCACTGTACTCCAGCCTGGGCAACAGAGCAAGATCTTGTCTCTAAAAAACAAAAACAACAACAACAAAAATTATATGACATTCTGAAAAATGCAAAACTATGTAGCCAGTAAACAGATTAGTGGTGGTTAGGGGTTTGGGGAGGGAAGAGGTTTCAATAGGTGAAACACAAGGGATTATTTAGGGAGGTTAAAATGTTTGTATGATACAGTAATTGTAAGTACATGACAGTATATATTTGTCAAAATCCATAGAACTTTACAGCCCAAAAAGTGAATCTTAGTATATGCAAATTTAAAAAAAAATTAGGAAGATGGGGTGATCCCAGGGTGGAATCCAGGCTGTGATAAAAGAATCTAGCTCTATCATAAATGCATGAAATAACCTCACTGGAGGGGTGGGGGGAAACATGCTGACCTATGTAACTTTGGAAATGAGTGGAATATATAAGACTAAAGGCAAAGAGAGCTTGTAGTTGTTATAGGTGCCATACTATAGTTGTTAAAGTTGTTTCCCATGAGGGCACAGGTTAACACATCTGAAACTACTACACATGTCTACTGGAATTAACAATTAAGTAAATGGGTGGTGGATGGTGGGAGCCAGCTTTCTCACTATTACAGTGGGAGGTTATAGACAAGCAAGGGGAAGAAGTAGCTAGAGAAATCCATGTAGTACTAGATTAGAGTTGGAGACCTCAGTATAAACTGATGTTTAGCTTACCATAGATAGATGGTTACACATAGAAGTATTTATAGATTTGTATATATACTTGGGTTAGTATGCATACATATATTTCCTTGCTCTGTCAGCTGGGAGAGTCTAGGAGCAATGATACCCCAGCAGCAATGAACAGATACAGTCTCCAGAATTTATCTTTATACTACTCCCCATTAAAAGGAATCATAACTTCTTGGAGAAATAGGTAGTTCTAGAAATGGGGGGAGGGAATATACAAGATAAGCCTGGAGCATCTTGTAGTATGAGAAAGTAAGGAAGTGCTAAAAAGCAAACACCATTGAAGGGGTATGTCAAAGGAGCATAGGAAGCAACTGAAAGAGCTCCCAATGGCCAAAGTCAGAACAATTTGACCAAGAAAATAAAGTACTACTGAATTATAACCCAAAGTATAAAATAAAATATCCATTAATCCCTATTGGTATAAATAAATATTGGAATAAATAAATAAATGGGGGAGAATAGGCAAATATCCTGTGCGGAAGAATTAAAAATAACTTAGATACTCATCCCTTAAGAAAGAGGAGCTTAGCTCCTACCCCTTAAATGTCAGATGTGCATAGTGACTCCCTTCTTTCCTCCCTTCCTTCCTTCTTTTCTTCCTCAGTATAGTATAGAAGGCAGGGAAAAAAAGAGGAACTTTACAATGGAAAAAACTGATAAACTCCTCTTTAGGTAGGTCATCAAGGTGAACACCAACAGTGGTGATAGCATGAAGTCAAATGTTGCTAGCATGTACCTTTGATGTGATATAATGAGAATAACAATTCACCTCTGTGGTCTTCCTTCCAAAAATCCACAATCCAAGTCTAAGTGGAGATGAAAATAAAACCTATCTCATATGGTTGTTGAGAGAATTTTAATGTGACCCCTGAAAAAGAGTGGCTTGACCTTCCTTCCAAAATTGACTCAGTCTTGGCCTAGTTCTCTGTATAATATCTCTTCTATGAACTTCATCCCTTAAGCTCTAGCCCTCTCCCTGTGTCCCTAATCCTCTTGTTCAGCACTTTGTTTCTTCACCTCACTTTTGATATAGTCATTATCTTCCTAGGACTCGCCTCCTCTTCGTATGTTTCAATATGATATCCACGGTAGATTGCATGCTCCTTGAGATAAGAGTGATCTTTGCTAGCTCCACAAAGAGAGAGCACTGGAAGAATGTGCGGTACCCAGGTCAAACTCCACAGGTACTACTCTGAATTCTTATTTAATTTGTGACTAGGTAATACACAATTTTTTTAAGTATTCAATGATAATTTTCACAATGTTCAAAAATACAAAATTACAAAAGGTATTCAGTGAAGAGTATCCTCCCAGTCTCTCTTCTACCTGGTTCCCGCCCCACCCCACCCCAAGAGACAATTGTAACTCCCCATATCTCTCTGTGAAAATATATACATTCTTATTTCTCTTTGCTACATAAAAGGTAGCTTCCATAACATTGCTGTGCACTTTGTGGGTTTTTTTCCAACTAACAGTATATATTTAACTTCCTTGCTAATAACTACTTAGAAATCAATCAGAAAGCTTTAGGCTGGGCACAGTGGCTCATGCCTGTAATCCTGGCACTTTGGGAGGCCAAGGCAGAAGGATTGCTTGAGGCCGGGAGTTCAAGACCAGCCTGGGCAACAAAACAATACCCATCTCTACAAAAAAAAATTTAAAAATTATCTAGGCATGGTGACATGTACATATAGTCCCAGCTAGTTGGGAGACTGAGGTGGGCAGATCATTTGAGTTCAGGAATTCGAGACCAGCCTGGGCAACATGGCAAAAATCCCATCTCTACAAAGAATACAAAAATTAGCTGGACACGGTGGCATGCACCTATAGTCCCAGCTACTTGGGAGGCTGACATGGGAGGATCTCTTGAGCCCGGGAGGCAGAGGTTGCAGTGAACCAAGGTCGTGCCAAGGCACCACATCCTAGGTAATAGAGCAAGACCATGTCTCAAAAAAAAAAAAAAAAGAAAAGAAAAAGAAAAAGAAAATACAAAAAAAAATCACAGTTTGCCATTGATTAACACACTATAGGTTATTTCCAATCTTTTGCTGTTACAAACAATGCTATAATGAGTAGCTTTTTACATAGGTCCCTTATACATGTACCAGTACAACTGTAGGATAAATTCTTAAATGGGGGATAAAGAGTATTTGCATTGGTAATTGAAATTGTCAAATTGTCCTCCTTAGGAATTTTACAATTTATATATCCACAAGCAGTAAATGATAGTGCCTGTTTCCCAATAGCCTAACTAATGAATGAGTAATCAAACACTTGTATTTTTGCCAATATAAGAAGAAAATGGCATCTCAATGTAGCTTCTCTTATAAAGGGTAAGGTTGGTGATCTTATAATATGTTTGGATGCCATTAGTTTCGCCTTCTTTGCGAATTGTCTATACCACTCTCTTGCCCATTTTTCTATCAAGTTGTTGGTCTTTTTCTTATCATTTTTAAAGCATTCCTTAAATATCGGAGAAATAAACACTTTGTAATATGAATTGCAATTATGTTTTTCCAGGCATCACTTGATTTTGTCTCTACTTGTGAGGTTTTTGTCATGCAAAATTGTTTTAATTTTTATGTACTCTAATTTATTTATCTTTTATTTTATAACTTCTAGATTTTGAGTCATAGTTAGCAAGGCCTTCATATGGTTAAAAAGAAAAAAAAAAGATTAGCTGTTACACTGTATACCAGATAGCACTCCACAAAGGTTGAAAATTTCCATGTAAAAAAATGAAGCCTTAGGAGTATTAAAAGAAAAGGCAGATACTTCTTGACTTGAATTGAGTCTAATTTAATTGCCACATTTTGAATGCTTGGAAAAACACTTAACTCCATGTTGGACACAGAGGAGTTTTGCTAGTCTCTCCTGAGATCGTTATCCTTTCATTATCTCACTGGCTGAAATATTTATCAGTAAGCCTCAGCTGACTGAGGCTCTAACCAAAACTCACGTTTCTAGCTGGAGATGGTCCAGACACCTTTCCTTTTTAAGGTGCTGCTAGTTTCTTCTGTTGTGTTCTGTTTTGTAGTCTCACAAGCAGAGAAAGAAGTTGTCAGCCACAATTATTCAGAGACACTTATAATTGCCTTTTACTGCCTATCACTAAGGGTCAAGACAAGGGAATTAAATCATTCATTGATTCATTCGACAAATATACTTATTAAACATCTATTATATATATAAGGCAGTCTGCTTAATGTTAAGCAGACAGGGTGGGAAAAAAAGCTGACAAAATCACTACTCTACTGACACTGATAGTCCAGCAGGAAAGGCAGATCTGAAACGCCCACTTACATCATTTATTAGTCACCAGAAGTAAGGGCCAGGAAAAAGTATGGGGTGAGAGTTTGTAACAAGGCCCCTGACCTAGTCTGACAGGTCAGGGATGAATTCCCTGGGGAAGTCTTTTTGAACTGAACTCTGAAGGATGAGTAGGAACTGACCAGGTGAAGATTAGAAAGAGGTTTCCAGACAGTGAGAAGACACAGCAAGAGCCATGGCCCTGAGACAAGAAGGAGCACAGTGCAGTAGAGGAACTGAACGAAGTGTGAGGCTACTGGGTTGGAGGAGGACATAGGATAGACTTAGATAGAGGTTGCTGTTGGCTGAGTCCCCTAGCACTTGAGATCACCAACTACAGGAGTAAGGGAGGTGGTAAGATTGGGCAGAGGGGAAAGCTGAGCTATGGTATGGTCACGACAGCCTCAGTCAACCCTGCGGGGAGCTGTGAACTGGGATGGCCCTTCAGGGTTGTTCCAAGCTGGGACAAGGGAGAAAGGCCTTTGTGTTCCCAAACTGAACATTCCCTGGATGTGGGCTGCTCTCTGACCGCCAGGGCTGAGAGGTGAGGGCTGTCTGGAAGCAGCACTCCCAAAAGTGGGAAAAATAAGTCCTTCTGTCCAAAGGGGAATCTGGGCAATGAGACACAGCACTCACAATACAAGTCAAATCATTCTGGGCCTTTTAGGTCATGGTAGGAAATTTTAATGTTATTCCAACTGCAGGAGAAAGCCAAAGGGGAATTTTAAGCAAGTAAGCCAAATGATCTGATTGGCCTTTTAAAAAAGCTAGTCTAGGCCAGGCGTGGTGGCTCACGCCTGTAATCCCAGCACTTTGGGAGGGCGAGGCAGGTGGATCATGAGGTCAGGAGTTCAAGACCAGTCTGGCCAACATGGTGAAACCCCTGTCTCTACTAAAAATACAAAAATTAGCCAGGTATGGTGGCAGGCGCCTGTAGTCCCAGCTACTCAGGAGGCTGAGGCAGGAGAATTGCTTGAACCGAGGAGGCGGAGGTTGCAGTGAGCCGAGACCATGCCATTCCACTCCAGCCTGGGCGACGGAGCAAGACTCTGCCTCAAAAATAAATAAATAAATAAAAATAAGATAAAATATAAAAAGGCTAGTCTGGCTGTTTTATGTTTTCATTAGAAAAGTTTGGAAGAAGAAAAAGCATTTAAGAGTCAACTGCAGTGGTGATATGGACCTAAGTGGTAGCACAGGAGGGATGTGGGAGGTGATTTGACTTGGTTTGGGCATGTTGTCAACAAGACTTGCTGATGGGTTGAATGTGGGTTGGTGAAGAAAAACAGAGAGATCAAAGATAATGCCTAGATTTTGGCTTGAGCAAGTCATGGTTGGTATGCCATTGAATAAGATGAGGAAGACTAGAGAAGGAGCATTGTTCTAGCCCATCTCATCACAAATCCCGGGAAATCAACTTTATTATATGGTTGTCACTACTTGTCACGTCTGTGCTGTTACTAAACACACAAGGGCACATTGCCTATTCTTTGGGCCATGGTTTTCACTTGAAATCATGATCCTCAGCCTTCAGTGTCTAGAACCAGTGCTACATCTTCTGTGCGATGTTCCTTGATCATTACAATGCTCAGAAATACACACACACACACACACACACAGACACACACACACAGAGAGAGAGAGAGAGAGATGTTTCCTGACACAGTGGTTCAACTTACAATTTTCTGACTTTATGATACTGTGAAAGTGATATGCATTCAATACAAATCATACTTTGGATTTTGGATTTTGATCTTTTCCCAGGCTAGCAATATATAGTATGATACCCTCTTGCAATGCTGGGCAGCAGCAGCAAGCCACAACTCCCAGTCAGCCACGCAATCAGAAGGGTAAATCACTGATACTCTACAGTGATCTGCATTGCCAGATGATTTTGCCCAACTGTAGGCTAATGTAAGTGTGTTCTTAGCACATTTAAGGTAGGCCAGGCTAAGCTATGATGTTCACTAGGTTAGGTATTTTAAATGCATTTTTGATGCAGAATGTTTTCAATTTACCATGGGTTTATCAGAACATTACCCCATCCTAAGTCAACAGGCATCTGTATGCATGCACAGAGAGAGACAGAGTAATCCTGATATTTTACGACAGGAAAACTAGAAGCTAGGGAGAATAACTGACTTGCCTGAGACTGTACTCTTGGATACCAACAGAGATGTGACTAGACATCAAGTCTCCTGAATCCCTATTAGGTGTCTGAAAACTGCATTAAATCAAAGGAGAACAGGTGGTCAACAAAGATAGGCCAGATCAGTAATTATAGAAGTTTATTATAGAAGTCCAGGCAAGCAGCCAGATGCGGTAGCTCACGCCTGTAAGCCAAACACTTTGGGAGGCTGACGCAGGCAGATTGCTCGAGTTCAAGAGTTTGAGAACAGCCTGGGCAACATGGCAAAACCCCGTCTTTACAAAAACAAAAATCAAAAGTTAGCTGGGCGTGGTGGCACATGCCTGTAGTTCCAGCTACTCAGGAGGCTGAGGCAAAACTCTATCTCTAAAAAATATATCTATATATTAAATTTTAAAAATATAAAAATTAGCTGGGTATGGCGGCACATGCCTGCAGTCCCAGCTATCCGGGAGGCTGAGATGGGAGGATAGCTTGAGCCCGGGAGGCAGGGGTTGCAGTGAGCTGAGATCAGGCCACTGCACTCCAACCTGGGCAACCAGAGCAAGACCCTCTCTCAAAACAAAAGTCCAGGCAATGGATGATGGTAGGGTGATAGCATAGAGATAAAGTAGACATATCTAAGGGTTTTCTAGGTTGCAGAATTGCCAGTACTTGGTCTTGGTTTTGGACGGAGGGAGTGAAGGAGAGAGAGGTGTCAGATAAGTCCTTGGATAACCTGGTGCTATTCACTGAGCTTGGAGGCACTGAAAGAAGACATGGTTTAGGGAAAAGATCATGAGTTTGATTTTCATTTCAGCTCAGGTTAGTGGTTGGTGCTCAGACCTCTAAAGTGTGGTACCTATAGGTGGTGTTCAGACCTCTGAAGGGGGTTATGTGGCCTGAAATTGTGTTTCTGAGTTTGGAGGCTTGGCACAGGGATCTCTAGGTGGGATCCCTAAGTGGCTAGTACTTAAACCTCTGAGGGGACACTGTGTGGCTGGTGTCCATACCTTTAATGGGTGATTGACACTTGGAACACCAGAAAACAACAAAACCAGAGCTGTATGTTGCACTTCCTTCCTGCCTCCTGCCTTCCAATTTTCCACCACTGCCTCCCATTGACAGTGTCTAACAGGAGGTTCAAATGCCTGGGAAATGCAGCATTGGAGAAGTGAGCTTGGGATTGAAAGATATTAGATAAATAACCAGCACAACAGCTTTAGGGAATGAGCCCTGGAGTAGTGATATGGTTTTGGCTCTGTGTCCCCTCCCAAATCTCCTGTTGAATTTTAATCCCCATATGTCCGGGGAGAGGCCTGGTGGGGGCGGATTTCCCCCTTTGCTGTTCTCTTGATGAAGTGTGTGGCACTTCCCTCTTTTCTCTTTCACTCTCCTGCTCTGCCATAGTAAGACATGCTTGTTTCCCCTTTGCCTTCTACCATGATTTTAAGTTTCCTGAGGCCTCCCAGCCATTCTTCCTATACAGCCTGTGGAACTATGACTCAATTAAACCTCTTTGTTTCATAAATTACCCAGTCTCAGGTAGTTCTTTATAGCAGAGTGAGAATGGACTAATACAAGGAGGAATCAAAAAACTGGGTCTTATTTCCAACTTTGCCATCAACCAGCAGTGTGTCCTTGGACATGTCATTTCCCTCCTCTGATTCTCTTTTCCCTTCTTTCAAATGTGTAGACTTCTCCTTGATGTTCCACATATTTAGTTGTCTGTCTTTTAAGAAGCCTTCCCTGGCCAGGCACAGTGGCTCATGCCTGTAATCCCAGCACTTTAGGAGGCCAAGGTCGGCAGATCACCTGAGGTCAGGTGTTTGAGACCAGCCTGGCCAACATGGTGAAAACCCATCTCTACTAAAAATACAAAGTTAGCAAGGCATGGTGGCACATGCCTATAATCCCAGTTACTTGGGAGGCTGAGGCAGGAGAATCTGTTGAACCCAGGAGGTGAAGGCAGTGAGCCAAGATCTCACCATTGTACTCCAGCCTGGGAAACAAGAGCAAAGCTCCATCTCAAACAAAAAAAAAAAAAGAAAGAAAAGAAAAGAAGCCTTCTCTGACCCCCCCATCTCATCTTCTAGTGAGTTTTGGTGTTCCTCCTGTTACTCACATAAATTCCTCTTCTACTTCTTTTTTTCCCACTTTGCTTTTTATTGAAAAATAACTAATATACCATTGAAAACATGAATCTAAAATATTCAGCTTGATGAGTTTTTTCAATTGCTTATACTCAGGTAATCACCAACCCAAACAACACATAAGCATTTCTTCTGCCAAGAAAGTTTCTCCCGCCAAGTAACTTTCTCCCTACCTCTCTACAATAAAAGTTCCATAATCCAAAGCATAAACTTTCTAATTTCCAGCACTAGGTTAGTTTGCCTATCATTGGGCTTCATATAAATATAACATACAATACGCACTCTTTTTTGAAGTTTTTTATGTTGGTATAATATGTATAACATGAAACTTGCCATTTTAACCATTATTAAATATACAATTTGGTGTCATTTATTACATTCACAATGTTGTGCAACCATCACCACCGTCTACCTCTTTGTAGCTCATTTCATTTTACCAGCCTACTGACTAGTCTGAGTCCCCCTAGTGGGAATTCAACCCTCAAGGATTGGGATCATGTCATATTGGTATGTAGTAAATACTAATATTTGTAGATTGGGTGGTTGAATGAATGAATGACTGTCTAAAGTCCCATTGAATGTGTCTTTCTATCTAAGAATTATAATAGTGTTGTCAAACTGTTCCTTTATTCCTCCTCCATTTCTCAAATGCTTACTAGGTATCAACAGGGTATCTGGGCTAGGCACTAGAAATTAAAAGATAACCTAAGCAAAATTCCTGCCCACAAGTCCATAGCCAGGTTAATAATCCAGACAAATAAATACCATGTCATAAAACATTAATTCTTAGTAGAAGGATGAATAGTGTGGGGGATACGGGTGTGAGAATGAGGTTATGCCTTACACTGCCTTGGGAAATCAAGGAGGGCTTCATGGAGAAGCAAAAGCAGATTTACTGCTGTTGAGTGCTGGGGTGGGAGTTGGGGGAGTCTGAAGGAACTGCAAGGAATTCTTTAGGGCCAGAAACACGGTCACTCTTCCTGGATTTCCCCATTCTGCTTCAATGCCTGAGACTGTGGTTGGCAAAGAGGTGAGATAGCTACATTGATTTTTTCAGCATGGTGGGCTTTGCTTGCTCTCCCTGTTCCCACCCCATTCCTCTTCATTAAGGTCCTTTGGCATTTCTCAGCATTTCCTTATTTCTCAGTGTTTCCCTTGAGTTAGTTTCTCCTCTTTGTGCATGCTCTCCTTAAATGAGTGTGGCTTTTAATATCTGTGGCTTCTCACAAAAGATCTTTGTTTAAGACCTTGGGATTTTTCTAGGGAAATCTATATATATGTGCATACATACATACATATTCATATGTAAAATTGTTTTATATACTTATTAGTCTCTTATTTCAAAAATAGCTGCTGAACGAATCTGTACCTCCTTGCTACTATATGTACTCACATTCGCACAGGCACATGCTTTCTCTCTCTGTATCTTTCTCACTCTTTCTTTCTCTCACTTGTCCCCACTCAATCCCATTCCACCCTCATTCTGCCACTTGTATGTAGCTTAAGAATTCAAACCTCCAAGAAGAAGTTGTCTGTGGTCAAAATGGTGCTACTAGACTTTAAATAACTTAGGTACCAAGACTCTCTTATTCAGAGAGCTGGATGTTTGAATGGATGAATGGGTAGATGCATAGACAGATGGACAGACACACAAATGGCCCAAACAATCAAGCTTCTGAAAGTTTGGCAATGTTATTTTTGATAACAACCCTTAGTAAGCAACTCAAAACAAGTGTTGGCAATGATGATGATGATGATGACAGTGTAATGTGATAAGTGCTACAACAGAAGAAGAATAAAAAGGGTACGCTGGGGAGTAAGGCAGTGAGATTCCAAAGAGTTTGGCAGGACTAAGACTTAATAATATTCCTCCTCCACTCATTAAACAAACATTCAAGCAGTGATCTTTGGCATCACCATTTGCCCAGCCCATGCTGTGCATGGTGGTGTGTGCAAAAGAAGTAGTCTCTGACATCCCTCCCTGTTTAAGGCCTAAAATAAGAGATTCCTCCCTCCTTGTTAACCATAAATTAAGTAATTAATTCTTTTACAAGGCATGGGTAAAAGATGCTAAGCCCTAAATACAGGATTCATCCAAGAGGGTTTTTCAATAAGGTCCCTTTTATTTTTTACTCAGGATAAAATTAAATAATAAGATATTATCCACACTGTTTCTCAGCATTCTACTTATAAGGTTTATTTCCTTAAATTGTTTGAGAAGTCCAAACAAGATGTATGCTATTTTAGGAAGCACAGAAAGGCAGATCCATCACAGCCAAGCTCAGTGAAGATGACAGGTGGGAGGGACAAGGCAAGGGTGTCATGCTTTTTTGACCCAAAATGATTGAAACAGAGGAAGATATGAAGATGACAAAGAATATCTCATGCTTTCCTTTCCTCCTCTTATTCTAACTAGGATAAATAATACATGACAGTGGAATAGCCTAAGTGTTGCATTAATTACCATGCCGTTCAAAACCCCACTTTTTCCATATGAAAGAAGGATTTTCATGTGGCAGTGACCAAGAAGCCTCCCAGAACATGAAAAGCAAGGTTGTCTGAGGGCCTTGGCTCCTGCCCGTGAAGAAATTTGACTCTAGCTGCAGAAACAGGAATAACTTAAAAGTCAAACAAAGCTAGGGTGAAAAACTAAACTGACCTAATCACCTTCCCTTTGTTATACATGTGAAGGAGAAAATATTAGAGAATAAGGCTATAAGCAGAAGTAGCAAGAGCTTAAAAAGTCGTGAAGACCTACATGCATGGTAAGTTTGCATATGGGCAAAAAGTATAAGCAAACAGAAGCTGTATAAGGTAGCTTGTTGTGCCTGGAACATGGTTTCCCTGGACTACTCATTAATCCTATGGATCGCAGTTTAAACATCACAGCCTTGAAGAAACCACCCTAACCAGCTTCATCCTCATCTCATACTTCCCACCCTCACCCCACTGATACAGAGACTTGGTCAGGCTCCCCTGTGTGTGTGCTCATCAAATCCTAGGTTATGTTCCCCATCACATCTACCACAGCTGTCATTGAATAGTTATTTATGAGATTATCAGTTACCTCTCTCCCTTACTGTACTAGCAGCTCCATCAAGGCAGGAACTGTGTCTATCTGGTTTCCACATCACTGTACATACTTCTAGCATTAACACAGAATCTGACTTAGGCTGAAAAATAACTAAATGTTTCTTGAATGATTTAATGAGAAGAAACAAGACATAGGCTTAAGGAGAAGACTGAAAAGAAGAACCGGCCAGGCGCGGTGGCTCACGCTTGTAGTCCCAGTGCTTTGGGAGACCAAGATGGGTGGATCACGAGGTCAGGAGTTCAAGACCAGCCTGGCCAACACAGTGAAACCCCATCTCTACTAAAAATACAAAACTTAGCCAGGTGTGGTAGCGGGTGCCTGTAATCCCAGCTCCTCGGGAGGCTGAGCCAGGAGAATCGCTTGAACCCGGGAGGCAGAGGTTGCAGCGAGCCGAGATCACACCACCGCACTCTAGCCTGGGCGACAGAGCTAAACTCCATCTCAAAAACAAAATAAAAGAAGAACCTGACTTCAGAGGACAGGTCGGCGGCCATTGCTGGGCCTGGAGTGATGCCACCCCAATCTCTGAGTGTGAAGACTTAGGTCTGGTTATTCCCCAAACCCCGAGCAGCAGCAGTCCTCTGGTGTCCTGATGTGTGCTGCAGGATACTTAAAAACAAGATGATGAACTCTTGCTAACCCACATATATCCCCAAAACAAATAGCAGAGAGAGAAGCATGGACCATGGGCCACATCAGCGGAATCATCTCTAAATGACATGCTTCTGAAAGCCTCGGAAAGGAGGGGGTGAACTAGAGGTTTACATTAACCTCATTGCATATTTCTTTTTGTTTACAGGAAATTATTTGAATTTTCCATGCCTATCTGTTTGATGTTGACTTCACTGCATCATTAATGCTTAGCTGCATCATTTGGATTGTTCCACATTATTTATACAGAAAAAGGACCCCAGTTGATACTTTATTAGTTGTGGTATAATAATTTGTTTTCAATTATTATTTTTTTTTAGTTTAAGATACTATCCAAGTCTCTCCTAGTGGGGAGGAGAAGAAATACTTTTTTTCTTGTACAATATCATGTTCATATAAATAAGTAAGTAAAACATCTCCCTTCTCTTCAGTGATCCTATACAACTTGCTTATAAAATCAATTTAGATATCTTGCCTATTGAACTGTCTGGGTTTTCTATATTCTTTGGAAGAATAAGGATTTTTTTTTTAATGGATAGGTAGAACATGGCTTTAAAGCAAGGGTTTTGAGCCAGATAACTCTTTGTTGTGGGAGGCTGCCCTGTGCATGATGGGATATTTTGCAGCACCTCTGGCCTCCACCCACTAGATGCCAGTAGCACCCTCCCAGCCCCAGTTATAACCATAGAAATTGTCTCCAGGCATTGCCAAATTTGCCCTAGGTAGGCAAAAAACACCCTAGGTTGAGAGCCCCTGGTGTAAAGGGAGGAAGAGGCTAGAAGGCAGACTGTTTTCCTATCTTTCAGATGAGGCAAAATTATCATTAGCCTTCTTGGTCAGGTGTTTTTCTAATCACTAGTTTGGTCTCCTTTGGCCTAAGCACAAAAAGGCTATGTGGTGTCCCATCCATTGGTGAAAACATGAAACAGAAAATCTCTTTCTGAAATCCCTAGAGGCTTCCCTCCCCATCCTGTAGAAAGAATACAGTATAGTGATCCAGACAGACTAGCAATCTGCCCCTTATGACCTCTGTGACCTCTGGGGAGTCTCAAGCTCCTCAATACAGTAGGGGTACAAAATTTGACCTACCCATGTCAATGAATAGTTGGAAAAATCAAATCAAAATGTACCCAGTTTCATTTTCTATAAGTGACAGAGTCAGACCCACTAATACTGCTTGTTGTGTTGCCTTTTCTTGACAAAATGACTTTAGCCATAAGGAAGGAGTGGGAGGCAGAACAGAGCATGGTTATGGGTCTGGTCTTTGAATTCTAACAGGCCAGAGTTCTAAGCAATTGCCTCCAGTTACCAGCTGTGTAGGTGGTATAACAACTAAGGCACATAACTTCTCTGAGCCTCTCTTTCCTCACCAATAAAATCGTAAAAATATCTAGGGTATAGGGGCGATTATGAGAATAATATTCTAGAATATATGCAAGACACTATGTGCATTGTTCATTACAGGGTGAGTACCCATAAATTATGTTTGTCATTGCTGTTATCATTGTTAATAAATACAGAAAATACTACAAGCTGTCAGGCTAATGGGAGGGACATGTGGGAACAGTTTCCTTTAGGATCCCTAAACCAGATCTGTGATGGGAACTTCAATTCTCTTGCTTTGCTTAAAGCCAAAAGCAATGACAGGCATGTTAAAAGATCAGTCATTTTCCTACGGTTTGATAGCAGGAGCTGTGTCTCATTCATATCTGTACTCAAAGCACCTAGCACAGTGTATGGCCAAAGTAAGGGCATTCATTCCTATGCTCCCGTGCTTGACAGGGAAAATTATTGAGCATCTACTATATGCCAGAAGCAGTTCTAGGCTCTGGACAGTGATGAGCGGTGTTGAGCAAAAGCAGACACAGTCATGGCCCTTGGGGAGTTTATAGTCCTATTGCAAAGACTGCAAATCAACAACTGACTGGGAACAGGCAGAAAACAGAAAAGCCACACAATCTTTTCATAATTTTTTCATTTATGATACACATATAGTTATGGAGAAATAGTTCTCAACTTAAAGAAAACCAACATTCCAAGAATGATAGTAAATGGCAGATGACATGGCTCAGTTTGGGAGCAGTGGGAAGGGTAGAGAGCTAGAGAGAATGTCACTGTTGAGCAATAAAGAGGCACATCCTCCAAGTCATTTTGAGATTTCTGGGTCCATCTGAGGAGATCTGAGTTTTGACTGTGGAGTGTTTGTGATGCATGAAGGATCAGAGGATGGTGGACAGTTGCACAGGAGATGGGAAAGATGCAACATGGTCCCCAGGAGACTGGGCTACAGGAGCCAGATTCTCTGAGTCCCTGAGCCCACAAGCCTCAGCATGACAGTGTAGGTGATGTCACACGAATAGGAAGTAGGTAATGACTGGCCTAGCCCTTTATAAAAAACATTAAAAAAAATAACCCAAATTCTAGAGATGGGGGTGGGGAGGAATTCACCTTTTTTATTCAATCAGCTCCAGAAAATGGTTAGAAAAAGAAAGTCTCCTCCTAGTGATTTTAAGCATCTTGTTCCCACAGGAAGAGGCCATTGGGATTAAACATTACTCTGCCTAAATCAAATCCTAATCCTTTTAGAATGGTTAGTTATCTGTAGGACTTGTTAACTGGCTAGGGATGAGCTTAACCTCCTGGGTGCCTATCACTCCAGTCTTGACATTTTGCTGTTAGTAGGAGGGCCACACACACACAGGATGCTCCAAGAGAGATTAGGACCAGGCTACTCCAAACTTTTCTTTTTTTTTTTTTTTTTCTTGTGCTTTTTTAGGTCAAATAGTCTACAGAGCTCTGGAAAAGGGGTGAAATGAATGTAGGATTGTGGGGAAAGGCAAAAGGAGCTAAAGAGACATTGGGAAAGGAATTTTTGAAAGAGATTTAGGAAGCTGTAGTCTTAAATGTAAAACAAAATACCAAAAGATACATTATTTACTTCCATATAGTACAATAGCTGGGACATTTCTAATAAAAAGTCTGCAACATATTACACATATGAAAATGTACAGTTCTGCAGTCTTTATCATATAAGTTTCAGAGTTGTCTGTTCTTTGCTTGGCACACTTATAAAAGCAAGCATATACTGAATGCTATTTTAATAACCTTCATGGTATGGTATTATAGATTAGATTCAATTCATTGTTTCCTACCCCATACTTGTTTCCCATGGCATACCACTGCTTTTATACTAGACAGTCTACCCTGTAGGGAGAAAAATTGGTCTAAAATATAAAGCTAGCCCTTTCTTTTTGCAGACATCCTGTAATTAGCTCAAGTTTTCATCTCTTCACAGCAAGATCCTGCTGCACAAAACAGAAAAGTTTTCTTTTCTCAACATGTTTTTGCCAGATGTTTCCACCAAAAAAAAAAAAAAAAATGTAAAGGCAAGATTTTTGTGTGCATTCGTATACATGACTTCATCCTTAATGACTGCTTCAAATGCTCCTCCTCCTTAATTAAACTAAGTAGTTCTCCCCCGGGTCCTTTGTAAGAGCATCTATTGTCTTTATCTTCACAGTCTCAGCATTTCAGCCATTCGTGATTGTCCCACATGGCCTCAGGAGGAGTCAAACTTTTAGCTCTATTCATACTCCTTCTGTATTTTCTGCACAGCAAACCCCAAAAAAACACTTTAATTAACAATTTGACCAAAGAAAATTTAATCTCTGCCAAATTAGCTTATAAAATTCTTGCTGTATTTCCAACTAACCTCACATTTTTTTCTGATTAAGGGATTATTTTATGGTTAATGTTGGAAATAGTATGATAAATTTGCTTCAATATTAGCAGTCAGACATTGTCTAGTTTGAGATATCAGTGTTTCAGTTTTGCTATAGAATATTTTTATGTTTTTAAAATATTTTTCTGGCCGGGCACAGTGGCTCACGCCTGTAATTCCAACACTTTGGGAGGCTGAGGTGGGCGGATCACAAGGTCAGGAGATCGAGACCATCCTGGCTAACACGGTGAAACCCCGTCTCTACTAAACATACAGAACAATTAGCCGGGCGTGGTGGCGGGTGCCTGTAGTCCCAGCTACACGGGAGGCTGAGGCAGGAGAATGGCGTGAACCTGGGAGCAGAGATTGCAGTGAGCCGAGATCATGTCACTGCATTCCAGCTGGGGGTACAGAGCAAGACTCTGTCTCAAAAAAAAATGATAATAATAAACAAACAAACAAAACAAAACAAATATATTTATATATATTTATATATACTTTTATATATTTTTATATATTTTTTTATATTTTTATATATTTATATATTCTTTTTTATATATTTATATATTTTTTATATATTTATATATTTATATATTTTTATATATTTTATATATATTTATATATTTATATATTATATATATTTATATATTTGTATAGATTTATATATATTTATATATTTATATATATTTATATATTTTTATATTTATATATTTTTATATATTTATATATTTATATATTTTTGTATATTTATATATTTATATATTTATATATTTATATATTTTTGTATATTTATATATTTATATATATTTATATATTTATATATTTTTATATTTTTATATATTTATGTATATTTTTATATATATTTCTATATTTATGTATATTTTTATATATTTATATATATTATATATTCATATATTTTATATATATTTATATGTATATTTATATATATTTATATATTTATATATTTATATATTTTTTATATTTTTTATATATTTATATATTTTATATATATTTATATATTTTTATATTTTTAATATATTTTTATGTATATTTCTATCCTATATATTTTTTAATATATATATTTATATATATTTCTATCATATATATATATTTCTTCCCTGTCTTCTGTATTTCTGCCATCATCACAAAATTTTGTAATATCAATACTGGCGATGGCCTTAAAAGATCTGATTCAGCTCCTTTCTTGATCATTGGCAAAACTGAGAGGAAGAGAGTTGCCCTAATCACACATCTGATTAGTAAAGATTTTTTGATCCCTATTCTATATCCTACATCTTCTAATAACAGATCGCACTGCATTCTCATGTGAAAACCCAAAACAAAACAAAACCATCCCTTTTTATCAATGGCATAAGCTTGAAATCATTGATGATGATATCTATATACACTTCTCACAAATTGCCAGTCAGTATTCCTTGCTCCAGCTATCTTATGAGTTGGGCTGATCTAGCCACACTCTCATTTAAAATTTTTGGAATATTGAATAAGTGTGAGCTCCCACAATGATTAGTGGCATTATAGTCAGATATGTGTTCAAATCTCAACTTTGCCTCTTACAGATGAAGACCTTGGGCAAGTTACTCAATTTCTCCAAGCCTCAAGTTTCTCATTTTAAAAATTGAAATAGTGATAGGAACTTCCTCATAGGGCTGTCTGAGGAATGAATAAATGAATCAGTGAGCATAAGTGTGCATAGGACGATTCTTGGCAAATAGTTAAGTAACTGACATATTAGTTCTTTTGTTATGTTTGATTCAAATCCCAAGATTTGGTGACTGCCTGGATCAGAAAGGTGGAGAGAAAAGGAAGTGCCACAGATGAGGTCGAGGTTTCAAGGCTAGGTTACTAGACGTTTCTAGTACTCCCCAAAACTGACCTCCCCTAGCTCAACATAAGGAACATGACATTTCCTAACCCCCTTTCAATTAGGCTGGGACTGGGATAAGACCAGTGAGATCTCTAAGGTGAAAAATACAAGGAGCCACTGGCTTTTACACAGAGCCACACAGGGACCAACCCTATACCTGCATGATCCCAAGAGCAAGAGCCTCCTAAGACTATATTCTGGGTACCTCACACCTCACTCCTCACTCTAGTCACAGGATAGGTAAGCCCATGTGACAAGGTCTGGCCAGTGAGCTGCAATAGCAAGTCGCTCTTAAGAGCCAGCACTCAATTCTCCATGCTCTCTTGCCCTGCCACAGCAGCTGAGGAGGTTGCCTGTTCTCAATGGTGGCATTCTATGGCTATGTGAGACAGGTCCCCTGCCTACCATTGAAAATAATGGCAAAACCGCAGTTACTTTTGCACCAACCTAATACATGGCTGTGGAGCATGATCAAGAAATAAAATTCTGTTGTATAGGGCCACTGAGATCTGTTTGCTGCTGCAGCAAAACCTAGCCTATTTATTATTACCAGTATTATATTTGTTATCGCTATTATTAGCATATCCCAAGTCAAAATTAATCAGTGACTTTTGTTGCTTTCGCTAGGAGTATTGAGCTTGCAGGACTGTGTGGGTTAAGCTGTATCCTACTCGCTTGTGAATAGTAATGTCCTCCCTGACAACCTTTGTGAGCAGGGGACCTCTATATCCCCAAAGGCCTAACCTATTGTCTTGGCATATTACAGGTGTTTAATAGATGTTTGTTAATTAAATATTAGAAGACTTTGGTTTACAAGTAATAAGAAATTTTCTACAGAGCAAAAGGTATGAGCCAGCACTGAACCAAGAAAATGGCCCAGATTTTCTCCTATTTCTCCCTGTGAATCTCTTATTCTTTCAGTGCCTGCATCAGCTGGGTTGTCAAGGTTACTTCTCATCATCTTAGGAATATTATTAGATGTTGACCCATATTGTATCAAAATTAGACATAGACCTTGGTGTGTGTTTGCCTCCCCTACTGTTCTGACTGTTGTCACTCTTTTCTGATCTGTTTCCCCCACTATACTGTATTTAAATTTGTGAAGGATTTTACAGCCTGGCTATTCACCAGAATGAGACATCATTCAGCATTGTACTGACTCAGTGGGATTTCAACAGACATAGATTCAAACCCTGAATAAGTTGCAAAGTTCTTTGCTTGAGATTTAAGTGAGATTCAGTCTCTTCTTTCTAAATTTGCAGATTCTATATGGAGTTCTTATCAGCGTTCTGACCAGTTCTCTTACTTTTGTAAGCTTTCATCGTCATTGACATCATTATCTCAGCAGTTTATTTATTTTGTCCTGTGTTAGGTACTCTGCTATATGCTTCACGTTCATAATAGCACTTAAAGATTCACCACAACCCTATGAAAGAGATGCTATGGTTAGTCCTGTTTTGCGGATACATGAGAAAATTGAGCTCCAAGAGAATAAGGAACTTACCCAAGGAAACACAATACTAAATACCAGAGCTAAGATTAAGGCTAGGTTCAGTTTGACTCCAAATCCTGTTCTCTTAGCTTTCTATTATACTGATTAAGCAAGAGATAAAAGTGAAAAAAGTTTCCAAGGTGGTCCAACCCTTTCCAGTTTTATAACAAATATTTAAATAAGGATGATGATATCTAATACTCTGAGCATTTTAGTAGGGATGAGGGAAAAAGAAGAATAATTGGTGACCCAGTCTGACAGAATTTGGCTTACAAGGCTAGGTGTAGTGGCTCATGCCTATAATCACAGGGCTTTGGGAGGGCAAGCTGAGGGGATCACTTCAGGCCAGGAATTTCAGACCAGCCTAGGCAACAAGTAAGGCCCCATCTCTACAAAAGATAAAACAAAATAAATTCACCAGGCATGGTGGCATGTGCCTGTAGTCCCAGTTACTCAGGAGGGTGAGATGAGAGCATCCCTTGAGCCCAGGAGTTTGAGGCTGCAATGAGCTGTGATAGCACTACTGCACTCCAGCCTGAGCAACAGAATGAGACCTTGTCTCTTAAAAGAAAAAAAAAGAATTTGGCTTGCATAGGCTATTACTCAGAAAAAATACTCCCCAATTTCTTTACAACCTAGAGTTTTAAGAGAACTGGGCTCAGGGAGGGGATGGATATTATTGGGCAAAATTGTTTATTGGGAGAAAGTATTTTTAGTCACTTTGAAAGTGTGCATGGTAAGATTAAAAGCTACGGAAGAGAAAATATACACCAATATTATTCTTCAGGCCAGTTTGAAGCATTATACTTTGTTAAAACAACAAATTTTTCTTTCAAAAAAATGACCCTTTCAAACTGAGTTTCTTTCATTATTGAGGTTGAGAATATTATGTTTGCTGGACATTTTTATTTCCTTCTGTGTGAATTATCTATTCATAAATTTTGCCCACTTTATATTGAAATTATATGCATTAATAATTTATAATAACATTTTGCATATTTTGGAAATCAGACCTTGTGATTGTCATTATATTGTAAATATTTTCTCAAGTTTTTTGCTTATGCTTTCTTTGACTATGACATTTCCTATCTAAATATATTTTTAATTTTTATGTTAGAAGGGTAGCTTTGAGTGTGTGTGTGTGTGTGTGTGTGTGTGTGTAAAAGACAGGGAAATAATTTGGATGTCAGAAGCTGGTTTTACAAATCTATTTCATGCCAATAACAAGCAGGCAGGGAGCCACTGTATAATTTGTGAGGCAATTTGCAGAAGGCTTCCTGTTTGACTCTGGGCATCATTAAATAATAGCCATGTGCAGATTTGGCTACTTTCCATGCATGGCCTAAAAGCGGGCCTATCGGCACTCACATCAGTTTGCAATGCCTGGCTGGTCATAATAGGTGTTAATACCAGCCCATAAAACTACTGCTACTTTGTGGATTTGTTGAAATGTCAAGTGATTTGCTGCTGAGAAAAAGAATGACAGAGAAGAAAGAAAGAAAGCTGGAAAGAAGGTAGAAAGGAAAAATGAAGAGAAAAGGAAAGAAAAAAATAAAAGGAAAAGGAAGGAAAAGGGACAAGTAAAAAGATAAAGAAGTAGGTAAGAAAGTAATTGAAAGACAAAGGAAAGGTGAGGAGAAAAGGAGAAAGAATAGAAAGGAAAAAGAAATAGAGAAGCAAAATATAAATAATGATGGAAGGATGGAAGGAAGGAGATAAGGAAGAAGGAAAAAGGGAAAGAAGAAGAGAGAAAATCAAAATTTAAAACTTCAGACTAAATTCATTTCAACTATACAAAGAATCATAAATCCTAGGGATGAAAGAGAATACATAGTTCCTTTACATCTAAGGCTCTCGTTCTACAGCTCAATTCAAGGCCAGAAAGATGGAACTTGCCTGAAGCTCACACAGCAGTTTCATCACATAATGGGAACCAGATTCCAGCCAGGTCTCTTAACTTCCAGTCTAGCCTACCTTCTCTCATGCTGCAAGTTTTTTGTTTCATTGGAAACTTGCCAGTGTTTTAAATCGATTTCAAGCAATATCTAACATAAAAATATATTAGCAAAAAATAGACCTTCCCCTTGACCAGAAAATCTTACCCTATGAGATTTTAAAAAACTGTAGCACATTCCCATAACAGAATTTGACTTACAGTATACATACTTTTAAAAGATGAGCTAGCAGTTTCTTCCTTATTTTATTTTATTTTATTTTATTTTTTGATACAGAGTCTTGTTCTGTCGCTCAGGCTGAAGTGCAGTGATGCAATCTTGGCTCACTGCAACCTCTGCCTCCCAGGTTCAAGCGATTCTTGTGCCTCAGCCTCCTGAGTATCTGGGATTATAGCCACCACACCTGGCTCACTTTTTGTATCTTTACTAGGGACAGGTTTTCACCATGTTGGCTAGGCTGGTCTTGAACTCCTGACCTCAAGTGATCTGCCTGCCTCAACCTCCCAAAGTGCTGAGATTACAGGCGTGAGCCACCACACCCAGCCCTCTACTGTTTTTGTTTTGTTTTGTTTCGTTTTGTTTTTGGGACAGAGTCTCGCTCTGTTGCCCAGGCTGGAGGGCAGTAGCGGGTTCTCGGCTCACTGCAAGCTCCACCTCCCGGGTTCACGCCATTCTCCTCCCTCAGCCTCCTAAGTAGCTGGGACTACAGGCGCCCGCCACCAGGCCGGGCTAATTTTTTGTATTTTTAGTAGAGACGGGGTTTCATCATGTTAGCCAGGATGGTCTCGATCTCCTGACCTCGTGATCTGACTGCCTCGGCCTCCCAAAGTGCTGGGATTACAGGCGTGAGCCACTGCGCCCGGCCCCAGCCCTCTACTTTTTTAAAAAAGTAAAAGTTTTAACTTATAATAGAAAAAATGTATTTAAAAGGAAATTACTCAGGATAACTTAGGAAAATGCTAAAGTTTTCAGTACCTTTAATAGAGTTGCCATTGTTTTGATATTAGACACCTGAGGAACATGGTATTTTTTCCATTCCTATCTGGGGCCAGATAGTCAAAGAGAAGTAGGAGTTTGCATGTACTCGCAGTTGGCCTTTCTTTTCGGTGTTATTTAAGGTAGAGATATGACTTTTCTAAGAAGGGAAGCAGATGGTGAGTGGTTGAACATTAAAAAGAAAATATATGAATAACTGAAAAACCAGAGTATTTCTCCAAATACCCTTAACACGGAAAAGATCCTCTTTGACATGGTTGGAGTGTGCCCTCTCGGTCTTGCAGTTAGGAGGCAGGACTGAGTGAGAGCTCAGGTTTTCTCTCAGTCCCACGGTCCTATATGATCCTATAACACAGTTATAAAAAAATCCCTTTGCCCTAATTAACTAGTTATTGCTTTAATTTTTAATTATCTATTTTGCTTTGATAATGGGGACTTGCTTTATTCTATTAATTTATTTTGGATGGCACTCTGTTTCATTAGCTTAATGGTTTAGAATTAGTGCCAACGAGGCCAGAGTATTTGGTTTCATCCATTCATTCAATAAATATTGTTTGAGCTACCTACACATCAGGGACTGTTCTAGGTGTTCAGCAGACCACATAAACAACACAAATAAAAACCCTGCCGTCGGCCGGGCACAGTGGCTTACACCTGTAATCCTAACACTTTGGGAGGCCAAGGTGGGCAGATCATGAGGTCAGGAGTTTGAGACCAACCTGGCCAACATGGTGAAACCCCGTCTCTACTAAAAATACAAAACTTGGCCAGGCATGGTGGTGGACACCTGTAGTCCCAGCTACTCGGGAGGCTGAGGCAGGAGAATCGCTTGAACCCGGGAGGCAGGAGGTGCGATGCGCTGAGATCGTGCCATTGCACTCCAGCGTGGGTGACAGGGTGAGACTCTGTCTAAAAAACAAAAACAAACAAACAAAAAACCCTAGCCACATGGAGTTTATACTCTGGAAGAAGAGGGTGGAGATAGACAACAAATAAGTATAATAATATATGGTATCTGAAATGGTAATAAGTGCTACAGAGAAAAATAAAACAAGAACGGGGATAGACAGGGTGGGGCTAGAAAAGGAGCCTTAATTTTCAGTAGGATGATCAGATATTTGACCAGAAGAGTCTCTGATGAGAGAAGGCTTGAGCAAAAACCTGAAAGAGATAAGGAGTAAGGGCAGCTGAGGGATGTGTGCAAACAGAGTGACCCTGCCTGGGGAGAGGCATGTGGCTGGGAGAGGCCAGGGAGAGGACAGTGGCTGAAGCATGATGAGTGAGGAGGAGGCTCAGAGAGGCTGGGGTCCAGATCTTGTAGGGCTGGGAAGGCCGTTGTAAGGACTGTGGCTTTAAGTGTGAGTGAGGTGAAAAGGTTTTTCTTTTCTACTGGGGATGCATTTTCACATGACCCCATTGGCTGCTGGGTGGAGAAGAGCGCATTCCAGGGCAAGGGCAGGAACAGGGCCAGGACTAAAAGAGGCTGTTGCTAACCCAGGCAAGAGATGACAGTGGCTGGGGTCATGCTGCTAGCAGCCAAGCAAATATAGGATAGAGATGGATATATCTTGAAGCTAGAAATCACAGGATTGGATCAATGGCCTGGATATGAGGTGTGCGAGAACATGAGGACTCAGGATGATTCCTAGACTTTCGAAGTCCTAAGCAATTGAAAGGATAGAGTTGGAATTGCTCTAAAGTGAATAGGAGAAGGCTGCAGGAAAAACACAGTTGTTTGTTATGAGTAGGGACCAGAAGTTCAGTTTTGAATAACTTTGAGATGCCTACTAAATATCCACCTGGACATGATGAGTAGGCTGTTGCGTATGTGAGTCTGGAGTTCGGAAGAGACATCCAAGTTGCTGACATAAATTTCGGTCTTCAGTGTAGAAATTTGATTTAAAGCCATTGGGTTAAACAAACCAACCAAGGTAAGAGTATTTGCAGGTAAGAGAAGAGACCCAAGGACTTAGCCCTAAGGCACTCCAGCATTATGATGTAGGGGAGATGAGGAACCAGCAAAGGAGGCTGAATGGAAACAGAGAAGGAATGGCGAGTTCTGTGCAAGAGACAGGAAGAAAGAGAATGCAAAATGGTCAAACAATAAATAATTAAGTTGAATTAGATGGTAAAGAAATAAATGCAAGGAAATGCAAGGCCATAGTCACTGGGCAGACAGAGTAAAAGAACATGATGAATCAGGTGAGATTAATCACCCCTCCTGGAACTATCAGAAAAAGATACTCACTGACAGTGAGGCAGTCATGTTAGTCCCCAAGTTGATGACTAATGGAAACTAAGGTCACAGTGCACATTAATTTCTTTTGAAGCAAAGGATAAAAACAAACAAAATATAAAAGATTAAGATGTAAACGTTAGTGTACACTAATTCAGAGAAGAATTAAATGATTTTTAAAACTTCAAGAAGGAGGACAGCATTCTAAATGCATTGTTCTAAAACGATAGTAAGATGGGATAAATAGTCACACTAGGGTGATGATTTTGGATGTGTTAAATTTGTCACTTTGAGACCAGATATGCTCCATTTCACTTCATGCCAGCTTTTAAGAACATATATCATAGAAAAAGAGAAAAGAAACAGTTGAATCAAAGTGAAGAGAAATATTGTGAAGCAAATAAATCCAGGGAAAAATTAATAAAACCCTATTCCCACCCTAAAAAAAAGAAACTAAAAGAAGTGCAAATATAAAGTTCAATAGGAGTCATTAGAGATTGTAAATTGGGCTCTGAGCTTCCTACCAACAAAAGCACAAAGGAAAATATGATCACTGGTATTAAAAAAAAACACCTATGGTTTCCAAAAGATTAAAACAAACCAGCAGTTTTATAGAAGCTAACACTAAAATCTAAAGGAACTACGTTCTATGGAGCCACTTAATATGGATAAACACTTTGACAATATTCTTTCAACAACTACAGTAACAAGTTTCTTAGAGTCCATTTCTTTTTACATCCATAATGAATTGTAAATCTTTTCTACTTCTTAAGTAAAACATCACCACTTAATTCTGGTAACTTTTCCATATTAACTTTTTAGAACAATTGCAAACGTACCATAAATGATTGTTGTCACAGTGGTAACTATTTGACCCTGACTGTTATTTTGTATATAGCAGCTTTTAAAATAAAAAGGCAACAAGTTTCTAGGCGTAATTTCCACAGATCTTTTATGTAAAACAATGACATCCTTTGCAACTTCTGCCATTTAATCTATCTCAAGCAAGCTCTCTGGAAACAAATCTATTTGAAAGATTCTATTGTAATTAGAAATCAGGGTAACTGAATGCACTAGATGAAAACCTTCTGACTGGGGCCAATGAAGTCAATAAAGTCAAAACTGCTGTGAATGCTCAACTGTCTGCAGATCAGATGTCTTGGGATGGAATCCGTTCTCGAGGCCACCATCATTAATATCAATTTGGCCATGTAATACAAGCCTCACTTGTTCCACTGTTACAAATGTGCTTAAAACTGAGCTCATTTACAATCCAAATACATATGTAGGATGGTAACCAAGGCATCACACTAATTTAGGTATTATGTTTTAGGGGGAACAAAAGGTATGTTAATATTTTATTCATCTCCAAATTAACTATAAATTGTGCATTCTTGCATAGATCCTCCTTGGGAATGAGAAATTAGGAAAATCCAGTTGTTAAAATGAATGCCTAAAATCAAAATAAAATTTGTTTTTCTGGCACCTGCTTGATGACACAGACTAATAACCAATGACAAAATTGCCCTTGAACCCAAGTTTTCATTTCCTCCTATTGTGTGGTCAGGTTATGTAAGGGTTTGCTTTCACCCCATTCAAAAGGTACCTCTTCCTCTTCTCTTGCTCCCTCTCGCCCTCATTCTTGTGCCTATGCAGACATTTGAGTAGAGGCGAATCACTTTCACTTCTGCTGGGGAAATTGCAACACGCTTCTTTAAATGGCAGAGAGAAGGAGAAAACTTAGATCTTCTGATACCAAATCACTGGACCTTAGAAGGTCAGAAATCTTTCAAGCCCTGCAGGACCGTAAAATGCGCATGTGTCCAACGGAAGCACTGGGGCATGAGTGGGGAAGGAATAGAAACAGAAAGAGGGTAAGAGAAGAAAAAAGGGAAAGTGGTGAAGGCAGGGAGGAAAATTGCTTAGTGTGAATATGCACGCATTCATTTAGTTTTCAAATCCTTGTTGAGCATGATAAAATTCCCAGCATCAGACCTCACATGTTGGTTTCCATTAGGATCTGCCTGGGGGAATATCTGCTGAATCAGTGGCTCTGAGCTGAACTAGGAAATTCACCATAATTAGGAGAGTCACTGTATTTCTCTCCAAAAAAAAAAAAGTTATACCCGAGAGACAGGATCTTCTGATCTGAAATTTTCTTCACTTCTGAAATTCTCTGGTTTGTGCTCATCGTTGGTAGCTATTTGTTCATCAAGAGTTGTGTAGCTGGCTTCTTCTGAAAAAAGGAATCTGCGTCATATCTAAGTCAGATTTCATTCTGGTGCTCTCAGAGCAGTTAGCCCAGGAAAGGGGCCAGCTTCTGTGACGACTGCTGCAGAGGCAGGTGCAGTTTGTGTGCCACAGATATTAACTTTGATAAGCACTTAATGAGTGCCTTCTCTGTGCGAGAATGGGGAGGAACAAAATGCAGCTCCTACCCTCCTCGGGCTTTAGTTGTACCTTAATAACAGGAATTTTCATCTGCCTGGCTCCTTTCCTCAAAGAACAAAGAAGACTTTGCTTCATTAAAGTGTCTGAGAAGGAAGGTAGGTTATATTTTTATTCCCATTCTATAGCTGGGTAAAGTGAGTTCTAACAAAGTTACTTGTTAAAGGTCACTCAGAGGTCAGAGCATCAGAAAAAAAGACAATCACAAGGCTGATGTTGTGTGCTGGATAGTTTAAACTGAACAGGAAGAAAACATTTTTGTGGGCTTTATCTAAAAAGAAATAGTTTGCTCTGAGTTTCTCAGTTTCATTTATTCAGCAAGTATGTGCCAAGTGCTATTGTAGGCAATGAAGATACAGCAGGGAACAAAACAAAACTGACATGGAGCTTCCAACTAGAAAGGAGAACGAGACAACGCGTTTTAAAATATATATAATGTGTTAGGTAAAAAGTGCTATAAGGAGAGCTAAAACACAATGAGAGGCTAGAAGAGTGATAGTGGCGGAGGGGCTTCTCTGAGGAGATGACATTTGATCAGGGGTCTGAATAAAGTAAAGAGGCCAGTTATGTGAATATCTGGAAGACTCAAGGGGCAGGGCGGAAATAGCCAGTAGAAAGGCCCTGAGGTAGGAAGGTGTGTGGCAAGTTTGAGGAAAAGGAAAGACAGTCTGACTGGAGCAAAGAGAACTGGAGCTGAGGCCATCAAGGCAGCCAGGAGCCAGGTGCAGACTGGGCTTTGACTCTGCCTGCAGGGAGGAACTGCTGAAGGTTCCAAGCAAAGGACCGCCCTGACCTGCCTTAGGTTTGAACAGGATCCCTCTGGCTGGTGTGTGAAGAATTAACTGTAGATGGGCAAGTGTGGAAGGAAGGAGAGCAGTCAGGAAGCTGCCATAACCATCTACATGAGAGAGGTAAGGCCTCAGATGGAGGGGAGCAGTGGAATGGTGGAAAGTGTTTATTTTGAATGTTAAGCCTGCAGGAGTTGCTGGAGGATTGGACATGGGGGATGAGAAAAAGAGAGAGGCTTACAGATCAGGTAATTTAGCTGATCTTAAGCCCCTTACAGCTTAATATTATTCCAAGGTGCCAATAACAGCCAAGGTAAACAACCTTGTCTTGGACATTCTGCCTTTATTTGCCCACACAAGATGAAATTAAATATATATATATATATATAATTTAAATAAATAAATTATATATATATATAATTTAAATAAATAAATTATATATATATATATTTAGTGCTGTTTCCATCAGCTACTAGCTGAGACACTTGGGCAAATGAGGGTGATCTCCAGTCCTCAGTATCCTTGCTGTTAATGAGAGATGGTCATTTCTTCTCTGCCTAGCTCAAAAGAATATGTTAAATAAAACTCTGTGAACTTTAGGCAGCACAGGCTTAGGGCTTCTTAGTAACATCATCAGCACCATCAGAGTTAACTTCATGAGTCAGTTGAGTTGCCTTTGGGGTATATCATTAACAGATTCCAGGAAGCTCCCCTGCCCAAAAGCCTCCCACCAATGGCCTGCCTTGTTGAAAGAATTACACAATTAGCCCAATTCCTTTCCATTAAGGCATTGTGGACTCCAAACATCCTCCTTTAAAATGGAAACTAAATCGAGCTACTGTCAGTCATTTGTCCTTTTAGGTGACGTTATATATCAGATCACTTTTCTGCCATTAGAGCTAGTTGAAGTTTGAATAGGGAAAAGGAACGAATGAACGTGGGGCAGAGAACGCAATAGTCGGTGGGTTACTCAGTAGGCTGTGGACAGATGGAGAGGATCCCGGTGGGAGGAGCCTCTAAAGATAAACTTTCTATGGGAAAATGTTGACAGATTTACCTGAGTCATGGTTTTTCTTACACCTCATAAAAATGAAGGCTTCCAAGGGCAGCTCCTTGAAATAGCTGTAACAAGTAGCCACAGAAGTTGAGTTGCTTAAAGAAAAACATTGAATTCATGGGGAACCGTACGCTTTAATAGCCCCTTTGGCTTACTTTGTTTAAACAAACTCATCCCGAGCATCTCACACTTCACCAATTTTGAGTGTCCCTGCTTTACCTCAGCCTTTTAAAGAGTGTCTTTCCCCTAAATATTTCTGGAAATGCCTAAGGGTGCTGACGTGCAGCCAGAAATAGTTCACTTCTGTCCCCACTATGGCAGGAATCCATGGACCAAGGCTCTGATGTTTCCACAAAGATGCCCCTCAGGACTAGAAATCTGTCCCCATCCCCGTTGCCACCACAGTCACCATCACCTGGAAATCCTGCAGGACCAATGTTTGTGAATTTGGAATATATGCTAGATGCCTTACTACCTTGTTATGACCTTATTTCTTTATAGCACTTTTAACCTAGCGCATTACATATTTTAAATGTATAATTCAGCGATCCAGATCACTGGTCCAGTGTCACCTCCCACTCAGCAAAGTGAGATGAACACACTTGGTGCTACATTCAGCTAGGCTGGCACTGTAGATGCACCCAGTCCCAGGTATTCTAGTGGCTCATGACAGGGCTTCCTCACTGGAGACATGCTGAGCCAAGCAAGGCAGTTTTTACCACCAACCCTGATAGTCGTACACATATTCTGCTCCTCCACCCCCACCAAGGTTGAAACTCCGCTCCTGTCAGCTTTGCAGCTACCACCACCCCCTCAGGGAGAGTCATCTCTGTTCCCAAACCCATATAAATGTCATTCAAAGCCAGAGGATGTAATTGCTGTAGTAATTGTTATAGTCCACTCATCCAGGGGCCCCACTGCAAAGCTGATTAAACCATAGTGTTACTACCTTTTACAGAGTTATTATTCTTCCAAATCAACCCACTGCACCTTTCTCCAAGGCTACAAAAGTGCCCCTAGGGTGGCTGTGTACAGGCAAGTTTTGATGTCAGCTGGGAAACTACCTATAACCCCCACTCTCTGCTAACACCAACTTTTCTTTTTCTATTTTATTTTATTTTATTTTACTTTAAGTTCTGGGATACATGTGCAGAACGTGCCGGTTTGTTACACAGGTATGCATGTGCCATGGTGGCTTGCTGCACCTATCAACCCACCACCTAGGTTTTAAGCCTCGCATGCATTAGGTATTTGTCCTGATGCTCTCCCTCCCCTTACCCCCCACCCCCTGACAGGCCCGGGTATGTGATGTTCCCCTCCCTGTGTCCACATGTTCTCATTGTTCAACTCCCACTTATGAGTGAGAACATGCATAACACCAATTTTTCTTATTGGAATTGTAGTGCCAGTTTAGTTCTTCAGTGGAAGCACTTGTTCTTCTCTATAATCTGTTCTCCATCTGGGAACACCCTACTTTCTCAGACATAGGTTTGCAGTGCATTGGTGGGCAGGATTTCAGTCCTTTCTCTGAAAGTTCCTAAGCCCTATTGAAAAATGAATGCACTGGGGAAGGGTGTGGCCCATCTCTCTCCCCAGAAGCTCCTGAGCCACATTTCTTACCCAGTCCCGGAACCCTGGTATCCTAAACCATGTCTGAACCTGTACCCCTGTGGCCCCAGAAAGGGACCAAACAGTACATCCCATGAAACCACAAAGAGATCATAACCTTCTCCTCTCTCCTCCCACATCTCTACATAAACAACATTTATATAGATGACTGAATTCAAGATACGTTTATTTGGTACTGATGGTCAACTGGAAGTTCCTAAGCAGAATTACTTATAATGTGGGACTGTGTTTTTAGTGGTTGCAGTGAAGGCTCAACACCCCTAAACACGGTGGGAACTTGCTGAGGAGGCAGGCTGTGAAGGGCAGGGTATTAGCATCTTTCCTTAAAATAACATGTGTCTTAGTGTGCTCAGGATGCTACAGTAAAAATACCATAGATTTGGTGGCTTAAACAACAAACATTTATTTCTCACAGTCTGGAGGCTGTGAAGTCCAAGATCAAGGCACTGACAGATCCAGTGTCTGGTAAAGGCCTGCATCCTAGTTCATAGCCCGCTGTCTTCTCACTGTCCTCAAGAGGCTGAAAGGGTGAGAGAGCTCTTCCGAGACTCTTTCATAAGGGCACTAATCCCATTCATAGGGCTCCACCTTCATGACCTAATTACTTACAAAGGCCCTACCTCCTAATACCATCATATTGGGGGTTAGGATTTCAACGTATGAATTTTGGGGAGACACAAACATTCAGTCTATATAACAACACGTACCGTGAAACTTTCCTACTCATAAAAGTAATATATCTTCACTGGAGAAAGTAAAAAAGTACAGAAAAATATGTAGAAGAAAATCTACCATCATCTCACATCCAGAGATATCCATGGTAAATATTTTAATACAATTCCTGTGAAGTTATTCAGTACACATTAATAGAGTTTGAAAACATAATCTAATATAAAAGCATGAAATTCATAAAGATATTTTAAAATAAAGTTAATATGTATGTGTGTATATGTATTTTTATATATACACAAACATATATGCTTATTATTTTTATTGTGAGCATTCCCCCATATTATTAGAAAACCATGATTTTTTGTTCTTTTTCTTTTTCTTTTCTTTTCTTTTTTTTTTTTGGAGATGGAGTCTCACTCTCTCACCCAGGCTGGAGTGCAGTGGTGCAATCTTGGCTTACTGCAACCTCCACCTCCCAGGCTCAAGCAATTCTCCTGCCTCAGCCTCCCGAGTAACAGGGATTACAGGCCCCTGCCACCATGCCCATCTAATTTTTTTGTATTTTTAGTAGAGATGGGGTTTCACCATGTTGGCCAGGCTGGTCTTGAACTCCTGACCTCAGGTGATCTGCCCACCTCGGCCTCCCAAAGTGCTGGAATTACAGGCATAAGCCACCGCACCAGACCAAAAACCATGATTTTTGATGGCATCATCTTATGGATGCAATATAATTAATTTAACCATTCTTCTACTAGTTAATATTAAGGTCATTTCCAACTTTTATTGTTGTTACATTGCCTCTCATTTTCTTTATAAATATTTGGCTCTTTTTATTTTGGATATGTTGTAGCTAAAATGCCATCCAGATAGTTTATTCTGATTTAGTGCCCACCAGGTTCTAGGTGCATGACTGCCATAGCAGAGATAGTTGCATACAGTTCAAGTTTAGATTTTGTTTGTGAGCGGGAGAATCCAAAGACCAAGTTCCTAATATTCTTTTGCCTGAAAAATGGCTACATAACCTTGCCAAATCTCTTAACATTTTCATGCCTTTGTTTCTAATATGGAAAATGAAGATACTCACCAATTTGTAACTGTAAACTACTACACAAGAATGAGGTATTCATTTAACCATATGGTGAGATTTTGTAGTTAAAATTAATTAATTGTGCTCAGTGGTCAGACTACTGGCTTTAAATCCTGGATCCATTATTCATTACTTCCTATTGTGTAACCTGGGCAAGTTACTTAACTTCTCTTCTCCTTAGTTTCCTCATCTATAAAATGAATAACAGAAGCACTTACCATAAGTGAGGATGAGATAAGATGGTGGTATATGTGAGTGGTACACATCTGTTACTATTATTATCATTGTTATTTATTATTAAGCAGTGAATTTAGACTCAATGTGAAATGGTTTAGAAGTCATCAGCTTCCCGTTTCATGTTCTTAAAGCACTGGTGATAAGAGTATGCCTGTATCATGCAGTTATAACTTTAATCAAAATATGAAAGTAACTTTAATCAAAATGCCAAGTCAAATTAGCAAAGTCAGCCCTTTTCAAAATGTGTGCCCTAAAGTAATAAGGTCTGCAGGGTGTGCCCCAGGGACCTTTGGTGGGGAGTGGGTGGTAGTCAGAATGGCGAAAACAGTGGGGATTTTTAGGGCCCCCACTCACATTGCTTTGCTTTTATAGCAAAAATTGTTGGCTGATGAACAAAATCATTTCCTTTTCTTGGACTCACAGCTAGACCTAACTTCCCAAGTCCTGTACAGTTAAATGTTACCATACAATTACAGTGGAGCCATATGTGTCTGTCTCAACCACCCAAGCCTGCCATTGCAGTGTGAAAGCAGCCATAGGCAATACTTAAACAAAGGGATGTGCTGTGTTCCAATAAAATGTTACCAAACTTTCCTATAGTTTGCCAGCCCCTGAACTAGAGCATGGTAAGGCAAGAGAGAATTGTAGAACGTGGTTGGAAAGGCAGAAGGAGTCAGGGAGGAAAGACCTTGTGGAACTCTAGCACAAAGTTTGGATTTTATCCTAAAAGCAGAAGGGAAGCCTTTGAAGGGTTTTAGAAAAGGGTATGACCTGAATTACAGAAGCTCAGTCCTCAGCAGATCAGTATTTCAACATTCACTCACCATGTGAACCATTGATCCCATTTTGTTACTTCCTCTGTAGAATCTCCTCTTAAGGAAATTGAAAGCAAGCTCCTGAATGAGATGGCATTTTCAGGGAAAGACCAGGAGGCAGACCCCAAGGGGCTTCACAAGATGGCATTTTTGTGGCCTTGGTGGATTTGCCATGACCTTGGCTTGGCAGGATCAGAAACCTGAATCTATTCGCCTGTAAGTCCTCTTTTCTTGTAAGTCCTATAAGACTTACACTAAGTTCAGGTGATTAACATATTAAGTCAAAAAGCCCATTTTAGTAATTTTTAATGAAAAACATAATTGCCACATGTGAGAAGCCCATTCTATTTTCATAGACATACTTATATTAGAATAACAATGACCATAATGGTTAGCATTTATTAACAATAACATTGTGCCAGGCACAGTGTCAAGCATTTTCCATGATGACCTCACAAGTCTATCGGTAGGAATTGTGGTTAAAACCCTCTTATAGATAAAGTCAGAGGTTCTAAACTTATAAGATCACAATGCTAGTGAGTGGTAGAGATGAGATTTGAACCCACACAGTGTAAACCAGAGTGTGGATACCTAGCCACTACAACATAGTGTCTCATAGGAGACATGTTCAGAAGGTTGCTAGTGGACATTGAATCCATGGGGGAAAAGAAGGCAGAAAAATCTGATTTTAATGTTATCAGGTTAATGGGGCCTGATGCAGCCATCTTGCAGAAGAACGGTATTGCTAGCAGGTCCTCCATGTTTGTTTACAACACTGGCTACGGCCTTCCCACTAGGATGGGAATTCCCAAATCCTATAATTTCCTAGATGGTGCTGGAAGAGGCACTGCTGAGGTTTGTTTTGCCAACTATCTTTCCCCTCTTCTTCTTGCCTTATTTGTCATTCTATCCATTAAGGTGACTTTTCATCCATTTTATATGAATTTCATAATTAACCTCTCAGGGTAATTCCCCCAGCCCACCCTACTATCAGGGCAGTCCCCAATATGACTAATCATTCCCACATACTAAGACCACAGACTGCTTCAGAATCTGTATTTATATTTTCACTATTAAAAAACTATGCTATCGTTTCCTGAAATCTCTATGAAAAAAAAATACTAAGCTATATCTGGAGTGAAATGGTCAGTAAGAACACAGTTTGTCACACAAAATAATGAAAATGCTATTTCTTACTTATAGTGCAGACTGGGGTTCTTCCTCTAGAATTAGAAATATTAGGCTTGCTAAGATGTGATGGGGAGTTCATTGGGGCTAGTGTTTTAGCTTTTGAACTCTTCAAAAGGAACAGAAATGAAGAAAAAGACCTGCTTTAATAAACAAGGTTAAGTCTGTATGATTTATGGACTTATGAGCAAATCTGACATCCACTCACATGGGTGGTCCTCCCAAGGGATAAACTTCGTAAAAGCACATTTAAGAAAAAGGGAGCAGATACTGTTGGTGCCCTCTTCACCAGGAGACACACTGAAAGGCTGCAGTAGCACATCAGAGCCTCACAGGTCAGCATCAGCCAAACAGCTGTTCTGTGCATCACAAGAATTCGTACATATTTCAAAATGACTAATTTGTACCTATGAGACAGGATTTGACCCACTAATTTTTGTACCGTAACGTTTTAATAAAAATTGTTTTTTCAAAGCGAAGCTTTGCTGAGCAGATGAATTATCATGTGGGAGTTTAAAAATTAGTCAAAGGAGTCTTGACAACTAAGTCCTTTAAGCTTGGCCTTCCCTTGGCCTCTGCCTACTCCTGATCATAATCTGAATAAACTTTAACTTTTCGACTAGAATGCAAAACACGTGTTTTTGTAAAACGAATATTAATGGCATAACTCGTGCTTTATTATTTTAGCTGATTTGTATCAATGTATCAACATTCCAAAGAAAATAGGGAGCATATGTTGGTTAATAATTTTTGTTATGACTATTGACATGTAATTCACATGACATAAACTTTACCATTTTAAAAAGTACAATTCAGTGAGTTTGAGTATGTTCTTAATTTTGTACAACCATCCCCGCTATCAAATTTCAAAGCATATCCATCACACCAACAATAAACTCTGGTTCTATTAGTAGTCACTCCCAATTCCCTTTTCCCTAGCCCCCTGGCGACCACTAATTAATTATTTCTCTGTCTCTATGGATTTGCCTACCATGAACATTGCATATAAATGGAATCACACAATATGTAGTCTTTTGTGTCTGGCACCTTCCACTCAACATACTGTATTAAAGGTTTCTCCATGTTATAGCATGCATCGATCCACACTTCATTTCCTGTTATGGCTGAATAACATTTTGTCCTCTGAATCTACCATATTTGTTTATCCACTCATGAGCTGATCACTTAGGCTGTTGCCACTTATTAGCTATTATGAATAATGTTGTTATGAACGTTCATGTACAAGTTTTTGGGCAGACATGTTATTTCTCCTGGGTAAATTCCTAGGAGTTGAATTGCTGGGTCATATAGTAACTCTATGTTTACCTTTTTGAGAAAACTGCCAATATGTTTTCCACAGTGTCTGAACCATTTTATAATTTCGCTGGCAATGTATGAGAGTTCCACTTTCTCCACATCTTCACCAACATTTATTTTCCTTTTTTTAAAAAACAATTATTGCTGTCCTAGTGGGTATGAAGTGATATCTCCTGTATTTTCAATTTGCATTTCTGTAATGAATAATGATATTGTGCATCTTTTATGTGCTTATTGGCTAGTTGCACATCTTCTTTAGAGAACTATCAGGTCATTTGCCTTTTTTTGAAATGTTGGTTGTCTTTTTATTGTTGAAATATAAAAGTTCTTTATATATTCTAGATCTAGACCTTTACTGGATATATGACTTGCAAATTCTACCATTTCTGTACGTTGTCTACAATTTCAACCATTCTGTGGGTTGTCTTTTTATTTTCTTCACAACGTCTTTTGAAGCAGAATAGTTTTTCATTGTGATGAAGTCCAGTTTGACTATTTTTTTCTTGTGCTTTTGGTATTGTAACTAACAAACCATTGACTAATCCGAGATTCTGATGTACATACATGCTTTCTTCTAAGTTTTATAATTTTAGCTTTTACATTTAAGTTTTTAATCCATTTTGAGTTAATTTTTTAAATATTCTTTTGCATGTAGCTATCCAGTTGTCCCAATGCTATTTGTTGAATAGGTGATTCTTTCCTCATTGAATGGTCTTGGTATTCTTGTAAAAAATCAGTTGACTGTAGGCATATGGGTTTCTGGACTCTCAATTCTACCCGACTGATCTGAATGCCTATCCTCATGCCAGTACTACACTGTCTTGATTACTGCAGCTTTGTAGTATGTAAGTAGTAGTACGTTTTGTGAGTCCTCGAACTTTGCCTTTTTTTATAGATTGTTTTGCTATTTTGAGTTAAGTATTTTTTTAAAACATCAAGTTAAAAATGAAGCTGCCACTCTCTAAAGGAGGACAATTTCAGAAAGGCACTGAGACCTGTGCTTGGTATGTAGTAGGTGCTTTTGAAAATGTTTGTTGCATGGAATGGATTGATTTCATCTCTATTCTAACACTCAATGCCATGTTCATTTCCCCTTTGGAGCCTTTCATCTCTCCCTTCTCTTTTCTAAGAAAATCAGTAACTCTCTCATTCATACATTGTACACATACATATCTTTATTTGTTTATGTGTCTATTTTCCACTAATTAGACTATAATGCCATATAAGGCTAGAATTACATCTAATTCATTGCTGGGTCCCAAAGCCATGCTTAAGACCATAAGTATATAGGGGTTTTTTTTCTTTTAAAAAGTTTTTATTTTTAATTATTATGGATACATAAGAGTTACAGATATGTAAAGGGTACATGTGACATTTTGATACAAGCATACACCATATAATGATCAAATCAGGGTAACTGGGATATCCGTCACCTCAAGCATTTGTAATGTATTTGTGTTAGAAGCATTGCAATTCCACTCTTAGTTATTTTGAAATATACAATAAATTTTTGTTAACTGTAGTCACCCTGTTGTCTACTGAACACTAGATCTTATTCCTCATATCTGACTGCATTTTCGTATCCATTAAACACCCCTCTTTTTTATTTTTTATTTTATTTATTATTATTATACTATAAGTTTTAGGGTACATGTGCACAATGTGCAGGTTAGTTACATATGTATACATGTGCCATGGTGGTGCGCTGCACCCATTAACTCGTCATCTAGCATTAGGTATATCTCCCAATGCTATCCCTCCCCCCTCCCCACACCCCACAACAGTCCCCAGAGTGTGATGTTCCCCTTCCTGTGTCCATGTGTTCTCATTGTTCAATTCCCACCTACGAGTGAGAATATGCGGTTAAACACCCCCTCTTTATCCCCCCTCCCCACTACCCTTCCCAGACCCTAGTAACCATCATTCTATTCTTTCTCTCTCTGAGTTCCCACATATGAGCAAGAAATGTGATATTTGTCTTTCTGTGCCTGGCTTATTTCTCTTGCATAATGTCCTCCAGTTCCATCCATGTTGATGAAAGAGACATAATTTCATTCTTTTTTATGGCTGAATAACATTTCATTGTGTATATGTACAACATTTTCTTTATTCATCTGTTGGTGGACACTTAGGTTGATTCCATACCTTGGCTATTGTGAATAGTGCTGCGGTAAACATGGGAGTGCAGATATCTCTTCGATATACTGATTTTCTTTCTTTTGGGTATATGTCCAGCAGTGGGATTGCTGGGTAATATGGTAGCTCTATTTTGTTGTTGTTGTTGTTTTTAGGAACCTTCATACTGTTCTCCATAGTGGCTGTACTAATTTACGTTCCCACCAACAGTGTATGAGGGTTCCCCTTTCTCCACACTTTTGAGAGCATCCGTAATTCCCTGTCTTTTTGATAGAAGCAATTTTCACTGGGATGAGATGATATCTCATTGTAGTTTAGACTTATATTTCTCTGATGATTAAGGATGTTGAGTATTTTTGGCCATTCGTATGTCATCTATTCAGATCTTTTGACCATTTTTAAATCAAATTATTTTTTCCTATTGAGTTGTTTACACAACTTATATATTCTGTTTATTAATCCCTTATCAGATAGGTAGCTTCCAGATATTTTATTCCATTCTGTGAGTTGTCTCTTCACTTTGTTGATGGTTTCCTTTGCTGTGCAGAAGCCTTTTAGCTTGAGGTGATCTCATTTGTCCACTTTTGCACTGGTTGACTGTGCTTTTGATGTCTTATTCAAAAAATATTTGGCCAGACCAATGTCATCTCTTGCCATATACAAAAATCAAATCAAATTGGATTAAAAACCTAAATCGAAGGCCTGCAAGTATGAAACCACTAGAATAAAACAATATATATGTGTTGGAGGGAGAGAAGAAAGTAATGAAGAAAGAAAGGCCAGGTGAGAAAGTAAGAGAGAAGGGAAAATGAACAAGAAAGACAAAAGTCATTCCAGGCACTGTTTTAAGGGGCATCTCATTTATTCTTACAACCTTATGAGATAAGCACTCTTACTTTCAGTTTGTTCAGGATGCTATAACAGAATCCCATAGACTGCGTGGGTTATAAACAATAGAAATTTATTTCTCTTAGTTCTAGTGACTGGGAAGTCCATGATCAAGGCACTGACAGAACTGTTATCTGGTGAGGACCTGCTTCCTGGTTTACAAATGGACAGCCATCTTCTCTTCTTGCTTTGTCCTCACATGGTGGGAAGGGGTAAAGAAGCTCCCTGAGGCCTCTTTTATATGGGCACTAATCCCATTCATGAGGGCTCTGCCCTCATGACCAAATCACCTCCCAAAGGTTCCACCTCCTAATGCCATCACCATGGGGTTAGGATTTCAACAGGAATTTGGAAAGGACACAGACATTCAGAACATAGCACCCCCATTTTACAGATAAGAACAGTGAGAAACAGAGAGTTAAATAATTTTCTCAAGGTCATACAACGAACCCGTAGCCTAGGCAGCCTGGCTCTTTGGTCATGTTCTTAAATACTATGCCATACTGTCTCTCAAATAAACACTAAAATCAAGATACTTGGGATGATCGTTGGGAGGCAGAGCCCAGATATCTATACTTTAAACAAATTCCCAAATGATCTGATGGGCAACTCAGATGAAAATCAATGCTTCAAGAAATAGCCAAATAAAACTCTATGGAAGGTAAAGATGGGGAGAGCTTGGTGAGATGTCATACTTGGGAGGAAAAGCCAGGGAAAGTAAGAGAAAACTGGGTATTAGTAAAGATCATGGAGAAGGGAAAACACAAGATATTGCTAGGCTAAAAAAGAGGCAGACCTGATGAAGCAGTGAACACCACTTCAGCCACTCCCTACCTTGGCCCCAGCTGGCCCTGGCTGTGACTGTGTTCCATACTCTGCAATGACATGTAACTTCCACCACGTCCATATCATACCTAAAGCCTACTTCAGTGTGTCCACAAAAGCAAGTAAGAATAAAAAGTAAGAGAAACAACTCACATTTATTTGCTGCTTATTATGTGCCAGGCTATGTCCTTTTTTTTTTGAGATAGAGTCTCACTCTGTCACCCAGGCTGGAGTGCAGTGGTGTGAGCTTGGCTCACTGCAACTTCTGCCTCCTGGGGTCAAGTGATTCTCCTGCCTCAGCCTCCCAAGTGGCTGAAATTACAGGCACGTTTAGTAGAGATGGGGTTTTGCTATGTTGGCCAGGCTGATCTTCAATTCCAGACCTCAAGTGATGTGCCCACCTCAGCCTCACAAAGTGCTGGGATTACAGGTGTGAGCCTCCACACCCATGTGCCAGGCTATGTTTTAAGTGCTCTACCCATGAGAACTCACTTAGTCCTCATAACAATCCTGTGAGGTAGGTACTATTGTTTCCCCCCATTTTACAGGGAAGGACTCTGAAGCACACAGAGGTTAAGGAGTTTATCAAGGTCACTGTAGCTAACAAGCAGCAGAACCAGATTCAAACCCGGAGCCCACACTCTTAATCACTATGTTGCTTCTAGAAGAAAGAAAATAAGGGATGAAGGATAGTAAAAACATGCAAGCCCTTCTGAGCCCCCTGTTGTTGGCCCCACTTTGGCAGGAGTGTTAGGAAGACTATGGGAACTCAAAGGTGACACTTAGCACTCTCCTCCAGAGGCTACAGGAGCCATCATTGGTAGCTAGCCATTTGTATCCCCCGTGATGGTGGAGAAAAGCCCACACTGTTGCAAGTTTCCAGAATTTTCTCTGCTCTGGAAAAGACTCCCAAACTAGGGTTAATCAAGTATCTTTTTTGGTGAATTTCATTAAAATTACCACATAAAAAAAGAAGAATTTGTCCTGAATTATACATATAGGAGAAAAATGATAAAATAAAATAATTTCCATTATCTTTGTAGCAAAAAAAGTTGGAATGATTCCACCAGGTTCTCTGAAGGACTTTGTTTTCAAAGGAGATGTTAAAATGTGTAAAATATCCAAAGGATACACTTTTGCAGCTGAATTTAGGATCTTAAGAAACATGGTTTTACCGTGTTTCCCAATGATTGTTGAAAAGAAGCAGTGACTGGGTTACATCTAGGGCAGGGTTTCTCAGCCTCGGCACTATTGACATTTTGGGCCGGGTAATTCTTTGTTGTGGGGGGCTGTGCTATGCATTGCAGGATGTTTAGCAGGATCCCTGGCTTCTACCCACTAGATGCCAATAAGATTCTCCCTTTCCATCTGTGACAACCAAAAATGTCTCCAGGAATTTCCAAATATCCCCTAGGGCCAAAATCACCCAGTTGAAAACTAGTGTTCTAGGGAAAACCATTATAATTAATAGCATGTCTATGATCTCCCCTGTTGCGGGAAGTCAGGGACCCCAAACGGAGGGACCAGCTGAAGCCATGGCAGAAGAACGTGGATTGTGAAGATTTCATGGACATTTATTAGTTCCCCAAATTAATACTTCTATAATTTCCTATGCCTGTCTTCACTGCAATCTCTAAACACAAATTGTGAAGATTTCATGGACACTTATCACTTCCCCAATCAATACCCTTGTGATTTCCTATACCTGTCTTTACTTTAATCTCTTAATCCTGTCATCTCCTAAACTGAGGAGGATGTATGTTGCCTCAGGACCCTGTGATAATTGTGTTAACTGCACAAATTGTAGAGCATGTGTGTTTGAACAATATGAAATCTGGGCACCTTGAAAAAAGAACAGGATAACAGCAATTGTTCAGGTAATAAGAGAGATAACCTTAAACTCTGACCGCCGGTGAGCCAGGGGGAACAGAGCCATATTTCTCTTCTTTCAAAAGCAAATGGGAGAAATATTGCTGAATTCTTTTTCTCAGCAAGGAACATCCCTGAGAAAGAGAATATGCCCCTGAGGGTGGGTCTCTGAAATGGCCCCCTTGGGTGTGGCTGTCTTCTATGGTTGAAACTGTAGGGATGAAATAAACCCCAGTCTCCCATAGCGCTCCCAGGCTTATTAGGAAGAGGAAATTCCTGCCTAATATATTTTGGTCAGACCAGTTGCTCTCAAACCCTGTCTCCTGATAAGATGTTATCAAAGACAATGGTGCCCAAAACTTTGTTAGCAATTTTAATTTCGCCCCCGTCCTGTGGTCCTGTGATTTCGCCCTGCCTCCATTTGCCTTGTGATATTCTATTACCTTGTGAAGCGCGTGATCTCTGTGACCCACACCTATTCGTACATTCCCTCCCCTTTTGAAAGTCCCTAATAAAAACTTGCTGGTTTTGCGGCTTGTGGGGCATCACGGAACCTACCAACATGTGATGTCTCCCCCAGACGCCCAGCTTTAAAATTTCTCTCTTTTGAACTCTGTCCCTTTATTTCTCAAACTGGCTGACGCTTAGGGAAAATAGAAAAGAACCTATGTGACTATCGGGGCAGGTTCCCCGATACTCCCCAAAGTATTGCATGGAATGCCACATTTCTTTTATCATAGTGCTTCAAATAAGTATTTCAGTGTGTTACTGAAAATATTTATAAACAAAATATATTTGATAGCAGGGTATGAATATGCCCGTGTCCTTGGAAGAGAAAGAGGGGACAAGAGAACAGGTATAACAGCATGTTGTTGGTGAAAATAAATTGGTAGTAATATAGATTGAATATCCCTTATCCAAAATGCTTCCGACAGGAAGGGTTTTGGATTTCAGATATTTTCAGATTTTGAAATATTTGCAGAATACATACAGGTAGAGCATCCCTAATCCAAAAATCCAAAATCTGAAATGTTCCAATGAGCATTTCCTTTGAGCATCATGATAGCACTCAAAAAGCTTTGGATTTTGGAGCATTTCCGATTTCAGAATTTGGGATTAGGGATATTTGACCTATAGTAATGCCAAATACTGCACTAAAATTAGCAAATGTAATCTCATTGAATTGTGACAACAGCCTTAAGAGGAAACCCGATCATTATGCCTACTTAGTAGATGAGGAAACAGAGGTAACTAGGTCAAGGTCACACAACTTGGAGTGTCAGAGTCTGGATTCTTTCTAGTTCTGCCCTCGTCCAAGCCAGTTCTGTTAACACTATTCTTCCTTTCAGCATAATCTGTGTCATCACTGGAGCTTATGTCTACCTGCCTGCCACCCAGCACCAACTGTTTACCCTTTAAGTCTCATTCTGCCTCCTCCAGGAGCCTTCCCTGACCCCTGCCTTCACCTTCTGACCTGTGCCCCTTCACACCCTGTGCCCTCTTAACTGGGAAAGCCCTGAGGGCAGGGGCCATACCTTATTTACCTCTATCTCCAGCTCACTGCACAGAGGCATTCAGCAGATGACCAGTAAATATGGGCTGTCTAGTAAAAACTTTGCAGTTAGAGATAATGAAAGAAACATAATTACTTCTGTGTGGGTTGAGAAAGAAGGGAAGGGAAAGTCCAGATACTTAAGCAGAAAAAGGCAAACAGTCCAAAAGGGGAAAAGTAACTTGCCCAAATCATGCAGTTGAGGGCAGGAAGAAAGGGGGACAAAGCCAAAACCAAAACCCAGTCCCTTGTCCCAGCCCAGTGCTTTGTCTGCTACGTTACACAAACTGTGATTGTGAAATTAAAGGGTTTTTGATGGCACTGATATAAGTAAATAAATGGCTTTATGAGTTAACACATGACAAGCAATAAACTCATAAAAGGTAAATATTGACAACTGAAGATTATATATCACTATGTTTAGTGTGTGGAGAACCCAACTAGGAATTAGGAAAGCTTGCACATTCAGTCTGGTTTCTTGGCAAATCAATGAGACTTCAAACAAATCATTTTATTTCTCTGTGCTTCTGTTTCTTTTGGCTGTAGTATTTTGCTGGTTAAAGAGCACGTGATCAATGTCTATGCTTTTAAATGTCTGTCTTTATTTGAGCATGCTCAGCTGGATGTGGAAAACCTATGGTTCTCTTGGGTTTCATAAGGATCAAATCCCACAGTGATATGTAAACTTGTGTGGTTTATAGAATTATAGGACCTCAAAGCTGGGAGAGGCCTGATAAATCATATAGTGAAAATTTCCAGCCAGTGCCTGGATTTCTTTTACAGAATCTTTCTTTTATTGGACAGGTGCTCCCTTCACAATCCATGATGTAAGGAGAAAAGGGGCTTCGTTTGAAGGAAGTTAGTGTATTGTGTATGGGCGTGTACTTTCTGCTTGGGGTGTGCCTACAGGGCTATCTCACTTTCTGAAAGCGTAATAATAAGTTACTTTACCATGCATTAATTAAATGTCAGAGACCATGCTAAATGCTTTACAGAGAATATCTTTTTTAATCTGTATAAGAACCTCCTGAGGCAGATAATATTATTAACCTTACTTTTCAGATAAGGAAACTAACATTCAGAAAAGTTAAGTAACTTGCTAAAGACATGTGTCTACTAGGAGGTAGAGTCTCAAGTCTATTTCAAGCTCCTAATAAGTAAATAAATGTCTATTGAATCCAACTAATGACATCCCACTCCATATTCCCCTGCCACTGATGAGAGAGAGAAGTATAAAGTTTATGTAAATAAGACAGAAGCAATGTTTTATATAAGCATTGTGGATTTAATTCCACTAAGGGATTGATTTTTCATCTTAATGGAACTTTTTCTTCAGCTATCAAGTTTCAGTTTCAAGATCGCAAATGCTAAGAAGATATTAAAATATTTTAATACATAATTCCACTAGATCATATTTATAGGTACTGTTAATATATTACCAAATCTACTATAAACAAAACAATAAAACAAAAGGCTGGATCAATATGGAAAGTAGAGTAATAATTTAGGCCCTAAAGAAAAACTACGTAAGACATTTCTTAGAGGATTACCAGGTTTCTCTCTCTCTCTCTTTTTAAACACAGCCTAAAATAGAAAAGCAATTTATGTATTAATAAAAAAAATAGAAACCTGAGGCAGATGTAACCAGAATAGGTGAATTAACTGAAGACTGATATTCTTATTTATGTTTGTGTATTTTAAATAAAGAAGGAGTTTGACCATCTCATCTAGTTAATCATTAAAAGGAAACTCGAGCCAAACTTGTGAAGCAGGTAAAGTTTATTTTTAGACATTCAACTGGCTTCTCTTTTGGGCTCCCCTTTTCTTTTGGGGTCATCCTCCATGTCTGGTAACCTTAACCTCCCTGTCTCTTCCAGAAGGAGCAACACCCCCATGTTTTAGACCTTTACTTCTGATGTCAGGACCCTTTCTGATGCAAGTGTTAGCTAACTCCAGCTGGCTGAAGAGGAAGGAGGAGGAAGAGAAGGAGGGGGAATAATGTATTGAAGTGTGTAATAGTCAAGTCTAGGAGCAGCCCTCACCTTAGGATCTAGACATTCATATTATATAATTGGGAATCTATTTCCAGATCTCTTTGCTTTTTTTTTTTGCAAACCTCAATCCAATGGAGTCTCTAAGTGGTAGACCACAGCTGCTCCAAGCTTGCATCGTATCAGCTTAGCTATTCCTGTTGAGAAACAAGACAAGTTTCCAAGTAGTCCCAGAAAGCCAAGAATTAAGGTGTATCTGTCCCTGTCATGTGCCTATCTCTGATATTACCAGACCTGGCCCATGCAGAGTTACAGATGGGTTAATACCACCATAAGCGCATGGACCAAAGTTAGGGAAAGGATAGTTTTCCAAAGGAAATGTTAGGTCCTAGTATCATATGTGGAGAGGGGATACTTGGCAAGTAAAACAGTACCTATCTACCATGTGGCCACAACAGGGCAGATCAGGGTCCCTGGTAGGATGGAGGCAGCCATCAAGCATTATGGTATCCCTGAATAATCCCTTCCCAGTTCATATGTAAACCAATCCTCTTAAATTGTTAATGCATTTAACATAAGGATGGATTCAGCAAAACTGTATCAATAGCAAAACATGAGGGGTCTCCAGCTAGTAGCCTGTCCTGCATAGCCATCCATGACTACTGCTCTAATTGATTTTTTCTAGAATGTCTAAAGGAAGATGAAAGTAGAAAATGAGCTGTAGTGGACAAGCATTTTTAAAATGAGCCCAATAATGTAGCACTTTTGGGTGCTTGATAATTGTTGCAAATCACATTTGCCTGAGAAATTTCAATTCTATAATAATTGTACAATAGCAGAAAGATCTAGATACAAAAATATTCATTGCAGCATGGCTTGCAATAGTGAAAAATTGAAAACAATTTACATATACTTCAATAAGGAAAGGTTAAAACAATGGTATACTATGCTACTATTACCTGAAAATATTGAAAAGATGAAAAGATGTCCAATAACATTTGATGAATAAAGGTTGAAAAATACATGTAGTAAAATCTCATTTTTGTTTTTAAAAAACATATATGCATGCATGCATCCATGTATAGACAAAAAGGATTTGAAAATATACAATAAATTATAGTTAATCACATTTACCTTATGGTACTGCAGAACATCAGAACTCATTCCTCTTATCTAGCTGTAATTTTGTAATCGTTAACTAATCTCTCCCCATCCTCCCCTTCCCCCTGCCCTTCCCAGCCTCTGATAGTCACAATTCTACTTTCTATTTCACATAATAAAAGTTTTTAAAGAGGGGAATAATGGGGTGGGGGATCTGGAATATACATAAAAACTCAAAAATAATTACAAATTTGTTGCCATCAAAATATAAAAAGAAAAAAATAGTTACATCTGCAAAATGGGATTGTGTGAGGAAGTTTTTACCTTTATACATTTCTACCTTCTGTATGTTTGGATTTTTACAATAAGTATGTGTTATTTTCTAGCATCTTTTGAAGTTTTTTTCTTAAAGGCATAAGTAATATCTAAAGTTATTTTTCATCCTTCTAATGCCGTCTACACAAAGATAACGATTTTTCTTGGATGGCCCCAATCTCTCTTCTGTAAGATCTTTCCCCATTTGTCATATCCATAACTCATAACCTCCTCACCCTTCACTGCTCTCCATTTTCTCTATAAAGTGAGCCCAGTCAGTACTTGTAGGCTTGTTAAGCATTACTTCTAATAAGAAAGACTAACTTGTAAAGCAAATGTGGAAATGTACTAATATAGCATCAAGCACAAAATAGCCATTCAATAACCGAACTATTTAATTCCTTTTTTTTCACACTTCATCCTTTCCCTAATTCCAGAAAGAACTTGAACTGGGTCATAACAAAGACAAATTTAGACAGACAGATAAAGATATCTCATAGGTAGAAATAAAACTGAGTGATTATAAACTAATCACAGGAGGCTCTGTTAGTCTGATGAACAGAAACACACGTGATAAAATCACAGAGAGGTAAAATAGAAAATGAAAATCAGGATCAAGAAAAGGGAAATAAAAATATGCTGGACATCATTCAATAACTATTTGCTGATGGTAATTATAGGGATGGAAAACCCATCAGGCCTATGGAGCTAAAATTAATCAGCAAGTATTCACAGAGTGCCTACTGCTTCTATTACTGGTTCTGGCTTCCTGCCTGCCCAGTGCAGAGGCTTGAGACATTTGCGTGACATTCAGCTTGTCAAGACAGAAGGAGCAAAATAAGCAGACAGAGGCTCACTGCAGCCGCCTATACCCATCATATTGTTGGAATCATATTCAAGTGAGACAAACTCCTTCAGTGGAAGACGATAAAACTAGCTTAAAAGTTGTAAACATCACTTCATCACCCAAAAAAGGCCCAATTAAGTGGAGATACTATTTCTGCAAAGCAATCATCAATTCATTTGTGTAACATTTGAAATTTCAAAGTACAAACCCACATTCTATTAAAGGCAGGAAGTGAAACCAATAAAACTTGTAACAACTATACTTAATTTTCAGGGTTCTTTCCATTGCTGACAAACATTTTAAGTCATGTCTATTCTCTTAAAATGTAAAATATGATGTTTATGTCACTGTTAATATTTTGATAAAAAGCTATTGTCATGGACATCTGGGTTTTTTTCTGCATGCCCAGAAATCCCTTTTCTCCTATTTAAATTTAAAATCTCCAATTATTTGGAGAAGCACCTCCTCTTCTCTCTCTTTCATTTGTACCCCATTCTTAGGTGTCAGTGGTGGGCACTTGAGCTAGGCTTTGCCCATCATAGTACACATTCCTGACATCCCTTGGTCATAGTTATTGGTCCAGGGATAAGCATTTGAACCAACTAGACCAGTGAAACCCCTCCCAGGAACAACTACTAAAATTATGGGAAAAGAACTCTTTCCACTGAAGTTACTAACCTGGCAGGATGTGTTAAATCCAGGTGCCACAGGCCACCAGGTGGAGAGGTGGAGATAATCTTTCCAGAAAACAAAACAAAACAAAACAGGAAAATGAAGCTAAGGGATAAAATTTAAGCCCTTTGGACTTCATTTGAGCCCCTGAATCCAGTCATGCCTCCTGAAATTAAACTTCCCCTGGACTTTTCAGTGAATCAAAAAACTCTGTTTTTAACAGTGGGGTTTCTTATAAATGCACCAAAAAATGACCTAATGAATGTTGTCTACAAGCTTCCATTAGAAGTATTATCTTCAAGAGAAAAAAAAAACAAATAACTTGAAGAAAACCCTTCATAATTCAAGTCAGTCCTGCTAACCTCTAGGAAACCCTCCGTGACCACCATCTCCATATCCACACCCATTTTCCTAACCTTAAACACCAGATGACTTCTTGAAGCTTATGAAGTGCCCTATGCATCTAACACATTTCTGTAAGTCTGCATTGTTCTATAATGACTTGTAACCGTATCTGTCTCCATTTCCTCCAGAGAAGAGATTGTTATCATTTTGATATCCCTGCAGCCTTATACTGGGGCCTAACATATAATAGTTGCTATTTTGTTGAAGGAATTGTATTTTGTTGAAGGAATTCTCTTTTGTTGAAGGAATGAATGGAGAGAATATTAATTAAGAAAGTCTCTTCTATTAATAAACATTCCCTGATTGATTGAAACCATGCCTAAAATAGCTAATCATCAGAAGACCAAAGTAAACAACATATCCAAACTGAATCCTCAAAGTGTTAGTCATTGGTAGCTGTATAGCTGAGAATCTTTCCTTCTTCTGGTCATTAGGGTTGAAAGGGTGGGTGAATGTGGAGACATGATTCTTTCTTTTGCAAAACATTTACTATTTTTTAAACTCCATAAAATGTAATAACTTCTCTTGAAAAATGTTAAAACCCAAACAAAAAAACCTGTAATGTGGAATATAGATTGTAGGTTATAATGGAGGAAGCAGGGAAAGTGGGGAAAACTGTGGTTGCCAGAAGTTTTCTGATAACTAATAGGCAAGACAATAGGGTGGCTTTTGGTAGGGTCCTTCTTTATGGCATAGCAAAGAAAAATAGGAATGAAGAAGTGAGAAGCATGAAAGGGGACAGCAATATATGTGTAACACAGGGTGATTCAGTGTGAGAGTTTTATAATTAAAATTGCCAAATGTGAGAAAAAAAAATCTACTATAAATTGGGATAGGCTCAAGGCATGGAGATGAACAAATAACCCCTCCATGTGGGCAAAAATCAATGAAATTACTAGATGAGTAGCTTAGTATGTGAGTTCCAGTTGCAACATGTTACTGGTATTTGGGGCTTCCCCTCCCCCCTCCCCCCCTGCACTTTGAGGCAATTCGACATTTGACTAACAATCCAGCCTAACTTTCTCCATCTGATATAAAGATATTTACCTTGAAATCCTAGAACTGCCAACATCTCCTACTTCCTACTACAACCCTCCCTGACTCCTTTTCTCTGGCACAGCTTTCTATGCACTCACCCCATTCAACTAAGCCTGCTTACTCTTCACCAGAAGGTCTTCTCTTAGCATAAAAAGTTCCTGGAAGTCCATCTCTTTCATAGAGCTGCTGGATGACTGCTTTGCTTACCTTTGGCCTTCAAAATACCTCTCCTGTCCAACCATAGCTCCCCAGCTCCCCTGCCATTGCAACCAATACAAACTTCGTCATCTTTCCTTGGGCCAATGTGCCTGTCTCCTCACTGCTCTCCCTGCTTTCTCCCTTAGCCCCTACAACTCATACTCCACATCGCAAGCAGAACGAGCTTTTCAAATAGTAAATTAGATTATGTCCATTAGTGTGTTAGTAAATGTTTAACAGCTCCTGAGGGGAACAGAGTATCTATGTGTTTTATAATTTTTACATATATGTATCACATAATTTACAAAAAGCAAGAAAAAATATAACACTCTTAATAGTAAATTCTATATGGCCATGTGATTTTCACAGAACCATTTCAGTGATTTTTGCAGAATATTTGTGTCCATAGCCAACCTACAGCTAAAATTCAAACACGTTTGGCAAAATCAGACCACAAATAAATATCTGATTAATATCCAATCAGCAAAGAAGTCATTCATGGTACTGAAGTCCCAACATGAATGTTGGTTGATATTTTTACATTAATGAGCGAGATAAAAGTGAAGCAACAAAAATGGATGTTGGAACTAAACTCGTTCATTAATGACAGAAGTGACTTCTTTTGCTGATAATAGCTTTCAAGTACTAGAAAAATATTTCCTCAAGTTTTTGTGTTCACAAACTAAGGCACTTTTAAGTTCAATCTTCATTATTAAAATTTCTTCTACTCTGTCAGTCTAGACAATCAACAAAACAAATCAAGCTCTGGTTTGTCATGTTTCCCAATTTCTATAGTATAGGTACTCCACCATGGTTGATTTCAAACTACCAAAATAACATTTCTGAATGCAGCGTTAGGAAGGGATACGCTGCATCATACCATCGTATGGTATGTTCTTATACAGAACAGACAGAAATAACTTTAAGAACATAGATAATAGTAAAATGGAGTAAAATAATTAGGCAGTAAAGTCTTCAGCATTTATTTTTGTTGTTAAAATATTTGATTGTGAGTTTATAAATAATTTGGTTTTTAATAATGACTGTGATTAACAACCAACTTACAAAATCTCTGAAAATTTAACAGTCAGTGCTTGCAAGCTGGTACAATTGTTTCCGGTGCACTACTGAATTATCACTCCCCTGCCTAAAATTCCAGACTGCCCATTGCACTGATTCCCTGGGAAATAAGTGAAAAGAGACAATGATAATTTTCATTTTTGTTGTGGTGAAGTGATAGTGCAAAAATTCCATAAGCTCCTCTAAGTTTTCCAAATAAAGCTTAGTGTTTAAAAACGTTTGAACACATGATCCCATGTAAGGCCTACATTACTTCCTGTGTGATAGGTGGGGTAGATATCATTATCCTTCCTTTACAGATTGAAAAACAAGGCTGAGAAAAATCAAATGCCTACCCCAGGCTCATTCAAGTAAGTAAATGGCAGAATAGGGTCTAAAAACCAGGTCTTGTATTGAAAATTCAACAAGAGGATAGAGAAAATTTAATTGACAAATACTGATCTCAAAACAATTTTTTTTTCAATGGTGACAAATGTCCTTTGTAGCACTTTGGAGTTTGATATGAAGTATCTTCTTATCTTGTTAAGGGATCCCTATACCAAGAATGTTTTCATCTCAACCCCACTATTTCTAAGTTAGCTTAAAAACAAAACAAAACCCTGTGTGCTCTAATAAGAAGATATAAGAACCAAAATGGAAATGCAGGTTCTCAAATGAGCTGAAAGATTCCACATAGCAGCGGGGCAGATTGAAACACTCTTTACCAAAGGAACATGGGAGAGAAAAGGAGATTAAATCAAGAAAGGAAGAAAGCTAATGACATATGAGGAGCCACAAATGCCACAAATGAAAAAACAAAGTACGTAATACTTGTTGCAATTATTCAGTGTGCTTGCTCTAATGCCTCCAAACATTAAAAACATTGAGTTCCTGCTTATGGCAACATTTATCTCATTTATCTGCTGATAGCTGCCTCATCCTTGAATCAGGTATTGCTTAAACTAAGTTCTGCCAGCATAAAGAATAAAGTCAACCAGGACACCCATTGGGCATTTCACGCATATGAGCACAAATTGTGATATTTTAGGTTGCTTATGATGAAATCATTGAAAGCATCATGAAAGACAGCAAAACAGCAGGAAAGCTAGTAATAATTTAGCATTTCCCAGTCCAGGCGGGAATGTTAATTCTAATTACAACGAGGAATACCAAAGTGGAGTTCATTATGATTAAGAACTTGCTGTACTAGTGTGAATTGTTTATAATAGGCATGTCTGGCATAAAATACAAATATTGAAGCAGACAGAGATGGCTCATTCAAAGCTCAGCTGGGTTCCCTTGAACCTCTTACCTTATAAAGTTAAATAGGAATAGAAGTATTTTCCAAAGTCAAGATATTATTTTAAAGAGACAAATAATAGCTATGATAGCTGCAGGAATAATTTTTTAAAGTAAGTTCTAACCACCAATAAAAGCTGTTTGTGTGGGCTTAACATGTTCAAAATACACAATACACATGTACACAATACACGTATACATGGTTCCCATTTATATTTAACATCACACATTTAAAGTGAGAGAGTACAGAAAAAAAGAATAAATGGAAACTGAAGCCATGACAAAGAATCACGGACTATAGGAAAATAAGTCACAAAGAAGTATGCTTATGTAAGAGGAAATATATGTGATAAACAACAGGAGACATGGGAATGAATGTGGTGTCTTATGTCCTTTCTTTAACAGAATCGTGTAACAGACACTACTCAATATCGATCTCAACTGATCCAGTTCTCCAGTCTCCCTGGAAAACAATGGATTGATGCCCAGGGTGCGCTGAACACTGGAACCATGGTCACTTCTGCACTTCACACGATTCTGCTCCCACCAGTTGAGCTACCAACAGTTCCTGGTGCTTTTGCTTCCCAAACATGTTTATGCCATTTGTTGCTTATTACTGTACTTACTTAATTTGATTAAATATTAAGTAAAATGATGAAATGAGTGTAAAAAATTGTTCTATAAAATCTAAATGGAAAGATGCCCTATAGCCTTCCTTGACTTACAGTTGCGTCAAGTAAGGTGGATGTAAGACAATTTTAAAAGACTGGTGTGGGGGCAGGAGTGAGGAATCATAAAAATTTAGAAATCTGCACGAAAATTATTCTAAAAGTACACATTGAACATCCCTAACTTGAAAATCTGAATTTTGAAGTGCTCCAAAATCCAAAACTTTTTGAGCATTGTTATGATACCACAAATGAAAAATCCTACATGGAAGTACTTACCACAAACTTTGCTTCATGCCCCAAATTATTTTAAATATTGTATAAAATTATCTTCAGGCTATAAGGTGTATATGAAACAAAAAATGAATTTCCTATTTAGACTTGGGTCCCATGGCCGAGATATCTCATTATAATGCAAATATTCCAAAATCAGAAAAAAAAAAATCCAAAATCTAAAACACTTTCAGTATTAAGCATTTCAGGTCATGGATACTGAATGTGTATCTTTAATTTCTTGTTCTACTTTGTTTAAAAAAAAGGGGGAAAATAGTAATTCTACAGATGAATAATAATTGCTAATGATGAGCAAATACTTCCTATGACCCAGGAATTCGTCTAAGCACTTCACATATATCAAACTGGTTTAATCTTTATAAATCAGTACTATTATTATCCCCATTTTACAGATGATGGAAAAAGGCACAGAGAGTTAGCCTGCCCAAGGTTACATTCCTTTTAGTGGTGGAGACTGTATTTGGCCTTTATAGTCTGGCTTTTAACTGCTACACTATATCAATGCATTACAGGTATAGTTTATACACACACTAAAGAAGACATGGAACTCCAGTCAGTGGGCTCATAAAAGCTTTAGACCTTCATCAAAAGATTAGAAAATAAATGTTCAATCACAGGTTTTAGGTTTCAAAAGTTTCAAAAGTTTAAAGTTTGCAAGTTATCTTTCTTAAAATTATTTCCTTCTTTTAACTAATTTTTAAATTAAACTCCAGTTCAATCACATCCACTAGAAGGCTTCACTTTCTACAAAGGGGTAGGTAAAGGTGATGATCTTAAATACCATACTGGGAGTTGGGATCTGTGTAGCACTAGAATCAAGAGTTATTGTATATACTTGAGAAGGAGCACAGCCTGATTTAGTTGATGTTTTGGAGGGGTAATCTGGCAGTACAGCTTGGATTATTTTAGTGGGAATGGAGATGACAAAACATGAAGAGAATGGGAGAACTCACTTGGGTAATATATCAGTTTCTGAAATCAATGTATCAAGTGGTTTGGTTATTAGTCAGGCTTAAGGTTTTATTGGCCTTAGGACATAGTCTCTAAGACCATATATTATCTTCATTCATTCATTTAACCAACACCCACTGAGCACCAACTATGCACTAGTGATACAGGGGTGAACAAACAGACACAGTCCCTGCCTTTGCAGAACTTATGTTCTGGTGGGTGATACAGAGAAATAACAAATGAGGGCACAAATAATGAACTATCATTGTAATGTGCTAACAAAGTATGCAGAATACTATAAGAACATACAATCAAGAATCTAATCTAGTTTATTTTAAAAAAAAGTGGGGGGAGCACTCAGATGTTTAAACACAAAACAATAAAAATGAGGATCTTGAGGGTTATCTGTACACTTTTTATTAACCCATTTGGCCACAACAATAACCCAGTAAAAGTGATTTTACATCTAGTTAACTAGTTGACTCAATGTTATTATAACCCTGTAATGTATTTGTTGGGTGCCTGCTATGTAGTGGGCTGTGTTCCAGGAGTGGGACATAAAGCTATGACAAGATAGATCAGGTCCTTGCCTTGACTGAGTCTGAATACATCACCTTCATTTCCACCTCTGCTTCTAAGACAATCAAATACCTTCCCACTCAGATAGGGATTCATCCTATTTCTTGTAGTAATTATAAGTTCCCAGGGTTACAGATTAGTAAATGCCATACCTAAAGACTTAGGATACTGTGCATAAAACACTTTCAATAGTGTCTGTCAGACAGCAGATGCGCAATAAATGTTGACTTTCGTTAGAATTGTGTTATTATTATAATGCTAAATCTCACGTCCTTTCTGGCACACTGGAGTTCATCTCTTCAATTAAATTCCGTAAGCACATATTGTAAGTAGTCTATCAGAATTGATATACTACTTCATGTTAATGATTGAGATCAGTGAGGAAAACCACTTTAATATTGTCTAATTCCTCTCTTAATGCATAGGAGCCATGTGAACTTAGACAAGCATCAACCTCTGTAAGCCTGTTGTCCTCATATTGAAAAATCGAATAACAATACCTATCTCATTTAATTGTTGTCAGCAAAAGTGGGCAGCAGAAGAGTGGGGATCAATAAATGTTAGCCACAAATCATAACTATTTGTATTACTCTGAAAAAGAGGGGTTAACTTATAGTTCATGCATGCTTCCAAATGAATGTGAAAGACTAAAGAATGAGAATTTTTTTGCTATCAAATTAAAAAATTAACAGGCACATTTAGATTGCTGAAGAGAGAAATTAGGATAAGTTTTTTTTTTTTTTTGCTCAATTAAAAACGTTTTCAATGGCATATTTAAAACTACGTATTCTTCCCCATTAAGATCTGCAGAGAAAAAAAAATGAAGGGAGAATAATTGGGAACTCTTGTGAAATCATAAATTATTTAAGCAGAGTACCTACCACTAAGGATTTGAGCATGTATGAGCGATGAGGTGGATTCTTAGAGCAGAGATTCAGCAGTGAGACAGGCTAATGGCATGGGGAGATGTGTTCTATTAGACAACTGTATTGTCCCCTTAATTATATACATATATATGTATATAATATATATGTGTATACATATGTATACATACATGTATATATAAATAGAATTCTTAATCATTTTAAGCAGTGTACAAGGATAATTATTAGCATGGGCTATTTAACTCACTTTTAAAACGTGTAAAACATTATTGTAGGGTTGGGTCTTGATTTGTTTCCCATGAAACTGTTGGTAGTTTAGGGGCCAAATTAACGAAAGACATCTCATTCTAGTGCTTGAGGCTCAGAAATTGGAAAAACGGGCAACTAGGTCAAGCAGTGTTCTCATAGCCTCACAGATGAGCATCCAAAGCAAGGGCCTCCTTCTAGTTGACTTGTGCCAAGGGACAGGAGAAGCGGAGTCTGCCTTCTGGGTCCAGAAGGGGGTTTTGTTAACATGGAGTTGCTCAGCGCCCTTCATAAAAATTCTTCTGGCTGAGGGTTCTACGTTGGCATACGGTTGGTTCCCTCTTCTTTTCCGAGGTGGCGAGTATCTCTTCCTTTGCCAAGATGGCGGCTCCAGAATCCTCTGGAGGCGGCCCCCGTAGATCGTCTCCGGACAAGAGGCTTGCTGAAAGCCTACTTCTTTCCTTTCACATCAGACAATGCACAGGGAACCGTTTACCCTTGAGAACCAAGGAAGGACGGCTTAGGCTACCCGCGATCGCGAACCTTTGCCAAGATGGTGGCCGCGGGGACGGGCTGGCGACACTGTACCCTACCAAGATGGCGGCGGGCGGCTTCCGGGACGCGCTTCCCCAATCGTCTTCAAGATGTCAGAGCAGGGGGAGCCGCCGTCAGTCTGAGCGCGGCGGGAGGTGAGAGAGTGGCTGTGGCCGAGCGCCCGAGCAGGATTAGGTGGAGCTGCGGCAGCCCCCGCCCGTGTCAGGAGCTGGCAAGCGATGTCACCTGTGGGGGCGCAAAAGTTACCTCCCCAAACCCTAAACCCACACAGCACAACCTTTCCCAGAGTCACAAAAATCATAATCTGTGCCGCACAAGGTAGGAGGCTCGGTCCCGGCATCGTCCAAGCCTTCCCGACGCGGCGAGCTGGGGAAGGGAGCTGGGGCGGGGGCTTCCCGCACGGGCACCCCTCGCCCCACGGCCCTCTCCTTTCTCAGGACGGACCACGAGTTCCCTTCCCCTTGGACTGAGGGGGAAGCTCCTAACAGGAACATCTGTAGGGAGTTGAACGCTGGCATTTTAAAGCTGCCTGTATTTTGTTTTATTTGTAGGGGCAGGGGTCCTATGAACGTGATAGGGTGAGCAACGCACAGAGTCGAGGGCAGCAAATGTCAAGATTCGGGGGTGGGGCCTGCACCGGGAACTTGGACGCGGGCCCTGGCCGGGGTGGAAGAAGAGGTCAGGAGTTTCGGAAGGGGGGCTATATTTCGCCAGCAACTTACTATTTCGCCTGCAACTTGCTTTTAAGCCTGCCGCCCCCTGCTTTCCTTAATCATAATAATAAAAAAAAAGTGCAAAGAAATCCAGCTCGCTGGAGGTTTTGCATTTGGCGTGCAACTTCCTTCGAGTGTGAGCACATTGGGCGGGAGGGGTGGGGGTTGAACTTGGCAGGCGGCGCCTCCTTCTGCCGCCGCCGCCGCCTCGCAGACTCGGGGAAGAGGGTGGGGGACGGTCGGGGCGCGGGGGAGGGTGGGTTCTGCTTTGCAACTTCTCTCCCAGTGCGAGAGCGCGGCGGCGGCAGCTGAAGACCCGGCCGCCCAGATGATGCGGTGGTGGGGGACCTGCCGGCACGCGACTCCCCCCGGGCCCAAAGTACGTATGCGCCGACCCCCGCTATCCCGTCCCTTCCCTGAAGCCTCCCCAGAGGGCGTGTCAGGCCGCCCGGCCCCGAGCGCGGCCGAGACGCTGCGGCACCGTTTCCGTGCAACCCCGTAGCCCCTTTCGAAGTGACACACTTCACGCAACTCGGCCCGGCGGCGGCGGCGCGGGCCACTCACGCAGCTCAGCCGCGGGAGGCGCCCCGGCTCTTGTGGCCCGCCCGCTGTCACCCGCAGGGGCACTGGCGGCGCTTGCCGCCAAGGGGCAGAGCGAGCTCCCGAGTGGGTCTGGAGCCGCGGAGCTGGGCGGGGGCGGGAAGGAGGTAGCGAGAAAAGAAACTGGAGAAACTCGGTGGCCCTCTTAACGCCGCCCCAGAGAGACCAGGTCGGCCCCCGCCGCTGCCGCCGCCACCCTTTTTCCTGGGGAGTTGGGGGCGGGGGGCGAAGCGCGGCGCACCGGGCGGGGCGGCCACGCCAGGGGACGCGGGCGTGCAGGCGCCGTCGGGGCCGGGGTGGCGGGGCCCGCGCGGAGGGCGTGGGGGCAGGGACCGCGGGCGCCCCTGCAGTTGCCAAGCGTCACCAACAGGTTGCATCGTTCCCCGCGGCCGCCGCGCGGCCCCTCGGGCGGGGAGCGGCCGGGGGTGGAGTGGGAGCGCGTGTGTGCGAGTGTGTGCGCGCCGTGGCGCCGCCTCCACCCGCTCCCCGCTCGGTCCCGCTCGCTCGCCCAGGCCGGGCTGCCCTTTCGCGTGTCCGCGCTCTCTTCCCTCCGCCGCCGCCTCCTCCATTTTGCGAGCTCGTGTCTGTGACGGGAGCCCGAGTCACCGCCTGCCCGTCGGGGACGGATTCTGTGGGTGGAAGGAGACGCCGCAGCCGGAGCGGCCGAAGCAGCTGGGACCGGGACGGGGCACGCGCGCCCGGAACCTCGACCCGCGGAGCCCGGCGCGGGGCGGAGGGCTGGCTTGTCAGCTGGGCAATGGGAGACTTTCTTAAATAGGGGCTCTCCCCCCACCCATGGAGAAAGGGGCGGCTGTTTACTTCCTTTTTTTAGAAAAAAAAAATATATTTCCCTCCTGCTCCTTCTGCGTTCACAAGCTAAGTTGTTTATCTCGGCTGCGGCGGGAACTGCGGACGGTGGCGGGCGAGCGGCTCCTCTGCCAGAGGTAAGAAGCGAGGCGGGAGGGGGCCGGGGCGCGCTCGCTCCCCCGAGGTGCCGCTGGGACCGGAGACAACTCGGGGGCCGCCGCGGGAGCCTACAAACTTTTATTAGCCTCGGGGAGTGGGGGTGGGGGGCTGGCAAGGGCCGGGCGACGGTGACGAAAGGGCAGCGCGCGGGTGACAGCGCTGGCCTCTTCCTCTCCCTCCGCAGGCGTCCCCTGGCCGGGCCGAGGGGGAGGAACCTGACCTCGGACGGCGAGCGGAGCCCTGTCGAACTGCCGGGGGCTTCGAGCCTCTCATTCCTCGCGGGAATCCTGGCCTCTTTTCTCCCCCTAGTGTCCCCTTTCCCTCCAAGGGGGTCGCCCGACACCCGTTTTCGTGGTGAACGCTAAGCCGCGTCTGAATTTTACTCGCCCGAATATTTGCACGCCACCCCGGCGCGCCCGAGCGCGAGCCCGGGCTCCGGGGAGGCCCCGGCGGCGCCTGGCTTGAGGAGGGCGTGCGGGGCGCGTGAGGGTGCACACGCGGGGGGCTGACAGCCCGCAACTTGGAGACTGCGGCCGGGGCCGGCGTTATCTGTTAGAAGTGGGCGTGTCGGAGAGAGAACTCAACAGGTCTGGACGTACTTCTCTTTTAACCTCGCACTTTTTTCTCTTCTCCACCCCCGCCCCGCAAGGGCTTGCTCTTTAGCGTTTGTTGTTAATTCGCGCCTGAGGTTTCTAAGTGGCCCCTTTTAGAAAAAGACCCCCTGTAACCGTAATGGTTTTGTGCTGCGATTTTTACAAGTGCTAGTTTGACGTTTGGGGTTGCAGACTTGATAATTGCAACCTTGTAATACCACTTAAGACCCTCTGGCATGGTTCATTAGGGCCAATTAATGTGGCTGGGTTATTTGCAACTTAAACTGGGGGATAATGTCGCTTGAGGGAGCGTTTTCGTTTTAGGAAATATTGTTTTGGTTTCGGGTTTGAAGGCAGCTGTCAAAAAAGCGGCATGGAAATTCATTGGGCTCCATTCGATACCTCGTGTTTAGAGATCGTTATCGCCTCAGATAAACGGGGCAGAGAGGTGGGGAGATAAGCAGTTTACCCTCAAGATTTGTAGTGGCAAGTCCACACCCCTCTCTCTACCTTCATATTCACTTTTCAGTGAGGGCCAGTGACATTTATGCTGCCTAACGTCATCGCATAGGAAAAGTTACCTTTTATTGGACGGGATTTGACTATAGTGTCCCAAATGCGCTTCTCCGTCTTAGCCCATCTCTTAAAACACCCTGATTAACGATATACTAACAGTCTTACTCTCTTGAGAATAGGCTGAGAATTGGGATAGGTGAAGGTTTGGATAGGTGAAGGCAGAGAAAATTATTTTGAACATTTTACTGGATACAGTTGTACCTGAATTTATATGAATGTGATTTTACGGTTCTGTGTTTTTCCATTTTTCAGTACTTCGATATTTGTTTGGAAAGGAAAGAACTTAGAGATGTAATAGCATTTCATATTGAGGATCTCAAGCAATGTAAACAAATGTAGCTTAATCTAGATGTTTTTGTGAGTTATGATAAGGGTCAGCTATATTTAAGTTATGTAAGCTAACAACGTAGTGAGAAACTACTACACCTTCTCTTCTGCTCTTTAAAATCTAAATTTTAGTTGGCCTATATAAAGTGTATCTCATTTCATATATCCAAAATTTGGAGGTAGGCACATCCAGTCAGAAGTATGGGTTAAAAAGCCTTTTCCCAGCCTGTCGGAAGATAAGCAGATCAGCATTGTTTATTTTTCAAAGAAAACGTGCATGGTTCACCAGTTGGTTGTACTCAAAGGTTTGGATGTGTGACTAGCTGGTAGGAGGGAAATTTGGAAGTAATTAGGGATTGAGAATTCTAGCATAGTATTTATCAAATGTTATATGTATTGGTTCTCAGAAAAGCAAACAGCCGTGATTGAAAAGAGGTAGGAATTTTAATGATCACACTTCCTTTTTTTGAAATTAAATACTTTGACATCAACTTGAACCTTCAGAATAATCAGATGTAATGAATTATAATGTCTGTGATTAACAAAGCTACACGTTCAGTGAGCGGCAGGATGAATAGCCAAGCTTAGTTCGATACACTTTTGCCCTCAGCTGTGCAAATGGATTGCATTGTACTTTTAAATGTGGCATGCTGAATGGGAGCAGGGGACATGGCTTTTTATTCTGGAAGATAGAAACTACTCTTCTGGTAACAAAGAATTTGATTCGGAGTTAACTAAAAGGTTCATTTAACAAGCTGCCTCTTACTAATCGGATCAGGAAGATAATGTGACTTTAGAGCTTATGATGTTTTCCCCCCGTTTTTGTTTTTTGTTTTGTAGTTGATATTCACTGATGGACTCCAAAGAATCATTAACTCCTGGTAGAGAAGAAAACCCCAGCAGTGTGCTTGCTCAGGAGAGGGGAGATGTGATGGACTTCTATAAAACCCTAAGAGGAGGAGCTACTGTGAAGGTTTCTGCGTCTTCACCCTCACTGGCTGTCGCTTCTCAATCAGACTCCAAGCAGCGAAGACTTTTGGTTGATTTTCCAAAAGGCTCAGTAAGCAATGCGCAGCAGCCAGATCTGTCCAAAGCAGTTTCACTCTCAATGGGACTGTATATGGGAGAGACAGAAACAAAAGTGATGGGAAATGACCTGGGATTCCCACAGCAGGGCCAAATCAGCCTTTCCTCGGGGGAAACAGACTTAAAGCTTTTGGAAGAAAGCATTGCAAACCTCAATAGGTCGACCAGTGTTCCAGAGAACCCCAAGAGTTCAGCATCCACTGCTGTGTCTGCTGCCCCCACAGAGAAGGAGTTTCCAAAAACTCACTCTGATGTATCTTCAGAACAGCAACATTTGAAGGGCCAGACTGGCACCAACGGTGGCAATGTGAAATTGTATACCACAGACCAAAGCACCTTTGACATTTTGCAGGATTTGGAGTTTTCTTCTGGGTCCCCAGGTAAAGAGACGAATGAGAGTCCTTGGAGATCAGACCTGTTGATAGATGAAAACTGTTTGCTTTCTCCTCTGGCGGGAGAAGACGATTCATTCCTTTTGGAAGGAAACTCGAATGAGGACTGCAAGCCTCTCATTTTACCGGACACTAAACCCAAAATTAAGGATAATGGAGATCTGGTTTTGTCAAGCCCCAGTAATGTAACACTGCCCCAAGTGAAAACAGAAAAAGAAGATTTCATCGAACTCTGCACCCCTGGGGTAATTAAGCAAGAGAAACTGGGCACAGTTTACTGTCAGGCAAGCTTTCCTGGAGCAAATATAATTGGTAATAAAATGTCTGCCATTTCTGTTCATGGTGTGAGTACCTCTGGAGGACAGATGTACCACTATGACATGAATACAGCATCCCTTTCTCAACAGCAGGATCAGAAGCCTATTTTTAATGTCATTCCACCAATTCCCGTTGGTTCCGAAAATTGGAATAGGTGCCAAGGATCTGGAGATGACAACTTGACTTCTCTGGGGACTCTGAACTTCCCTGGTCGAACAGTTTTTTCTAATGGCTATTCAAGGTAAGATCAGTGTTTTTCTGTTTCTTAAGAATGGTACATTTAAGGTAGATTAATAGATGTAAATCTTCATTGATTTATATGTGTTCTCTAAAGATTCATGTGCTTTTTTATATGAATAAGTTTAAGTGGCCTTTTGAAAGTAGGAAAGGTAGACAACCTAAGTGACATCTGTACGTAACCATTTCAGGTTTTTTCCTTAAATAGTGGTTTTCAGTATCCCATTGGCCAACGGTGAGGATTTTATTTAACATTTTTAAAATAATGTTGCTCATTAACAGATATCTTAACGAAAAATTATATAAATTCAGGAGAGTATAATGTCTCATAATATCATATTGTGTTGTGCATGGTCATTCAGCTGTTTTAGAATATGTTCTTATATTACAATAAATGATACCCTTACTTACATAGTCAAAAGTTGTGCTGCCTTATTTGTAAATTCGTTAAGTGTTAGCTTGAGATTAAAGAGTTAAAAGCAGAAGTACTAACAAAGAGCCCTATTCTTCAAACTGAATCTTCTGTTAAAGAATTTGAGTTTTGAAGTTGCTAAAGCAATGCAGTGAACAGTGTACCAGACCATAGTATTAGACACAGGTCTTGCTCACAGGGTTCTTGCCATAAAGTAGACAAGTTATGTCTGCTGATCAATCTCTTTAAGAGAGGAATTGGTGTCAACATGGTGCAAAACAAAATTTTACGTTCAAATGTTCCTGCAAGTTCTCAAGTAGATAACTGATGGCCAAAATTGTTAAGCTTCAATTTTCAGCTTTCGTTTGATTTTTCTCTTTTTTTTACTCAGTCGTTTATAAGCATACTGATATTTTTGTCTGACCCAAAAAGGTCAGAAAATGGAATTATCAGAAAAAAGTTCTAAATGTAGATATACGTGTTGGTAGGGGTGAATTTCTCTACCCCGTAACCTCATCCCCAATTCAGATAAATGCTAGGTTTTATATCCATTTTAGTTGTGAAGGAAAATATAAAAATGTGGATTGTAGTGACACAAGATTGATTAATCAGCGGGTTTTTTTAAAAGAAGACATGGTAGACAGTGATTTATTTGTATGTAACTATTGAAGTTTTTTCTTAAATGTTAGTGATATTCATCGTTCCCATTAACTAGTTATTCAGATTTTTGAAAATCCTTTTTCTGTGAAAGCTATCCTAACCTGGAGGATGTCTCTTTTCTTTCCTCTGTACTTAAGAAGCTTTTCTTGTTAGGGAAATAATTTAGAATTAGATTTAGGCTATGTTCTGTTCTTCTAAAAGGCTTAGTTGTCAAAAAAAAAAAAAAAAAAACCAAAAAACCTTGGTTCTTACATGTCTTAATGTGAACTACCTCCTAATCTATTGTTTAAATAATTATCCTTTATTTAGAAGAACACTACTTCAACCTGAGTTGAAGGTTTAAAATCTTTTCAGTAAGGAGATTTGAGATCTTTATTATTGCATAAGCTGTTGTGTTTTAAATGCTAAAAGACATGCTGTGTTTTAAAATTTTCAATTGCAAATTTTTGGCAATAGAATTCGCATACTTGGTTTTCTTAAAAGAGTTAAGTACGGTTGATTTGACTAAGCTATCTGTAGGAAACTCTTAAATTGATTTATAAAACATGTAATTATACAAAGAAAAATAAAACATCTTAGGAAACTCTTGGGGATTATTAATGGATTTTGCCCTGATAATCATCATGGCATGGTTTTCATTTTCCTTACTATAAAGAAAAGGCAAGGGACAAAACTTATTTTCCATTTGCTATGAACTTTTAAACCCTATAAAATCTGGGATATAGAGTATAAGTAGATGAACATAGTTACTCTTAAATCACTAAAGGTGATTTTAATGCTTTAACTTTTATAGTACTTCATGACATAAAGTATCTTTACGTATTTTTAATTTGGGTCCCATAACCTTATGGAGGTAGTAGGCAAGGCAATGATGATGCGGCTCTTTAGAAGTTCTTTAATATCAAATGAAATTATTATTTTTATGCCAATCTGTGATTGGGAAATATAATCAGTAGTCTGTGTCCTAACAAGAAGGTATAATACTTTATACAGGGTATTTTGTTAATATTTGAAGATTTTATACCTTATGGCATTAACTTAGCACTGGGAACTATGATTACCCAAAACAAAGCTTCATCCAAATAAATTGAAACAGTGTTTCTTTTAAACCATCATTGAATTAGTCTATTGTTTCCAAACAACAGCCCTGATATAGCTAAAATTAGTTGCTTTCTCTTCTCTATATGTTACATGACTGTAGCCAAACATTTGCTATGACCAGTGACCCTGAGTGATCAGCAAATAATCAACACATTGAGACCACAACTTGAATACTGACCTTCTGACTTTACGAAGAAAAATATTAAATGCCACTAATAACTTGAATTCCTTTTAAATTAAAAAAAGTTATAAATTGCAATTTGACTTTTTAAAATGCCACCTAAAATTGTTTTTATCAGAATACTTAAAAAAAAATCCTCACTTTATTCTCTGGGGGTGGGAAGAGGCAATTCCTTCCTTCCACCACAACATTGAATTATCACATAAAATTGTAAAATTATGAATATTATGATTGAGCTTAGTAAAGCATTTTCTAAGTTCATTTATAGTAAAACAAGAGAAACCTTATTCTCAAAATCTATTCTTTAAGTAAAACAAACTAGTCATTCTAACTTAATATGCTTTTAAAAATACTGAAGTTCAGTACATTTAGCATAAACTTATTGACGAAGGCACATTTCTGCATTATTTGATTTTCAGCCTTGTTTCATTTAAGCATTAATGACAGAGGTAGAGAACAGAAATGGTTTTAGGTGGTATTAGAGCTTTTATTGGGATTATGTTGAAATTTTAGTGTTAAAAAATTGTTCGTATCCTGAAGGGAGGGATTATTGGAGAGAATGAATGATGTAGGATGAACTTGTAAATTCAGTTTTCGGCAGAGTCTAAAATTAAGTGATGATTGGCACTTAATGAAGCTACTAAAATTTATGTAGATTTTAATGTCTCATTAGTAATCGCATCTGTATCTGGTTTTATAAAAGTAATGAAATTGAAGACCTGTACAAATACAGAATGAATGAAGCAAATTCTGCTAACATCATGTTGAATGTTTTCTCAGAAAAAGAGGAAATACGAAGAGAAGAGATTTGTTTTGACTGTGATTTACCCTCACCCCCATGGATACTTTCTTTACTTCCTACCTTTTTTCTTTTTCTTTTCCTTCTAAAGATTCTGGCAATGGGTGTTTCAGTGTTTTTTAAGCTTAATATTTCTGGTACTCATTTATGTAAAGTGATTTCTGAATGTTAAAGGAGATTTCTTTTTAAATATATTTTCACTTATTTTTAGCTTTATGATGAGAATCTTATTTTTTAAATCTGTAACTTGTTATGGCTACATGATTAGTAAAAAAAGTTTTTAAAACACACTGTGTATTCAGGTGTGTCATTTTAGTGTGAAATGACTAATGCAGAAATATGTGACTAGCATGTGGTCAGATTTTATTGAAATTACTTACGATGTTTCTATGGCTAGTCCCCTTGTATTTTTATAATTGGTAACATAATTCATATGTTATTTTGGTCTTGTCTATTTGTGTTACATGTATTTTAGTCTGACCACTTTTGCTACTTATTTAATGTTTATACATTTTATGAAAGACTTATTCTGAAATATACCTTGCATAAATGTAGGTTAAATGCAAATTGTATTAATAGTGAAATGGATATGTGGGTAGAGATCACTTTAGGGGCCTTTTGAGATTTAGTGAAGGAAAGATTGGATCAAAAGGGTTTACTTTAATGTGACTGCCTAATGTGAAAGTCGGAACATCTGCATTAATTGGTTAGTTACATAAATCTTAGTCTACTCTGGCCTGCAGGTGACTGAAACAGCCCAGGAAATCTTAATTTACATTAAGCTTAGACAAGGTCTGAGGCTTAGGCTTAGTTCTTAAAGCACATTCTTTTTTACTTTAATGATTATTCCTAATTTTAATGAGCAGTGGGTTCTCATTGTGTACTAGTACTTAGGTGGGCAAATTAAATAAGCAAAATAGGTTTGTGCTGAATAGCATTTACCCTTCTGAGGACATCCTGGTAATATTTTCATCAAGAGTAATTGTGTAATGCAATATTTACAGGTATTTGCCAGATTAATGGGCACTTGTTTTCATATTTCTGAGTCATGGAAAATATACATTGATGATTCCTGTTGCATAAAGAGTTTTCAAGAAAATTTTGTTGAATTAAGCTATAACTACAAAAAAAAATCCATTACATATTGACCTTTAGAAAGGATTTTTAAAAGCCCATGCTGTCCTTATTTCTGCAGCTTCAGAGAGCCGACTGCTCTTATTTTCTTCTGGCATATTCTATTAATACTTGGGTTTTGTATTTTTCAAGTAAATAAAATATTCCTATTGAGAATTTCAATTTTAAAAAAGAAAAGGTCTACTAAGTGTTCCTTTCCCTGTTGAATTATGTGTGATCATTTCTATGCTAAACTAGATTAGGGTGTGACTTGTGATGGTGATTTTTGTTCATTTTACATATTAAGAAAGAAATAGAATTTTATTGCAGTTCAAAATTATTTGTAGACAGTGGTTTTAACCCCCAGACACCTAATTGTGACAGGTTGCTTTCCTTAGTGCTCAATACTGTTGTAAATGTCTCTAAATACAGAATTTCCAGTGGAGTTCATGAATTAATTGGGGGTGGAGGGTGAAGAGGGAGGAGCAACAGAGATGTGGGATGCTATAGATAAGTTTAGGAATATCCAGATCAGTTCTGAAAACTAACAGTTTGGATCAACTGTCATGAATTAGAGGTTTAAGAAAAGAAAAATTTAGGACTATAGGTACAAGGGAATGCATCAATCAGAATTACAATTTAATTTCTTTTATTTCAGGTAGAAATCTAAAACTGACCATGGCTATATAATACTAATTTTTGAGTTATGTTGTTTCTTACTATGCTTTATTATCAAAAAAGGATAAAATGCACATTTTACTTGAAGATTATTTTAGCTAAGATTAAGTTCATATTTTTCTCATTTTTATTTAAGCTGCTGTTTAATAAATGAAAATCTAATGACTTGAATGTAGTCGACCTAATGTCTTAATGTTGATATAATCATTTCATATATCATAGTGCCCTTTTACAGCCATTGTCAACTGACTGGAGAGCAACCCTTTTCTTTGGTAATATATTTCTATGGGTTATGTATTTTTCTGCTGGAATATTGAGAAAATTAATTTTTCATAATATGCAGAATAAATTATGGGGTTCTGCAAGTGCTAGACAGTCACTTAAACCATTTATATTGCAATACATTCCTTAAATTCAGTATTTTGAATGAAAGTGTGTTATCCCCGAATTTTATCACTTGTCCAATTTAAATATTAATTACATCCCAATAGAGCTGCATGCTTAAACATGCTTTTTCAGAGTAACCCAAGTATTAATTTCGAGTGCTTTTAAATATTTTTTCTTTTTAGCAAGTTTCAACAACATTAATCCTGTCTATAATGCAGCAAGTTCAGTGAAAGTACCTGTTGTTTTATAATTTTTTTTTCATTCTCACTGTAGGGCACCAAAAATATATATAAGGGGAAAAAAGTTTTAATGATATGATTAGTTGTAAATGTTTACGCATTATCTTACCTTGAATTTTTATTTTTGTAACTAATAATTTGAGAGTTCAATAAGTATGCAGTGTTTAAGACATAGTTTGTTGCAAAAAGTGTTAACTTACTATTTCTTTTTACAATAAAATTAGCCTTTATTCTAGTTGATTTCATAACTGTCCATAATATTTAGCTGTGGCTATTATGAAAGTATATTTGATAGCCAAATTTTGAAAGCTATTATGAAATGATACAATTCACTACATGATTTATTATTTCATGCTGGTTGGGGCAGTGCTGTGACTTATGACCTTATGATTGTCACATGCTGAACACTAAAGCTCTACCAGTTTGTTATGGACACTGTTTTACTTTATGTTATCGTTTTAATGTTTTCTTTTATAATTATTGAGGATAAGAGCTTCCTTAATTTTAAGACTATTTAAATTGCAGATTTTGCTTTTTTATTTTTTTAACCATCCCTTCCAAAGAATTTGATTTAGATATTCAGTAGTAGAAACAGAAGAAAAATACTCAACTAAAAGTCCAAAGACCTAGTTTCTAATGCTAAGGGAGACAGTCCATGGCCTCCAACTAGGTACTTTGGAGTCAAAAATACTTTCTTTACAACTGTGTTTGAATTGTTTTCAAAACACCTGTGTGTGTGTTTCTAAAATTCCACAATCCTTTTAACCCGTCAATTTGATGAGGGAAGTAATTAGGGTAGGGAATGGTATAACAAAGTTGGTTCTTTGACATTTTCTTTATAGATTATCGAATGTAAGACAAATAGATGTGAATGCAGATTTGGTGTTTTTATAAGATAAGGATTTAAAATAATGTAGTTGGTGATATATAAAAATAAACTATTGCTGCTGTTAGCACCCGAGAGGTGGGGCTCTTGGGTTCTCAGAGCTTGTTTTCTATGTTCGTTACAGTTATTTTAGATTAGAACTTAAAAGAACTTGAGAGTTTCCCTAATTCTACCCCCTAATTTTTTCGAATGAGAAATTGAGATCCATAGAAAGTGTTGAGGTAAAGATCACAAAACACTTAATGAGCGGTGTTGCCAGTTTGAATATCTCAATTCTTAGTTATCTAAGTTCCCTGGTAGGCTTCTTTAATTATCTGGGTCTCTTCTAGACATCTGGAACAAATAGTTGATTGACATAATACAGACTAGCCACATATTTTATAAGAGTTACTTTTGACTCATTTAGATTTTTAAAATATACAGTGTCTGTATTCTTCTCTATTCATTTTGTTAATTTTTTTTTACCTAATAATGATTAAGCACCAATTATGTGACAGCACTATGCTAAGCACTTTGCATGCATTCATCTCATTTAAATCTCAACTCTGTGAAAGTTTTTATTCTAGTTACTGTATTAAGTCTCAATTCTGTCAATATCCATGAAGCACAGAAGGCAGCTGTTATTTACCTTAATTTTACAGATGTGAAAACTAAAGGCATTTAAAGAGAAAAAGAAAAAAAAAACCAGGAAACCTTAACACTTATCTGAAGGGAAATATTTAATATTGGGTATGTTAGTTCCTCATGTATCTTTAATAATTTTTGTCAACAGCGAATCTTTAAATAAAATATAAAGGATCAGGCCTCTGCTCTCCTGCATATATTTGTAAAGTCACTTACTGCTTTTTGTCACAGTTTCAATTTCTGTAAAATAGTGAGAGGGTTTTTACCTGACAGGATTTGTGCATGTACGTTTACTTTGAAAATTAAAAAGCATTAGGCCAGGCGCGGTGGCTCACGCCTGTAATCCCAGCACTTTGGGAGGCCGAGGCGGGCAGATCATGAGGTCAGGAGATTGAGACCATCCTGGCTAACACGGTGAAACCCTGTCTCTACTAAAAATACAGAAAATTAGCCGGGCATGGTGGCTGGTGCCTGTAGTCCCAGCTACTCGGGAGCCTGAGGCAGGAGAATGGTGTGAACCTGGGAGGCGGAGCTTGCAGTGAGCCGAGGTTGCACCACTGCACTCCAGCCTGGGCGACAGAGCGAGTCTCCGTCTCAAAAAAAAGAAAAAAAAAAGAAAAGAAAATTAAAAAGCATTATAAAAATGCAAGGTGGAATTTTTAAAGCTCTGCCAAGTCCACTTAGCTTAAACCAGCATGACTCTCATTGGCTAAGTACGTTATGACATCTGTGACTGTGGTGTAGGTATTGCCTATAATCAAGAATCTTTTAGGGTCTGCTATGTGCAATCCCTGAAGGGTCATGGATCGCAGTTTCATAAAGACTGCTGTATTTTAAAGCCTTCAAATGCCAACGTAGTATCTTCACAATGATTTTTTTTTTCAGTTTTATTATTTTTTGAAAGCGCCTTCGACAAAGTTTTCAGTGGATTTTGTTGAGGGATATTAAGTATGCCATCTACATAATAGCCATAGTGATAACTCCAACCACATTGTTATATTTTTATTAATAAATGCTAGAGTATTCTCTTTCTGGTATTTCCTATTCTGATATTTTTATATAATCAAGTATGCAAAGATTCTTTGTCATTGGAAACCTTAATTTGCCTGAAAATGGGAATGAAATTTTCAGGTTTAAAATTTTTTTACATTTATTACATTTATTGAAGCTGTCTGAAAAAGCTCTTGAGTATATTGAATACCAAAATTTATCCTAACTGCATAAAGTTGGGAGGATTGTGAAACTTGACTGCACTGACTTGTTTTCTTTATTGATCAAATGGTTGAAAAAAACTTCAGTTAAACAAATTTGATCTATTAAACCAAAGTTATAAAAGCAGAGGAAAGCATAGAATTATTAAACGGCAGTTTAAATTGGTAAACATACCGATGTAGAACCTAAGTTTGTAGGCAGCTTTCTTAGATGGAAACTTAAAAAAATTTTAATCAGAACATTATGTGAAATTTGTCATCTGGAATTCAGCTGGGTTTATTAAGGACAAAGTGTATGGCTATAAAATAGATTGAGTTTTTTTTTTAAAACAGAAAACCCAAAATAAATGTTCTAAGTTTCCACCTTAGGAGGCTATGTATATTGCTCCTCTTTGAAACTGCCTTCAGAACCACCTTGTAAGCCATAAAAGAAAATCGGACTCATTGCACTATAGTAACACCTAACTGTTCTTGCTCAAAGAAAATGTATTTATCCCTTAGCTTTATTTGTGTGACTCCAAATCATATGAGTATTGCCAGATATTTAGAAATTTAATCCTCTCTCGAATGATAACATTTATTTTCTTTGAGGGTTTTTAAAAGAGCCCACATAGATATTTCTACAGAAAATGTTTAATTCTGTTTTGAATATGCCTGGAATAAGTGAATAGCTTCCCAGGGTGACTATTCTGAAATGGGTGATGCTTAGTGGTTAAGTTCTGATTTGTGTTTTCTTGAAGTTATTAAGGAACTTTATGATAACAGTTTATATATTCCCTCTTCTTGGCATAGTAATGAAGTAATAGAGACTATTCACCTCTAAGCCTGATTTTTTAAATAAGTGTTTATTTTATGTTTAAGTAAGGTAGGTCTGCTTTTGGCTTGGACTTGAATTTGGCAATAGCAGATATAAAGTAAACATAATGTGAATTCCTACAACAGTCTCCCAAACAGTTTAATTTCTCATTCATACACATTTCCCTTAGTGTATCAGGGAATTAAGTATCTGATTATCAGTATAGCAAGAACAACTCAAGTATACTGAAGTTATTTATACTCATAAAATAGTTTGAGTTATAGCTACAATATAAAATTAATATATTTTTGACTTTTATTCCTCACAACCTGAAAAAAACCTCTGCGATTACTGATAGTACTTTTAAAAACTAAATGAATTTTGTTACTACTATTTGCTAAATTTAGTCATGTTTACTGTTCAAAAAATGCTAGGTTAAAATGGATCCTAATCTTTGAAATGATGAAGACATGTGTAGTGGTGTCAAAAATAGGATATTCATTTTGTAACTATTCTGTTAGTGCCGAAGTTCTTAGAATTTCTTTGTGACAACAGCCTGCTTAAGAACTTTAGATTTTTTAGAATTGTACTAAAAGCAAACTGTTTTCTTGGATATTTGTTCTTTCTCCCCAAAAGATGATTTATAAGTTTTCAGAGCTAAGAAATGGGAAGGAAGAGCCATCCTAGCATGGCAGGTAATGTTTTACTGCTAACAGGTTTTCTCTGCACTGCTTTATTTGCCTTGAACCTCTTACTTTGTTCTGTCAGCTGGGAGGCTGGTAGATTTTCTATTAGGTAGCAAATGCTTCTCATCACTAAACACATATCATGGGCTGGTGTTAGTGCAGTCTGTGGATGGGCACTACATTTTTAATCAAGAAATGTTTTTAAAGGAAAGACAAATTGGTGAAGTAATTTCTAATTCAGTATTTTAGGGATGAGTGACCTTTTAATTGATAATGATATTTAACAGAGCTGTACAGTGCTTTGGGGGTCCCACAGACATGTTTAAACAAGAAAACAGTAAATAAGGAAGCCAGAAGGAAAAGTTATAAAACTATTAAGAAAGAAAATGAAAATTCTAAACTTCAATTCTGGTGCCTGGCTAAATTTGATTTTTGTATGCCTCAGTGTTTCTCTATGGACACTGGGAAATCAATAAGCAACCTAGCTACGTTATTATGTTCGTAAGTGGAAGAACTAAAGAACTACAAAGACATGTTCTAGGCCAAGAATTCTGGTGGTAGGTAGAGTGGGAGGTTAACTAGATGATCTCCAAGGTCCTTCTAATTGCACTTGGCAGCAGCAAGCATTTATCAAGCTAGACACTGGGCATATGGAGATGAAGAAGATGAATATCCCCAGCAGCATGGAGAGCACTCTGATGATAGTCATCCCTGCCTCCCCCTCCCTCAGTTTGCTTTTTGAAATGTGAGCTTGAAAGATCTCAAACTCCTTCCTGGGAAGACATAACTGAAACTTCATGGAGGAAAGTGCATGAATGAATGGGAAACAAGATTTGATTCAACTATTTGGAATAAGAAAAGGGGCAACAAGGAGTCTGAAACAAATGAAAGAAAAGATGGAAAGAATTAGTTGACTAGATGAGGACTGAGTACATAGGAATGAGCCAACAGGAGACTTCAGCAACTAATGGATGAAAGTATTATGTGCATGCATGTTGTCATCAAATATCACATGATACAAGACAAGGAGAAAACATGACTTTCACCATAACCTCAGTTTGTGTACCCTAGTTGCAAGATATTTTTTTCTTCTAGTCACTTAAGAATATCCTTATTGTCTAGGAGAAATAATCCTCTTTCTGGGCTCCCCAGTGTATAAGCCCAAATCTGAGGAAAATTTACCTGAAATGTTCTTTCCCCAGATACCCACATGGTTTACTCTCTCATTTAAATGTCAGCTCTGTAAAAGAGATCTCTGACTGCTCTATCTGAAATAGTAGAATCTTTCACAGTCTTTCCTTCTTCTTGACATCATCTATTTGTGTCTTATCTGCTCACCTGCTACAATGTAAGCTCCATGAGAGCAGTGATACTGTCTGCCTTGCTTACTCCTGTATGCCAGCGTCTAGAATAGTGTCTAGCACATAGTAAGACCTCTACAAATACATGTTGAATACCTAAATAAACAAAATTTAACATATAAACCAAAAAGATATATAGGAATGGATTATATTTCTAATCTTTCTCGAGTGAGGAAAATGTCAGCAGATAGTGAATATCACTGAGAGAGAGATGATAGCCCAGGTTATCTTCCCCAGATAGAAATAAGCCTTAAGACTGACAGGTGTATATGAATACAGAGAGTATACATAAAGAAGATGTATTTTCAATTGACAGTCTCTAAATTTGCTTTAAGACTTCGAAATGGATTGCTTTTCATAATTTCTTAGAATAACTCTGGTCTGTTTACCATTGAAAAATTAGAGTAGCCAATGTTTGTAAATGAAGGGTTAGAGGGTTTTTTCCTTTGGTGGTTTGTTAAAAGCTTGCTCAAGGCAGTAACATAGTAAATTGTCAATATAGGAACTTTTGTAGCAGAAGCTTTATGCTTTTCACTTTTATAAGAATTGAGATTATTTAAGCAGATGAGTCTAATGTATATGTTTGTACTGACTTACCTAGAAGGTCAGGCAAGAAATCGGTTTCCTCATTTTTCAGATAAGTGTGTGTGTAATCACTGAGTACCTTAAGAGAGGAGGGGTGTTTTATTTTTGCCTGAATTTTCAAAATATCTTTCTTCAGCTTATTTATATTTTAGATTTGACTTATTCTGTCTATAGTATATAACAGTCAGGAGGTTGGTAGGATAAGTTCATCTCTTCTACTAAGAGTTATAGGAGAGTTCAACCTAATATGGCAATGACAGTCGCAGAAAAGAGAAAATGCAAGTTAAGTAGGTGTTAGCCATAGCAAGAAAATCAGATGAGGTCATTTAAGAATGAACTGCTCTAATGTTCAGGAAAAAAGAGGGGAGGGACAAGGACAGGGCTCTAGAAGGCAACCAAAGAGAGCAGCCACAAAATAAATGAATAGCTGAAGAATTAGGAGACAACAATCTTAAAATGTGGCAGGGAGAGGGTAGTTGTCACATTAACTAGCATAGAAGAGACAGAATAGAATAACATAAATATATGAGTGATTATTGTTCTTGAAACCAGTCTTTAAAACATGGGAACATTCCCAAAAATCAAAGCCAGATAAATTAGGGAAATCTTAAATGGCACAATATAACTAGTGATTTCGTTTATAATTTTTTTAAAAAGGAGACTTAAATTTGAAATTTAGATGTAATTAAAGCAGATAATAAGAAACATACTTCTGAGACCACAAAGACCCTGAGATTCAGTTAAGAGTAAGGTAGAAAGGCTGGAAGCCAGAAGGGAATTAAGTTTCTGTTCCCTGAGAAGCCAACACAACAGGAAAAAACTGGCCACACCCTAGTTCAAACTCTTATTACTCTTATCAATAGTCTCCTAATTGTTTCTCTAGTTTTCTCCTCTCCCTTCTTAATTCATTCTGCAGTCTACTGCCAGATTAATCTTCCTAGAACACCACTTTCAGTATTATTCCCCTGATCAAAAAATGTCTGTGGTTTTGTTGCTCATAGCATAGTGGTTCTCCTTCTTTGTACCACAGCCCATATGCACGATGATAGATGGTGGGTAGCCACATGAACTCTCCATAACCTTTGGAGGATTTGGGTTATACACAGTCTGTTATCCAAGAAAGCATATCTGAGTGTAAGTGAGCATTATAGGGATAGTCTTATAATTGACTCCTTTTAAAATTTGTTCTTCTTTTTGCAAATGCCCCTTCAGAATTTACAGAAATAGTGTGTTCATTCCATCAGTAAAATTATACCCCAAAATGTTAATAAGCTTATTTCCATCACGTCTCCTTTCCTATTTCTTTCTTTCCTCTTTCTTCCTGCACATCTCCCCTTATCCTCCACATTTCTCTGTAATTACATAAGCATAAACAGACACATATGAGATTTTCTGGGTTGCTTGCCTTTAAATAAAAGAATGGGATTATCTTATACCCCTTTGTCTGCAGCTTGCTTTTCTCACCTAACAAGTACACCCTGAACATCCTTCCAGGTTAACAGATGCGGATCCCATTCTTTTAAATAGACAATATTCTATTCATGTGGTTTCGTGATTTTTGCCACTACAAGCAAGTTTCTAATAAACACCCTTTTCTATGTACCCTTTACAAATAGCAACTTTTTTTCTAAATATAAATGCTATGGTTTGGCTCTGTATCCCCACCCAAATCTCATCTTGAATTATAATCCTCACATATCAGGGGAGGGGCCTGGTGAAAGGTGATTGAATCCTGGAGGCAGACTTCTCCTCTGCTGTTCTCATGATAGTGAGTTCTCATGAGATCTGGTTGCTTGAAAATGTATGGCACTTCCCTCTTCACTCACTGTCTCTCCTGCTCTGCCATGTGAAAACATGGTTTCTTTGCCTTCCACTGTGAGTGTAAGTTTCCTGAGGCCTCCCAGTAATGCTTCCTGTTAAGCCTGTGGAACTATGAGTCAGTTGAACCTCTTTTCTTTGTAAGTTACCCAGTCTCAGTTAGTTCTTTATAGCACTGTGAAAATGGACTAGTACAGAAACTTGGTACCAGGACAGTGGGGCATTGCTATAAAGATACATGAAAATGCGGAAGCAACTTTGTAACTGGATAATGGGCAGAGGTTGCAACAGTTTGGAGGACTCAGAAGAAGACAGGAAGATGAGGGAATGTTTGGAACTTCCTAGAGACATGTTGAATGGTTTTGACCAAAATGCTGATAGTTATATGGACAATAAAGTCCAGGCTGAGGTGGTCTCAGGTGGAGATGAGGCACTTATTGGGAACTGGAGCAAAGTTCACTTTTGCTTTGCTTTAGCAAATAGACTGACAGCATTTTGCCCCTGCCCTAGAGATCTGTGGATCTTTGAACTTGAGAGAGATGATTTAGAGTTCGTGGCAGAAGAAATTTCTAAGTAGCAAAGCATTCAATATGTGGCCTGGCTGCTCCTAACAACATACAGTCATATGTGTTCACAAAGAGATGGTCTGAAGTTGGAACTTAGGTTTAAAAGAGAAGCAGAGCATAAAAGTTTGGAAAATTTGCAGCCTGACCTTGTGGTAGAAAAGAAAAACCTATTTTCTGGGGAGCAATTCAAGTGAGCTGCAGAAATATGCATAGATGAAGAGTAGCCTAATGTTAATAGCCAGTAGAATAGGGAAAATGTTTCCAGGGCATGTCAGAGACCTTCATGGCAGCCCTTCCTATCACAGGCCTGGAGGTCTAGGAGGAAAAAATGGTTTCGTGGGCCAGGCCCAGGGTTGCGCTGCTCTCTGCAGCCTCAGGACATGGTGCCCTGCATCCCAGCTGCTCTAGCTCCAGCTGTGGCTAAAAGGGGCCAGGAGATAATCTTGGGCTGTTGCTTCAGAGGGGGTAAGCCTCAAACCTTGGCAGCCTTCATGTGGTGTTGGGCCTATGGGTGTGCAGAAGGCAAGAGTTGAGGCTTGAAAGCCTCTGCCTTGATTTCAGGATGTATGGAAATGCCTGGATGTCCATGCATTCTGCAGGGGCAGAGCCCTCATGGAGATCCTCTGCTAGGGCAGTGCAGAGGAGATACATGGGGTTAGAGCCCCCACACAGAGACCCCACTGGGGCACTGCCTAGTGGAGCCGTGAGAAGAGGGATACCATCCTCCAGACTCCAGAGTGGTAGATCCACTGACAGCTTTCACCATGTGCCTGGAAAAGCTGTAGGCACTCAATGCTAGCCTGTGAAAGCAGCTGCAGGGTCTGTACCCAGCAGAGCCACCAGGGCAGAGCTGTCCAAGGCCTTGGGAGCTCACCCCTTGTGTCAGCGTGGCTTGGACATGAGACGTGGAGTCAAAGGAGATCATTTTGGATTTTTAAGATTTAATGACTGTCCTGCAGGTTTTTGGACATGCATGGGGCCTGTAGCCTCTTTGTCTTAACCAATTTCTCTAGTTTGGAATGGGGGAATTTACCCAATGCCTGTATCCCAATTTTTTCTTGGAAGTAACTAGTTTTTGATTTTACAGTCTCATAAGCAGAGTGGACTTGCCTTGACCCAAGAAGACTTTGTACTTGGACTTTTGAGTTAATGCTGGAAGGAGTTAAGACTTCCGGGGACTATTGAGAATGCAAGATTGTGTTTTGAAATGTAAGAACATGAGATTTAGGAGGGGCCGGGGGCAGAATAATATGGCTTGGCTGTGTGTCCCCACCCAAATCTCAATCACTTGTAATCCCCACATGTCAGGGGAGGGGCCTAGTGGGAGGTGACTGAATCACAAGGGTGGACTTCCCTCTTGTTGTTCTCATGATCGTGAGTTCTCATGAGACCTGGTTGTTTGAAAGTGTGTGGCACTTCCCCCTTCTCTCTCTGTCTCCTCCTCTGCCATGTGAACATGTGCTTGCTTCTCCTTCAACTTCCACCAGGATTCTAAGTTTCCTGAGGCCTCTCAGTCATGCTTCCTTTGAAGCCTGTGGAACTGTAAGTCAATTAAGTCTCTGTTCTTCATAAATTATCCAGACACAGGTAGTTCTTTATTGCAGTGTGAAAACGGAATAATACAATAGATTTCCCCAAAGTTGGGTTCCTGAGTCAGGGGTATGTGTATTTAAAATTTTAACAGATATTTCCAAATTACTTTTTTCGAGGATTATGGCAAGTCACAGTTCCCCCTGGCAGTGTTTATACTTTTCTTTATAATAAAAATACATAAATCATTATTACTAACAAATTCCTTGCCATGAGTCCTAAATTGATAACAACATACCAGTGTGCCATATAACATAGCTGAGGACTGTTGCAGTCTAGAATTCAGGCTCCTTCTCTCTGCTTTTAACAATATGTGTAATGTTCAAGACCAATTTAGTGCCACTTATTTTGTATGCTTTCCTTTATGTAGTCCAGGCCATAGCCCCCCACCTCATCTGATGGTATCCTCTGGCAGCCACAGACCACACAGTTCTTTCTACCTAAATTAGTCATTAGCACATAGTAGGTACCCAGTAAATGTTTGTTGAATTAATACTGTTTATATATTTCTAATTTATCTCCAAGTAAATCCAGTCTCCTTAAGGACAAGGAACGTTTTCACTATAACACCTAGCACTTAAGGTACTCAATTTAGGTAGGGCTGTTTGAACAAAGAACCACAGAGGAAGCAAATAGCATGGCCTTGCCTTTAATACATATATTTTACTTTCTCTTAGGGAAAACTGGAACTGTAAGAATCTAGTAACAATAATAAGAACAGCACTTTTATTGAGCAGTTACTATATGTGAGGCACAGTTCAAACTGCAGAGGATACAACAGTGGACAAAGCTTTAGTTGTTTCTGCCTTTCTGAAGCTTATGGTTTATGGGTGTTACATTCAAGACATTTGTAGGACACATTCTAAAATGCCATCCAATTTCAGGCTCTTTCCAGCAGAAACTGTGGAATATTTTTCCGTTCATTCAGCATTTACTTAGTGCCTGCTCTGCCAGGAATTGAAGAGAAAGCCCAAAGACAGGCAGACCTTACCTGAGAGGTAGTGAACTGACCAGGATGACTGTGGGCAGTAGACTTGTTTCCCAAACTAGCCTCACCATTTCTGTATTTGCATATACGAGGAAAGGATTAGATATAGGGATTCATGTCAGCATACACCCCAGGGACATTTGTTTTTAGTGAAAGGTGCCAGTCTTCATCCCTGTACCCAGTACACAAACCACGAAGAAGTATGCTCCCGTCATTGTCAAAGAATCATAGAATTCCAAATGGAGCTAGTTTTGATATCCAGATCTCACTTCATATGAGGAAACTAGGTCCAGTATTGTGAGTAAGAATTAGGACTCTTCAGATTCCCTGGGTATGAATCTGACTAACAACTGTGTGAACTTGACCAAATTCATAACCCTGTAAACTCTGTTTCCTCACTTTTAAAATGGGCACAACAAAGTGATGCATGTAAACTGCATAGCACAGTGTCTGGCACTTAAAAAGCACTCCTGAAGTTATTTTTAGTGATGTGTTTTAAGATTAGACAACTCCTTAATGCCAAAGGTTTTTACTTGAGAACTCTGTCTGTTGTGCCATACTACACGCTGTTCATAAGATAAGCCTTTTTCATTAATTGATCTCAAACTGGCTTCATTATGATCTTAACTTTATTTCAGTTTTATTTTTAAAATTTATTTTTAATTTTTATGGGTATATAGTAGGCATATATATTTATGGGGTACAGGTCATGTTTTAATGCAAGCATGCAATTGTGGGGGTGATATATAATTGACTGGGGTGAGATATCTCATTGTAGTTTTGATTTGCATTTCTCTGATGATTAAGGATGTTGAACATTTCTTCATACACCTGTTGGCCATTTGTATGTCTTTTGAGAAATGTCTATTCAGATCTTTTGTCCATTTTTTAAGTTGGATTGTTTGATTTTTTCCTGTTGTCTGAACTCTTTATATATTCTAGTTATTAATCCCTTCTCAGATGGGTAGCTTGCAAATATTTTCTTCCATTTTGTGGGTTGCTTCTTTGTTGTTTCCGTTGCTGTGCAGAAGTTTTTTAGCTTGATGTGATCCCATTTGTCCATTTTTGCATTGGTTGCCTGTGCATTTGAGGTATTACTAAAGAAATCTTTGCCCATACCAGTGTCCTGGAGAGCTTCCCAAATGTTTTCTTTTAGTATCCTAGTTTCAGGTCTTAGATTTAGGGCTTTAGTCCATTTTTATTTGATTTTTATATGTGGTGAGAGATAGGGGTCTAGTTTCATTCTGCCTATGGATATCCAGTTTTCCCAGCACCATTTATTGAAGAGACTGTCCTTTCCCTAGTGTATGTTCTTGGCACCTTTGCTGAAAATGAGTTCACTGTAGGTGTATGAATTTGTTTCTGGGTTCTCTAGGTCTGTGTATCTGTTTTTATGCTAGAACTATGTTGTTTGGGTTATTATAGTTTTGTAGCATAATTTGAAGTCAGATAATGTAATTCCTCCAGTTTTATTTTTTTTGTTCAGGATGGCTTTGGCTATTCCGGGGCTTTTGTGGTTCCATATAAATCCTATGATTTTTTTTTTCTATTTCTGTGAAGAATGTCATTGATATTTATTAATAAAGATTGCATTGAATCTGTAGATTGCTTTGGGTAGTATGGACATTTTAACAATATTGATTCTTCCAATCCATGAGCATGGACTATCTTTCTTTTTTTGTGTGTCCTCTTCAATATTTTTCCTCAGTGTTTTATTGTTTTCATTGTAGAGCTCTTTCACTTCTTTCGTTGAGTTTATTCCTAGGTGTTTTATTTTATCTGTAGCTATTGTAAATGAGATTACTTTCTGATTTCTTTTTTAGATTGTCCTCTGTTGGCATCTAGAAATGCCACAGATTTTTGTATGTTGATTTTGTATCCTGTAACTGTACTGAATTTATCTGTTCTAATATTTTTTTGGTGGAGTCTTTAGGCTTTTCCAATAAGATCATACAGTCTGCAAACAAGAATAATTTGACTTCTTCCATTCCATTTTGGATTCCCTTTATATCTTTCTCTTGTCTGATTACTCTAGGTAGGTCTTCCAGTACTTCCAGTTGAATAACAGTGGGCACTCTTGTCTTGTTGTAGATCTTAGAAGAAAGGCTTTCAGTTTTTCCCCATTCAGTATGATACTAGCTGTCAGTTTGTTGCAGATGGCATAACTTTCAAACTAATTGATTATAGTTAGGAAGTGGATACTTTAACTTGTGGTACCATTATCAGATTTATATTTCGGCCATAAGCTTGAAGAGGAGCTGAAAAATGCATATGTGATGCATATGCTTCCTATTTGGCTCTCTTCTCCCACCCCCCTGCCCTATAATCCACACAAGTTCCTCTCTCAGTCACTCATCAACTACTTGAACCTCTGAGGAACTTGGGGTTAAGGTAAATTAGAATAAAACTGTCTGAAGAAGAGCAAGCCTTTCATGTCTTGAGAAATTCTTGGGGTTTTAGAAATAACTTCATTGCTTTTTTTCTCCAGTTACTTTGGCTTCTTCTTAAAGAGAATACTAACACTTTGAACGTCATAATACTAAGGTTCTGCCTCTTCAAATAAAGACTTTAAAAAAAAATGGTTTTTGTATGATTCAGTGTGAATTAAATCCCACAGTGTAAAGGACTTTACTTTCTTAATGTAGATTTTCAAATACACAATTACTGATGTTTATAAGTAGATTTATTACACCAAAGCACCTAGCAAATTCTTGAATGGATCAGGTCTTATTTTTCAGTCTTACTTTGCAAATTTAAGTCAAATAATTAAGGATTTGTTAAATATTTGTCTTAATATCAAGCTTTTGCATATCGGGGCCCTCTTTTATAAGCTTTATAAGCAATCTTTTGTTTTCTCTGCTTGCTCAAAGTAGCTATGTTTGTTGTATCTGTTAGTATTTGCTCTATAACAAACATACTGGGTGCCTTCCCACTTAGATTTGGCAATTATCACTCCTGTAAATGAGATATTACATAAGATAGGAAAAAGAACAGTATCTTTCCAAGAAGAATAGTATCCTTCCATATTAACAGTTTAGAGCTGACTGCTTTTAAAATTTAGTGGCTTTAAAATAACAACCATTTATTATTCTTCATGAGTCTACAAATGAGGTGGGCAGTTCTGCTGATCTGGCCAAGCTGAACTTATCTCAGCTGGGCACATTCAGCGTATCTGCTGTCAGTTGGCTGGTTGGCTGTAGCAATGAATGGTGAAAGTAGGCTGCCCTTAACTTTTTCACACAGTAGCATTAGAGTTACAAAAGAACCAGCAGAACCATGCAAAACTCTTTAAGACCTAGGCTTGGAACAACTATATTTCTACCACATTCTATTGGTCAAAGCAAATCACGGGGCTAGTCTAGATTCAAGTGGGTGGAGGAGCTGCAATTACACTGCAAAGGAGTGTGACTGTAGGGAGAGGTGTTTTTTTATTTTTATTTTTTTGCGATTTGTCACAGTAGTTGTAGGAATCAGGTGTATTTAAAATTCTGATCCTTCTGTGATATCCGAATTGTTCATGAACCTTGCCTCTGGTGGAAAGGCAGAATCATTGTGACAGAAGGATAAAATCTTGGAATTTAGAGACTAACAAAGGTTCAGATTCCAGCTCCATCACTTATTTCTGCAATCCTGCAGAAGTTAATCTTCCTGATAGGCATTCAGTAATGATTGATTCACCTGAACCTCAGATTCTTTATGTATTTTAAAGAAAGGGCTAGGTAAATGCAAAGCACTTATGTAACTGCTTTTATTATTGCAAACCTGGCTCCCACACTCCATTCAAGGTGTAAGACTCAGTGTCTTCCTTGAATTAAAAAGGAAGAGAAAGTGTGTTAGGGAAAGGAAGAGAAATATTTGACTAATTGTGGCCCCAATAAAGTGACCACTCACTGGGGGTATTTTCCTGTAAGAAAAGAATGGTTGAGGCTCAGAGTTAAGAGATACAAATCCAAAAGTCTCCTTGGGGTAGGATTCCCTGTGATTCATGGGTTGAGAGGTGTAACATTAGACACAGTCCCAGTCTAGATTTTTTTTTTAAAGAATTGTAGTCCATCCTATACACACTGGGTGCCTTAATACTATATGTGGCAATTATCACTCCTATAAATCAGGTTTTACATAAGATAGGAAAAAGAACAGTATCATTCCACATTAACAATTGAAAGATGACTGCTTTTAAAAAATTAAAAGGGCCATATAGAAATAAAATCACATAAATTTCTTGTGTTAAACATAGTTGTCATATTGGATGAGGACTAAACACCTAAATTCATCCAACTAGTAGTAATAGAAAAGATGAAACACACACACAGTAAAACTAGATTAATTTAATTTATACAAAGGGCCAGATATCTCAGAATTCAGACAGTCAGAGATGTTGACTAGAGTTAATGCCTCTTTTAGGAGAGGTACCAGGTAAGTGTTCTCAAAGAACTGGAAACTGAGACCACCACCTCTGGCATTATCTATTTGTGAACACAAGCAAGTCTGAATTTTTCCGCACCATAGCTACCTTTCATGTAAGCTTCTTTTCTTAGAAGAAAAGAAGGTAACATTTGGGTGTAATTTTTTATTAAGGGTGAAATTTAGTGTAGAGAGTAAAGGCATTTGGCATAGAAGCCCTTAGTTTTTTTTGTTTTTAAGTTGAACTGCCAGCCTTTATGGATTGCAGTCTTCGCTGTTTTGATTGACATTTCCCAATTCATTTTGTATTATTTATTTTTTTAAGAGACAGGGTCTCACTCTGTTACCCAGGCTGGAGTGCAATGGGGCAAACTTGGATCACTGCAGCCTTGAACTCCTGGGCTCAAGCAATCCTCCCACCTCAGCCTCCCAAGTAGCTTGGACTATAGGTGTGCACCACCATCCTTGGCTAATTTTTTAAATCTTTTGTAGAGACAGGGTAGTGCTCTGTTGCCCAGGCTGGTCTCACATTCCTGGCCTCAGTTGATGCTCTGGTCTCAGCCTTCCAAAATGCTGGGATTACAAGTGTGAGCCACTGCACCTGGCCCCCAATTTCATCCTTTACAAAGACTACTTTCAACCATAAATCAACGGAAACTTCAGCTCCCTCAGACATATTTGGGATCCAAGGATATTTTCCCAAATGATTAATGCTAATTTCATATCAATACATTTTTGCAAAACCTACAAAAATGGACTAGTAAAGAAAGACTCTTAATTTGGGAAAGACAGTTACTTGGAGAGAAGAGAAACTTAAGAGGCAGGTCGAGTTCAGTGTTCAGAAATGAGAGGATCATAAAGAGATAGCCATAAAAATGTTTCTCCCTATATTGCCTGCTGATAGGGTGTATCAGTGAAGGTCTTACTAAGGACCTTGTACCTTTTCAGCGCTGCACTGCGTGCTCATAGGGAGGAAAGATAAATCATGTGTTTTTTCTGACCTCAAAGGAGCCTGTATCTGGCTAGAGAGACATGATGCAGACACATGAAATAATTAAGAAACAATTAACTGTAGCAGGTGCTGAAGAATATACCAGGAGGTCAGAGAATGGTAGAGCTAGTGTGGGCGAAGGTATAGCCCAGAGCATCATCAGATGATTCTTCCTTATGCAAATTCACATCTCCTCTGGGTCAAGTATCATCCTGGCATGCAGCAGCTCCATAGGTAATGCCCTAAGGCTAGCCTGAGGCAAGTTGCAAAAGCCATCATATTGAGTCATGGCCTTTTTTTGTGTGGGGGGAGGGGAATGGCATCCCCTTCCTGTCTGCCAAATCAAGGAATACAGTGCCCTCCTAAACCTGCTTTGTTTTAGTGGATTGTTAAAAAGAAGTGAATGAATTTATGCTTCATTAGGGAAAGGTTACAGTGGAATACTGAGGAGTAAGGGGTATTTCTATTTAACAAATGACATAACTTGAAGGAATGAAATCATAAGGATGGAATTTCAGGCATTAATAAAAAGCTGATGAGAGATACTTTGAGACAAAAGAGCCTTCCCAGTGTAACCGAGATCACAGCACCTACTTCACATACACAGGAAACCAGTCCTATCTGTCTCTCCCATAGAGCAGTAGCTGCCTTGTTTTTCCTCCCTCCTCCATCATTCATTCTAAATCTCCAGTCCTCCACCGCACCTTATCCAAACCCTGATACCCTTAAGTCACAGATGGTGAATCAGTCAAAAGTAGTATTAAAAACTAGTGGTACACAGCTACACCTGGAATGCAGTAAGAAAAATACGGATTTCTGTACATCATCTTCCCTCCCTGCTCTTACCCCCATTTAAGAGTTACAGGGTCAGAACCCAAGAGTCTGAGTTTTTGAAAGTCCCTAAAAATTTTGGATGATCACCTACATTTAGAACCACTGCACTAAGAAGGACAACAAATATGCCAATAAATTCTGTTGCCAAGGAGGTGATTATGCAAGCTGGAACCCTGATAACATGAGGAGAATCCCACAATAGCCAAATAGTCCATGTACTAGTTACATTATAATAAAGCCAAAAGCAGCAGGCCTACCTGACTTTCTCCTGAGGTCTATCATGAGCTTAGAGAGAAGGAACGTGGACATATAGAGGTAGCTCTAGATGGAGAAGGGCACTAGGTGTCATGGAAAGAATCATGTGCAAGAAGTAAAGAGGTGCTCTGAATGTCCTAGCCCTGCTTAGGTGTCTGTGTCCTCACATGAGAATTTATCCACAGTTCTTTCCCGCTGTAACAATCTTTGGTTCCAACTGCATTTGTGAGACAGCAAAAAGCTATGGTCCAGTCTCCTTCCATTGTATCATCTCATCAATGTATTTCTCCCACTACCCTTGTGTGAAATACAAACTTTTTTGGCTTATTGTGATTATGCAAGGTGTATGCCAACTTTTTTTTTTTCTCCACATCTTTCAGCTTTCTGATGGGTAAAAATTTTCCTTATTTTGCTTTAGAAAAATTCTCATTGGCATAGATCTAATTTCAGGGAGCCTCCCTTGAAAGCTAAATAACATTGAGAATTCATGAAAATATAATGTAGAGCATTATGCCTGTTAGCATATTAGTTTAAATAGAAGTGGTTCATGAAAATTTTTGAAATGCCAGACCCTGTCCTGTGTTTTGTATTCTCCCAAATACTCATCCAGATACTGTTCAGAATGTAACATGATTATTTTGAAATAAAGATTTTCCCCTAGTTTTTAAAAAAGTTACTTTATACATTAACCCTTATGTTCCTCTTTGATCAATTTTTCCAGTAGTGTAAACAGTCTTCAGGGAAGTAGATTTCTTACAGAAATTGTCAAGTGGCTCTCTGCTGTTAGCATGGTTACTAATCTTTTGGTTACTTTTCATATTTTTTATACTTTCTGGAAGTGGACAACTTACTTGTAAATAAAAGTGCATAATTTGTATTAAAAATTTTTAGTAACAATCTAATTTGTAAAATAGATGTGAGCAGCATGAATGTGTGTGATATGCGTACATACGAATTATGTCTCTTAAAAATGTATCACAGACATCTTTCCGTGTCCAAACAAATCTACCTCATTCTTTCTAATAGCCATATGGGTATACCATAATATATTTAACTAGGCCCCTATTAAAAGAATTTTGACTCTTTTGTAGCTACTATAGTGTTGCAGTGTGTATCTGTGTATGTATCTTTGTGTGTGTATCTTTGTACGAGTGTACATATATTTTCCCCTTGGCTATTTCAGATTTTTTTTTAGGTTTAAATCTTAGGAAAGGTTTTGAAATTGTCTTAAGTATTTTCAGAAGCATTAAATCATGGTTTTTTTACATTTTTCTTTTAGAAGTTTTATGTCATCTCTATGAGTAGCTTTCAGTAATTTGTTCTGCATAAAATTCCCGAAAACTTCCATTTAAAAATAGGTGGCATGACTAGACTTTCTCAGCCGAAAGAGTGAGGTCCCAGGAAGGATTTTGGAGAAGCTGTGTTCAAATATAGCTGCTGACCTGATGTCTGCCTAGAGTCTGGCAAGGTGATGTGTTGAATCTAGTGTCTGCCTGCATGCCAGCATCCCTTTACTGATGAGATTTGTGGTTTTCATCACTTCATGGTAATCATCCCAAGTTATAAGATGGAGTCTCTAGAAAATCAGTAGAGTATGAAGGCCCAAGTAAAATACATGTGAGTGCATGTATGTGTGCATACAAATTACTTCTCTTAAAAACGTATCCTGGGCATTTAAAGAATGAGGACCTCCGAAGGATTTTGTGGAAGCTGTGTTCAAGTACAGCTGCTGAGCGTATGTCAGCCTGGAGCCTGGCAAGGTGAAGTGTTGAATCTAGTGTCTTTTTGACTCACTGTTTTTTTTGACTCACTGTGCTTTGAAGCCCTTGTCATTTGGGCTCATAAAATAGATTTCTGTATACTGTCTCTCCTCCCTGCCCTCGCCCCCATTTAAAAGTATAGTGGCAGAACCCAAGAATCAGAGTTACTAAAAACTCTCTAGAAAATTTGGATGATCACCCACCTGATCATGTCTTTTTTACTCACTATGTTTTTTTTTTTTTTGAGACAGAGTCTCGCTCTGTCGCCCAGGCTGGAGTGCAGTGGCATGATCTTGGCTCACTGCAAGCTCCGCCTCCCTGGTTCACGCCATTCTCCTGCCTCAGCCTCCCATGTAGCTGGGACTACAGGGCCTGCCACCGCGCCCGGCTAATTTTTTGTATTTTTAGTAGAGTCGGGGTTTCACTGTGTTAGCCAGGATGGTCCCGATCTCCTGACCTCGTGATCCACCCGCCTCGGCCTCCCAAAGTGCTGGGATTACAGGCGTGAGCCACCACACCCGGCCCTTTACTCACTATGTTTTTAAGCCCTTGTTTTCATTTGCTCCACTGTAAAACATTCCCCAAGCCAATCTGGAGCTGAGGCAAATTTTTAACAATTTAAAATCTGGGGAATATAAATATTGGATAATGATCATCCTGAAAAAACAATGAAGGTAGTAGCATAATACTTTATATATCAATAAAATGGCAAAATAAGACAGTTGTTGAAGGACAGAAAGAGTAACTGAAGTTAGGAGCTTATCTTAACACATTTTTTGTGTCATACCATAGGCATCATATTTTTTAAATTTTTTTTATTTCATACACATAGGAAAATATATGTGTGTAAGAAATAATAAACACCTCTTTGTACCTACCACCCAACTTAAGGAACAGCTCATTGCTATTCCCTTTGGTGCTCGCTGGATGCCCTTTCCCAGTCACATCCCCCTCCCTTCCCATCTGCAGGACTATACTAGTAAATTTTGTATTTTTTGCATTATTTTGCTTTGTTTTATGATTTTACTACCTATCTACATATCCCTAAATAATACATTATTTAGTTTCATATGTTTTAACTTTATGTTGTGGAATCACATTAAATGTAGTCTTTTTTTTTTATATTATACTTTAAGTTCTAGGGTACATGTGCACAACGTGCAGGTTTGTTACGTAGGTATACATGCGCCATGTTGGTTTGCTGCACCCATCAACTCGTCATTTACACTGGGTATTTCTCCTAATGCTATCCCTCCCCTAGCCCCCCACCCCCCGATAAATGTAGTCTTTATAACTTGTTTTTTTAACTCAACATTGTTTGTAAGATTCATCCATGTAAGCTGAAGCTTTTTTATAGAGATCTTTGTTAAGCCTTTTAATGAATACAGTACATACATTTCTCTGTTCCCCTGTTAGTGGACACTTGGATTGTTTCCAGAGTTTTGCTGTTTTGAACAACGCTGCTGTGAAAATGTCTCCTGAAACACATTTATAAGAGTTTTTTTTTCCCCAAGGGAATTATACCTAGAAATTGAATAACTAGATCACAAGGCATACACATCTACAACTTCTGCTAGGTAATGCCAAATTGTTTCCAAGGAGCGTTAGAAGTGTTCTCATCAACTTTTACTAGTGCTAGTCTTTTACATTTGTGGCAGTATGGTGGGTGTGAAATATTTATGTTTAGTTTTTCTTGGTGCCATTTAATAATTTTTATAAAAAATATTTAGAAGTCAAGGCAGTTTTTTGTTTTTGTTTTTATTTTTTGCTTGTTTTGTTTTAATGCAGACATTGAGATTACGACTTGGAATAAACATTGGTTGCAAAGTTCCTAAAAGGAAAACTTTTTTTGGTATTCTGGAGCTTTTCTGGTACTGAATAAAATAAGTATGTTAAATTATGCATGTGTAGTTTAGAAGTCAGAGCAATAATTGTGATTGTTGAACAGAATGGCAGTAAAAAGTTTCTAAACGATTGTACTGTACAAGGGACACTTGTTGTGGGTCAGTTTTAGCCTCCCCAACTTTTATGTTAAAAGTTGCAACAAGGTTTAAGGGCTTATGTTTGATAGGCCAGATGGTGACCAGCTGTGATAAAACACAGGGAACCCTTGCAAAGGATTTCAAAATTTATGCAGTAGTCCGCCTTATCTGCAGTTTTGCTTTCCAAGGTTTCAGTTACCCGCAGTCAACTGTGTTCTGAAAATATTAAGTGAAAAATTACAGAAATAAAGAATCGAAGAGTTTTAAATTTTATGCTTCCCACCCATCCCACCTGGGATGTGAATCATTCCTTTGTTCAGCATCTCCATGCTGTAGGTGCTGCCTGCCCCTTAGTCACTTGGTAGCCATCCAGGTTATCAGATTGACTCTTCTAGTATTACAACACTTGGCTTCAAGTAATCCTTATTTTACTTCATAGTGGCCCCAAAGTGCAGGAGTGGTGATCCTGGCAATTCAGATATGTCAAAGAGAAGCTGTAAATTGCTTCCCTTAAGTGAAAGATGAAAATTCTAGACTTATATATAAAGAAAAGAAATCATATGCTGAGACTGCTAAGATCTATGATAAGAATGAATCTTTTATACATGAAATTGTGAAGAATGAAAAAGAAATGCGTGCTGGTTTTGCTGTCATATCTCAGACTGCAAAAGTTTGCAGCCAATGTGTATGATAAGTGCTTAGTTAAAAGGAAAAAGGCATTTAAGGTAAGTATATATAGTGTTTGGTACTACCTGTGATTTCAGGCATCCATTGGGGGTCTCCTGAGTATAAGGGGAGACTACTCTTTTAGTGTTAAATGAACACTAAGGAACAGAGATGGGGAAGAGGTTGGAGAAGATTAGTTCAGCAGTTTGAGTATAGGTAAACAGTTGTTTGAGAAAGAAGAAAAATGTGATTAGTATTTTACCTTAGCAATAGTGGCATAGATAATGATAAATTATAGTCACACAGAACTCTTAGTATTTACAGAACGTTCACATTTGTGATCCCATTTAACAATAACTCTGAAAGAAAGGTATCATCTACCACTGCTTTATTGATAAAGATATAAAAGGTAAGAGAGATGAAACATATTGGCCAATGATACCCATCTGGTAAGAGACAGGGATGGGGTGGGACCCCAAGGCTCTTCTCGCCAAGCCCACGGTTTTTTTGCTTTATACTTTTTTGCCTCCTGATCACCATGGCTGCAGTTTCTACTGTGGACAATGTCTGTCAGCAAGCATTGATCCCCTGCCTTCAGCACTCTTACGTCTTAGCAAGGACTGGAAAGAAAAAGCCAGGAGTTTACAGTCTGCTGGAGCAACAGAAAAGAATGATATGAAATATGAAGAGACCAAAATGATTTATAATAAGGTGCTAGACTATGTAGTAAAAATCTGCTTTAGCTGTAAGTCAAAAGCAAGAGCAGTCTTTTCAGAATGGAATAGAAATGTTGGAATTAAAGGAATTTTCAAAGTTGTGAATTTTTTTCAAGATAAACATGTTTTATTTTGGTAATTATGGTATTACTAATTTGATAACCTTCAGGGAGCCACCTAATATTATAGAAGATGTACATATAATGACAAAAGCAAACATTTTATTTTTAAGGACCACAATCTAATCTAAAACAAAATTTCCCCCTTTTCTGGTCTTTGGTTAATTAAGGACTTATTTAAATATCAAAGAAAGACACATAGAAAACATTTAGTATATTTCTATACTTTTATTAATGTCCTCCATACCTTACACAGATACTTGACTTGGCTATGGTCTAGATAATCCATGAAAATTTAAAGGACAGATTTTAACAACTTTATGCTAAATTGATAGATCTCTAGGATCAGATTGCCATCACTCTCAGATGCGAAGCTTCCAACCACTTATAGGTTCCTGATATCTTGCTTTTATACAGACCTAATTTCTCTTCCTTTAAACTTTCTTTTCCTCAGTTGCTATTTGATTGAAATATTGAGTCATTAAAAATTTCCAAGTGGGAATTTTTGTGTTTCTTCATCTATCATGAAGCTGCTCAAATAAGTAGGTGTTTGAATAGGAGTAGAAACAGTAATAGGCTGAAGCCAGACCAATACAGCTTCAGCTAAATGCCGACCTTGCTAAAGTCTGGGAGGACCGGTGTGGTATTCTACAATGTACAAGTCTGTAGCCGGTGCCCTTAATATGTTGGCTTCATGTCTCATGACTCTCTTCTGTAAATATGCAGTTTAAAAAATACAAGTTATTCTGCTGTAGAAGATACATTTGCAAAATTGATGTATCCCCTCTAAGTAAAGTTGGCTAAACAATAAGGACATATTTATAATTAATGAATTTGAGAAGAATGCTGACGATATGCATTATTCTTTGAAGTTAACATTTTTCAGGTCCTAAATAAACAAAAAGTAGGTTACTTCTGTCTGGAGTGTATGCAAGGGGTACCATCTTGTCCTTGGTTCCTGGCTGCTATTCCAAGGTGCTATAAAGTCAGCTAAAGAGAGCAATCATAATACATTGATAGCATCCCTCAATGTGTTTCTGAGCTACTTGAGAATCTTATTTTTGAATAGGTAGCAGGAAACCATCTTTGCAGGGCAGCATGGGCAAAGGGATTGGAGGGACTATTATTATAAAGATCCACTGAACTGCTTCAGTATCATAATATCTTAAACTAAAGGACTGGAAAGAGCCAGATTCCAATTTAATCTGCTCTTCTATGAATTCTTAGCTGGGTTCATTTAAAAAGAAAAAACTTGAAGATTGCAAGATTTTGAAGACATCTTAAAATAGGTGAACTCCAAGGTGCACTTTAAACTTGAGACTGATAACTGAATACTCCTTCACCTTTTGATCTGATATTGTCAAAATGAATGAGGACTTAGTGCTCTAGTAAGTTTGGAACAGAATGATATTAATTTATTTTCTCATGATTGATTCTTTTTTGCTTTTTAATAGATTAAACTTCACCGTAGAACAGTTTCTCAACCTCTGGACTATTGACATTTTTGATTGGATAATTCTTTGCTGTCAGGGCTGTTCTGTGTGTTGCAGGATAGTTAGCAACATCCCTGACAATCACAAATGTTACTTTCTGTCTCTATGGATTTGCCTATTCTGGACATTTCGTATAAATAGAATCATATATATGTGGCTTCTTGTACCTGGCTTATTTCACTTAACATGTTTTCAAGGTTCATCCATATTGTAGCATGTAACAGCACTTCATTTTCTTTTTATGGCTGAGTAATATTCTGTTATGTGGATATACTACCATATTTTGTCTATCCACTCCTTAGCTGATGGTCTTTTAGGTTGTGTCCATTCTTTGGCTATTATAAATAATGCTGTTAAGAACATTCATATACAAGTTTCTGTGTAGACATATATCTTTATTTCTCTTGTGTGGATACCTAGGAGTAGAATTACTGGATCATATGATAACTCTATGTGTTACCTTTTGAGGAACTGCCAAACATTTTTCTACAGTGGCTGTATCATTTTACACTCCCATCAGCAATGTATAAGAATTCCAATTTCTCTGTCCTTGCCTATATTTATTAACTGTCTTTTCTTATTAGCCAACTGCTGTGGTTCGAATGTTTGTCCCCTCCAAAACTCATGTTGGAACATAATCCCCAATGTGGCAGTATTGAGATGTGAGGCCTTTAAGAAGTGCTTGGGTCATCAGAGGTCTGCCCTCATGAATAGGCTAATCCATTCATGAGTTAATGTACTAATGGGTTATCACTGGATTGGGACTAGTGGCTTTATAAGAAGAGGAAGAGAACTAATCTAGTAAGCTCAGCCTTCTCACTATGTGATTGCTGCCCTGTGTCACCTTGGGACTCTGCAGAGAGTCCTCCAGCAGCAAGAAGTTCTTCATCAGCTGTGGCCCCTTGACCTTGGACTTCCCAGCCTCCAGAAATGTAAGAAATCCATTTCTTTTTTTTAATAAATTACACAGTCTCACGTATTCAGTTATACCAACAGAACACAGACTAAGACACCATCCTATTGGGTATGGGTATCTCATTGTGTTTTTTATTTGTGTCTCCCAAATGACTAACGATGTTGAACATCTTTTCATCTGCTTTTTGGACATTTGTGTATTTTCTTTGAAGAAATGTCTTTAACATTCTTTGCCCATTTTAAAATTAGGTTGTCTTTTTATTGTTGAGTTGTCGGTGTGTGTGTGTGTGTGTGTGTGTGTGTGTGTGTATCTAGAATATATGTGTATGTATATATGCAGATATATTCTAAACACTAGACCCTTATGAAATATATAATTTGAGGACAATTTCTCCCATTTAAAAGGCCATCTTTTCACTTCTTGATAGTGTCATTTGACTCACAAGTTTTTAATTTTTATGAAGTCCAATTTATTTTTTAATTCTTTGTTTTTGGCACTGTATCTTTAAAAAGTTGCCTGATCTAAGGTCAAACTGATTTTCACCTATGTTTTCATCTAAGAATTATAGTTTTAGCTCTTACATTTAGGCCTTTGATCCATTTTGAATTAATTTGTGTATATGGTGTGAAGTAGGGCTCTAACTTATTCTTTTGTGTAATGATACCTAGTTGTCCCAGCACCATTTGTTGAAAAGATTATTCTTTCCCCATTGAATGGTCTTGATACCTTGTTGAAATCAACTGACCATAAATATATAGGCTTATTCCTGGACTCACAATTCTATGAGTCTGTATGTCTAATCTTATGCCAGTACCACACTGTTTTGATTATTACATCTTTGTACAAAGTTTTGAAATTGGGAAATGTGAGTCTTCCAACTTTGTTCTTTTTTAAGATTACTTTGCCTATATTCCGTGTTCGTTGCAAACTCATATGAATTTTAAATCAACTCTCCATTTCTGGAAGAAAAAAAGAGGCAATTGAAGTTCAGATAGGGATTGCATTGAACCTGTAGATCAGTTTGGGGAATATTGCCATCATAACAATTAGTAGGTCTTCCAACCCATGAATACAAGACTTCTTTCCATTTCTGTAGATATTTAGTTTCTTTCATTAATATTTTGTAGTTTTCAATATAAAAGTCTTGTACTTCGATTAAATTTATTCTTGAATATTTTGGGTTTTGATGCTTTTATGAATTTGTTTTCTTAATTTCACTTTAAGATTGTTCATTGCTACTGATTAGTAATGCAACTGATTTTTGTGTGTTGATTTTTGTATCCTGCAACCTAGCTGAAATCATTGATTAGCATAATAGAGTATTTAATAGATTTAGGATTTCTATATATAAGATCATGTCATCTGCAATTAGAGATAATTTTACTTCTTCCCTTTCAATCTGGACATTTTTTACTTCTTTTTCTTGCCTAGTTGCCCTAGCTAGAACCTCCAGTGCAGTGTTGAATAGCAGTGGTGAGAATGAGCATCTTTGTGTTGGTCTTCATCTTGTGGGGAAACCTTTCAGTTTAAGTGTGTTGTTGTGGGGTTTTCATAGTTGTCCTTTATCAGATTGAGAATGTTCCTTTCTGTTCCTAGTTTGTTGAGTGTTTTCTTTTTGATTGTTTTAATCAGGAAAGGGCATTAGATTTTGTCAAATGCTTTTTCTGCAGCTATTGAGATTTTTGTGTGTTTTTCTGGTCTTTTATGGTTTATCACATTAATTGATTTTCATATGTCAAACAAACCCTGTGTTCTTGGGTTTCATCTCACTTGGTTATGGTTTATAATCCTTTTTATATACTTGTAGATTCAGTTTGCCAGTATTTTGTTGAGGATGCTTGCATTTATATTTATAAGGGATATTGGTCTGTTGTAGCTGACCAGTAAGTATAGTAAGCTGTATAGTTTACTAAGTGTTCCCTCTGTTTTGGGGGAGACTTTGAGAAGAAGGATTGTTGGTAATTGTTCTTTAAACATTTGGTAAAATTCACTAGTGAAGCCATCTGGGGTCTTCTTTGGAAGTTTTTTGATTACTAACTTAATGTCTTTACTTGTTTGTTATAAGTCCATTCAGATTTTTTTCTCCTTGAGTCATTTTTGACAGTTGGTTGAGGAATTTGTTCATTTCATGTAGTTATCTAATTGGTTAGTGTATAATTATTCATAGTATTCCTTTATAATCTTATTTTTTTGCTGTAAGGTCAGTCATAATGTTCACTCTTTCATTTCGGATTCTGGTAATTTAAGAGTCTTCTCTCCTTTTTTTTCTTGGTCAGTCTAGCTAAAGTAAAGTTTTGTCCGTTTTCAGGGGAACAGCTTTTTTTTTTTTTTTGAGGCAGAATTTCCATCTTGTCACCCAGTCTAGAGTGCAGTGGTGCAATCTCGGCTCATTGCAGCCTCCGCTTCCCGGGTTCAAGAGATTCTCCTGCCTCAGCTTGCCAAGTAGCTGGGATTACAAGCGCCCACCACCACGCCTGGCTAATTTTTTATATTTTTAGTAGAGACGGGGTTTCACCATGTTGGGCAGGCTGGTCTCGAACTCCTGACCTCAGGTGATCTGCCTGCCTTGGCCTCCCAAAGTGCTGGGATTACAGGTGTGAGCTACCGTGCCCAACCCAGCTTTGGTTATTTTTGTTGACCTACTCTATTGTTTTTCTCTTCTCTATTTCACTTATTTCTACACTGGTCTTTATTATTTTCTTCCTTATGCTTGCTTTGGACTTAGTTCTTCTTTTTCTAGTCTCTTAAGGTGGATAATTAAGTTCCTGATTTGAATTCTTACTTCTTTGTAAGGTGGTCATGTACTGCTATGAATTTCCTTCTCAGAAATGTATATGCTTTCACTGCATCCCTTAAGATTTGGTATGTTGTATTTTTGTTTTCATTTGTCTCAAGGTATAGTCTTCTGATTTCCATTGTGATTTCTTCCCCCTCTAACCCGTTTATTATTTAGGAACTTGTTGATTTCCACATACCTGTGAACTTTCCAGATTTCCTTCTTTGTTAATTCTCAGTGTCATTCCATTCTGGTCCGAGAACATACTTTGTATGATTTCTATCTTTTAAAATTTATTTGGCTTGTCTTATGACCTAATACATTGTCTATCCTGGAGGATGTTTCATGTACACTTGAGAAGAATGTGTATTCTGCTTTTGTTGGGTAGAGTGTTTGACAGGTGTGTTGGTACATAGTTCTGTTCAAATCTGTTTCCTTGCAGATTTCTATCTAGTTGTTCTGTCTATTGGAAGTAGGATATTGAAATCTCCAACTAATATTGCTGAATTGTTTATTGTTTTCTTCAGTTCTGTCACTTTTTGCTTTATATATTTTGAAATTCTATTGTTAGGTACAAGTAAGTTTATGATTATTATATCTTCTTGATAGATTGATTCTTTTATCATTATACAGTGCCCTATAAGAACAATTTTTATCTTAAGTCTATTTGTCTATATTAGTATAGCCACTTCAGCTTTCTTTTGTTTACTGTTTGCATGGAATATTTTCTTCTTTTACTTTCTATTTGTGTTCTTGAGTCTAAGGTGAATCTCTGTAGATAGCAATTGGATCTGCCAATCTTTGCTTTTTATTTGGGGAGTTTAAACCATTGACATTTAATGTAATTATTGATGAGGAAGATTACTTCTGATATTTTGCCATTTGTTTCCTTTATTTTGTGTCTCTTGTTCTTAAATTCTTCCATTACTACCTTCTTTCTTTTGTATTACATATTTTCTAGTGTAACGATTTTAATTTCTTTGTCATTTCTTTTGTTGTATGTTTTTAGTTATTTTCTTAGTGGTTGCCACGGAGATTTTATTGTCATTTTAACAGCCTAGGTTGGGCACAGTGGCTCATGCCTGTAATCCCAGCACTTTGGGAGACTGAGGCAGGAGGATAGCTTGAGTCCAGGAGTTCAAGACCAGCCTGGGCAACTTACTGAGATACTGTCTCTACAAAAAAATACAAAAATTAGCCAGGCATGGTGGTGTGTGCCTGTAGTCCCAGATGCTTGAGAGGCTGAGTTGGGAGGATAGCTTGAGCCCAGGAGGTTGAGGCTGCAGTGAACTTTGATCACACCACTGCACTCCAGCCTGGGTACCAGGGCAAAACTAGCCCAAAGAAATGAAGGAAAAAAAAAATCTAATTTAGATTAATATCAACTCAACTTCAACAGTGTATAAAAACTTTGCCTCTGTATACCTCTTCTGCTTCCACTCTGTGCTGTTATTGTCATAGATTTTCATCTTTCTACACTGTGTGTTTATCAATGTAGATTTAAAAATATTGCTTAGTAGTTGTCTTTAGAATCCGATACGGAGAAAAGGAGATATAAACAAAAGATGCATTTTTACTGTCTTGTATGTTTACTTATGTAATTCCCTTTCCTGATGTTGTATTTCTAAAGGCAAAGTAGGGTTATTGTGAGTGTCCTTTTGTTTCAACCTGAAAGACTCCTTTTAGCATGTGTTGGAGATATGCTAATGATGGACTCTCACAGTTTTTGTTATCTGGGAATGTGTTAATTTATCCTTCATTTTTGAAGGATAGTGTTGGCAGGATACAGAATTCTTGGTTGACATGTAATTCTTTCAGCATTATGAATATGTCATCGTACTGTCTTCTGACCTCCATGGTTTCTGATAAGGAATCAACTGTTAATCTTATTGAGGATCACTTGTTTGTAATGACTTGCTTGTCGTGCTGCTTTCAAGATTCATTCTTTGCCTTTAGCTTTTGGTAGTTTGATTGTGATGCATTTAGGTGTGTACTTTATTAGTCTGTTCTACTTGGAGTTTGTTGAGCTTTGTAGATGTATTTCATCAGATGTGTCAAGTTCTTTTGCCACTATTTTTTTTTTAAATAATCTTTTTGCCCCTTTCCGCTCCTTCTGTCACTCTGATTATTTGTGTGTTGCTTTGTTTGGTGGTGTCCCAGAAGTCTCTGAGACTCTGTCCAGTTTTTTCCTCCCCATTCTTTTTTCTTTCACTTCCTCAGACTGGATGATCTCAATTTGACCTATCTTCGAGTTCATGGATTTTCTCTTCTCCAAGTGACATCTGTGAGATGAATTTTTTTCTAGAGAATTTTTCATTTCAGTTATTCTACTTCAAAATTTCTCTTTGGTTCAGTTTTATCATTGCTATCTTTATATTATTCTCAGTTTAATGAGATACTGTTTTATACTTTCCTTTAGTTCTTTAGACATAGTTTATGTCACTGAATATATTTAAAATAGCTGATTTTAAGTCTTTTTTTTTTTATTTTTTTGGAGATGGAGTCTCGCTCTGTCACCCAGGCTGGAGTGCAGTGGCACGATCTCAGCTCACTGCAAGCTCCACCTCCTGGGTTCACGCAATGATTTTAAGTCTTTGTCTATGAAGTCTAGTATCTGGGCTTCCTCAGGCATAGTTTCTGTTTTCTTTCTTTCTTTTCCTGTGTACTTCGTTTCTTTGTATACCTTGTAATTGTTGTTGTTAACTGGACATTTTGAATATTATAGTGTAACAACTCTGGCAGTCAGACTGTCTCCCCTCCCCAGTATTTGTTGTTGGTGAGTATTGTAGATGTTTGTTTAGTGACTTTTCATGGCTAATTCTGTAAATTTTATATTCTTTGAAGATTGTGGGCACCCTGAAGTCTCTGTTTGTTAGTTTAGTGGTCACCTAATAATTAACAGAGATTTCATTAAATGCCTAGAAGCAAAATATCTTCCAGTCTTTGCCCATGGCCTCTGTGTATGCATTAGGGCAGGCCTTGAACTCTTACCCAGGGAGTTTACAACCCTGCCTTAGCCTTTACTACCAGCTTCTGCAGAGCATTAAGGTCAACAGGTGGTGAGAGTTTGGAGCCTACTCCATCTTTCCTGAGCATATACACAGCCCTACTCATGCATGTGGCCCTCTAGATTTCCAGGAGTATGTTGGACCCTTTCAAAGCCCTTACAGACTCCCCAGCTTTTCCTCTCAATCTTTAGACTAGTGTGTTGTTTTCTTCAACAGTTATCTGTCAGGCAGCAGCAAATTAAGAGATTAGCATAAATGTTTTCAACTCCTCCACCCGTCATGTGCCCCAGGGAAGCACTAAGCCAGTTCTAAGTTAGGCAAAATAAAGACAATCCTTTTGAGGTGGTCTTCCATGGAGTCACCAGACAGGTAAACCAAATAATTAATTACAAGTCTTTGGCTGGATACAGTGGCTCACACCTGTAATCCCGGCACTTTGGGAGGCTGAGGCAGGTGGATCACAAGGTCAGGAGATTGAGACCATCCTGGCTAACACGGTGAAACCCTGTCTCTACTAAAAAATACGAAAAAATAGGTGGCTGTGGTGGCGGGCGCCTGTAGTCCCAGCTACTCGGGAGGCTGAGGCAGGAGAATGGAATGAACCCAGGAGGTGGAGCTTGCCGTGAGCCGAGATCACACTACTGCACTCCAGCCTGGGTGACAGAGCAAGACTCCGTCTCAACAAAAAAAAAAAAAAACAAGTCTTCATGAAAGAGGTCCATTCTGCTGTCTTTCATACCAGGAATGTGGAATGTGGACTGTTATTTTCATGGCTACTGCTAAGCTAGGAATCAAGGGATAGATGGGGACTGGGTAAAACACCACAGAGTTTGCTGTTCTTACCAAGAATAAGCTGGGGAAGAGGGTTGTTTTTGTTTTTCAGTAAAAATTCCCTGGGCTGCTTCAAGCCGTTGATTAATTTTCAGGTTCCGAAAAAGTTCAGTTTGACAGTTTTTGCCCTTTTTATTTGCTTTTATGGATATGTAGAACTTGAGTTCTTTTTTCCACCAGTTTTGCTGACATTGTTTTAAAAGCACTTTTTGTAAAACCCAAATGTTGTCTCTCTCAAGGCTAGCCAATAATTAAAAATACTGTTACTCCCCTTTGATTTTGGAAATGAATTCGTATTGACCAAAATTCAATACTAGAGGTCTTTCAAGCTGTTTTACCATTTATCTAAACTTTAGAATCTAATGATTCCTGTACATTGTCTAGCATACTGGTGGTCCTCAATTGTCATAAGTTCAACTTTGGAACAAATGAACTTTTTGTGTGCAAGTTTCCAATTGTTTGGAAATTACATTGATGCCCCCTCCATCAAACTGTTATTCGTGGGACATCTAGGAATTTCTTACAGCAGCTGACAAATATTTCAAGTCAGTGCCTGGTAGTACTGTCCACCAGGCAACAGCTTCAGTAGTAGAGCGATCTTTATCTATAAGGCAGTGTTTGAGCAATTGTTTATTAGTGTTTTCCTAACTACTCAGAAGAACTATCAGGGGTTATAGAGGTAGCTCAGAGAGTTGGGTGCAAGTAGAGAAATCCACCCGGCTTGCATTACACATCTTATTTCTAGAGAAGCTTTCCTTTGAAGAAGGAGTTCTAAGGTTTAAAAAATTACCTTGAATGCCACTTATATTGCATTTTAATTTTATTTTAGAGAAATCAATGGAAAGTAGAAAAATTAAGGCACTGATACTAGTGTTAAGAATGTTGGTTAAAGCTTCTGGCAATTAATTTTTTATTTCCTTTTTTAATTTTATTAAAATTTAACAATTTTCAGTTTATGCTGTAATCCAGACCAAGGTTTCAATCTAATGAAGTTAATGCCAGTGTTGCTGCTACCTATTTTGTCTTTAGTCATTCAGCCATGCTTCCTACTTATACTGAATAAGCTAGCTTAATCTAACAATCAAAAAAGAAAGCTGTTGCCTAAGTTAAGAAAAACAGTTTGAACTGTTTTCAAACTAAATACCCAGTAGACTCTCTAGTTGTTGACAGGAGAATGCTTAATTCAGAATTGTCCTGCAGTAGATCATTTTATCTCATTCCTGTTCTTCTATAGGATAGCTTATTTGTTTGAAATTGTATTTAATATGTTGTGATTTTTGTGTGCTTGTTTCTATTTTTCACTGGATAGACTCAAGATAAAACCTGGTACCCTGCAGTGTAGCTATCAGTTTATAGCAGAGGAAATTTACATTAGAACTTGGCTGTGTATTTACATGTATCTAACTTGGAGGTCACTCTGCTTACTGTTGATATATCAGTCATATTAGATGAGTCCCTAATGAGATACCAGAAACCCCGGAAACATCATTAGGTGGAACAGTGTCCTTAATGCTTTATTAAGTGTTATAGGTAAGACAAAGCCTAGTACTATTTGTGGCATCAAGGTTAGGTGTTTAAAGACCTGTATTCTTCTATTGTCATGTTGAAATTGTTCCCTTGATGTAGCAATAGAAAATTTTAGATTAGGCTTAAGTTAATCAGCAAACAAAGATAAAAGTCTGATACTATCCTAAATATTTTGTGTTTCTAAATAATTTAACAGTGATCCAATTAGCTACTCCTGTAGAAATGTAATTGATAAACTTTTCACTCTCTTTTAAATTGCCATCTTGAATTTTACCTGTTTTTTAAAGCTGTCTCAAGTCCTCTCTAAAAAAAGGCAGTCATTTATAAATTTAGAAAAGCTTGATAGCACAGAAAGTCACAGAAAAATGTAAACATAGTTTAAAACTGAATTGTATACAAGCCACTAGAAGTACTTTTATTAAGTTTACAAATATTAGTAGAGTGGAACTCATGCATTTAATATGTTTGAAACTTTTGATCAAATACTGTGCTATGAAAAACATTTTAGATAATTATTCTTTAATCATGTGTGTGTAAAATGTGGCTTTTTTTGACAACCAAGTAGCTTTTCTGTGTGCCAAACTGTGACTTTAAAATTTTAAAGTACTCAACAGAGTAAACAAACCACAAATACCACTTAAACTGTACACATTTGCACATGCATTTCCTATAAATAGTACATGGGTTTCAAGTCTTCACTTTTGAAATTCAGAAATGGGTTTTTTCTCCTTCCAGTAGAAATAAAAACTTGATTTATTTTATTTATTTATTTATTTTATTTTTGAGACGGAGTCTCGTTCTGTGGCCCAGGCTATGGTGCAGGAGGGTGATCTCAGCTCACTGCAACCTCTGCCTCCTGGGTTCAAGTGATTCTCCTGCCTCAGCCTGCCGAGTAGCTGGGATTACAGGTGCCTGCCACCATGCCCAGCTAATTTTTGTATTTTTAGTAGAGATGGGGTTTCTCCATGTTGGGCAGGCTGGTCTCGAACTCCTGGCCTCAGGTGATCTGTCTGTCTCAGCCTTCCAAAGTGCTGGGGATTACAGGTGTGAGCCACCGCATCCAGCTAAAAACTTGATTTTTAAAAATCCAAATCGAAGACAGAATTGTGTATTTTAGTACATTTATTAGCAGCCTTGACGCTATACCATATGGCTGTTTATCATTTAAACAGCTTGTAAAAGCAAACACTTCAGGATTCATGAGTGGCAGAAGGACTGAGTACTTTGGGAAATAAGAGAGAACTTTTGTTGAGGATGGTTGAGGAAGAGTCCAAGACAATAATAGGCAGAATAAGCAAAAATCTAGAGACTCATTGTAGGCACTCAAGTATGTATTTGTTAGAATGAATGGCTGAACTTGGTATATTGAGGAACACTGAGAAAGCCATACTGACTGGAAGATAGTTCCTACAAGAAACTGGTGAGACATATGTTACAGTCTAGATTTTGGTGAGCCTTGTTAAAGTTTGGGCTTTATTTTTATACGGGGAGAAAGTTTCACAGGGGTTTGGAAATGAGGCTTGGAGCTGTTAATGGGGACACAGTGAGGTTTTAGGGTAGTGGCTTTCAAACTGTTTAAATCCAAACTTTGATGATAACCCTGACATAACTATTGTTTATAACTTCCATTTCAGTTGTATTGGTTTTATCAAAACATCTTCATTGATCTTACTGATTGCTTCCTATGCAGATTAATATTATAAATTTGAATGTACAAAGGAAGCTTTAGCAGTAAAATAGCAACTTTTATCTGTCTTACGTATTGGAGGTTCTGCATAAGATTTAATTTTTTTTTTTTTTGAAATGGAGTTTTGCTCTTGTTCACGGGGCTGGAGTGCAATGGTGTGATCTCGGCTCACCACAACCTCTGCCTCCCGGGTTTAAGTGATTCTCCTGGCTCAGCCTCCCAAGTAGCTGGGATTACAGGCATGTGCCACCATGCCCGGCTAATTTTGAATTTTAGTAGAGACGGGGTTTCTCCATGTTGGTCAGGCTGGTCTCGAACTCCTGACCTCAGGTGATCCGCCTGCCTCAGCCTCCCAAAGTGCTGGGATTACAGGCGTGAGCCACCGCGCCCGGCCAAGATTTAATTTTTTAAAAGAAAATATTTTGCTAAGGGTTTGGAAACTCTTGTTTTAGCAAGAATGGATTAAGACTGATTAAAACTAAAGGCAAAGAGGAGGCTCTTATGTTTGGAATTCTTTGCTAATATTTACACAATATAATTCTCTCCACAAATATTTAATGGTACCAGATATTAGATGGTTATAATGGCAAAAGTGTTCAAAGGATGCTATCATATTCATGATTCATGATCAAAATGAACATTATAAGGCTATCCCTCTTCAGAATTAAATACGTTACTCCTGTGGAAAACTTGCTTTTAATGTAGAAGTTGTCCCAGAGCCTTTCTTCCTTTCTCATGTCCTCTTATGTCCACTGCTGAGCTAACATGGGTCTCACTGAATGATTAAGAAAAAACATCTTAGGTGGGGAGTTCTGTATATAGTAAATGTTTAATTTATTGGGGTGGTGAACGGGAAGTGCTGCTGGCAAGAGAGGATGGGAAGAGAAATCTACCCAAATCCTTACCCGCTTTACAGAACATAAACTTCCTATTCAGTAGTACACAATAACTTAACGATCAAGGCATCTTAACTTTTCTGTTTTCAGATGAAAGAACTATCGTTTGGCTTGATCAAGTATTTAGTATTTATTCGTTCACTCAAGTGCTTACGTTTTTTTGTTATCTCAGGGTTTTACGTTAGTTATTAACCAAAAGAACTAGTTTTAGTTCTGGAAGTCTAAAATATATAAGAGAAGGTGAGGAGTAATAAGAGAAGATGAAGGGAGACTTTCGGAATGGCCTATGAACTTCTAGTAACTATACCACCTTAAAATAGACAAATTACAATGCAGTTATGAAGATATGTATTTTTCAGTGAAGACAACTAAAATGTTTGCACAGAATTTTCTTTTTTATTGAGTGTTAGAAATTCTATTTTGGAGATACTACCTTGCACAACATAAAAAGAAAAAGTGAGTGTGGAATCTAGGAATCTACGTGGCTCTAGGAAATTTTTTAAGTGTGGAAACTGAAGGAGAGCAAGAGAAAGGGAGCATGGCATTCCCCTGTTTGTAGTTCATGAGGTGGGTTTAAATTGCCTTTTGCCAATGCAGCTGCACACTGAGGATTACAGAATTCTTTTTAAATGTTTGTAGAATTATTTTTCACTTATTAGGTAAAACGTGTATTTTTTGATTTTCTCCAATTTCAGCTTTCTCATGTTGCTATGCTCAATTTTGTATACCATATATAGTTTTGTTAAATTGACAAAGTGGTGTTTTTTGTTCTTCTTTTTCCCATTGGTTAAAATTTAAAGAGAAAGTGGAAGCTAGAAATTTATCTAAAAAATGTAACTTTCCCTGTAATTATTAAAGTATCAATCTAAATTTGAATTTTCTTTGTGCATAATCTTTTTTCAAGCTATTTACCATGTTGACAAACTTGCTTTCCTGTGGCAAATACACTAGCAATACGTTATAAATATGTAACTTTCAACCTATTTACAGTTGATGCTTTTTTAGCCCTTTGGATTTAAAATACAAGCACTGAAGAGGTGAGGAAGTACCACTGCTGCCTCAGCATTATTTCGAAATTCTGTTTATAAACTATACAATTTCCAAGGTCATGAATCCAGCACCTTTCCAGGTACTAACTATTGGGACAAAGATAGAATTTGATTTTATTTATTTACCTATTGACTGAAGTCTAACTTAAATCTTGCACCTAGTAAGATCTTAGAAATAACGTGTGTACTCTGACCTGTAAACTAATCCTAGTATTCTGTGTGTATATTCTTTCTCATTTGGGCTCTTAAAAGGAAAAGTAACGTACATCTGATGATCATTAGCACTGAGCTTTTTCAGCAAAAAGTATATGTTTATAAAGAAGTATAGGATAATTTAGTAATTTAATAATGTGACAACATTTGCGTGTGTTTTTTTTTTTGAGAAATACAAATTGTGAGAAACAGAAAAGTAAAAGAAGCAGCAGCAGAAATATCACTATAGGATCAAAAGATTGCAGGAACCAAAACTCCAAAATTATTGGGCATAATGTACTAAAAACAGGGCAGTGGAGGAAAGGGACAGTCCAGACTAGCTCTGAGGGTCCAAAGAAAGTATTAAATATTGTTACTGGAGTGATTTGCTCTGCTATTTGGGCTTGGGAATTAAGTGAAATTGTTGATATACTAGACAGATACTTCCCACCCATTTTTCTCTTGATAATCAGGGTTCATTTTTTCTATTTTCTATTTCTCTGGATGCTCCATTTCTTAATATTAATATTAATATTAAGCTCTCAGTCTTTATGCTAAAAATTGGTTATTTAAAACAATTTAAATCAACTTCAGTCTAATTGGCTTAAGTTCAAATCCATTTTAAGATCGATATTGTGTCCTTTAAAAATTTTATTTAAAAGATATTTAAACTGATGAGAGGATACTACCCATTCCACTGATAAACTATTACTGTAAGTTTGTCTATTGAGGGCTAGTTATTTGGTTTAAAAATGCTGAGATTATGGAAAGTGGATTGGAATATTTTGGAGCAATATTAAAAACAGTATCTGTAACAATTTAATAAACTTATAAATTCCTCTTTCTCTGTTGATCTATCTTGAAAAGACACTCTATGTCTCTAGGCATTCCTTCTCTGTGGTGTGATTGGTAGACAGGGAGTAAACAACTTACTGTAAATGGGCACCATGCCAGTTGGCTTCAGGCAGCATCAAGCTTGTGACTCACAGTCAGGGTTAGGAAAATGCCTTTTAACTTGTTTGTCTCTGCCTCTTTTAAACATTAAAGGCACAACTGTACTAATTATTAAGTATTTCATAAGGTCTTTTAGGGCTTATAAGATCTTTTAGGAATGGCCTGGAAGTTATTAGTACTGTTTCATTGAATCTGAATACCTTTAACATGATAATGAGAAGTTTTTAAAGGGTGGTTTTATAGTTAAACGGAATTTCTCAAATTGGCTTGCTCCTTATGTTGATTTATTTAGGATCACATTTGGGAGTTTCTCTGCCCTACTTTCAATGTATTTAATTTACTGACCATCACTATTTGGGGGGAAAATGTTATATGATATTTAGAAACCAAGAGTTTTGGAGTTTTTCCCCCATTAGATGTATTTATTTATTTATTTATTATTTTTTAAAGACAGGGTCTTGCTCTGTCACCCAGGCTGGAGCACAGTGGCATGATCCTAGCTCACTGTATTCTTGAACTCCTGGGCTCAGACTGTCCTCCCACCTCAGCCCAAGTGGCTAAGTATCAAGTAAGAATCACCTGGCAAATTCCAAGGCTGTATACCAGATTTCCTAAATTAGAATTTTGGGGTTGGGTATCTGAATTTTAGTAAAGCCCTCCAAATGTTTCTGGTATTGCTTCTAAGAACAATTGATAACATAATAGCTGTGGCCATTATAGGGGTATTCTGTCATATTTAGATATAAGCATACCTTGTTTTATTGTACTTCCCAAATATTGCGTGTTTATTTTGTTTTGTTTCACTTACAAATTGAAGGTTTGTGGCAACCCTATATTAAGCGAGTCTGTCAGTGCCATTTTTCCAACAGCTTGTGCTCATTTTGTGTCTCTGTGTCACATTTTGGTAATTCTCTCAATATATCAAACTTTTTCATCATTTTTGTATCTGTTACGACCAGTGATCAGTGATCTTTGATTTTTTCTTTTTTTTTTTTTTTTTGAGACGGACTTTTGCTCTGTCACCCAGGCTGGAGTGCAGTGGTTCAATCTTGGCTCACAGCAACCTCTGCCTCCCAGGTTCAAGCAATCCTCCTGCCTCAGCCTCCCCAGTAGCCGGGCCTACAGGCGTGTGCCACCACGCCTGGCTAATTTTTGTATTTTTAGTAGAGATGGGGATTCCCCATGTTGGCCAGGCTGGTCTCGAACTCCTGACCTCAGGTGATCCGCTCACCTTGGCCTCCCAAAGTGCTGGGATTACCGTGCCAGCCTGATGTTACTATTTTAATTGTTTTCAGGCACCATAAACCTCACCTGTATAAGGCACCGTACTTAATTGATAAATATTGCGCATGATCTGACTGCTCTTCCAACTGGCCATTCCCTGTCTGTCTCCCTCTTCCTGGGACTCTCAAATCCCTGAGAGACAATAATATTAAAATTAAGCTAATTAATAACCCTACAGTGGCCTCTAAGTGTTGAAGTGAAAGAGTTGCATGTCTCTCACTTTAAATAAAAAGCTAGAAGTGGCTAAACTTAGTGAGGAAGGCACATCAAAAGCCAAGACAGGCCAAAAGCAAGGACTCTTGTACTAAACAGCTAAATTGTGAATGCAAAGGAAAAGCTCTTGAAGGAAATAACTAGTGCTACTCCAGCAAACATGTGAATGATCAGAAAGTGAAACAGCCTTCTTGCTGATACGAAGAAAGTTTTAGTGGTCTGGACAGAAGATCAAACCATTCACAACATTCCTTTAAGCCAAAGCTTAACTCTCTTCAATTCTATGAAGGCTGTGAGAGGTGAGAAAGCTGCAGAAGAAAAATTGGAAGCTAGCAGAGGTCGGTTGATGAGGTTTAGGGAAAGAAGCCAGCGCTGTAACATAAAAGTGTAAGGTGAAGCAGCAAGTGCTGATACAGAAACTGCAGCAAGTTATGTAGAAGATCTAGCTAAGATTACTAAATAATAGATTTTCCATGTAGATGAAAAAGCCTTTTGTTGGAAGAAGATGCCATCTAGGACTTTCATAGCTAGAAAGGAGTCAATGTCTGGCTTCAGAGGACAGGCTGACATTCTTGTTAGGGGCTAATGTAGTTGGTGACTTTAAGTTGAAGCCAGGTCTCATTTACCACTCCAAAAATCCGAAGACCCTTAAGACTTATGCTTAATCTACTCTGCTTGTACTCTAGAAATGAAACAACAAAGCCTGGATGACAGCACATCTGTTTATAGTATGCTTCACTGAATATTTTAAGGCCACTGTAAAGACCTGTTCAACTGCTCAGAAAAAAATGATTACTTTCAAAATATTGCTGTTCATTGACAGTGCACCTGGGCTCACCCAAGAGCTCTAATGGAATTGTACAACAAGATGGATGTTGTTCTCATGCCTGCCAACACATCATCCATTTGTAGCCCATGAATCAGGGAGTGATTTCAAGTTTCAAATCAGTACATTTTGTAAGGCTATAGCTGCTATAGACAGTGATTGCTCTGGTGGACCTGGGCAAAGTAAATCAAAAACCTTCTGAAAAGGATTGGCCATTCTAGATGCTATTAAGAATTTGTGATTCGCAGGAGGAGGTCAAAGGATCAACATTAGTAGCAGTTTGAAAGAAGTTGATTCCAACAGTTATAGATGAATTTGAGGGGTTCAACACTTCAGTTTAGGAAGTCACTGCAGATGTGGTAGAAACAGCAAGAGAACTAGAATTAGAAGTGGAGCCCGAAAATGTGACGGAATTGCTGCAATCTCATGAGAAAACGTGAATGGATGAGGAGTTGCTTCTTATGGACAAATGAGCAAATAAATTTTTTTCTTGAGATGGAATCTACTCCTGGTGAAGATTCTGTGAACCTTGTTGAAATAACAACAAAGGATTTAGAGTATTACATAAACTTAATTGGTAAAGCAGCAGCATGGTTTGAGTGGATTCATTCCAGTTTTGAAAGAGTTTCTACTGTGGGTAAAATGCTATCAAACAGCATCTCGTGCTACAAAGAAATCTTTTATGAAAAGAAAAGTGAAACTTCATTGTTGTCTACTTTAAGAAATTGCCACAGCCACCCCACCTTCAGCAACCACCTCTCTGATCAGTCAGCAGGCATCAACACTGAAGCAAGACCCTCCACAAGGAAAAAGATTACAACTCACTGAAAGTTCAAATGATTGTTAGCATTTTTAAGCAATATTTTAAGATTAAGGTAAATACATTTTTAAAGACACAATGCTATTGCACACTTAATAGACTACAGTATAGTATAAATATAACTTTTATATGTAGTGGGAAACCAAAAAATTCGTCTGACTTGCTTTGTTGCAATATTCACTTTATTGTGGTCTAGAACCGAACCTGAAATATCTCAGAGGTATGCCTGTATTAATATTATTTTGCAAGTAAAAAACCCAGCATATAAAAAAAACGTAGAATATGTTGAGAGTTCAGTAATATGGATGAAAATGTTTTTCTCTAACTGAAGAACATGATAAATTATAATTAGGGAAGGATATAAACCAAGAAAATATGTCTGAGATAGCCAATTCTTGCAGTTCATAATATGAAAACTCATTATACCAATCTCAGTAAGAATACTTTTAATAGCTGTTATTTCTTTGGGATATAGAATTTATAAAGTACACAGTAATCTTCTTATGATCAATCCTAGGATCACTTTACAACCACTTACCCCATATTACAATGTAGTACCAAGACAAGCAGACCAAATTATAGAAGGACAAAGTTTTTGCTAAGCATATTTTGTCATCAGCATACCGCATTGTGTGTGCATGCATGTGTGTGTTTGTGCATGTGTGTGATTGTATAAAATATTAGAAAGCCACCCCAGAAAAGTTAAATGACTAGGAATGTTGTGAAGGGATTAAGCTACCCCTAAAATTATATAACAAAACTCTCTTCATCTATTATTAGGTCATCTTTAGAACATCTTCTCTTAAATTTGTTATAGGTCTCTCTCATCTGTTTGGATTAAAATTGGTCTGAAAGCCTAAAATGGCTTTTTACCTATATAATTATTTCCCAACTAGCTTGTAGTATAGGTGCAAAGCTATCACACTTGCTAGGTTAGTGAAGTATGTAAAAACTACCATCTTTCAATTAGGAACCATCGGATAGCTTCTACAGGATTGCTGGGGAGAACCTTTATAAAGAAAGTTATATCTTTATAAATTTTTTGTCATTTTACTTAGCTGAGAATATAAAATAAGTTAGCTAATAATAGAGTAGAAATGTTTTCTGTAACAGATTAATATTGATCAAATGTGTTATTAAATGCTAAAACACCATTTTTTTTCTCTGTAAGCCATGTGTTTCATGCCACAACACAAAAGGGACAATTGTCTGTGTTTTATGACAGTTCTGTTCTGTCAGATGCTGTTTGTTCATTTTGGTGAATAAATGAAGAGAGCCCTGGACACATCTTTTTTTCCTCAACAAAAGAGGAAAATTATTCTTGTCTGTATGTCTATAATCCTGACTCTTTGAATGGCTTTAATTTTTTTAAAGTCAGCATTTTTTTATAAAGATAGGTGTTTGGAATGTGGGCGATATGGCTGGACAGTTAGATTGGGACCAAATAATGGAAGGCTTTGAACATCATGCTAAGAGGTTTGGGTTTTACTCTGAAGGCAGTAGAGAACCATTATGTTTTTAAGCCAGGATTGACTTGTTCTAAGCTGTACCTTAGAAATATTACTCTGGCAGTTGTACATAGGATGAGCTGTATGTTGCTTTGTTTTGTTTGGGGAGACAGTTCTCGAAGAGAGACTACATACGAAGGCAGTTATATGAGTCATTACTAAAGGTCTGGCAAGAAGTAGTAAAAGCATTAACTGGAGTGGTAGCAGTAGGGAAGGAAATAAAAGGATAGATGTGGGAGTCATTTGGAAAGTATGAGGCAATTCATTGACCTTACAGAATCACTGGTTTTCTGCTTCCACTCCATTCACATTGACCTTTCCAAGGTTATCAGTGACCTGCTTGTCCTTAAATTCAGTGGGCACTTTCCAGTAACCTACTGTTGGCACCAGCCCTGTGCTAGACACCAGGATCCTGTTTGTAAAGGCATCTGCCAGTGGTTTCTGTGACACAATTCTGTTTCTAGTTTTCCTCCTTCTACTTCTCTAGCCTCTTGGCAAGTTCTTCTTTCAGAGTTTCTCAGAGCTTTGTGCTAGGCCCTCTTCTCATTTTCTCCTTCTCTAAGTGATCCCATCCTTTTCTGTTGCTTCAGTTACCATTTGTCCTTATGCAAAGGACAGCCATATCTACTGTATCTCCAGCTCAGATGTATCTCTTTGCCTCCTGACCCATATTTCCAACTATCTAACTGGGTATCTTTTCTTGGATGAGTTATAGGTCTCTCAAACACAACATGTCCAGAATAATTCATTGACTTATTCTAAGGCCTGCTTCCTCTTTCTCCTGTAGTCCCTATCTCAGGAAATATATGGTGCTATCAACCCCAAAGCAGAAATCTGGACATAATCCCTAACTACCCTTTTCCCCTCTCTGTGCACATAATTTCAGTCATTAGGCCTCATAGATTGGACTAAATAAATACCTCGCAAACCCTTCTACTTATATTCTTAACTGCTCCTACCTTAAGCCAGGCTACCATAATTTTGTAGCTGGATGACTGCATCATCATCTTGACTGGCTCCCTTGTCATCTTCAATCTATATTCTATACTGCAGCTAGAGCTTTCAAACATAAACATGTGATCAGATTAGTCCCCTCTTTAGAACACCCTAGGGTTCTCACTGTCCTGAGTACAGTCTAAGGGTTTACCATGGCTTACAGGGTCTTTTATGATTTGGTGAGCTTTTTATTGTATAACCTTTCTAAACTGCCTTTACTTCCCTCTTTCTTGGCTCTGTGTCTTTGCATAATGCTGTTCCCTATACTTCACCTCACGTCTAACCTTCATCTCCTTTTCACTTCTCCTCTTCCTCCAAAATCCAGCTGAATATCACATTGTCATGCAGGCCCATTCTTGATCTCCCACGTTTGGGTTAGATATCCCTCTTCAGTACCATCACCGCACCAGGTGTGTCCCCTATCCTAGCATTTGCCTCATTGTATTACAACTACTGTGTACTCGTCTCTACAGCTCCTGCTAGTCTAAAAGTTTTGGGAGAGCAAAGGTTCATGTTTGTGTTTTTCACTGTGGTATACCCCAGTGCCTAGTATATGATAAGCTCTCAAAATATTTGTTAGATGTATGAAGAAATGAGAAAGAGAACAGGAAGAGGGTAAGTTTCAAGACTAGGAAACAAGGCTATGAAAGCTGCAGGAAAGCAGCAGGTTAAAACCTAGAAGAAGAGTTTGTTTTAGGAAATACTGTGTTTTAAACCACTATAACTGAAGCAAAAACCCAAGGCCTGGGTGTGGATAGAGTCCACTATCTGATAACAGTGGATACTGATGCATGGCAGAGTTGGAGAGGAAGAGAGCCAGATTCCAAAACAGAAGGGGTAAAGTCTTCTAAGAAGATAGATTATAGTAAGAAGGATTAGGGGATAGAAATATGAGCCTGTTCCACTCATAGATCTCAAACATGAAATGATGAGTCATCATGAAGAGAGTAGGCAATTGTCCAGTGAAGAAGGGGATGCTAACCCTTCTTAACCTTGAATCTCTCAGGTAGAAGCAGTTAGAGAAGGAACAGCCATCATCAGATAGTGTTGTAAGGAAAATGATATCCTTGGGGAAACCTGCATTTTGGTAAAGCAAAGCAACTAAGAAAGAATATACTACCACTGTTTAACAATCGCCACAAAAAGACAGTAGGATCATCTTTGACCCCCCTCATCCTTTCTCAGGAACTTGGAGGACTAAGAAGAGAGAAATCTGTAGAAGAGGCTTCTCTCTCTGATCCTCCCTCCACTTCAGTTTTACCACATGTAATGCAACAATAATTAAGAATTTGTGTAAAATTTCACCAGGTTGGCATGCATGGAGAGAAAAATTATTCAGATGTTTTCCTTTGTCAATAATACAAGGAGCATTTGTAGGGAAAAATATTTACAAATACAGTAAGACCTATTCTCTTTCTATATTTATGGGAAAATTTTAAGTTGTGCCCTTGTTTCATGTGTGTTTCTATTTAAAGATACCATACTTAATATATATTGTTGATTCATTAACATTGAACTCATGGCTAACAGCACTATAAATCATGTCTGATCAAAACTTATGATACATGTACTTTCTTCGTAAGGTACATCATAGTCTTCTCGTACATGGGAACTCTAGGTAGTACTTCAGGACTATGCATAGAGGCCATTTTAAACAGCAAAATTCCCAACAAAAAGCACAAAACTCAAAAAATGTGCCACTAAATTTACCATGAAAAGGACACTTGTTTACAGTTTGAGAGCTAAAACAAGAAGGTGGCGTGTCACTTCGTTTGACTTCAGCTGGGAACATGCATATCAGTCGACTCAAATTTTTTGCTATTCTGTGCTTATCCACGAATCGATAGGAAAGCAAGTGTGGATTTGGGGGTTACAAATAAAATGTAGCAAATGTGTAAACTTGCAGATGTGGAATCTACAAGTAGTTAGAATCAACTATGTTAGTCTGATCATTAAATCAGTTTTTTAAAGTACTATTGTAACACCTTATAACCTGCCCCATTCACTGAGTGTTGTAGTTTATAGTTTCATTGGGCATTTTCAGTAGTTTTATCTGAAGTCACATTTCAAATTTTGTAATTGAAGCTCCAAAGTATGCTACCGGAAACACGAGCTGATGCTGTGAGACAAAATCAACAGGTAATCCACCATCACAACTGTGGGCTAGAATGCTCAAGAAACCTTGGAGGCCCAGAGAGCTGAGATGAATACTGAAGAATCATAGGCAGGTTTACTCTGTCAAGCTGCCTGTATTTTGAGGGTGTAGTCCTCAAACCAAAAAGACACCAAATGAACAAACTCAGATGGCCTCACTGGGGAACAGAGATTGAAAGCTGACACTGGAATGTGTACTTAAAAAAATGAGAGCCCGTTTTGGAAAGGCAGACTGGGCACAGAATGTGGAGAGCTATATTTGCTAACTGAAGAAATTTAGACTTTATCCTCTACAAAACAAAGCTATTGGTTTTTGAAGGTTGCATAAAAGCTGCATTTTAGCAGCATATATTTTGGTAGAGCTGTTACCTGCCTGAAAACATCAATGTCATTTCACACAAATGATACTTATCCCTTGGTGTTTGATCTAAATTTCTACAATGAGAATGTGATTTTATAGTCTTTACTGGGGAAGGAAGTAGGTTTTTCAGGCCGAAATTCTTGTGTAGCAAAAATTAACACTTAAGTTAGCCCTTGGCAATCTCCAGTTCTATAATGGTAAAATGGATTTCCCAGAAAGTCACTCTCTATCCCTTTGAATAGACATTAGAAATAACATGTACTTTAAGTGGGATTTACAGAGGAAGGGGGCCTTTAATTCTTTACTAGTGTGATGCCCTGTAAAAAAATAACTAACATTAGAGTTGAGGCCTAGAAATAGCAGCACTGGGTTAAAGTCTGTTTTCAAGTGCAAGTTTTTCTTTTTATTCGTGTGTGTGTGTGTCTGTGTGTGTTTCACATAGAAGGAGGAAATGCCAATTTCAGTTCTTACAAATATTAATGACTGCAACTTATAAAAATGTTACAGACTATATTCTTCCCTTTTGTAACAGATGAGAAGATTTTGAAATTTAGTCTCTACTTTTTAGTTTGGTAAGACAATTTGAATAAACTGCAATAATTGCAAAAGAATTCTGAATATTTGAACATTTGACATTTTCTATGTCAAATATACATTTCTTGTACTATATAAACATTCTAGAAAAGAGAGACAGGCAGGGAGGAAAGTGCTCATTAAAAAGAGCTTCACCCTCTCTGAAAAGGGATTTCCTTTACAGTGCTGTGTACTAAAGCCTGTGTTGTAAATCAGAAAGCACTGAGCACACATGTTGCTGCTTTGGTAGCATCAGAAGTCGATTTTCATTAGCCTTATACCATTCACTATTTCTGCCAAGCAATCTTAAATTATAAAAGAATCTTATTTGATTTTGTGATTCTCTTGTTTTCTGCTCATAAAGAAAATATCCTAAATTGAACAATGGCATGCTACGTTTTTAGTTTTTAAGACAGCTAATGTGTAAAAAGACATTTAAAGTATAGTTGTGTTAAGTTTTTGAAGTTTACAGTTGTTTCAATTTTGCTGCTATACTTTGTTAACATATTTTAGGAATATTTCATTTTAGTCACAACTAGGATATAAACATTATTTTGGTGGCGATCTCCTTGTAATCACGACGTCAACCAAATTTGGGAAATTTTGATTTGTTAGATTTATAAATTTTACAGTAACACAAAAGTCTAATTTCCTATATATTTTCAAGGCCCCTATACCTTTGTCAAAATAAAGTATCAATGAAAAATGAAAAAATCATAAACTATGTTCAGGCCAAACTGATACTGACTTTGTTAAAAGGCTAGATAGAAATCTGTTTTCCTCTTCTGTTACATCTCCTCTTCTGGAGACCACTCTGTGTGGACTGAAGGTTTGAGATCCTAGGACCTAGGCTAGAACAGATTAGGAGATTGTGCTGTATGTTAAGTGGCAGATACCATGGAATTCTAAGCCTGTTACGAAGGAGGAGAAGAAGAGGCACAATGACCCTGACACAGCCCCTGGGTTGACCACAGCAGATATCTCACTTGAGCAAGTAGATATCATCTCAATTGCTTGCTGATTATCTCTAACTTGTCAGTAACTTACTTTGATAACCTAGATTTAGGAGTCTGACAGCATGCAGTGTATGCCTCATAATAATCTGCTGTTTATGAAAGTCATAACATTGTATGTTTAGCATAATGGTGAAGAGCCTGCCATCTGGAATGGTCTACTTATTTGGGATCCACATACAGTAAGCTCTCACTTAACATCATCAGTAGGTTCTTGGAAACTGTGACCTTAAGCAAAACAACCTCTAATGAAACCAATTTTACCACAGGCTAATTGATATAAACAAGAGTTAAGTTCCTGTGGCATATTTCTGGTCACAAAAACATCACTAAACTTCTAAATAAAGACCCAAAACACTTATAATATTAACCACTGAAATAAATGTGAGCTATATATATACATTTAAGAATAATAAAAACAAAAAATAATTATTTACCCAATTTTTGGTGAACCAGTGAGTGATAGTGATCATAGTGATGGTGGATGAAATCAAGGAATAAATATTTGCAAAGTGAAAATTGTAAGAAGCACCCCCTGTCACCACATAGCTCAGAAATAATAATTAGGGCAGGCTTGCTGAGCATTTTTAAACTGCACTGTTTATTGTCATGCATTTGAATGATTATCGCAGACTTTATGAATTTTCATTTTATATTAATTTGTAGGCCAGGCACAGTGGCTCACGTCTGTAATCCCGGCACTTTGGGAGGCCAAGGCAGGCGGGTCACTGGAGGTCAGGAGTTCAACACCAGCCTGACCAACATGGGGAATCCCCATCTCTACTAAAAATACAAAAATTAGCCAGGTGTGGTGGTACACACCTGTAATCCCAGCTATTTGGGAGGCTGAGGCAGGAGAATTGCTTGAACCTGGGAGGTGGAGGTTGCAGTAAGCCGAGATTGTGCCCCTGCACTCCGGCCTGGTGACAGAGCTAGACTCTGTCTCAAAAAACAATAATAATAATTTGTATTCATTCATTTTCCAATGTGTTCATTCCAGTTCAGGGTCCAGGGGGCCTGCAGCTTATACTCATAGCTCAGAGCAACTGACCCTATAGACAGGACGCCACCCCATTGTAGGGTGCACTCAAATGCACACTCACACTCAAACTGGGACCCTTCAGACATGCCAGTTACCGTATCACACACAGCTTCGGGATGTGGGAGGAAAGCGAAGTATCTGGAGAAAAACTACACAGACATGGGAAGAACGAGCCAACTCTACACAGACAGTGGCCCTGGACAGAGCTGGGCAGGCATCAGTTTTTTTTCTTTTTTTTGTGGGGGGTGAGGGTGGGGCATGGAGTCTCACTCTGTCACCCAGGCTGGATTGCAGTGCAGTGGTGTGATCTCAGCTCACTACAACCTCCACCTCCCGGGTTCAAGAGTTTCTCCTGCCTCAGCCTCCCAAGTAGCTGGGATTACAGGCGCCCGCCACCACACCTGGCTAATTTTTGTATTTTTAGTAGAGACAAGGTTTCACCATGTTGGCCAAGCTGGTCTGGAACTCCTGACCTCAGGTGATCCACCCGCCTTGGCCTCCCAAAGTGATGGGATTACAGGCGTGAGCTACCGCGCCCAGTCAGCATCATTTTTTTTTTCTCATCAACGTTAAAACAATGTTGAACAAAACATTATTCAAAGACCTGCCGTATGGCTATTTTCTAGTTGTGTGACTTTCTTTGGGAAAGTTAGCAACCCTTTCTGAGCTTAAATGTCCTCATTCATAAAATGGGGCTAGTAATAATGCATAAGGTTTTTGTAAGAATTAGAATTAATAAAGTACTTAGACCATAATAACTAATTAGTATTAGTTGTTGTCTTTGCTATTATTTTGATGTGGTGGTTGTTTGGTTTCACCTGTGTACTATCAGGACATGCTGAAATAAAATTTAAGAATTGGCTTTATAATATTAGAAAAGCAAACTTTTGTACGATATGGGTATGAAAAATTGTTGGGAGTCTACTTTTTCTCTCTTACCTAATTTGTCTTAGTCTTTTTAAAGCTTAGATTTTCCAAATGAGCCATAGCAAAATATAATGTTTAAAAATGTTTAAATTCTAAGCACTATGTCATAGTTAAATAACTTAAAGGTGCTACATCTTATACAGTCCAAAAGGAACATAATTAGTAAAATTCTACAATTTAGAAAAAAAAATAGCTGACAGTGACTGATTTATAAAAGTAAAATATCTTTTGTTAATACTAATATTCTTTTTATAAATTAATTGATGACAAAAAATTGAGTGAATGAGATTTGCAGTTCATTTATCTATGATGCTGGTTTATTTAATCTCTATAATTTGCTGTATTTGAAAGAGCATAGTGATAGAGGTCATGATAAAATCTAGGCCCAGTGCCACAACTAAATCCCTGTAGGAACTCTCAAGGTTTTGATTTCATCTCTGAATGGGAATAACACCTTCCAAGAATATTATGAAGATTAAAAAGTTACGTATCATAAATACACACAGAGTAACAATACTGGGAATATTGCAACTTGTAAGAAAGAGGAAGCATATGGCATATTCTGATGGTTAGGGATATGGACTCTGTAGCTGGGATGCCTGAAAGAGAACTCTGACTCCACTAATGGCTAGTTATATGAAATTGTGCAGATAATTTAACTTCTCTGAGTTTGCATTTTTCTTTGTCTATATAATGGGGATAATAATAGTACCTACCTCACACATAGTGTTAATTTCTATTAGTGGTTCTCATTAAGATAGTATTGTTGTTCATCCCTGGTTGTTAGCCATCATGTATCTGAGTTAGAGAGTCATTGATTTTAGAAAGTCCCGAGGAGACTATCAGGTCAAGCAACCTGCCTCCTGCTAGACAATTAGCTTTATCCATGAGTTACCAAAGAGGGAGCCGAAACCCAGGGAAGCTGAAAGAGCTGTTGATTGTCACCCTGTGAGTTGGTGATAGAAAGATATCTGGAATCCCAGTAGTTGCCCATTTCCTAGTTCTGGGCTCTGCATTGCACTAGAATACTGTGCCATTCTAAATATGAAAAGGCAGTATGACCATTGTGCTTGTCACTTTCCATTCCCTAGATGCTATCTTATATTTGTCCTTATGAAATTTAACCTGTGACTTTCAGATCACTTAGAACCTTGGTTGGACAGTGTTTTCTAGTGTTATTTAGTATATTTTTTTGTCATCTTCTGTTGTCTTTGGGTTCCCCTAAAAGAGCTATACTCTGGGTGCCAGGAAACTTCACACATGACTGTCTTCTCTTCCTCGACTTCCCTCTCTACTTACCTTTCCAGCTCGTAGCAAATCAGAAGACTTCTCTGACACCTCTCTATGTCTAAAGGTCCTTTGATATTCTCACATGGCGGCATGAATCACAGTGTATTTTAACTGGCCTTTTCCTTGTATGTCTCCTACAATGAGCTGTTGAAGCTTCATGAAAACACAATCTGTTTTACTCAGGGCAGTTATAATTCCAATTACAAAGCACATTTCCTGGCTCCTGGCTAGGAACTCGATCATTTTTCGATGCTTCCTTGCTCAGGACTTTCTGATTCCTTCTTAAAACATTTTGGGGCATCTCCTTCTCCTGGTTTTTGGAAACATATTCTCATACTGCTATGAAGGTTTTTACTGACATTTCCAACTTCTCTTAAATTGATTCAGCAAATGTTTTTCCATAATAAATGTCATTGATATGTCATCAATATGGAGAGCAACAACAGAATGCATTGAGTAAACTCCTCCCCTGGAGGTCTGAGAATCTAGATTCCAGTTCTCACAGAGCCACCACCTTGGTGACCTTGGACAGTAGACCTTCTAAGCCTCAGTTTCCTTATCCCTTAAGTGGGGATATTAATAGAACCCATTCTCAGAGATGTTGCCAAGATTAAAATAACCAAGATAATTCCTGTAGATGATTTGGCATAGTGCCTGCCACGTACTAAGCAAGAGTTAGCCTCCGTCATTATAGTATGATCATAAAAAATGAACAGACTAAACGAAGTAACCAGAAGGAAAGAAATTTTAATTCTTAAAATGTAATAGTTTCTTGGTTTTTTTTTTTCTGTGAAACACCTGCATGGCACCTTTTTGTTATTCATACTGTTTTGACTGTGGCTGTCGTAGATTCTTGTTGAAAGTCTGAGAGACTGAGACTTGTCATTTTGAACATGGCATCAGTGGAACAGCTTATGATTCAATAATTGCATCATCCTGGACAAGCACCAGTAGAAGTGAGTCAGGACATGTGATAAAAAGACATTCATTTTGCCCCTCCTCCCTCTCTGTATTTTCTTTGCTATAAAATTATTGATGTTAAGCCCATAGTACTAATATTTCAGTTCAATTCATAATAAAATTTGAGGGCATTTGAATATATTATCTGTTGTAAATTATAATTTTATATTTGACCACAGAGTATTTGAAGTGGGTCTTTTCTTTCCCCAAAATTCTATTTTAATAACTAAAAAATATTCTTAGGAGAAGTATTATTTAAGAACAGGTTTATATTAAATAACATCATTTCACTTTCAACTTTCTGGTGGTCAAAAAATATGCTAATACTAATTAGGATATGATACACATGTTCTGTTAGAACAGTTTTGGCAGTTAGAAGACTTCTCTTCTTGTGTTTGAAAGGGATGTTACTTGGGGTAGTTATGAGCCATGTATCCAGATGTCCTGAAAGGACCAGTGGTAGATGTATTTCTATTTTTGTCTTTTCTTTTTTCTTTCTGGCATTCTAGTTGCTGAGTGACTGACTTTTGTTTTCAGCTCTTCTCACAATCACCATTGTTCTAATAACTTTGCTTAAATAGAATGTCTCCTTTTGCTATAAGCCATGGGGCCATTTACCGTTAATTTTTTAAAGTACTGAAATGAGAACCTCATAAATTAAAGAACACTCCTGATTCTGAGTTAGCAGATCCTACTAAGCCTTTTGCAGATGGAAATTTCCTTTAAATTGGTTTGTTTTCCTTTAACATTCCATTATCCTATTGTTCATTCTTTGGAGCTGTGATTTGTTTAATATATTTCAGGCTTCTTAATAAATCAAGTCATGTAAGTTATTATTTGGATCATTTCGAAACTACAACAGCTTATCAAACCTCTGAAAGAAGAATTTTGTGTTTGCCCACAGACTGAAGAACTGATTCAGTTTTATTGGCTGAGCTACCTTCATTATTCATATTTAATTCCTGGTACTGAGGGTGGGAGGAGGGAGAGGAGCAGAAAAGATACAACTATTGGGTACTGGGCCTAATATCTGGGTGATGAAATAATATGTACAACAAGCCCCCGTGACATGTGTTTACCTATTTAACGAACCCTCACATGTATCCCCAAGCCTAAAAGTTTAAAAATATATATTTGGTAAATCAATTGATGTGTTTTAAAAAATATCGCCTTTTGGCCGGGTGTGGTGGCCCATGTCTGTAACCCCAGCACTTTGGGAGGCCAAGCCGGGCGGATCACGAGGTCAGGAGTTCAAGACCAGCCTGGCCAACATGGTGAAACCCTGTCTCTACTAAAAATACAAAAAATAGCTGGGCGTGGTGGCGCGCACCTGTAATCCCAGCTACTCGGGAGGCTGAGGCAGGGGAATCTCTTCAACCCAGGAGGCGGAGGTTGCAGTGAGCCAAGATTGTGCCATTGGACTCCAGCCTGGGCGACAGAGCGAGACTCTGTCTCAAAAAAAAAAAAAAAAAAAAAAAATCATCTTTAAAGAGATAACTAACCCTTCCCCAGAAGGCAGGGCCAAAGTCTAAGGTTCTTCCAGGTCCTTTGTATTCCCTATAAATTTTAGAGTCAGCCTGTCAATTTCTATACACACACAAAAAAAGCCTGCTGGGATTATGATTGGTATTGCATTGAAATTAAATCAATTTGGGTATAAGAGACTTCAATTTGGGGATTGAGTCTATATTGAGTCTTCCAATCCAGGAACACTGTATATCTCTCCATTTAGTCAGATATTTAGTTTATTTCAACAATATTTTCAGATCTTTAGTTCCTTTCAGCAATATTTTCTCATTTTTCCTGTAAAGCTCTTGCACATCTTTTGTCCCATATCTATTGTGTATATGTGTTTTGCTAGTTATTAAATTATATTAATATAAATTTTATTTTCCAATTGTTTGTCGCATATATAGAATGTTTTAAAAATATTGTGTCCTGTGACCATGCTAAATTAACTAATTCTAGTCATTATGTCTTCATTATCTTTCTCTTGAATTTTCATTGTCTTCCCCTTCTGGGACTCCATTCATATGTAAGGCCATTTGATACTGTCTCTCAGGTCCATGAAGTTCTGTTAATTTTTCTTCATTCTTCTTTTTCTCTGTGTTCTTCAACTGAATGAATGCCATTAATAATTTGGTATGTAATGGCTCACTTAAACTTCCTTTTGTTTTTAAGATATTTCTACTCTCAGCTGTGTCTGGAATCCTTTAGTCCGGAGCCCCACCAACCCTCAGCCTAGAAGGAAGGAGGAGAAGGATAGGGTGAAAGGAAGGGGAGAGCTTCTAGCTTCAGGACAGAGATCAGAACAAACAACAGAGCAGTCATCTTGGATAAGGAAACTTCCCTCAAACCTATTACTTATATCCTCAGAAATAAGAAAAATAATGCATTTATCAAATTAAAGGATTTTGAAAAAGGGAACATTCAGAGAATAAAACTAAACTCTTGAAAGTTAAAAGGATGATAACATAAATGAAAAGCTCAGTTGAAGGATTGAAAGATAAAAGTAAGAAAATATCCCAGAAATAAGAGCAAAAAGACAGCAATGTAAAATAGGGGAGAAGATAAGAGAATTAGAGAACCAGCTTAGGAGTTCTAGAAAGAGAAAATGTAGACAACAAAAGGTAAGAAATCATCAAAGACTGGAGTAGGGGAGGTCATGCTATCTGTTTCTTTTTCTATTTTTTATTTTGAGTTACATTTTTTTTTACTGTGAAACAAGCATATGTACATGAGAATGAACAAAACAAATATGCAGTCATGTATTGCTTAACAACAGAGATAGGTTCTGAGAAATGCATCATTAGGCGATGTCATCATTGTGCAGACATCATAGAGTGAACTTACACAAATCTGAATGGTATGTCCTACAGTACACCTGGACCATATGGTATAGCTGTTGCTTCCAGGCCACAAACTTACAGCATGTTACTGTACTGAACACTGCAGGCACCTCTAATACATCGGTAAGTATTTATGTATCTAAACATAGAAAAGGTACAATAAAAATACAATATAAAAGAGGAAAAAAATAGTACACCTGTATAGGTGCTTACTGTGAATAGGGCTTCCAGGATTGGAAGTTGCTGTGAGTCATTGAGTAGTGAGTGAATGTGAAGGCCTAGGACATTTATTATATGAAGTCTACTGTAGTGTAAACTCTGTAGACTTAGGCTACACTAAATTTATAGAAAAATTTTCTTCAATAATAAATTAACCTTAGCCTACTGTAACTTTTTTACTTTGTAAACTTTTAATTTTTTTAACATTTTGACTCCTTTTTAGTAACACTTAGCTTAAAACACACACATTGTACAGCTGTAAAGAAAATTTTATGTCCTTCTTCTGTAAGCTTTTTTCCATTTTTAAGATGTTTTTATTTTTAAAACTGTTACTAAAAACTAATACACAAACACACACATTAACCTAGGCCTATACAAAGTCAGTGTCATCAGTGTTCAACCTTCACATGTTATCCCACTGGAAGGCCTTCAGGGGCAATAACAAACACAGAGCTGTCGTTTTCTGTGATAACAGTGCCTTTTTCTGATATACCTACTGAAAGACCTGGCTGAGAGTGTTTGACAGTTAACAAAAAAAAAAAAGGACAAGAAGTACACTCTAAAATAATGAAAAAAGTATAATACAGTAAATACATAAACCACCAACATAGTCATTTATTATCATTATCGAGTATTATGTACTGTACACAGTTGTATTTGCTGTACTTTTCTATAACTGGTAGCACGGTAGGTTTGTTTATACCAGCATCACCACAAACATAAGCATGGTGTTGTATTACAATGCACAGCTGCAGCTAAGTGATAGGACTTTTTCAGCTCCATTATAATTTTATGGGACCATCACTATAAATGCTGTCCATCATTGACTGAAATTTATGTCGTGCATGACCATACATACAATTTAATGAAAAATAATAATAATAAAGCTAGCAGTGTGTAATTACCAACCAGGGCAAGAAATAGAATATTGCCAATACCTTGGAGGCCTCCAGTATGACCATATAAGTTTACAAATCCTATTTTGTTCCTCCTCCCCAGAGGTAACCACTGCCCTGACAAATGTGATCGTTGTTTTCTTGTTTTTCTTACTACCTATATAAACATCCTTAAACAATATAACTCAGTTTGTATATTTTGAATTCCATGTTAATAGAATATCATATGTATATGAATTTTATGTGAATAGAATATTATATATGTCATTTTGCATCTTGCTTTTTTCATTCAACATTGTAGGATTCATTCATGTTGTAGTGTACAGCTGTCGTTTATTCATTGCTGTATAGAATTATATCCTCAGAGATAAGATATATGGATGTTTATAAATCATTCCACTATTATGAACATTTGACTAGTTTGTAGTTTTTATTTAACCAAAAAAATGCTGCTGCCAACATTCTTACACATTTTACTGTATATGCACATTAATTTATTTACAAGTATAAATTTCTTTTTGAATACATATCTATTGATGGAGTTGCTACATCATAGGACATTCTTGTCTTTGACTTTACTGGATAATACCAAACTGTCTTCCAAAATGATTACATCCTTAAACTCAGGACACATCTTATTGTCAAATGTTTAATTTTTGTCAGTCTGATGGGTATGTAAGTTATTTTATTGTCGTTTTAATTTGCATTTCCCTGATTACTAATTAAGCTGAGTAACTTTTCATATGTTTATTGGCCATTTGGAGTTCCTGTATTGTAAAGTATAAGTTTTTTTGTCCATTTTTCTAGTTTTCTGTCCTTTTAGTTGAAATCCAAATTTGCCTAAATCTGTTATTCTCTGAGCACAAGTAACTTGGGATGCTTTCCTTTAGATTTAGCCTAATTCTTTATCATTTTGTCAGCTTGATGGTGCTTTTAAGGAGATATATATGTGTGTGTGCGCACACATGTGCGTGTGTGTATATATATATATGTATATGTATGTATGTATTTTTTGAGACAGGGTCTCACTCTGTCACCCAGGCTGGAGTGCAGCGGCACAGTCTTGGCTCACTGCAGCCTCCACCTCCTGGGTTCAAGCTTTTCCCTGTCTCAGCAACCCGAGTAGCTAGGATTACAGGTATGCCACCATACCCGCTAATTTTTGTATTTAATAGAAACAGGGTTTCGCCATGTTGACAGGCTGGACTTGAACTCCTCACTTGAACTCCTCACGTCAAGTGATCTGCCTGCTTTAGCCTCCCAAAGTGCTGGGATTACAGGCATGAGCTACCGCGCCTGGCCTGGATATTTTTTAAAAATATTTTTTATCTAGCACTTTGGTTTTTGGCAGGCAGGTTGGCACTCATAGTCTGACCTACCATTTCTATAAAAAGAAACCTGTAAATGTTCTTAAACAGACTTTGAACCAGTCTTCCTGATTTTGAACCCCTACCTTTACCCCCAGTTTTTGAGCCTTTCAGAATTTTTTTTCATAATAATTAGGTTGCTTCTTAGCTTTCCCCACTGGTGACTTAACAGATCTTAGGAAGCCAACAATCCTTGTCCATCTGCTTTCTGTCTTGTGAACTGTTGCTGGTATTGTCTCTTCTCTTTATTCTTAGAGGTGTATGCTTTTAAAAACATATACTGGGTTTGAGAGGGAGCTGAAATAAAAGCATGTGTTAAATATACCATCTTTAACCAGAACTACATTTGACTGGTCATTTTATTTTCAAGCTCACATACACTTCAAACAGAGATATGGCTAAAGGAATTATCATGTGAACAACAGCCAGGGCTCTGAACATCACAGATTATATCATCATACTTGAAATATTTGAAATTTTGATTCAAAATGAGAGCTTTATAGCTATGTCCTCAATGGACTAAGTGTTTAAGTACTTAACATCCAAAACATTCTTACTAATCAAGAGAAGACAAACACCCCAACAGAGAAATAGGCAAATTTTATCAATAGCCAGTTCACCAGATTTGTTTTCTGTTAGAAGCGAATATGGGGAAATACATGTGTCCATGTTTTGCCTACTTTTCCTGGAGCAGGTAAGGAGAGGCAGTTTAAGGATCCATGTGATAAACCCTAAAGTTGTCCATCGGCTTTCCAGTCCCTTCTAGGAATTTAACTTAGGGAAATAATCAGACATTTGCAAAGGTGTGTACAGTGGTATTTATAATAGTGAAAAACCAAAGAATGACCAATAACGGGAGAATGGAAGTTACAGCCAAATACTTTACAACTACTAAAGAATCATGTAAAATATCTATTGACATAGGAGTTTTATCAAAATGTGAAGTATACAGATGAATAGTACCACACATAAAAAGCAAGGTGCAAATTAGCCATTTATATTGTTATCCCCAAAATAAATAGATGCAGTTTTTTTAAAAGATGCAGGCTATATATGGAAGTGTTTGCTGGTTTTCTGTCAAAAGAATGGCGACTTTATTTTCTAATTTAAACTTTTTGCTGTTTTCTAAATTGTCTAAATAGTTATAGTTTTTATAATGTAAAAGTATCTTCCAATTTAGCTTCATTTGACAAATTACCTTTTCATTCTATCTAGCTATGTAATTCTAAATGAATTTACAGCAGTAATCTTAGAGCAGATGAATTTACAACAATAATCTTAGAGTAGACTACGGATTAGATGTAAAAACATGAGTTGGGCTTTATGGTTACAGAGAGTTTTCCTCAGTGTGGGGATCATAGCTGTATTGAGTTTATTCAGTTTTCCTTTCCCACATGAATGAAAAATGGGGCCAGCCTACAACTGGAAGGGCCTCGGCATGTACCACTGTACTGTGTATGATGTGATTTCTTGATGCTAGTAGGGAGAGAATCAAATTGCCTCCTATTCAAACCAAGACCCACAAATAGCGTCAACCAGTCATTTCAGCTACTCCCTGCAGTGTCAAGAAGGTGTGAACCCCTCATGTTCTCTATTGCATACCCTTGTCTAATTCAGTGTTTCTTCTTCTTTTCAGGTTTTGGCTTTATGCTACATTTCAGAAATCATAATAACCTTTTCTGGTATTATTTTATTCTTTTTCGCACTGTGAGAAAAATTAAACTTTCAAGTGGATGCTTCTTATAAACTATTTATACCCTTTTGCTCCCTTTTGGGAGGCAGGGACAGGGACAGAGTTCCTCCTCAGGCTAACTAAGAAAACTTACTGCTTCCAATGTAATTTAAAAGATCTCCCTCTTTCTATTGCTCTCTGTACTCTTAATTCTTTTTTTTTTTTTTCACAGCAGAGACAAGTGAACATTTATTTTTATGCCTTTCTTCCTATGTGTATTTCAAGTCTTTATCAAAACAAGGCCCCAGGACTCTCCAGATTCAATTATGTCCTTGGGCTTGGTCGACTGCTGTAGGAGTCTCAGGGAGCCTTCTACAAATGCTAGAGTGACTCATTTACCAACATTAAACCCTAGGATACATGCAACAAAGCAGGACTCCTTCCTCCATGGAATGTGCCGATTTCAGATGACACAGCACCCAATGTAGAAAACGCTGGAATTTTTCCTTGGAACTAGACTGTGATGAGAGGTGCTTGACATGAACATAAGCTACTGTCTTTTCTTTTTTTTTGAGACAGAGTTTCGCTTGTTGCCCAGGCTGGAGTGCAATGGCGTGATCTCAGCTCACTGCAACTTCCACCTCCCAGGTTCAAGCGATTCTCCTGCCTCAGCCTCCTGAGTAGCTGGGATTACAGGCACGTGCCACCATGCCCGGCTAATTTTTGTATTTTTAGTAGAGATGGCATTTCTCCATGTTGGTCAGGCTGGTCTCGAACTCCCAACCTCAGGTGATCTGCCTGCCTCAGCCTCCCAAAGTGTTGGGATTACAGGCATGAGCCACCACGACCGGCCAGCTACTGTCTTTTCTTTGACCCTTCCTTTCCAGTTTTTGAAGATAAAGCAGGAAATAATCTTCTCTGAAGATACTTGATAAAAATTCCCAAAACAACAAAACGCATGCTTCCACTTCACTGATAAAAAATTTACCGCAGTTTGTCACCTAAGAGTATGACAACAGCAATAAAAAGTAATTTCAAAAAGTTAAGATTTCTTCAGCAAAATAGATGATTCACATCTTCAAGTCCTTTTTGAAATCAGTTATTAATATTATTCTTTCCCCATTTCCATCTGAATGACTGCAGCAATAGTTTTTTGTTTGTTTGTTTGTTTGTTTGTTTGTTTTTTGAGATGGAGTCTCGCTCTGTCGCCCAGCTGGAGTGCACTGGCGCAATCTTGGCTCACTGCAGTCTCTGCCTCCTGGGTTCAAGCGATTTTCCTGCCTTAGCCTCTCGAGTAGCTGGGACTACAGGCACGTGCCACCACACCCAGCTCATTTTTGTATTTTTAGTAGAGACAGGGTTTCACCATGTTGGCCAGGATGGTCTCAATCTCCTGACCTCATGGTCTGCCCGCCTTGGCCTCCCAAAGTGCTGGGATTACAGGCGTGAGCCACCGCGCCCGGCCAGCAATACAGTTTTTAGTTACTCGACATCTTTAAGCCTATAACTCTTAGGCTATGCATAGCCCCATGTCCTAATCAGGCATTCACTGATCCCAGCAGGTCTCCATCTATTTGTACCAGCCTCCTCTTTCCTCCCAATCTCAAGGTTACTCTTAAATACTAGTAAATGCAAAAAGAACTTGTAAAGTGGCAAGGCATGGCCTATCAAAAGTCAGCCCAAGGGCAGTTTTCAGCCCTGCCTCACCTGGGTCTAGTTCAGCTGACGGATGAGCTGATTGATGCGTTCACCCCGATAGCCAGGTGTGCCCATCTCCTTGAGGAAGCCCACTCTATTTTTGGTAGCATGATGGGCCACTGAGAGGTGGAAAGGGCGCAAGAACCATGAGATCTCCTGGAAATGCTTCCCTGGGAAGGCAATTTCATGAATGAGGTCTTCCAAGCAAATGAAGCCAAACTTCCCCAGGTGCTCCTCAATCACTGTGTTGTCTGTCAGAGGGATGGTCTTATTCTTGACCTTGGCTTGTCCACGTTTCAAAATGAGTTCTCGGACAGACTTCAGATTTGGAAATCCCCAGGTCACATAAGGTTCCACTATATGCAGCATTTTTAGATTCTAGGGGGTAACTTTTACAAAGATACCACTAAAAATTTTCTTTAGGCGAAGTCTTGCAGTGGTTCTCTGCACCCGTAAACTCACGCCATCAATCCTTTCGATGCGTACAACAAAGGCCAAGGAATGTTTATCTGGCAATTCCAAGGCATGAGGTTTCACTTCTAGTCGTCTGAGACGCACCTTGTCACGTTTCTGCCGCCAGGAATCATGTAGGAATGATTCCAGTCGCTTAAACCTGAGCCCTTTTCCTTTCTTCTGTCTTGCTACTGCCATCTTTCTAGTGGTGCAGCTACTCAATTCTTTTTTTAATTATAATTTTTATTTTAAGTTCCAGGGTACATGTGCAGGATGTGCAGGTTACATAGGTAAACATGTGGCCATGGTGGTTTGCTGTACCTATCAACTCATCAGGTATTAAGCCCGGCATGCGTTAGCTATTTTTCCTAATGCTGTCCCGCCCCCCCACCCAACGGGCCCCAGTTACACTCTTAATCCTTATAGCTCAGATGTTATGATCCACAGTGTGGTTCTTACAGAAAGTTATGGATTAAAAAAAAAAAAAAACACTCAAAGTGCCCGAACTTTCTTAAAATAATCCTGGTACAGCTAAACTCATGCACTGACTGTCCACCTAATATTTAACAGTCTGTGTTGTGATATATTGTTTTAATGTTCTGAATGCTTGTCAGCTTTCAGTATTGAAGATGTGAATCATTTATCAGCAATGACACATTTAGTCTAAGGTTGTCAGCTATTTATGCTACAAATTAATGACTTGTCCTTAAAATATCAATTTTGTGATTCATGTTTTGGCAGGTGGTTAGATGTTTTGTGTTCTAATTTTAAACTATGGATAAAGGTTTTGTCATAATCATTGTTTTATTGGTTCCTTTTCTCCCCTGCCCACTCCCCAAAAAACCCTGCAATTCTTTTTTGTTAAACTTTTATTTTAGGTTCAGAGGTACATGTGCAGGTTTGTTATATAGGCAAATTTTGTGCCACAGGGGTTTGCTGTACAGATTATTTCATCACCCAGGAAATAAACACAGTACTTGATGGATAGGTTTTTAGTCTTCATTCTCTTCCCACCCTCAAGTAGGCCCCAGTGTCTGTCCTTCCCTTCTTTGTGTCCCTGTGTACTCAATGTTTAGTTCCTAGTTATAACTGAGAAGAACATGTGGTATTTGGTTTTCTATTCCTGTGTTAGTTTGCTTAGGATAATGGCTGCCAGCTCCATCCATGTTGCCGCAAAGGACATGATTTCATTCTTTTTATCGCTGTGTAGAATTCCATGGTGTATATGTACCACATTTTCTTTATGCAGTCTTCTGTTGATGGGCTTTTAGGTTGATTCTATGTCTTTGCTATTGTGAGTAGTACTGCAGTGAACATACACATGCATGCGTCTTTATGGTAGAATCATTTATATTCCTCTGGGTATATACCCAGTGATGGGATTGCTGGGTCGAATGGTAGTTCTGTTTTAAGTTCTTTGAGAAATCATCAAACTGCTTTCCACAATGGCTGGATTAATTTACACTTCCACCAGGAGTGTATAAGCATTTCCCTTTCTCTGCAACCTCACCAGGATCTATTATTTTCTGACTTTTTAATAATAGCTGTTCTGACTGGTGTGAGATGGTATCCCAGCACCATTTATTGAATAGGGAGTCCTTTCCCCATTACTTGTTTTTGTTGACTTTGTTGAAGATTGGATGGTTTTAAGTGTGTGGTCTTATTTCTGGGCTCTATTCTGTTGCATTGGTCTATGTGTCTGTTTTGTACCAATACCATGCTGTTTTGGTTACTTTAGCCTTGTAGTAGTTTGAAGTCGGGTAATACGGTGCCTCCAGCTTTGTTCTTTTGGCTTAGGATTGCTTTGGCTATTTGTGCCCTTTTTTGATTCTATATGAATTTTAAAATAGTTTTTTTCTAATTCTGTGATGAATGTCATTGGTATTTTGAGAGCAATAGCACTGAACCCGCTAATTGCTTTGGGCAGTATGGCGATTTTAACAATATCGATTCTTTCTATCCCCTGCAATTCTTTGTTGTTGTATTTAACTATTTTTACTTGTGAAGTTTTTTCAGGGATGATTTTGTTGAAAGTGACAACTCTAAAAATTATGTTGGTAATTAAAATTTTAAGTAATGACTTTTATTTTCAGAGATTCCACTTCTCTTAGACTTTGGAGCTGTTAACAGCAGTGTCCAATCTGCAGTGGTACTCAGCAGTTTCTGTTTCCTGCATGCAGAACTGCTTATATGAAAACACAGTTTTAAAAATGCTTTCTTATGGCTGACATTCACATTCTTATTCCTTTTGATTCTTTTCAAGAGGGATTTGGTTTGTTAAAATTAATTTTTGCAATACTTTTATGAAGATACAAACTCTGACAAAGCTTTTAAAACAAGTTTGAGAGAATACAGTATTGATTTCACTTGTAAATCTGACGATTATTTTAGAAAAAAGGAAAATATTATTTACTATTATTTTGCTTATAAATGTTTATCAATTTTAAAGCTTCCACATTGCACATCTCCCACTACAACAGTAGCTACCATTTATTCTTTCTCAAAAAAAGTGCTAAGTGTGCCCTTGAAATTTTTACATTGTGCAGAATATCCCTAAAATTTTAAAACAAAAATTACATCATCACTTGCTTTAAATGTTTCTTCTTTATTTAACATACAGTTTCTAAAATGTTAGCAAATAGCATTTTAGAAGAGACACGTTACTTTTCTAATGAATGTTCTAAAATGAACCACAGTAACCTATACTTACTTAGACTGTGAAAAACAAAACTTATATTCTATTGTTAAATTTTCAAAAGTGAAACTACACGATAGTTTACTTGGCACATCACTCTGTTATTGTGAATTGACAAATGTATATGTAGACAAATATGTGAAAATCAGAGTACATATACATTATATGCAGCACCACAATACATTTTTTAGTATGTTTTGACTGATATTTAATTATATAATTTACCAAGAGGATCTCACCAGAATGTAGAAAAGTATTGAATTTTAGAACAATTCACATATTTAAAAAAAATGTAGTCAGCCCTTTTATCTGTATCTGGAGAATGCAGGGTAAAGGAATAATACATGAGTATTGGTATTTAAAAAAAGGTGTTAATTTCTTACCTATGATACCTGTTACTTTGGGTATCATTTAACCTTTATTTCTGTGAAATAGAGGAGTTCTAACATCCTCTAATTATTATAATATTGTTCTAATTTAATCTATCTTAATCTGTGATACAGTTTGAAAACCAAGCTTTTACTATTGGCATGTGCAAAAAAATAAAGCAGCAGTAGACTTGGAATCTTGAATGCAAATTTAGATTTTGCCTCTTAATAAATGTATAATATAGTGTTCTGGGACCAATTCTCTAACATTTCTGAGTCCTAGTTTCTGCATCTGTCAAATGGGATTAGAGATACCTACTTTCAGGATGTGATATGGTTTGGCTCTGTGTCCCCACCCAAATCTTATCTTGAATTGTAATCCCCATATATTGAGGGAGGGACCTGGTGTGAGGTGTTTGGATCATGGAAGTGATTTCCTCCATGCTGTTCTCGTGATAGTGTGGGAGATCGCAAAACATCTGATGGTTTAAATATGGCAGTTTCCCCTGTGCTTTCTCTCTCTCCTGCCACCATGTAAGACTTTCCTTGCTTCCTCTTTGCCTTCTGCCATGATTGTATGTTTCTTGAGGCCTCCCCAGCTATGCAGAACTATGAGTAAATTAAACCTCCCTTATAAATTACCCAGTCTCAGATATTCTTTATAGTAGTGTAAAAACTGACTAATACAGAGAATTGGTACTGGCAGGGTTGGGTACTGCTATAAAGATAATCTGAAAATGCGGAAGTGACTTTGGAACTGGGTAACAGGCAGTGGTTAGAACAGTTTGGAGGGCTCAGAAGAAAACTGGAAGATATAGGAAAGTTTGGAACGTCCTAGAGACTTGTTTTGAATACTTTTGACCAAAATGCTGATAGTGACGTGGACAATGAAGTCCAGGCTGAAATGGTCCCAGAGATGAGGAACTTATTGGGAACTGGAGCAAAGGTTATTTTTGCTATGCTTTAGCAAAAAGACTGGCAGCATTTTACCCCTGCCCTAGAGAACTGATGAACTTTGAGATGATTTAGGGTATTTGGCAGAAGAAAATTTCTAAGCAGCAAAGCATCCTAGTGGTGACTTGGCTGATTCTGAAAGCGTTCAGTCATGTGCATTCACGAAGATATGGTCTGAAATTGGAACTTAGGTTTAGAAGTGAAGCAGAACATAAAGGTTTGGAAAATTTGCAGCCTGACCATGTAGTAGAAAAGAAAACCCCATTTTCTGGGGAGGAATTCAAGCCAGCTGCAGAAATCTGAATAAGTAACAAGGAGTAATAAGTAATAATAAGTAAAAAGTAATAAGTAATAAGTAACAAGGAGCCAAATGTTAATAACCAAGACAATGGAGAAAATGTCTCCAGGGCATGGCAGAGATCTTCGGGGCAGCCCCTCCCATCACAGGCCTGAGAACTAGGAGGGAAAAATGGTTTCCTGCTCAGGGCCTTGCTGCTCTGTACAGCCTCACGACATGGTGCCCTGCATCCCTGATGCTCCAGCTCCAGCTGTGGCTGTAAGGGGCCAAGTTACAGCTCGCACCATTGCTTCAGAGGGTGCAAGCCCCAAGCTTTGGCAGCTTTCACGTGGTGTTGGGCCTGCAGGTGCGCAGAAGACAAGAGTTGAGGTTTGGGAACCTGTGCCTATATTTAAGAGGATGTATAGAAACGCCTGGATGTCCAGGCAGAAGTCTGCCATGGAGGCAGAGCCTTCATGGAGAACCTCTGCTAGGGCAATGCGGAAGGGAAATATGGGGTTGGATCCCTCATACAGAGTCCCCACTGGGGCACTACCTAGTGGAGCTGTGAGAAGAGGGCCTCTGTCCTCCAGGCCCCAGAAAGGTAGATTCACCGACAGTTTGCAGTATACGTCTGGAAAAGCCACAGAATGCCAGCCTGTGAAAGCCACAGGGGTACCCTGCTGAGCCACAGGGGCGGAGCTGCCCAAGGGTATGAAAGCCCACCCCTTACTTCAGTGTGCCCTGAATGTGAGACATGGAGTCAAAGGAGATTTTGGAGCTTTTAGATTTAAGGGCTGCCCAGCTGGGTTTCAGATTTCATGGGGCCTGTGGCCCTTGGTTTGACCAGTTTCTCCCATTTGGAACAGGAACATTTACCCAATGCCTGTTCCCTCATTGTATCTTGGAAGTAACTAACTTGCTTTTGATTTTATAGGCTCATACGTGGAAGGGACTTGCCATGTCTCAGATGAGACTTTGGTCTTGGACTTTTGAGTTAATGCTGTAATAAGACTTTGGGGGACTGTTGTGAAGGCATAATTGGTTTTAAAATGTAAAAAGACATGGGATTTGAGAGGGAGCAAGTGCAAAATAATATGGTTTGGCTCTGTGTCCCCACCCAAATCTAATCTTGAATTGTAACCCGCATGTTTTGGGGGAGGGACCTGGTGGGAGGCAGTTGGATCATGGGGGGGTTTTTTCCATGCTGTTCTTGTGATAGGGAGTTCTCAGGAGAGTTGATGGTTTAAATGTGGCAGTTTCCCTTGTGCTCTTTCTCTCTCCTGCTGCCAGGTGAGACGTGTCTTGCTTCCCCTGCCCCTTCCACCATGATCATAAGTTTCCTGAGGCCTCCCCAGCCATGCAGAACTGTGAGTCAATTAAACCTCCTTTCCGTATAAATTACCCAGTCTCAGATAGTATCTTTATAGCAGTGTCAGAATGGACTAATACAGGATAGTAATGAAGATTACAGAATATGTAGATGAAGAAGTGCTAAGTAAATAGCAGCTATTATTATGTAGTCAAATTGAATGTATACATTGTGGTACTTCAGTGTCCTTTAAATTGAATAACTAGAAATTTGTTGGCTTTCTCAATCTGCTCACATCAGATGACATGTTAATTTATGCCTATACTTTTTTCTAGTTAATAGATATAAATCTATTCACTCAACTTCTATTGACAGAACTGGTAGTGTGGCAAGACATCTCATTTCTAGTTAAGGCTGTATAATATTAAGTTCATTTTACTTAAATTAACTATGGTTTGGGAAATGCTTTTCATGTCATCATGTATGCCCAATTTGATACTTTAGTGGGACAGTATATTTCAGAAAAAAACAAATGCTTCCCCAAAAATTCCAGGGTTGAATACATTAGTCAGACATATAACAATGTACTTCAGAGTTCCTCTAAGGGCAAAAATCGTGGTATGAATATACAAAACACTCCTATTTATACTTTTGTATTTTTGAAATGTAGTCTTCATGTTAATTTAGCATTTCAATGACCAGCATGACATTATCTTAATAATTTGGAATGCCAATATGTTCATTTAAGACTTAATATAGTAAGTATCTAAAGAAAAAAATGGAAGTGACTGAATGCTTTTGTATCTCTTAATTATAATTTGTGCTCCATTGTGATATGAAGGATAGAAGGGGCAGGATAGATAGAAAACAGAAATTAACTTTGATGTTTAACCTTACCTTAAGACTGTCTGTTAAGTGACCCACATAATCTTAAAAAACTCTGTCAAGCTTAATGGATGCTACTCTGCAGGCCCCTGCCAGGCAACAGTCACAAGGTTATGAGGTGCATAGATTTTGGAATTAGGCAGAGCTGAATTCAGATCCAGGTGTTGCCTTATAATGCGACTTTGGGCAAATAAAAGGCCCAATTTTTGTATTCTTATCTGTAAAATGGACTCAGTAAAAATTATTTGAGATAATTTATTTGTGTACTGTACCTAGGCATGCAGCTTGACACACAGAATTACAAGTCAGTAGTTTCCAGTATGATTATTATTGTGAAAGAGATATTTTGTTTCACCTACTGAAAACTTTTTTCAGTCTTAAATTTTTTATCTAACTGGCTGTATTGCAGATGTCTGCTATATAACTTTTATATAATTTTAAAAACTATTTCTTTCCTCCTTGATCTTCTAGGGGTAAGGTTACCAATGTTTTCATTATTTACTAAATATAGCAGCCCCCACCCCTTATTCATGGAGGATAGGTTCCAAAACCCCTAGTGTATGCTTGAAACCACAGACCACAGATAATCCCAAATCCTATATGTATATTGTTTTTCCTATACATACATACCTATGGTTAATGTTTAACCTACTAATTAGGAAGAGTAAAAGAGTAATAGTAACTAATAATAAAATAAAACAATTGTAACAATATTCCAGCATCACTATTCTTGTGCTTTAGGGCCACCATTAAGTAAAATAAGGGTTACTTGAACACAAGCACTGTGATACTGTGGCAGTCCAACTGGTAACAGAGATAGTGATGCGGTTTGGCTGTGTCCTCACCAGAATCTCAACGTGAATTGTATCTCCCAGAATTCCTATGTGTTGTGGGAGGGACCCAGGGGGAGCTAATTGAATCACAGGGTCTGGTCTTTCCCTTGCTATTCTCGTGATAGTTAATAAGTCTCACATGATCTGATGGGTTTATCAGGGGTTTCCCCTTTTGCCTCTTCCTCATTTTTCTTTTGCCACCACCATGTAAGAAGTACCTTTTGCCTCCCGCCATGATTCTGAGGCCTCCCCAGCCCTGTGGAACTCTAAGTCCAATTAAACCTCTTTTTGTTCCCAGTTTTGGGTGTGTCTTTATCACAAGCATGAAAATGGACTAATACAGTAAATTGGTACCAGTAGAGTGGGTGTTGCTGAAAAGATACCCAAAAATGTGGAAGCGACTTTGGAACTTTGGAGGACTCAGAAGAAGACGGGAAAATGTGGGAAAGTTAGGAACCTCCTAGAGACATGTTGAATGGCTTTGACCAACATGCTGATAGTGATATGAACAATAAGATCCAGGCTGAGGTGGTCTCAGATGGATATTAGGAACTTTTTGGGAACTGGAGCAAAGGTTACTATGTTATGTTTTAGCAAAAAGACTGGCAGCATTTTGCCTCTGCCCTAGAGATTTGTGGAACTTTGAACTTGAGAGAGATGATTTAGGGTATCTGGTGGAAGAAATTTCTAAGCAGCAAAGCACTCAAAAGGTGACTTCGGTGCTGTTAAAAGCATTCTGTTTTAAAAGGGAAACAGCATAAAACTTCAGAAAATTTGCAGCCTGACAATGCAGTTGAAAAGAGAAACCCATTTTTTGAGAAGAAATTAAAGCTGGCTGCAGATATTTGCATAAGTAGCAAGGAGCCTAATGTTAATCCCCAAGACCATGGGGAAAATGTCTCCATGGCCATGTCAGAGACCTTCACAGCAGCCCTTCCCATCACAGGCCCAGAGACCCAGGAGGAAAAAGTGGTTTCGTGGGCCAGGCCCACGGTCCTCATGCTATGTGTAGGCTAGGGACTTTGTGCCCTGTGTCCCAGCTGCTCCAGCTGTGGCTGAAAGGAGCCAATATAGAGCTCAGGCTGTGACTTCAGAGGGTGGAGGCCCCAAGCCTTGGCAGCTTCCACATGGTGCTGAGCCTGTGGGTACACAGAAGTCAAGAATTGAGGTTTGGGAACCTCTGCCTAGATTTTAGAAGACGTATGGAAACACCTAGATGCCCAGGCAGAAGTATTACTGCAGGGCAGGGCTGTCATGGAGAACCTTTGCTAGGGCAGTGCAGAAGGGAAATGTGGGATTGGAGCCCTCACACAGAATCCCTACTGGGGCACTGCCCAGTGGAGCTGTGGGAAGAGAGCCGTCATCCTCCAGACCCCAGAATGGTAGATCCACCAACAACTTGCACCATGTACCTGGAAAAGCCACAGACACTCAATGCCAGCCTGTGAAAGCAGCCGGGAGGTAGGCTGCAAAGTCACAGGGGCGGAGCTGCCCAAGACCATGGGAATCCATCTTTTGCATCAGCATGACCTGGATATGAGACCTGGAGTCAAAGGAGATCATTTTGGGGCTTTAAAATTTGACTAACTCACTGGATTTCAGACTTGCATGGGCCCCGTAACCCCTTTGTTTTGGCCAATTTCTCCCATTTGGAACAGCTGTATTTAACCTGTGACACCCCCCTACCCCCTGCCCCCCATCCCTCCGGCCCTTGTATCTGGAAGTAACTAGCTTGCTTTTGATTTTATAGGCTCATAGGCAGAAGAGACTTACTAGCCTTGTCTCAGATGAGACTTTGGACTGTGGACTTCTGGGTTAATACTGAAATAAGCTAAGACTTTGGGGGACTATTGGGAAGGCATGATTGGTTTTGAAATGTGAGGACATGAGATTTGGAGGGGCCAGGGGTGGAATGATATGGTTTGGCTGTGTCCCCACCCTAATCTCAACTTGAATTGTATGTCCCAGAATTCCCATGTGTTGTGGGAGGGACCCGGGGGTGGGGGTGCAGTAATTGAATCATGGGGGCTGGTCTTTCCTGTGCTATTCTCATGATAGTGAATAAGACTGACGAGATCTCATGGGTTTATCAGGGGTTTCCAAAACTTTTGCCTCTTCCTCATTTTTCTCTTGCCACCACCATGTAAGAAGTACCTTTCACCTCCTGCCATGATTCTGAGGCTTCCCCAGCCATGTGGAACTGTAAGTCCAATTAAACCTCTTTTTCTTCCCAGTTTTAGGTATATCTTTATCAGCAGTGTGAAAACAACTAATACAGATGGCTAGTAAGGGACTAACCGGCAGGGAGCGTCTCCAGTGTGGATATGCTGGACAAAGGGATGATTCACGTTCCAGGGCATAAGATTTCATTACTCAGAATTGCACAGAATTTAAAACTTATTAATTATTTCTGGAATTTTCCACTTAATGTTTTCAAACTGTGGTTGACTGCAGGTACCTGAAACTGTCAAAAGTGAAACCACAGATAAGTGGGGAGTCCTGTACCTAAGATTATTCCTTTAAATTGTTTCAGTGGATATGTAGGGACCTGAGTGTGAAGTGAGAGCAGCAGCATCAAAACCTGAGGGAAATCCAGATAGCAAAAGAAACTTGTCTAGTATACTGGCATGACAGAGAAACCAAAAAGTTCTCAAGTTAATGTGAGAATCTAAGAATTAAAGAATTAAGCCTTTGCCTTTGAGGGAAGGAAAGGGGTAATGTGGCTTTAAATCAGGTTGAGATTGGTTCTGAGGGTTCCTTTTCCTTCCTTTATATTGATATGAATATAGACACAACTGTTCTGCATTTCCATTTGTTTTTATAAATGTCTTTTTAGGATTTAGGAACTGCTAATTATGCAATATGAGATATCTGTTAGTTTGAGGAACATTTGAAAATTTGGTCAAATGACACAGATCGTCACACAGTTTTAAGACAAATGTTTTTACCTATTTGACCTAGTCTGGCAATCCCTATTTGGGCAAAAATCTTCATTTGCAGGTCATGATTGGAGGCAGGCACAGAAAAAAAATTGCCACCTTTTTTGCATTATGTCATCAAGACATCAAACTTCAGCCTACAAAGTAGAAAGTGTTATTTCTCAAGTTGAAGGCCTGGATATACCTCAGCTTCTCAGTTCTGACACTTTATCATAGTGGAAAATGAAGAAGATTGCTTAAGAACACTGATGTTGGTGTCAGAAAGACCTGGGTTTGAACCCTGACTTTACTAGTTACTTAGATCACTTTAGGCAACTCAACTTTTCTAAATCTTGTTTCTTCATCTGTAAATGCTGAAAATAGTACCCACCTCTTAGGTCTGTGGAGAGGATTAAATGAGATAATCTATACAAAGAAAGAGCTTGCATAATAGTGCCAAGTAATGGTGAGGTTATACCTGTATTCTGATTATAATCTCATAAATATTTACCATGTTAGCTGTCTCAGAGTTCTTTTGCAAAACAGATAAAGATAGAAAGTATAAATAAGAAAAATAAGTGAACATATACTGAACTTTGTACAAGATGCTGGCGATATGGAGAGACCCAAGACATGGGCCCTACCTAAAAGAGATTATTGATAGAAACAGGATACATATACATCAAAAGGTAACATAGGATCATCTGTGCAAAGTGCTATATGGCAGTGTTTTAGGAAGTCTAGAAGCTGTCATGGATCAGGAATACCATGGTGGACACTTCAGGCAGGGAAAACAGATCTTAGCAAAAGCTACTCCTATCATAGGTACTTGATAAATATTTGTAGAATCCAGGATCCCTGTAGTGATAAAGAAACTACATGGATTATGTAGGGGAGTGATAAGACATATGACTGGAAAAATAAAAAGACCAAATTATGGACCATACTGAGCTTGTACTATAAACAGTGGAGGAGCCCTTCAGATTTTTAATCATGTTGAGAAAAGAGTTTTAGCAGTGTGTGGGGGATAGAATGGAAAGAGAAGCCAGTGCCAGAAGGACTACTTAGTATCAACCATTGCAGTGGTTAAAGCAAGAGGTGAGAGAAGGCATGCATTAGAATGGCAGCGGTCAGAGTGGATGGGAAGGAATAGGTCCTGACATAGTGTTACAGGGAGTAATAAATAGGATGTGGAAGATGGGTTAGAATTGGCAAAATCTCTGCATGTAAGTCTGGGTTACTAAATATAGTGAGAGAAATTCAAATCTCTCTTTAAGAATCGAATAAAATATTTAGAAATAAGTTACTGTTGTATTTGAGGTGAACACAAATGGCATTTCAAAGATGCTCGAGATACCTTGTTGGAAAAAGTCAATAACTGCACTATTGTCTCCAACATGTTCTTGCCTTCTCTGAAGACATCATGTTCCTAATTCTGAATTATGAACCATCTATTATCCTTGTATGCTCTTATGTGTGAGGAACCATAAGGTGGGAACAAAATCCGGTCTTCATTCTAGAAATAACTATGCGATCAAAAAGTTTTTAGTCTTTCTTCTTACCATACTGGTTCTTGGTATTCTGTTTACCATTCAATGTACTATTATTGCTTCTGCTTAAAACTCGCATCCCCTAATGCAAGCCTGAGCAAACAGAACTGATAACACACAGCCTGAGAAGGGAGTGCTTGGGGTCTCAAGACTTATTCTGTTTTTCTCCATCTTTGACACTTGGTTTGAAGAGCAAAGAAGGATACAGCTGTTAGGAAGTAAGTTACCCAAACACAGTGACCAAACTGGATTAATTCTTCCAATGAGAAAGAAATACATTATTTCTGTGAGACAGATTAGACTTTAAGTAGCATAGATAACATGATTATATTCTCTCTACAAATAAATACACAGGACCTAAGAAACCCTTTACAGATCCAAGTGTTTTCCTCTCCACTTTTCCATCCCCAAACCCATCTTGCAAGATATGGCCAGCTTATTTGGAGTTAATTAAATCAAGACCTTCGTTTTACAGACAGGGAAACCAAGCCCAGAGACACTGAGTAGTAGGCCACTGGTGTCTTAGAGGTCTGAAAAATCCTTTACTGAACATTCTCTTGATCTATTAATGTATAGGTTTTGTTGCTGTAACCCTCTCCCCAAGAGGAGTGAATATAAATGATGCAGAGTTTGGATGAACTATCTTAATAAGAACCTAAAGTTGAAACCAATGCAAACCTCTCTCAATAAATGCAAAGCAAAGAGAATAATCAGTCTTTCTTTGGCTTGTTAAATAAGATAAAATGTGTTCTGCTAAAACCATTTAACAGAAATATTGTGAAAGGTTTCCCCTAAAGCATTTTTCTATTTGATTTGAAAACTATTCCATAGCTTATTATCAAACAAATCAGTAATTCTTTAGCTAATGCAGAGATAAATGGGCAGTCAGAAAATATAATCACCTGGTGTGTGCAGCTGAGTATTTACATTTTTCCTAATGAACAAAGATAAGAAAAGTGCAGGTGACTTTAATGTGTAAAAACTACCTTTTAGTGCTAGCGCTAGAGGGAAAAAGAAATTACTGGCTCAAGCCAATCCTGTACTTGATAACTAAGCCGTATAGTCCATGGCTTGGCTTCAGTTCTGTTTTGAATCTCTTTTTGGACTTGTCTTGAATGGACTGTTTAGGGCTGCTTCAGTAGTGCAGTTGTTGCATTTTTAAGCATAGTTTAGGTTTTAAAATGTTTCTGGTCCCTTTTTTTTTTTCTTTTCCACTTTATGTTGCTTAAAGCTTTATGGCCAGGTTTTCTCATCCTCAGCATTATTGACATTTGAAGCTGGATACTTCTTTGTGGTGGGGGCTGTCCTGTGCCTTGTAGGCTGGTTAGCAGCATCCCTCGCCTCTTCTCACTTAGATGCCAATAGCATTTCCCCAACCGTGATAACCAAAAGTGTTTTCAGACACTGCCAAATGTCTCCTAGAGAGCAAAATTGCTCTCTGTTGAGAACTACTGTGTTACGGTGTTTGGACAAAAACTGACAAGCCAATGGGAATATTCTATTGGTAGTTGTAAAAAATTAATCCAGTTATAGCAGCTGTATTTCTGGAATTTTTTTCCATATTAACACTTGCTTTCTGAGGTGATAATATCTTTGTTTTTTTTCTCCCAAATAGATTTCTTGCATTACACTGAAAAATTGCTGATTAATTCACTTAAATTGAAGACTAAGCCAATCATGTCATTTGGGTAATAGTTTACCAACTCTGCCCCTTTCTCTGTCAGGGAAGCCTCTAATTTAGTAAGCGATACTGTATCCTTTTGTCAGGTACATTACCATTCCTATTAGCAATAGGGCAATTGAGATTGAGAAAGATTAAAAGGTCACCAAGCTATTACATTGTAGAATTAGGTTATGAATTGTAGCCTATCTGGTTTAGAATCTTTACCTTACTAGTCTCCATAACAACAATTCTTCCAGTGTGGTCCATGGGGCCCTGGGAGTCTCCCCTTAAAGGGCAGACTATTTTCACAGTAACACGTACTTTATTTGCCATTTCATTATGTCAGCATTTGCAATAATGGTACAAAAGCAAAGATGAGTAAAACTGTTGGCATCTTAGTATACAGTAGTTACTGTATTCACTGTCATGCACTTAAAATCTTTGAAGAAGCAAAAAAATTATTAATTACATTAAATTTCAACCCTTAAATACATGTGGTCTTTCTCATGTCAGTGTGACAAAATGAGAAGGTGCATAATCCACTTATATCGCATATAGCATTTGATAGTTGTCTCAAAGAAAAGTGTATAAGATTAAACTGTGAGTTAACCTACTTTTTTTCATGGAGTACCATGAGAGATAAACTCTGGTTTTCAGCCTTGGGTATTTGGCGATGTTTTCCCAAAAATGACTGAAGTAAACTTAGCACTTTAAGGAAAACAACTTAAAGTATTTGTTGCCAATTGATAAAATATAGGTTTCAAGCAAAAATCAGAATTTTTGAAGACTTGTATCTGCCACTGTGAGCTTGACAAATGTGACTCTTTTATATTACATAATGAACTATGTCAACATTTGAAAGATCTGCATAACTCAGTGAACCAGTATTTTCCAGATGACTAATGCATGATAATACAAAATCATGCATGGGTAAAAGATACATTCAAAGTGCAAGATAGACTGACATATTTCAATGTAACAATCAAAAGTTCATTGATAACAGTTTTGGATTCCACATTGCAATACTAAAACCTTTAAAAAACGAAATTGTCCAATTTTGGTGTAGTAATCAGAAAAGGCAATCTATAATTACCTGAACTTAAGTTTCTGGAGGACCATTAACCTTCTACAGGCTCATGGGGAAGACTGTAGCACTTCTCTTTCCCTAAGATCCTCCAGAAAGGAAGAAGGTAATCCTTGGGGGTAGGGTAGAGACCTATTGTGTGATGATCACCAAGTATGTAACAATGCTTTATATAACTCTAATATATATAATCCACACAAACCCCCTAAAATGGCACTAATAAGGGAATGGACTCAAAGAAGTTAAGTCAGCTAGCCACTGTCACAGCTATTAGAGCACTGGAACTAGGATTTGAACCCAGATTTGTCTGTATGTAAAGCTGATTCTCTTCGTAATAGTACTGAGACACAAGAGGCGGCTACAAAATATTCTGGTACTCCATCCTAGACCAGAGTTTCAAGGTTCGTTATCATTTGTAGCATGATACTGGATCCTCACAGTGCTTGCCTTTCATTCAGGTGCCAGGAAACGTCTGCCTGAATGAATGGGTGTAATTTACCTGCACATTTTACATGCTTCTCTAGGTGTGTGATTAACTCATAATCCATCCATGACTTTCACCCATAATCCTCCTTGTAGCAATTGCTTTGCTTGCAACAAAACTAAGTAGACATATCTAGCTTTATGCATGGTTTTCTCTCTCTGAACTCTAACATAAACTCAGCCTCAGGAATTATTCGGTTTCTACTACATTTGCCATTCTGATTGGGAACCACCAGCATTCAGGTATTCACCTGGAACAAGGCATTTTGTTCCAAGGGTTCCTCACTTAAAAGCAAGCACCCTAGCAATAGTTCATAATGGAACTTCTTAACATTCTCAGAATGTTTGGCACAGCTGTGAGTGAACACACATTGAGCAATCAATAACTATTACAGATAATGATGCCCTTAAGACCAGGATATTTTAGCTTTCCCATTCAAAGGGGGTGAAATATGCACTCTTACTATGGTATACTTTTGGTTCCTTCTGCCATGTATCCTTAATAAAAGATGTCAATTCCATATGGTTTTCTCTTGAGTTCTAACCATTTTGTTGTACCCTAGCCCTTTTAACAATATCAAACTTGCAACTGAATACCATTTAGCATTCATCCATTTTTTCCAATGGTGTTCATTATAGGCTATCTTACTCCTCCTATTTGTATGACAAAAATTGGCTTTTTTCACCGATGTCTATGGTACATCTGGCAGCTTTCCATGTACTCAGTTCTTATCTGATGTAGCCCAGAACGACTGCCTGAAGGGATGCCAAAAGCCTGATTGAGGTTCCAAATTTTCAGCTACTGTACTATCAATCCATTTGTTCATTTTTACTTTCCCTTGTCATCTGTAGCTTACAGTTGAGTGGCCTGAACATGTTTTGCATACATTGTAATATCTAAGAATTTGGGAATACGGTCCTAGGATTTAGACTTAATACTACCTTCCATTTATATAATACTTACTCATAAAATCTTCAGTGTTCCTGAAAAAGAAAAAGGAACATGTATTGAGTGCCTGCTAGAAGCAGGAACTTGTAGTAGATTTTCTATGTGTTACCTTATTTTCACAACACACACACAGGTGATATCCTTCCCAGTTTACTGATGAGGAAACTCAGGGGTCAAAGTAGTAGATACCTACCCAAGGTAACAGAAGCTGTGAAGTGGTACAGCTGGGATCTAAAATATGTCAGCTTCACCGTAGATAGGCTCCCTGATGAACCACCTGCCACGGCCCGTATGACCGCATCCAGGGGTGATGATGTCATTTTCACAGGGTTATTGAGAGCTAAAACTACGAAGTACTACAAACTATTATTTAAAATATAAATACATACTATATATGCATATGTGTGTATATATAATTAATGGGGTAAACATTACAGAATACTGTCCTAACCTTTAAACAATGCACTCGTTTTCTGTAAACTAATATACAAACAACTGTTTGGTCCCTAAAAATAGATGTCAGGTGACAGAGACTGGCTGAGCAAGAATAGGAGTATCTTCAGAATAGAAGCCAGAGGAGTTTTTGCTTCCCCAACACATTGTCGCACCATTCACTGTTCCAGGACCTTCCTACTTCTCTGGAAAACTCTGGCCCAAAGCAGCTCCTCTACATTAGTCACAAGTTTCCATTAATCAGGGGTGGCCTGTGCCGGACCTACAGCAGAGTCATTTCAGGTTATTCTGTTACAGGCTTTCGACGTGTAGTCAGTCCACTCGCCCAAATCTAGCAGGGAATGAATGCCTTGTAATACGGAAGCATCTACAAATTCTTCTTAACAGTGTTCAGAGAACAATGTGAAACCCTGGGGCCTTTTCCCAGAATTAGGGTGGTGGGAATGCTGTCCTATTGACTAAGCCTGTTAGGTAAGCAGGCAGTTGGCAAGATTCAGGAAGCTTCATTTGAAGATAGAATTTAGGGCGATCGTTTGGATTTACTGGCTTAATTACTTAAGGTAACATTTATAAAAGAAATTGTCATTCCATTATTATTACCTTTTAACTTTTATTCCTAAACGGAACATTAGCAACAAACTACATTACTTGATAAATGTAATTTCTAACCAGATTGATAACTAGAAAAAAATTTTAAGTTACTTTGCTCTGTGAATTAGTTTAAACATATTTGTAATTGAGACTTACTACTGTTATTGGCTGAAATAAATAAAAGCAAGAGATAATAAAGAATAACAGAGACAACGAACACCCAATTTAAGTTTATTTCTAAGTTCCATCTTTTTTAGAGAAAAGGCAAATTAAGAAAAGTTTAGAGAGAGGTACTAGTATATTTATGAACTTGTATAGATGATAAGCAAAACGGACTTTAATATGTAGAATTCCAGAATCAACAGGTTGCCAGCATCCATGTTTTTGAAGATTTGCTTAAGAACACAACCAAAAATGGAATGGGCAGTCTCTAATTACAAGCAGAAGGCTACAAAATCATTTTAGCTGCATAATACAGTTTTGGTTCTAAAGTCAGCACGTAAGAGGAAAATTCCTTAGGAAAATACAACATTGAAAACCATTGTGTCATGTAATATGAAATGCAATAATTAATTTTTCCTCCAGTAATAGAAAGATCACTGTTTCATTGGTTTATAAAAATATATCTTTATCATTAAATGTGGCAAAATGTTAAGACTTGGTGAATATTGGTGAAAAGTATATATCCATTGTACAATTCTTTCCAATTTTTTTTGAGATTGAAAATTTTTAAAACAACAAATTATCTTTTAAACAGCTAATAATCACTAGACCTGCACTCTTTGTGGTGAGACTATGAAAAATGTTAGAGACCTAGTAAGAGAAGCAGATTCACATTTCTGTCTTCTTCTTCAAGCCAAACAGTCATAGAGTGGAGTGGGCAGAATGGAACTCACTTTTGAAAGCCTAGTGCTTTGTCCAATCTTACTGCAAGCCAGACAGGAAGGTTATAGAAAATGTTTCTGGATCAGTCTTCTCTGAGTCATATGAAATTGTGGTTTCAGCCAAGATGACATTAGGAATTAGAGACATGGGACAAAAACTTTAAGATTGTAAAAAAATTTTGACTCTAGTAGGAAACATGGGTAGAATTGTAATGACACTTGATTGAATTTTAAAAGATGCCTGTATAAGATCTTAAAATTAGGAAAAAAATTATGGCCTAAGCAATTAAAGGCATAGGAGGCATCTTTTTGGGATGATGGAAATATCCTCTCTCCTGATTGTGATAGTAGTTACATGAATATTCATTTAACAAAAACCATAAATTATAGACTTAGAAAACAGTAAATGTTACTGTATGTGACACCTTAATAAACGTGATTATAAAAATAAATCCTAAGCATCTAAAAAAAAAAAAAAAAAGAAGAAGAAGTGAACCAGAACCACACCATTCTATTTTGGAGACACTTCAAAAGAAATGACCTCATTCTTAATTTTGTTTAAAGAAGAATATAACATGATTTGAATATATTTAGCTAGGATATTTTAGTGCCTGCTAGCACTTGAAGCCAGAGTTCACTGTGAGCATTCTGACTATGAAGTGAGAAGCTAAGAGAACTGTATTTTGATATTCCTTTGACAGTTAAATCATAACACTGTTCTTCCCCTTCTTTAGCCCCAGCATGAGACCAGATGTAAGCTCTCCTCCATCCAGCTCCTCAACAGCAACAACAGGACCACCTCCCAAACTCTGCCTGGTGTGCTCTGATGAAGCTTCAGGATGTCATTATGGAGTCTTAACTTGTGGAAGCTGTAAAGTTTTCTTCAAAAGAGCAGTGGAAGGTAGTGTGTGTTTTGAAGAGTTTATTTTTCCTCTACTTGGTTTTCATTTCTCAGGGTGGATTTTGAAATTTCCATTATATGCAAAGCCCATGAAAGGCTAAATATCAGTTAAGAGGGGAGAGGAGGGTGGCTCCTAGGTCCTCTAATGGGCAGGAAAGTATTTAAAACAACAATACAAAAAGATCTAGAATAAAATAGAAAAGTACAAGTTGATGTCTGGGAGTTTGGTCAGGGAGCATAAGGTAACACTATAAGAAAGTGCTATCATATGAAATGATGGTGTTAAGTTTGGGCATAACATAATGTTCATTGTATTAGAAACATGGGCTTTAACTTCCATAAGCTAATAGGTTTCAAAGTCACCAACTTTACTGGCCTGGCAAAAATGAGTCACAGTGAGAACTGTGACAGGAAAAAAAAAAGATATTCATTTCATTTCTTATTCATTTTTTTTTTCTATTAAGCCAGGGCACTGTGCTAAGTGGTATAAATACCAATAAGACCTGATCCTTACCCTCTGGGAAGTCACACTCCACTGAAGTGAAAGATGAGTTAACAATGACAAGGTACAGAGATTATAATATAGATGAGGGAGAGAGAAACTCGGCCTGAGGAGGTCAGGAAAGGTATTTTAGAGAAACTGATTTCACTATATAAATGTTGTATTAACACAAATCTTACTTTGTTATGGATTCAGACTGCTGACAGGGCAACAGCATTATCTCCCTAAAGAATGAGAAATTCATTCCATAGCAAATTTATTAGAAGAGAGTCTAAAATGTCCTAATACTACCAGTGACTCCTCTAGGAAAAAAATTGTCATATAATTTAGTTATTTCTAAAGCAGTTTGAAAGTAGCTTGGCCTAAAGCTCTGATTATATTAATTTTTTAAAGAAACAATTATTCATTCACTGTATGAGGATTATTATTATTTGTCTCATGTTGTGTTTGCATATCCATGAGAGTTAGATGAGTCATTTTCTTTTGTTTTACTTTTTAATACATTAGCAAATTATAAAATTACTCATATTACACCACAAAGATTACAAGGATGGCAGCTTTGGCCAGTGTAGTAGTCCCACCTATTGATTAGAGTCAAAAGTAAAGCCCAGCCCTGCTTTGTGCATTGCTCCTAATAAAGTGGATGTTACTTAACACATACGCAGAAGACAGAAGCGTCTTCGTGTCCTCACTTTACTCCTCACTTTCTTAACTGCTTAAGTATTTCCACGATATAAATGCAGTGATAATAATAATACGGACAGTCCCTGACTTAACGATTTTTCAACTTTTATGATGGTGGGAAAGTGATACGCATTCAGTATGGCTCCTCGACTTACAATGGGGTTGCCTCCAGATAAACCCATTGTGAATTGAAAATATCTTACACTTAGCACTCCATTCTTAATACCTGCTAGAATTATAGATTATCCCTCAAAATTGGCATAGTATAATATGGGTATCAGCAAGTTGTTGCACTTTATTCAGAGCTTTACACTAGGCAGGGGTGGGCTTTACTTTTGACTCTAATCAATAGGTGGGACTACTACACTAGCCAAAGCTGGCATCCTTGTGGTCTCTGTGGAGTAACGTGAGTAGCATTATAATTTACATCCCCCATAACAAATGATCCAAGAGAGTATGTGATCAATGCAGCAGAACTATTGTCTTTTATTATCTGATTTCACATGTAACATGCCATCACTTCTGCCATATTTTATTGGCCACACAGACCAATCTTGGTAAAGGACGGAAAGGGACTGCACAAGACCATGCATTCAAGGAGGCAGAGATCACTGGGGGCCATCTTGGGAGGCTGGCTACCACACCCACCATAAATAGAAAACCAGAATTATTTGCCAAAAATAGACTTTAACCACAAAAATGAATACCATATAAACAAAACAAAGTCACAAAATTTCAGCTGACTTGAAGACTCATCTTTCTATTAGTTAGAAAGGGAATTTACCAAGTAGTAGAAGACACAGGAACTCCAAAATAAGATATCTCATTGTCTTATCAGAAGGGTTGACAGGAAAATGGGCTGGGCACTGTGGCTCAAGGAAAATGGGCTGTGCACTGTGGCTCACACCTATTATCCCAGCAATTTGGGAGGCCAAGATGGGAGGATTGCTTGAGGCCTGGAGTTTGAGACCAGCCTGAGCAACATAACGAGACCCCGTCTCTACAGGAAAAAAAAAAAAAAAAAAAACGTTATCCAGGCATCGCACCTGTAGTCTCAGCTACTCAGGAAGCTAAAGCAGGAGATTCAGGCTGCAAAGAGCTATGACACACCACTGTACTCCAGCCTAGGCAACGTAGCAAGAACTTGTCTAAAAATAAATAAATAAATGAGTCAAGGAATGAATGAATGGATTGACAGGAAATGACTATTAGTTGTACGTGGCCATGTGTTATGAAATAGTGAATACTAGTTAAAACTCCTCATTTTATAGATAAGGAACAGATAGATAGACTTGTCCAACTTCATGCTAATAACCACAAAGGGCTATTTTTAACTTATGAAGGTACATTGCCTCTGATCCTATAGCTCAGAGTCTTAGCTGTGCACAAGACATACCTGGGATAAAGAAATCAAGATTGGCGTAATGTGCACATCCTGACATTTCAGTTGGATATAAACAAAACTTTGGAATTTTTCATTTTTAGCAGTGGGTGATTTTTTTTCTTTTTTTCTTCCAGTAACTGTAGGACAGTGATTTAGAGATTCCTTATAGGGTATAACTTTTTTGTATTATAACCACTTCATCAATAGATGTATCTGTTGATCGTACTTTTGATTTATAGGGGATAGAATTGGGTTAGTGCTTCCATTTTCTGTCCAAGTAAAGAAGCTAGGATATTTATAGAGTACAAAAAGAAATTGAAACAGCTGGTACAGATATTTGGCATTGGAGAGCAGCTCTGAACAAAGGTGAATTATAGTCTAGTGGTCAATTTTGTGGCCTATTCTTTACAAAGAATTGAACCTGATACAGTTAACCATCTACCCCAAACTATTATTTGTTTAAAACACAATCTATTGGCTGGGCGTGGTGGCTCATGCCTGTAATCCCAGCACATCGGGAGGCCGAGGCGGGTGGATCACGAGGTCCTGAGATCGAGACAATCCTAGCCAACATGGTGAAACCCTGTCTCTACTAAAAATATAAAAATTAGCCAGGCGTGGTGGCGTGCACCTGTAATCCCAGCTACTCGGGAGTCTGAGCCAGGAGAATTGCTTGAACCTGGGAGGCAGAGGTTGCAGTGAGGTCATGCCACTACACTACTACACTCCCAGCCTGGGCGACAGAGCGAGACTCCATCTCAAAAAAATAAAAATAAAAAAACATAATCTATCAAACTGTGTAAAACACAGTTTATCAAAAAAGTAGTTACCCTTGGTGGGTACTGGCTGGAATTGGGCAGAAAGGGGGCCTGTTGGGGTACTGTTCTGTTTCTTGATCTGAGAGCTGATTACATAAAGGTTCTTGGTTTGTAAAAATTTATTAAATGGTTCACTGATTTGTGTACTTTTTTTATATGTGAATACTGCAATAAGGTTTTTTATTGCACTGTTTTCAGTTTGTTGAACAGAAAAAGGGAGACTCTTTTTGTTGTTTTTGACCTCTCGACCTCATAATGGCAATGTAGGCAAGAACATTCCCTCAAGGCAATACCTGTGGGTGTCTTGGTTATATTCCACCGGAAACAAAGACAGAGGCTGTCCTTATAAAATATGTTTGAAGACCTGTGAAACTTTAATAGTGCCTTTTATTCCATATAGGACAGCACAATTACCTATGTGCTGGAAGGAATGATTGCATCATCGATAAAATTCGAAGAAAAAACTGCCCAGCATGCCGCTATCGAAAATGTCTTCAGGCTGGAATGAACCTGGAAGGTAATATAAATATCTGAAAGCAATTGTTTGTCTCTGTAGCTTATAAAAATTTATCATTTTACTTTTGAAGATACACGTAAGCAGATGTAATTAATGTAGTCAGTTCAGTATATATATGCTTGACTAGCATAATGTTACTGCCCAATAAAAATGGGAAATTTTTTTCATGAATATGTCATATTGTTTGTTTATCCACCAGTTCTTCTTACACACACTGAATTCAGTACAGCCAGACTATATACAAAGAAAGGAAATTATGTAATAATGAAACTTACACAACATGCAGCAACTTTATTATTCTTACTCCTTTTTTCAGCCTCAAAACTATTCCCTAGGGTTGGAAATGTTTCTGTATCAGACATATTTACATGTCCATTTTTCTGTTTGCCTTTTAAAAGCATACCTTTTACTTGGAGATCTGTGTTTTATTACAGATCTTCAAGCGGGGGGTGGTGGGAAAAAAAAAACCTCAAGGAAGAACTGGATGGGTTTTGTTTTGGTTTTCAAGTAAAGAAGAAACCTGGGCCGGGTGCAGTGGCTCACGCCTGTAATCCCCGAAGTTTGTGAGAATCCTTCTGTCTAGTTTTTATGTGAAGATATTACCTTTTCCACCGTAGGCCTCAAAGCGCTCCAAATATCCACTTGCAGATTCTATAAAATGAGTGTTTGAAAAACTGCTCAATCAAAAGAAACGTTCAACTCCATGACCTGAATGCACACAACAGTGAGAAGTTTCTGAGAAAGTTTCTTGGTCTCCCCGCACTTTGGGAGACCAAGGCAGGCGGATCACGAGGTCAAGAGATCAAGATCATCCTGGCTAACATGGTGAAACCCTGTCTCTGCTAAAAACACAAAAATTAGCGGAGCGTGGTGGTGTCACCTGTAGTCCCAGCTACTCAGGAGGCTGAGGCAGGAGAATCACTTGAACCCGGGAGGCAGAGGTTGCAGTGAGCCGAGATCACACCACTGTACTCCAGCTTGGCGACAGAGCAAGACTCCGTCTTGGAAAAAAAAAAAAAAAAAGAAACCTGAAACTAGTTATAAGTTAGAGTTTCATATCCCTGTTTATATAACAAGTTGTATAATTAACACTGATCTCAGCATTAAAAAATTTTCCTCTGAAAAAAGTTTGGAATTCTGCTGTGGTTGAAATTGCAAGTTCTGTGAAGGTAGTGGTGATCTCATAACACATATGCTTAGTATTTATTGTGAAATTAGCACTTTTATTCAACAAATATGCACCAACAAGGCAGTCACTAGGTATAAAATGAATAAAATAGTGCCTGTATTCAAGTAGTTTATCTGCTAGTTAGGTTGCAGAGTCAGTCACAAAATAGCATGGCACACCATAGAGGGCATAGGGCCACAGGAACAAGAGGAAGGTCACCTAATTCTGTCTTGGAAGTCAAGGAAGAAGTAACATTGAATTTTAAATCTATAAGCTGAGTAGGAATTAGATAGATGAAAAATAAGGGCAGAGACATGATCAGATTTGTATTTTACAAAGACTAATCTTACATGGAGAGACCAATTAAGTGAATATGGCAGTCCTCCAGATAAGAGATGGCAGTACTGAGAGAGAATGGAAACCATGTGGTTCCTTTTATGATTATGATGATTATTATTATTTTAGAGACAGAGTCTAACTCTTGTCACCCAGGCTGGAGTGCAGTGACATGAACATGGCTCACTGCAGCCTTGAACTCCTAGACTCAAGCCATCTTCCCACCCAGTAGGGCTACGGATGTACACTACCATGCCCAGCTGATTTTTTTTTAATTTTTGTTTTAATTTTTTGTAGAGACAAAGGGGTCTTGCTATGTTCCCAGGCTGGTGTCTAACTCCTGGCCTTAAGTGATCCTCCCAACGTGGCCTCCCAAAGTGCTGGTATTACAGGTGTGAGCCACTGCAACTGACCTATGTGGTTCTTTTGATAGGAGAGACTAATTGTTGGTGCTATCTAGCACACACTGTGTGTAGACATCTTGTTAAATAGAAAATAGATTTATGGGTATGACTATGAAGAGTCTAATTCCCCAAACCACACACACAACTCTATCTACGTTTGACCAGGCTATTTAAACTTAACTGCAGAGTGTCAGCATGTTAAACATTGATTTACATAAAATGATAGCTGCCCACTTTCTTGTAAATGTTATAAAAACTGTAGAGATTAACTAAAAAATGCACACAGAAGTTTGCTTTCAGTTCCACAAGGGTAGTTTATTTTTGTTATAAAAACAGTATTCCCCACTTTCTTAGATACCAGATCTCTGCCCAGATTTTACCCAGTTTCATCTTGCTGCTCTCTAATCTCCTATGTATGTAATATACTTTGACCATTTAAATATGTATTAAGACACTTGAGTTTTTAGTGCCCTTTGGTTTATTTTCTCCGGTCCCAATTATCTCTAATCTTCATTTTTTCATTTTACCTATTTTATATTTCGAAATAGGTTTTGAATGAAGCTCAAAGGACAAACCCAAATAAAATTCTGTCGTATCTCTAATATATTGTGGTTGCTTACCCAGTAACATTTTTAGGTGCTTTTCTGAATACATATAAAGTTTAAGATCTTTGGAGTTTTAAGTATATAATGTTTTTCTGGGCAATTTCTCCCTATCCAAACTATGAGGGCCTTCTTTCATCAAAAGAAAAAAGATATATCAACTACAAAGTAATGATTTTGATGGACTAGGCTACGAAATCTGTCCATTTTTTCCTCCTTCTTACAGTTTAATAGCAATTGCAGTGCCCTTTGCCCTTACTGTACTAGAAGACGACCCCAGGCAGTGACTGACATCTGATTTTTCTATTAATTATACCATCACTGCCATTTCCAGTTGAATCTTTTGTTGGACATCAGAAATTTTTCTTACATGAATAAAATTTAAGCATACGGTTGGGCGCGGTGGCTCATGCCTGTAATCCCAGCACTTTGGGAGGCCTAGGCAGGTGGATCACGAGGTCAGGAGATCGAGACTATCCTGGCTAACACGGTGAAACCCCGTCTCTACTAAAAATACAAAAAATTAGCCAGGCGTGGTGGCGGGCGCCTGTAGTCCCAGCTACTCGGGAGGCTGAGGCAGGAGAATGGCATCAGCCCAGGAGTTGGAGCTTGCAGTGAGCCAAGATCGCGCCACTGCACTCCAGCCTGGGCGACAGAGCGAGACTCCGTCTCAAAAAAAAAAAAAAAAAAAAAAAAAAAAAAAAAAAAAAAATTTAAGCATACAATTTAGGCTGCAGTTTCTCAAAATATTGTATTAAAAATAACCAATTATATGCTTTTATAGTCAGTATAACGTATCCAGTTAGTGTAGAAATTGGCATTTGTTGAAAACTACTACATGTTAGTCTTTGATATACATTCTTCTACTTTTTGGACCCTGATTATTAAAAACACCTTTGAATAGGGCCATGATTTACTTTATATCCATTTTTATACTACATAGTGGAAGAAAATTCTGATTTGTTATTTCCTACTATGATATGTACCGTGTGGCACATATCATATAAATGATCCAATTCTACTTGTAGATGAATTGAAAGAAAGGCTTAAAAAAGTTCTTAGGGTTTGTGTGTGTGGTTTCACTGTAAAACTATCATTTTTGTATTGAACTAACCTCAGTATACATAAAATCTTTATTTGGCCTGGTATGTACGTATGCCAGGAATCTTTGGCAGACCCTAACACTTACAATACAGATGAGCCATGTGTTTCACACTTTTTTTTTAACAACCTTCAGAAATATTCTCTTGTTCATCAGAGTGCTTCCCCTAAGCCAAGCAGTTTCGATGATAGCCCCAGAATAACTTTGCCCAAGTCTCTCCATAAATGTAACTTAGGACTCCAAGTGGTGTATTTTTATACTCTTGCCCCATACCAAGTAAATCTCAAGATTTATTTTAAGGGAGTGGCCTTCACTGCTTAAAGGGCCTAGCATTTAAGAACAGATAAGATTTTTAATGGTGATCCTAAATGTTTTTTTTTAAAAAACTTGCTTGTTTTTCTCTTGAAACTAAATGTTTTTATTCACTTCATTTTAAGATATATTGTAATCAATCCAAAGTATGGCTTTATTTTTAGTATAAACAGTCAAATGAAGCTTAGTCTTGTGGCATTGTCAGATTTATAACCAAATATTACTGAAACTAATTTTTTTAAGTTCAAAAACCCAATCTAGTAGTTTCTCTCTTATTTTCAACTTTTATTTTAGATTCTAGGGGTACATGTACAGGTTTGTTACTAAGATACATTGTGTGATGCCGGTGTTTGGAGTATGATTGAACCTTTCATCTAGGAAGTAAGCACAGTACCTAACAGGTGCTTTTTAACCTGTGCCTCCCTTCCTCTATCCCCCCTCTTGTATTTCCCAGTGTCTGTTCCCATCTTTATGTCTATGTGTACTCAATGTTTAGCTCCCATTTATAAATGAGAACATGGTATTTGTTTTTCTGCATTAGTTCATGTAGGATACTGGCCGCCTGCTACATCCATGTTGCTGCAAAGGACGTGATTTCATTCTTTTTGTGGCCACATAGTATTCCATGGCATATAAATACCACATTTTCTTTATCCAGTCCACTGTTGATGGGCACCTGGGTTGGTTCCATGTCTTTGCTATTGCAAACCATGCTGCAGTGAACATATGGGTACATGTGTCTTTTTGATAGAATGATTTATTTTTCTTTGGGTATATTCCCAGCAATAGGATTGCTAGGTTGAATGGTAGTTAAACTCTTAATTCTTTGAAGAATCTCCAAACTTCTTTCCACAGTGGTGTCATTGTGGTTTTGACTTGCATTTCTCTGATGATTAACAATCAGCATTTTTCCATATGTTTGTTGGCCACACGTATGTCTTTTTTTGAGAAGTGTCTGTTCATGTCCTTTGCCCATTTTTAATGGGGTTGTTTTTGCTTGTTAATTTAAGTTCCATATAAACTCTGGATATTAGGGCTTTGTCAGATGCATAGTTTGCAAATATTTTCTCCCATTCTGTAGATTGTGATAGTTTCTCTTGATTTGCAGAAACTCTTTAGTTAGGTCCCATTGTCAATTTTTGTTTTTGTTGCAGTTTCTTTTGGGGATTAGTCATAAATTCTTTCCCAAGGCCAATGTCGAGAAGGTTATTTCCTAGGTTTTCTTCTAGGATTTTCATAGTTTGAGGTCTTACATTTACATCTTTAATCCACCTTACTAATTTTTATATGGCAGTAGGTAGGGGTCCAGTTTCATTCTTCTGCACATGGATAGCCAGTTATCCCAGCACCATTAATGGAATAGGGAGTCTTTTCCCTATGGCTTATTTTTATCAACTTTGTGTAGATTACATGGCTGTAGGTGTGTGTCTTTATTTCTGGACTCTATTCTGTACCATTGTGTGTGGTTTTTTTTTACCAGTACCATGCTGTTTCGGTTACTATAGCCTGTAGTATAGTTTGATTTGGGGTAATGTGATGTTGCCAACTTTGTTCTTTTTGCTTAGGATTGCTTTGGCTATTTGGGGCATTTTTTGGTTCCATAGGAATTTTAGAATGCTTTTTGCTAATTCTGTGAAAAATGACATTGTAGTTTGATAGGAATAGTGTTGAATCTATAAATTGCTTTGGGTAGTATGACCATTTTAACTATACTGATTCTACCAGTCCATGAGCATGGAATGTTATTCCATTTGTTTGTGTCATCTTTGATTTCTTTCAGCAGTGTTTTGTAGTTCTCCTTGTAAAAATTTTAAACTAACTTAGATGCATTCCTAGGTATTTTACTCTTTTTGTGACTGTTACAAATGGGATTGCATTCTTGATTTGGCTCTCAGCTTGAACATTACTGGTGTATAGAAATGCTACTGATTTTTGTACATTGATTTTAAATCCTGAACCTTTACCAAAGTTGTTTATCAGCTCCAGGAGCCTTTTGACAGAGTCTTCAGGGTTTTCTAGGTATAGAATCATAAGTGAAAAGAGATCGTTTGATTATTTATTTTCCTATTTGGAAGCCTTTTATCTCTTTCTCTTACCTGATTGTTCTGACTAGGATTTCCAGTACTATGTTAAATTGGAATGGTGACATTGGGCATCCTTGTCTTATTGCATTAAGGGGAATGCTTCCAGCTTTTGCCCATTTGGTATGATGTTGGCTGTTGGTTTGTCATACAGGGCTCTTTATTACTTTGAGGTATGTTCCTTCAATACCTAGTTTGGTGAAGGTTTTTATCATGAAGAGATGCTGGATTTTATCGCAACTTTTTCTGCATCTATTGAGATGATCATTATTTTTTTTGTTATGTGGTGAATCACATTTATTGATTTGCATATGTTGAACGAGCCTTGCATCCCAGAAATAAAGCCTACTTGATTGTGGTGAATTAACTTTTTGATGTGCAGCTGGATTCAGTTTGCTAGTGTTTTGTTGAAGATTTTTGTATCTGTGTTCATCAGGGATATTGGCCTGTAGTTTTGTTGTTGTTGTTGTTTCTCTACCAGGTTTTGGTATTAGAATGATGTTTCCCTTGTAGAATAAGTTAGGGATGAGGCCCTCTTTCTAGATTGCTTTTTTAGAATAGTTTTAGTAGGATTAGTACCAGCTCTTCTTTGTACATCTGGTAGAATTTGGCTGTGAATCCATCTGGTCAAGGGCTTTTTTTAATTGGTAGGTTTTTTATTATTGATTCAATTTCAGAACTCGTTATTGGTCTGTTCAGAATTTCAGTTTCTTCCTGGTTCAATCTAGGCAGGTTGTGTGTTTCCATTTCCACATACATACTTACTCCAAATAATGGCTTTATATATACGGGGGTCAGCTGAAAACAAAAATGATACTTTCATAGTAAACTCCACCCGCCCCCCCACCCACATACACACACACATAAACCCTAGATTTTTTAAAGCCTTTGTTCCAATTTATCCATTTCCTCTAGATTGTCTACTTTGTGTGCATAGAGGTGCTTGTAATAGTGTGAAGATCTTTTTCACTTCTGTGGAATCTCTTGTAATGTCATCTTTTACATTTTTTATTGTGCTTATTTGGGTCTTCACTCTTTTTTTCTTTGTTAATCTTGCTAGTGGTCTATCAATCTTGTTTATCCTTTCAAGTAACCAACTTTTATAAACTAGGTTTTAAGCTAATTAAGATTTCTCTACTTTCATTAAGAAGGAAGTAGTGTTACCACAGACTCATGAACACTTCTGTGGAGCTCCTGTATTGACTGCTAATCAACTATATGCTCCAATGGGTCAGGAATTTATATAAAGTTGTATTAACTAAGTTGCTTTAAAATAGTGATTGCTTAACTAAATGATTCAGTTCAGTTAACTCCTTCCTGAAGATATTTTGAAAAATTAATTAGTATTATTTCTTGCTCTAGTCAGTACAGCACAGTTGGGTTCAATTGTACTTTCTGAGCTGTATTGAAAAACATCAGTTTTCTCATTTAGAACTATATATAAGTAGTGAGAAATTAATTACAAACTGAGTCATAGAAAATGTTTTTTTTTAATCCTCCAGCTTGTTACTCTTTCTTCCTTGTTCTAATGTGGAGTAAAGAAATATGCATTCCAAACCATTTAAAGTTATGACTAATTGAGGCTGTCAAAGTACTGTTTCAGTGTATTGATTTGGCACATGTGTGTTCTCTTTTACATTGTCAACAAAAGTACATTTTATGATTTTGGATCAAGATTTCACTGAGATACTTCTGGTTGTTTAAAGAGTTTCTTTATGTATTGGTGTCTTTCCTTTTTAAAATTTTATCACTCCTCTATTAAGTTGTGATATCCAAATTTAAAATATTCTAAAAACATGTTCTCCTGCAAGTTGAGGTAATGATAGTTGTTATGTGGTACTTACTATAATATATGCCAGGAACTGTTCTAAGCATTTTACATATTTAATTCTCACAACAACCCTATGAGGTAGGGACTAATATTGTCCTCATTTTACAGAAGGGGAAATGAAGAGTCAGGGAGTAACTTGCACAGATATCCAGCTACAACATGGCAGAACCAGGACTTAAATCCAAATATGCTGATTTCAGGTTTCTGCCCTTTAGTCCTATATCATACTGTGCCTCCAAGAGAGCATGGTAAACTAATTAGCATGGTTCTATCATGATTCTGTTTCTATTTTGAACTATTAATAAAAATTTTTGCAATTCTCAGTTACCCCATTTAGTATAGAACACAATAAGAATGGAACCATTCTATTCTAACATTGTACATTGAGATATCGTTCCCACCACCATATCTGTCCTCCATAGACTATATGGTGTGTCATTTTAAGGACAGAGGATCTAAAAATGATTTTTAAAGGTGATTTACATTTACTCTTCCCTTTGCAAAATGGTTTGCATCCCTAATAATTTAGACAAGTACATTTCTTCGTGATATAAATTACATTTCTTGCCTTTCCCTGGAATTCTGAGTACTTTCCCTCTGAGAGAACAATGTAATTCTTATTTATTTAGTCACTAAAATAACTTCAGGAGTATGAATAAGTCTACTAAAAAGTCTACAGGATCCATGTTGTAGTTTGAGTAGATGGTTCCATACCAAGTCAAGGTAAAAGATAATTTATATATAATATGAAAATGGCTGCTTTAGGTTTATAGAGTAATCAATATAAATCTTCCTTATAAAAGGGAAATTTCCCACTTATAATTTATGTAATGTAAAGTTTTTCATTTCATCTTCCCAAATGTTTTTAGTCCCACGCAGTATTTATGTTAGTACCTATGTAAAGGTGAAAAGTGAATTTTTTCTACTGGTAGAACTAATACTATTTTTAGCATGTAATCTGCTGTCATCTTCCTATCTTTATAAGTGGCTTTGAACAAGTGTAAATAGTGTAATTCTCTTCATTATATATACTACCATGATTTAGATTAATCTTAAACCACAGTTTGTAATCCGTTACTCCAAGCTTAGATTTTTTTTTCAGTTTATAGTAAGAGTAATTTGCCTTATATAACCAATGAAATTGTTGCATTTAGAGTGAAAGTGAGATAAAAAAATAATTTATAGAAGAATTTACAAAAGTTATTTACTCAGATTGTTTTAACATACCGTTATAATACTTTGTATAAGGAATAACTCTAATGAAGTTTCTGGCCTATTTGTAGGCAAAATTAATTGGGAATAGGTTCCTCTGGATCTTTTGCTTTCAGAAAAAAAAAAGTTTTTTCTCCTTTTCCATGTCACTTTATCATAATTGCTAAATAAAATATTTCTCCCATCTTAATAGTTTTAGAAAGTAAAAATACTTCTTGAATAAACTGTGTAGCGCAGACCTTCCCATTACAGTTCATTTCTATGTATTTGTTTAAATACCCACAGCTCGAAAAACAAAGAAAAAAATAAAAGGAATTCAGCAGGCCACTACAGGAGTCTCACAAGAAACCTCTGAAAATCCTGGTAACAAAACAATAGTTCCTGCAACGTTACCACAACTCACCCCTACCCTGGTGTCACTGTTGGAGGTTATTGAACCTGAAGTGTTATATGCAGGATATGATAGCTCTGTTCCAGACTCAACTTGGAGGATCATGACTACGCTCAACATGTTAGGAGGGCGGCAAGTGATTGCAGCAGTGAAATGGGCAAAGGCAATACCAGGTAAGATGCAAAACATAAAAGAGCAACTATATAAACCTTTGTGTTTTCTTCAGCAAAAACACTTTGGCTTTTATATCATCGTGAGCCCATGGCTTATCTTGTTTCTCTTAGTTCTGGGGACTATGAAGGGGAGAGTCAGGTGAATACAGGTGATAGGGAGTTTATAATAAAACATTTACATTACTCCCTGCTTTTCAAATCATTATGCACAGGATGGTAATTTCACATAGGATGATGTAATATCAGAATTCAAGTTACAAGACTCACTCAAAACTCCTTTTACACTGAAGTTTGGGGAAAGAAAATGTTTTTAGTTAATTCCATTTGTTTTCCTTCATTGTGCCACTTTTAAAAATCAGGTTGTTTGTAAGATTGGTAAACATCAAGTATGTTGATTGTCAAAATTTGTACTAAAGTAGAATGATTTTAACCCTTCACTAAATGAAATGCTACACATTGAATGTAATTTTAAAGATAATTTTAAATAAAAGTTACCCTATTGGAATTTGGTGTGGAATGGCAGAGGTCAATGTTAGTGTCAGCTCTGACTTTAAAGACAGGGAATTGACAAGCCTGTGTTCACGCAAATAGTTAGGGAGAGAGCAAGAAAGTAACCTGACCTCCTGTCATCCTTGTTTTATTAAGGGGGAAAGAGGTGTGAATAGCAGGGCAAATGTTTTGCTTAACTCATTGATTAATACCTCAAGCCAAGATTCTTTTCTGTTTTTTAAAATCAATACATAATAGTTGTACATATTTACTGTACATATTTATATTTAGGGGGTACATGTAATAATTTAATAAAAGCATACAACGTGTAAGGATCAAATCAGAGTAACTGGGATATCCATCACCTCAAACATTTGTTTGGGGAACATTCCAAATCTTCTCTTTTAGCTATTTTGAAATATAAAGTAAATTATTGTTAACTATAGTCATCCTGTTGTGCTACTGAACACTAAAACTTATTTCTTCTAACTGTATTTTTGCACCCGTCAACCATTCCCGCTTCATCCCCATCACCACTATCTTTCCCGGTCACTGGTAACCGCCAAGCCAAGAATTTTGGCTATTTTACTATTTAGTTCATGTTTACTTAAGCAGACAGAGGTGACAAAACTGGCTTTTTTTTTTTTTTTTTACATTAAAAGCTATTAAAAAGCACCTAGGGGGCTGGGTGCGATGGCTCACGCCTGTAATCCCAGCACTTTGGGAAGCCCAGGTGGGTGGATCAGTTGAGGTCAGGAGTTCGAGACCAGCCTGGCCAGCATAGCAAAACCCCATCTCTACTAAAATTACAAAAATTAGCCGGGCATGGTGGTATGAATCTGTATTCCTAGCTACTTGGGAGGCTGGCACTGAGAATCACTTGAACCCGGGAGGCGGAGGTTGCAGTGAGCCGAGATGGCACCATTGCACTCCAGCCTGGGTGACAGAGCAAGACTTTGTCTCAATTAAAAAAAAAAAAAAAAAAAAAAACACAAGAGGGTTTGTGAGTCTTAAAGTGTCAGATGACAGAAGAAAACTGTGTCTACCTAGTATTTAATTTCCATTTTCTGTTAGGGGTGCCCTTGTTTTGACAGGGCTAATTGATCTCATTGCTCCTTGGCAATTCCCACAGAGATGATCTTCTGAAGAGTGTTGCCTCATACCTTTATTTCTCTTAATTCAGGTTTCAGGAACTTACACCTGGATGACCAAATGACCCTACTGCAGTACTCCTGGATGTTTCTTATGGCATTTGCTCTGGGGTGGAGATCATATAGACAATCAAGTGCAAACCTGCTGTGTTTTGCTCCTGATCTGATTATTAATGAGTAAGTTGTATGTGTGTCATTTTCCCTGTATTCATAGGGTATCTTTAACCAGCTGATGTTTTCCTGATTGACTGCTATTGTGATAATTCAGGACTGAAACAATCCTACTAGGTATCTAGGATCTAGGCAAACTGGAAATAGAGTTATGAGTGCTTGGGGCAGGACAAGTGTAATGTAAAGCAAATGTACATGTGGCATTATTACTGTCCCAGGACATGTTTGAGGATATTTAACAGCATATCTGAGGTTAGTAAAGTCTGTCGCAAGCAACAAGGAATCTTACTGTGATATCATTTACATAACCCTATTCCAGAAAGAAAAAGGAGCATGGTAAAACTCATGTGGATTCAGTGGGGACAATTGTAGATGAGGATATCTAGGCTGATGGGGTGGGACATATGGACCCAGACACAAGAGGTATCTCTTTGCATGGCAAGGCTCACCCAGTGTCTGTGGTTTAAGAATATGGGAACAAATTTGTTTTGTTTAACTGAGAGAAGACCAAGCCTTTAAGATTTTATAAATCAGCTATTCTCTTATCCTCTAAGCTTATTCCTGTGTCTGCGAAATACTTCAGGTGTCCATTTCCCCTTACCTCATTGCAGTTGTTTCCTCACTCGTTTTCTCCCTCCAGTGTAACGTTCATCATGTTGGCTAATGTTTGCTTCCTCAAGCACAGTCTGACTGCATCACATATCTCCCCAGTACACAGATTGTCTTCAGTATCTTCCCACTGACCCTCCAGTACATATTCTGCATGATTTCAGACTTTCCAGAATCTGACCTCACTTCCTCTCCCATTGTTTTCCTTCACACACTCTTCATTCCCATCCATCCTTTCCAGCATACTCTTAGACTCTTGGTGTTCACATCACCAGATACACAGCAGAGAAGTCACATCCTAGTTACTCTCACTTTCTACCTTGTATTACTACTTTTCGTACCCCTAGCTTATTGCTATTAGTACAATGTAAACAGGGAGTTCACACACACATACCCCTGGTCTAAGAAGAATAAAAAATGAAGGAGATTTCTGTTTGTATAGAAAACAGAAGTCACCTTGACTTTTATTGCCAAAAAGAGGACTGTTCAAACTACTGCATCACAATGTAACAAGATTAGGTAGTTGGATCCAATTTTAAATTAACTGGTAAATATATTTAGTTTCTGGGGAAACTGAAGACATTATTACTCATCATAATCCTACCATGCTGTTTAAAAAATACCATGTTGGCAGTATTTGTTTTTTAGTCACTTTCTAATATGTAATTTGAAGGCATTTAAGTGGAATTAAAAGCATAAACAGATTTGTATGAAACACCAACTTATCCTGGTTTATAAAACTAACCTAATTTAGGGTTTTTATTATTAGGGCATTCAGATTTAGCTTTAAGCAGTCACAGCAAAATCTAATCATGCCACATACATTCCTTACATAAAGTGGGATTTATAATTTTTTTTCCTCAACAGATTTACATTAGTTTCATTTTCATTAAGGGATATGTACTTCCTATTCTTGTGTTCTCATGCTGCTGCCTAAAAGATGGGCAGTCCTCCACCTTTTTCTTTTCTTTTTTTTTTTTTTTTTTTTTGAGACGAGTCTTACTCTGTCACCCAGGCTCAAGTGCAGTGGTGTGATCTTGGCTCATGGCAACCTCTGCCTCCAGGGTTCAAGTGATTCTCTGCCTCAGCCTCCCGAATAGCTGGGATTACAGGCGCACTCCACCACACTTGGCTAATTTTTTGTATTTTTAGTAGAGACGGGGTTTTGCCATATTGGCCAGGCTGGTCTTGAACTCCTGACCTCAAGTGATCCACCCACTTTGGCCTCCCAAAGTGCTGGGATTACAGGTGTGAGCCACCGCACCCAGCCCTCCACCCTTTTTTCTTAGCCCACTATGTTTCCATACTGCTCTGGTGTCTGTGACAGGCAGATATTGCATATCAGAAAGTATGCATTCAAGTTCTGACCCTCTATAGAGCTGTCAAACAGTCTCTCATGGTTGCCCTTAGGTCAGAACGTTGTGGGGGAAAAAAAAATTGTTGTTGTTTTTACAGCCAACAAGAATGAGTTTTTACTTATTCTACTACACTATAACTTTGTTGAAATTTTCAGTTATATGAGTATAACCATGTACAAGAAACTAAAGGAAAAAAAGGTGCCTCCCAGAAAAGGAGTGCTTTACCTACTATTAAGGACTAGGGAGGTGCCTCTTCGGTAAGAGCAGATTTTAAATTTGAAGAGCCTCTGATCACTTTGGCAGCATATAAGTCATGTCTAATTTATTTTATATAAAGGAATAAACCACATATTCAGTAGAGAAAAATAATAACCTTTCTGTTGTTAAGTCCAAGACGACTTTCTGTCAGAAACTTAAAAAAAAAAAAAAATCTTGAAGCATTTTAAAAGCTGTGAACTGGGCCCAGTTTCAGGCTCTTAGTGTCATTTCACAAGTCAGGAAACTTTAGAGACCTATTTGAAAATCATAGGTATGTAATGACTTCAGAATCATAAGCAAGAATTGGTTTAGTACCTTTAGTTTAAAGAATATTAAGGCATATGCCTGTCAGAGGCAGATTTTGAGCATCAGAAGTCTAGAATCAAGTTCTAGGTCTCGCCCTCTGCATAACTGTGAACAGTGTCACACATTTTTGTCTTTAGGATGGACTGCTGTGAAAAAATTTACCTTTAAAAATCAAGTGTGTAGGACCTAAAACTGTCGTCTAATTGACCGTATTCAAATGATAAACCTTGATTTAAATGAGCAACTAGTAATAAGTTCTATAAGAATTCTAACACTTTAATTAAATAATAAAATAATACATGGCATGCATGATAGAAAATAATATCTCCACTGTTACATTAGATTATTCATTAGTCTATTTAAACAGCCAAGATGCAGGAAGTTTAAGGAAAGTTCTCCAAAATTCTGATTTTATAGGGAATTAGCAATAATATTATTGCAGTAGTTGTTTTTCTTTATGAGTTCATAGTTTTGCAAAACAAAACAAAAATGTGCTTTTTGGGGGGAAGTAGCAGTATTTCTAACTAATACCCTGCTATTTATCTTTCACAGGCAGAGAATGACTCTACCCTGCATGTACGACCAATGTAAACACATGCTGTATGTTTCCTCTGAGTTACACAGGCTTCAGGTATCTTATGAAGAGTATCTCTGTATGAAAACCTTACTGCTTCTCTCTTCAGGTTGGTAGAACACCTTTTCACCTTATGTCAAAAGCATGAAATATGAAGGCCTAGAAACAAAGGTTAATTTATATACATAGTACTAATAATTATACCAAGTCTACTATTATTTCCTACTAGTCAGATGATTTTTATGAATGTAAAATATTAGAAAGGCACAGTAAGTGACACCAAGATTAATAAGACAAATAGGTATGGCAGAAACAGAGAGGTATATGAGCTGCATAGGGATCTCTGTTGATAAGAATCTGTGTAGACTTTTTTCTCCTTCCTTCCTTTGATCTTTGATCATGGGAAGACATGGAAAAAGAAAGCTAACTACAGTGATTTTGTCCACTACACTGTTATTTGGTTAAAAATTTTAGTTTCCTAATGAGTATTAGCATGTATGAGAAATTATGGGAGAAAAAGGCGCATCCTAGAAAAGGTGTGCTTAATTACTATTGGGGATTGGTTAACATAGCATGGGAGCTGGATTGTCAGAGATTCATTATCTAGAAAATGGCAACAAGAGTTTATAAAACGAACTTCTGTGAGATTACTTTTTAGCTAGCAAAGACAAAGATGTCCTTCAGTAGGTGAAGTGATAAACTATGATACATCCAGATGATGGAATACTATTGAGGACTAAAAAGAAATAAGCTGTCAAGCCATGAAAACACATGGAGGGACGTTAAATGCATATTACTAAGTGAAAAAAGCTAATCTGAAAGGGCTACATACTGTGTGATTCTAACTATATAACATTCCATAAAAGGCAAAACTGTGAAGACAGCAAAAAAAAATCAGCGGTTGCCAGGGTTTAGAAGGAAGGGAGGGATAAATGTGCAGAGCACAGAGGATTTTTAGGGCAGTGAAAATACTTCGTATGATACTACAATGGTGGAAACATGTCATTATACATTTATCCAAACCCAAAGAATGTCCACCACCAAGAGTGAACCCTCAACTATGGACTTTGGGTGATGATGTGTGGGACAGGAGGTATATGAAAAATCTCTGTACCTTCCTCCCAATTTTGCTGTGAACTTAAAACTGCTCTAAAAAAAGTCTTTTTTAAAAAAAGCTCTATGAACTAGTTGGTATTATAAACCTTAGGCCATTTCAAGTAAAAATTACATATCAATGTTTATTAAATACTGAGTTAATAGCTGAATACCTCTTTCATATACAAATAAGTACATTTGCAATTTTTTAAAAAGTCTTAATTCCATTAGTAACTGTGGTTTCATAGTTGCCAAATAACTGTAAGCTATGGATGTTGCACAAGACTGTGATTTTATTTAATCATTTCATATCTATTTAAACATTTCCAAAGCGCACATTCATCTTAATGTTTTCACACTATTTTTGCTCAACAAAAAGTTATTTTATGTTAATGGATATAAGAAGTATTAATAATATTTCAGTCAAGGCAAGAGAACCCGATAAAGATCATTGCTAGAGACGTTTAATGTTACCTGTAGCGGTACACTTGTTAAAGAAGTGATTAAGCAGTTACATAAAATTCTGATCATAGCTTTGATTGATACCATGAAGGTATAATTCAGTGCCTGGATACTAACAACTTTACTTGTTTAAAAAAAAAAAAAAAAGAATGGTTTCAATTGTATACATCCCAGACTAATTGAGCTATATGATTTTTTTCATTGTAAATAATATCACGAGTTCTTCTTGTTAAAAAATAATAGAATCATAAGGATGGAAATATATACCTTAAGATATAGACTTCTACTATGATAGACTACTGGAATAGGTATATAACCTCCCACCAAAAATGCTAGACTAAAAAAATTAAGAACTAAGTGAAGGCAGGAACCTACAGAGATAAGTGGAACTCAAGCCAACTTGCTCTTTGACGGCATTTGTAGAACCTGGTAAATTAGTAAGTTTAGTAAGTTGGGGTTTTTTTAAGTTTATAATCTTTTTTAAAATGATTTCAATAGGTTTTTGGGGAACAGGTAGTGGTAGGTTACATGAATAAGTTCTTTAGTGGTGATTTCTGGGATTTTGGTGCACCCATCACCCGAGCAGTGTACACTGTACCCAATGTGTAGTCTTTCATCCCTCATCCCCTCCCCAACCCTAGTCCACAAAGTCCATAATATCATTCTCATGCCTTTGCATCTTCATAGTTTAGCTCCCACTTAGAAGTGAGAACATGCAATATTTGGTTTCCCATTCCTGGGTTACTTCACTTACAATAATGGTTTCCAGTTCCATCCAGGTTGCTGCAAATGCCATTATTTTGTTCCTTTTTGTGGCTGAGTAGTATTCCATGGTATATATATACCACATTTTCTTTATCCACTCGTTGATTGATGGGCATTTGGACTGGTTCTGTATATTTAGTAAGTTTAAAAACAAGGGATGGAAATATAAATGCAGTTGAAAAGGCAGTGGATGGATCTAAAAGCAGAAGAATACAATTGTTTTTAATGATTGTGTATATGTTTGTGTATATAAACCACAAGGGAAATCTGTAGGTACTGAAAATCACAACAGGAAAATGGCAACAAAGCTATAGAAACTGGAAAAGCAATGACTTTTCTTAGATCCCTCAGAGAATGGAGGTCATAGGACAAACCACCACTTCAAAATCTAGAAGAATAGACAAATACAGAGAAACAGCCAAGATCAGCTTACTGGGAAAAGATGCCACTGAAGCCAGGAAGACTATGGCAATTTGGGAAAAGATGCCACTGAAGCCAGGAAGACTATGGCAATTTTGATGAATTGCTGGAGGCTGAGTGAGGACTAGCTTCAGAGTTAAAAACTCCCAGGGACCCAGTCTTAGTGGGGGTTTCCTGCAATTTCTTGGGTTTACCCCACAAAATTTCTAACTTCCAGAAACTCCACAAGGTTCTTATGGTGAAGATGCAAGAAAAATTCCCTCCTTTTTCTGGTAGGAGTAGAGGGAAGGTAAAATTTGGAAATACGTAGCAGAGTGTTCACAACAAAAGGCCTGCCCTGTAAGGAAAACTAATTCAACAGGCCCTTATGTGACCTGGGGGAAAGGCAAATAGAGGATTCTAGCCCTTCCTTAGCCTTCTTGTCTCATTTCTGAAAGTCACAGCCCAGGGATTCAGACCCACTAAAAAAAACTGAGATTTAATCATAAAGATTAAAAAACAATTCCCCTCCCCCTCCCCAACACCTTACCACCATATAAACAGGGCTCCAGGATAAAATAACAGTGGATTACAACTGAGAGAGCTGCAAGACACAAGCTGTTTAAGGAGCTCTTAGGAAACCCAAAAACAACAGAAGAAAAAGTAAATAAAAACAAGGAAACTAGAGGAAACTGAAGCCTCCAGTACCTACAATTATGGCAAACATTAAATACAGCCCAGCTCCTAGCCAGATTAGCATGAAACCTCACACTAAAAGTCTAATTACTTCAGTTTTGATATATCAATCATGTCCAGCTTTCAGCAAAAAAACTACAAGGCATGCTAAAAGGCAAGAAAAACCCACGGTCTGAAGAGACAAAACAAGCATCAGAAGCAGTCCTCAGATATGACACAAATATTTCAATTATCAGATAGGGAATTTACAATACCTATGATTAGTAGGTTAAAGGCTCCAATGGAAAAAAGTAGACAACATGCAAGAAGTGATGTACGCAGAGAGATGGAAACTCTAAAAATAAATGCTAAGGAATGCTGTAAGGAAATGCAGAATGATGTTGATGGGCTCATCAGTAGACTGAGCACAGCCAAGCAAAGAGTCAGTGAGCTTGAAGATAGATAGGTCAAAGGAAATTCCCCCAAACTCAAATGCAATATAAACATAGTAGACATTAATCCAGCTGTATCAGTAATTACTTTAAATTTGAATGCTCTAAGTACACCAATCAGCTATTTTTTTAACTAGGAGGTGAAAATAAAGTTTGCCACCAGATGCTCACTAAAAAATTATTAGAGGATATATCCCAGCCAGGCGTGGTGGCTCACACCGGTAATCCCAACACTTTGGGAGGCTGAGGCAGGCAGATCACAGAGTCAAGAGATCAAGACCATCCTGGCTTACGTGGTAAAACCCCATCTCTACTAGAAATACAAAACTTAGCTGGGGGTGGTGGTGCGCGCCTGTAGTCCCAGCTACTCAGGAGGCTGAGGCAGGAGAATCACTTGAACCTGGGACGTAGAGGTTGCAGAGAGCCAAGATAGCACCACTGCACTCCAGCCTAGTGACAGAGGGAGACTCCATCTTAGAAAAAAAATAATAAAAGTAATCCCATCTTTAAGAAGGACTGAAGAATAACAAAAGTGGTAAATAATATAGATACATTTAAACTGACATTTACTATGTATATAAAATAACAACAGTAACAATTTCCTTGAGGGCTAAAAAGTAGAACTAAAGTAAGTTTCAAGGATGACAACTAGAAATAGGGTATGCAGGGTATGCAAAGTACCAAACCATTGGGGGAAGAGAATACCTAAGAAAAACAATCCAAAAGAATGAAAGACATGAGAGGAGGGAGAAAAAAATGCATAAACAAGGGCATGATAACAGGAAGTAACAGATAAGGTACATTAGTACAGCTAAATTCAAACACATCAGTAGTTTAGTTTCATTAAATATAGAGATGGGGCCAGGTGTAGTGGCTCACACCTATAATCCCAGCACTTTGGGAGGCTGTGGGCAGATCACTTGAGGTCAGGAGTTCGAGACCAGCCTGACCAACATGGCGAAACCCCGACTCTACTAAAACTATAAAAAGCCGGGTGTGGTGGTGCATGCCTGTTATCCTAGCTACTCGGGAGGCTGAGGCACAAGAATCATTTGAACCTGGGAGATGGAGGTTGCAGTGAGCCAAGATCGTGCCACTCTTCTCCAAACTGGGTGACAGAGGGACACTGTCTCAAAAATAAAATAAATGTAGAGATGGACTGAATGCTCCAAGCTAATCTGACAGGATTTTAGAAATAATCCAAATTTATGCTATTTAAAAAAAGCTATATCTGAATAAAGATATTGAAAGGCTGAAGTAAAAGGATCTACTTTGCATAGTATAACCCAAGACATGGCCAACTTTTTCTGTAAAGGGCCAGATGGTAAATGTTGTTAGCTTTGCACAGTCTCTGTCACAGCTACTAAACTCTGCCCTTGTGGCAGGAACATAGTCATTGACGGTACTCAAATAGAACAGGCATGGCTGTGTTCCAATAAAACTTTATTTACAAATACAGGCTGCAAGTAGGATTTGGCCCATAGGCCAAAGTTTGCTGGCCCCTATATTGACCAAAACAAAACCGAAGGAGCTACATTATTACCAAGCAAAATAGATGTTAAGGCAAAATACTCCTTAAAGCATTTGTTCAGGAAAAATAATTGTAAATATATAGTTTCAAATTACATAATACAAAAATTCATAGAACAAGAATACTTAGATAAATCTAGTAAAAATAATGAGATTTTACTATACCTTTCTTACAAATTAAGCAGACAAAAAAATAAGGATATGGATGTACATTTCATCTCTCTTGGGTCAATACTGAGGTGTGAGATCACTGGGACATAGGTTGAGTGTGTGTTTAAATTTATTTTTAAAATTGCCAAACTTTTCCGCAATTGTTAACATTTACCAGAAATGTATGAGACTTCTTAAGATCCATTCTATATCCTCCTCAGTACTTGGTACTGTCAGCCTCTTTCATCGTAGGTATACTGATGATTAAAAATATTAAGCATCTTTTCATGGGCTTATTGGCCACCTATATTTCTTATTTGGTATTGTGCCTCTTTTAATCTTTTGCCCATTTTTTAACTGGGTTTTAAGAATTGTTCAAATATTCTCAATGTGGCCCTTTGTTAAATATATGTTTTGCATGTTTTCTTTAAGTGGATTACATTTACAGTTTTCTTAAAAAAATGTAGAGATGAGCAAAAGTGTATAATTTTGAAGAAAGCTTCGTGTCTTTGTTTACTAAGAAAGTTTTGCTTAATCCAGGGTTAAAAAGATTTTCTACTATTTGTTTTCTTATAGAAATTCTGTAGTTTCAGCTCACATGCTTAAGTATATGATGCAAGGTAAGGGACAAGGTTCATTTTCTTCCCCAAAATCCATATCTGGTTGCTCCAGAACTTGACTCTCTTTTCCCTATTGAGTTACTTGGCAATTTTGTAGAAAATCAGTTGTTTGTATATGTGTGGGTCTACTTTCAGACTCTTTTTCTTACCCAACGATCTGTATTTCTTACCCAATGATCTGTATGCCTATATTCATATTGATAACACCCTGTCTTGATTACTGTTGCATTACAGTAAATCTTGAAATTTGGTAATATGAATTCTCCAAATCTGTTGTTCTTTTCCAAACTGTTGTTTTGGATATTCTAGTTTCCTTGCATTTCCACTTCCTTTTTTTTTTTTTTTTTTGAGATGGAGTCTCACTATTGTTGCCCAGGCTGGAGTGCAGTGGCATGATCTTGGCTCATCGCAGCCTCAGCCTCCCCAGCAGTGGGATTGCAGGCACCCACCATCATGCTTGGCTAATTTTTGTATTTTTAGTAGAGACGGGGTTTCGCCATGTTGGCCAGGCTGGTCTCAAACCCTGACCTCAGGTGATCCACCCACCTCGGCCTCCCAAAGTGCTGGGATTACAGGCATGAGCCACTGTGCCTGGTCTTCCACGTATTTTTTAATTAGCTTGACAATCTCTACCAAAAAGTCTTTTGGGGCTGGGTGTGGTAGTTCATGCCTGTAATTCCACCACTTTGAGAGGCCAAGGCAGGCAGATCGCTTAAGCCCAGGAGTTTGAGACCAGCCTGGGCAAAATGTCGAAACCCTGTCACTACACAAAATAGAAAAAATTAGCCAGGCATGGTAGCTTGTGCCTGTAGTCCCAGCTACCCAGGAGGCTGAGGAGGGAGGTCAAGGCTGCAGTGAGCCATGATCATGCCAGTGCACTCTAGCCTGGGCAACAGAGTGAGACTCTGTCTCAAAAACACAGTCTGATAGAATTTTTATTAGGATAGCCTTGAATCTATAGATCCATTTGAAAATAATTAACATCTTAAATTTCCAATTTCTGGCCGGGCGCTATGGCTCACGCCTGTAATTCCAGCACGTTGGGAGGCCGAGGTGGGCAGATCATCAAGTCAGGAGTTCGAGACCAGCCTGACCAACATGGTGAAACCCTGTCTCTACTAAAAATACAAAAAAATTAGCCAGGCGTGGTGGCACATGCCTGTAGTCCCAGCTACTCAGGAGGCTGAGGCAGGAGAATCGCTTGAATCTGGGAGGCAGAGGTTGCAGTAAGCCGAGATTGTGCCACTGTACTCCAGCCTGGGCAACAGAGTGAGGCTCCGTCTCCAAAAAAAAAAAAAAAAATTCCAGTTGTTGAGAAAGAATAGGAATTCCAGCTTTGGAGGAGTGGGGAGACCATCAAATCCTCTTTCCAAAAATACTACTAAAATACTACTGAGCAGAGTATAGTTCCACAAATAGTCTTCTGTAAAGAGACTCACAGTACATATTTGTCTTTGTAGGCCATATAGTCCCTGTTGCAATTTCTCAATTCTACAGCTATAACAGGAAAGCAGCTATATACAGTATGTGAATGCTTGTGTTCTAATACAAATTTATTTGCAAAATCAGGAAAATGGCTTGAAATGGTTTAAGATCTAGTTTTCTGACTAGATCATGGTATATAATCTTTTCCATATATATTTTGAATTTGGTTTGCTAATATTTTGCTGATCATTTTTATATCTCTCTTTATGAAGGATGCTGATCTACAACTTTCTTTTCTTGTGATATCTTTTTCTGGCTTTGCTACCAGGGTAGTACTAGCCTCTTAAAATGAGTTGAGAAGTATTTTCTGTTTTCTTAAAGAGTTTATAGAGTATTGATCTTATTTATTCTTTAAATATTTGATACATGTTACCAGTGAAGCCATCTGGGTCTGTGTTTTCTTTCAGGGAAGATTTTTAATTATTTGCTTATTTGTTATATAGATCTATTCAGAATTTATATTTTTCCTTGACATAGTTTTGTAATTTGTGTGTTTCTATGAAATGAGCCATTTTGTCTGAGTTGTCTAACTTGGGCATAAAGTTGTTTGTAATCCTTTAAGTTTTGTAGGATCCATAGAGGTGTCCCCTCCATTATAGATTTTCATAATTTGTGCCTGATCATCTTTTTTTCATGGTCAGTCTAGTTAAAAATTTATCAATTTTGTTGGTCTTTACAAAGAACCAATTTTTAGTTTCATTGAAATTTTTAGTTTCATTGATTTTCTCTTTTTGTTTCCTATGTCATTGATTATTATTTCTTCTTTTCTGCTTGCTTTTCATTTAATTTGTTCCTCTTTTTCTAGTTTAAGGTAGAAGCTTCCATTGTTAGTTGAAGACCTTATTTTCTTATATAGATGTTTAAAGCTATACATTTTTTGTATATTTTCATTCATTTCATTTTCTAATGTCCTTCATGATTTTTTTCATTGACCCATGTGTATTGCTTAATTTTTATATATTTGGGGATTTTCCATATCTCTTCCTATTCATTTCTAATTTAATTCCACTGAGGTAGGAGGTACATTGAAGGACTCTAATATTGAATGACTCCAATAAGTCTTCTGAGACTTTTTTAGGCACTTGCATATGGTCTATCCTGAGTGTTCCATGAGTGCTTGAAAAAAAACTTACTGTGCTCTTGTTAAGTAGAGTTTTATGAACGTCAGTTAGGTCAAGTTGATTGATAGACTAATTCAAGTTTTCTGTATCTTTGCTGATTTTCTGTCTAGTTGTTCTAGATCCTACAACTTTGTCTACATCCTTGCCAGAGCTTGGTATGGTTTTTTTATTATCGCTATCCTAGAGAGTATGTAGTTGACCCTTGTGACTTGCCATGCATTTAATGACTGCCCATGTTCATAGCAGCATTATTCATAATAGCAAAAAAAACTTTTATCATATGCTTTTGTGCCTCAAGATCATATATTTTTCGTTTTTAGTCACTAATATGGTATAATGGTATAATATACTGTTTAATTTCTGAGTAATTGACTAGCCTTTCATTCCGGGGATAAATCCTATTTGGTTATGATATAGTATCCTTTTTACATATAGCTGAATTCATTGTACTAAAATTTTGGTATTTTTGCATCTAAATCCATGAGGGATATATTCTATAGCTTTGGTGTTATGATAATATGGTATTATTTCTTTCTTAAACGTTTGGTAAAACTCAGCAGTGAAGCTGTCTTGGTTTGTTTGGAGCCTTTTTTGTAGAAAGGTTTTCAAGTACAAGTTCATCAAATGTTTACTGATAATATGTTTATTCTTGAGTGAGCTTTGTTGGTTTACATCTTTGAAGGAATTTAACTGTTTCCTTCAAATGTTGAATTTATTGGTATAAAGTTAAGTTATTCATAATATTCCCATAATATCCTTCTAATGGCTCCAGTATCTCTAGTGTTATTCCCTTTCATTCCCGACATTGGTATTTAATATATTCTTGCTTTTTTTTTTTTTTTTTAATCAGTCTGGCTAAAAGTTTTTCAGTTTTACCAATGTTTTCATAGAACCAGCTTGGTCTTGATTTTGTTGTTGTTTATGCATGTTCTTAGTTATTCGTTTCTACTCTTTATCCTTTCCATTTTTCTTGTGTTTAGGGTAGAAGCATATATAATTAATTGAGACCTTTCTTTTCTAATCAAAGCTTTTAATGCTGTAAATTTTCTAAGCACTGTCTTCATTGCATCCCACACATTTTGATATGCTGTGTTTTCAGTACTAGAGATTTTTAATTTTATGATACCTTATTTAATCATGATGCCTTATTTAATCTATAGCTTATTAAATGTCAAATTCTAAACATTTGGGTTTTTCTCCAGATATGTTTGTTACTGACTTCTATTTTAATCTCATTTTTGTCAGACAGCATTCATTGTATGACTTAATCCTCCTAAATGTATTCAGACTTGTTTTATGTTCTAGATTAATGTTCTGTGTATACTTGAAAAGAATGCAAGTTCTTGGGTAGACTGTTTCAGAAATGTCAGTCAAATTTAAGTCTTGTTTATTCTTATTGATTCTGAGACAAAGGTGTTTATAATGTTAGATTTGTCTGCTATATCTCTGACATTGCCAAATATCCCCTTGGAGGCAAAATCTCCCCCTCCCTTTTGAGAACCACTGATCTATGTAGCCTTTTTTCTGGGACTAATTTAGCCTTGCTTCTGAGATGTGGCCCCTAGGTCTCTACTGAATGCCCGGCATATTTAATTAGATCTTTCTTTCCTCTATGGCCTCAAGGGATTTCACCCTAAGTATGCACAAATTTTTATTCAGCCGAAGACTGTACAGATTTCTGGAGGCCTTTCTTTGTGTACCTCCTTCGTTTCCAGTAGTCTGACCCATAAATTGTACAGATTTCTGGAGGCCTTTCTTTGTGTACCTCCTTCGTTTCCAGTAGTCTGACCCATAAATTGTACAGATTTCTGGAGGCCTTTCTTTGTGTACCTCCTTCGTTTCCAGTAGTCTGACCCATAAATTAAAGCTGCTTTAGCCTCCCCAAACTTCAATCTCTTTCTCCTCAACCCAGCAAGATTGCTAGACCCTGGGTTCCCTTTCCCTTCACTGCAGTATGATAATTACTTTCAAGCACAAAGGTTTAGAATTAAGATTTCTTACTCCTGGGCTAGGTATGGCTTACCGTATTTGTTTCTCTTTTCCTAGGGATCATAATCATGTATTGCTTGTTGTCCAGTTTTCCAGTAGGAGGGGAATTCCAGGCTGTACTTACTTCCTGCAGCCAAAAGAGGAAGTAATGTTAGTGATTTCAATATTAAAACATTAAAAAAAAATTTAAGATGGATGAAATTCTTTTATATGCATATTGAATTGGGCTTCACCATAGTTATTTTTAGAATTAGGACTAACCGGCAGGGAAAAAAACTATACGGCAGGGAAAAAAACTATAAGCCATCGCTGTTTTACAATTTTGCAATAATTAGATTTTCTGTAGTATAGTAATGTGTAAAATTAACCCATTGTTAATATAGAATGCCGTTATCACTCCTGATTAAGCGGTCTTCATTTTCATGTTAATACTGATGTCTTGTAATGCTTTATGGAATCAAACATTTTCATACATATTCATTAGTCTAATTCTAATCATAATCCAATGAAAAAGAGCAGGAAAGATGCTCAAGGAGGTTATATTCAAGTCCACATGGCAAGTAAGAAATAAGACTACTCGGCTGGGCATGGTGACTTACTGCCTGAAATCCCAGCACTTTGGGAGGCCAAGGTGAGCGGAATTGCTTGAACCTGGGAGGCGGAAGTGGCAGTGAGCTGAGATCATGCCAATGCACTCCAGCCTAGGCAACACAGCAAGACTCTGTCTCGGGAAAAAAATAATAATAATAAGACTTCTAGAAGCTCCTAAATCCATAGCTTTTCCTCTATACCAGCATCTTCTAAAAATGTCAGCAGCAGTGAAGTTTCAGTTTGGGAAATAATGCATTTCCCCTCTCTGGAGAGTGCACAGTTATATCTCCAAGAAGTACTGAAATTCAGAAGTCTGCCTAATATGTATTAAACATTTAGCTTTTCTCAAACTTTGACCACCAAATCCTTTGTCTCGCTCTAACTATAGTTAACACAGAATCAGTGTTCCCAGGAGCACACTGTGAAAAATGTAGCACTCTACAAAAGTCCTAATCTCCACAGGATTAAGTGAAACCATGATTAACCCTCTGTTCCTTGTCCTTATTAGTACCATTTTCTGAAGAGTAATGTATCCCCCCAAAACTTTTATACTAGTTTCACTAACCAGAATCCATGTACATAAGGAAGGACAGATATTTGCTCCCTACTAAGACATATCTATTAGCTACATTAAAAAAAGTATTGCATGCCGATTTTAAAGTTATAATTAACTGGTGATATCACAGATATTCCAAGATATAATTGCTGGAATAAACACTGTTGTTGAAGCCTTCTATCTATCTCAGTACTAGAATTAAACTCAAGTGCAGAATGGCAGACAAAGTTAACTAAAAATCACTGTATTATTTCATTTGGTCCTCCAAATAGCTTTGTGAGCTAAGGAGGAGAAGGTGTATCATCACCACTTCCATTTTATAGATGAGAAATCAAGTGATTTACTCAAGGTTAAGTCCTCCAATTCTTTGTTATCCTGCATTTTCTCTTGGCTGTAGTTTAATTAATAATCCTAAGAAAATGCTTATATTTTAGAGTGCAGTAAGAGTACATAAACAATGTTAAATGCCCATCTTGCATGTATAAAAAGTTATAGCAAGAAATCTGGCTGGGAATGGTGGCTCACACCTGTAATCCTGGCACTTTGGGAGGCCGAGGCAGGAGGATTGCTTGAGCCCAGGAGTTTAAGACCAGCCTGGGCAACATAGGGAGATCCTGTCTCTACAAAAAAATTTAGCCAGACACAGTGGCTTGTGTCCTAGCTACTCAGGAGGCTGAGGTGGGAGGATCACTTGAGCCAAGGAGGTCAAGGCTCCAGTGAGCTATGATTATGCCACTCAGACATGGTGGCTTGTGCCTACAGTCCTAGCTACTCAGGAGGCTGAGGTGGGAGGATCACTTGAGCCAAGGAGGTCAAGGCTCCAGTGAGCTATGATTATGCCACTGCACTCCAGCCTGGATGACACAGTGAGACCCTATCTATCTCAAAAAAAAAAAAAAAAGAAAAGAAAAGAAAAAGAAAATCCTTTAACTGACTTCATCTTAACCTTTTAGTTCCTAAGGACGGTCTGAAGAGCCAAGAGCTATTTGATGAAATTAGAATGACCTACATCAAAGAGCTAGGAAAAGCCATTGTCAAGAGGGAAGGAAACTCCAGCCAGAACTGGCAGCGGTTTTATCAACTGACAAAACTCTTGGATTCTATGCATGAAGTAAGTGTCAAACATAAAGCCAAATATAAGAGTTTTCTGGGACAAAGTATGTTTTGATTAGTGAATATAATTATATACCAGCAGCGCCCCCACCCCCGCCCCCAGTTTGTGGATGTTGGTGATAGCTTGAGTTCAACTTATGAACTTCAGTTTTGTAGACATTTTTCCTAAGGCCAATTATGAAATATCCTTTCACCTAGTCATGTGTATATAAAATCACCATGTTATTACAGAATTTAGTAATACTGTTTTTAAAAAGTATGATTAATCCATTAAATTAGAATAATGCACCCTTCATATATTATGGTACTACAGTGATTCATGAAATAATTCTATATAATTCTACATACAATCAAAGAAATATAAAATGTGTTTTGTACGGAAGTGCTTATTTTTCATCTGGGGAATTCCAGTGAGATTGGTATATTCTAGGCCAGATAATTTTTTCAAAATAGAGGACAACAAACATGAGATGTTCCCACTGACCAATTTGGAAGCCTGATCATTACCATATCTTCTCTTGCAGGTGGTTGAAAATCTCCTTAACTATTGCTTCCAAACATTTTTGGATAAGACCATGAGTATTGAATTCCCCGAGATGTTAGCTGAAATCATCACCAATCAGATACCAAAATATTCAAATGGAAATATCAAAAAACTTCTGTTTCATCAAAAGTGACTGCCTTAATAAGAATGGTTGCCTTAAAGAAAGTCGAATTAATAGCTTTTATTGTATAAACTATCAGTTTGTCCTGTAGAGGTTTTGTTGTTTTATTTTTTATTGTTTTCATCTGTTGTTTTGTTTTAAATACGCACTACATGTGGTTTATAGAGGGCCAAGACTTGGCAACAGAAGCAGTTGAGTCGTCATCACTTTTCAGTGATGGGAGAGTAGATGGTGAAATTTATTAGTTAATATATCCCAGAAATTAGAAACCTTAATATGTGGACGTAATCTCCACAGTCAAAGAAGGATGGCACCTAAACCACCAGTGCCCAAAGTCTGTGTGATGAACTTTCTCTTCATACTTTTTTTCACAGTTGGCTGGATGAAATTTTCTAGACTTTCTGTTGGTGTATCCCCCCCCTGTATAGTTAGGATAGCATTTTTGATTTATGCATGGAAACCTGAAAAAAAGTTTACAAGTGTATATCAGAAAAGGGAAGTTGTGCCTTTTATAGCTATTACTGTCTGGTTTTAACAATTTCCTTTATATTTAGTGAACTACGCTTGCTCATTTTTTCTTACATAATTTTTTATTCAAGTTATTGTACAGCTGTTTAAGATGGGCAGCTAGTTCGTAGCTTTCCCAAATAAACTCTAAACATTAATCAATCATCTGTGTGAAAATGGGTTGGTGCTTCTAACCTGATGGCACTTAGCTATCAGAAGACCACAAAAATTGACTCAAATCTCCAGTATTCTTGTCAAAAAAAAAAAAAAAAAAGCTCATATTTTGTATATATCTGCTTCAGTGGAGAATTATATAGGTTGTGCAAATTAACAGTCCTAACTGGTATAGAGCACCTAGTCCAGTGACCTGCTGGGTAAACTGTGGATGATGGTTGCAAAAGACTAATTTAAAAAATAACTACCAAGAGGCCCTGTCTGTACCTAACGCCCTATTTTTGCAATGGCTATATGGCAAGAAAGCTGGTAAACTATTTGTCTTTCAGGACCTTTTGAAGTAGTTTGTATAACTTCTTAAAAGTTGTGATTCCAGATAACCAGCTGTAACACAGCTGAGAGACTTTTAATCAGACAAAGTAATTCCTCTCACTAAACTTTACCCAAAAACTAAATCTCTAATATGGCAAAAATGGCTAGACACCCATTTTCACATTCCCATCTGTCACCAATTGGTTAATCTTTCCTGATGGTACAGGAAAGCTCAGCTACTGATTTTTGTGATTTAGAACTGTATGTCAGACATCCATGTTTGTAAAACTACACATCCCTAATGTGTGCCATAGAGTTTAACACAAGTCCTGTGAATTTCTTCACTGTTGAAAATTATTTTAAACAAAATAGAAGCTGTAGTAGCCCTTTCTGTGTGCACCTTACCAACTTTCTGTAAACTCAAAACTTAACATATTTACTAAGCCACAAGAAATTTGATTTCTATTCAAGGTGGCCAAATTATTTGTGTAATAGAAAACTGAAAATCTAATATTAAAAATATGGAACTTCTAATATATTTTTATATTTAGTTATAGTTTCAGATATATATCATATTGGTATTCACTAATCTGGGAAGGGAAGGGCTACTGCAGCTTTACATGCAATTTATTAAAATGATTGTAAAATAGCTTGTATAGTGTAAAATAAGAATGATTTTTAGATGAGATTGTTTTATCATGACATGTTATATATTTTTTGTAGGGGTCAAAGAAATGCTGATGGATAACCTATATGATTTATAGTTTGTACATGCATTCATACAGGCAGCGATGGTCTCAGAAACCAAACAGTTTGCTCTAGGGGAAGAGGGAGATGGAGACTGGTCCTGTGTGCAGTGAAGGTTGCTGAGGCTCTGACCCAGTGAGATTACAGAGGAAGTTATCCTCTGCCTCCCATTCTGACCACCCTTCTCATTCCAACAGTGAGTCTGTCAGCGCAGGTTTAGTTTACTCAATCTCCCCTTGCACTAAAGTATGTAAAGTATGTAAACAGGAGACAGGAAGGTGGTGCTTACATCCTTAAAGGCACCATCTAATAGCGGGTTACTTTCACATACAGCCCTCCCCCAGCAGTTGAATGACAACAGAAGCTTCAGAAGTTTGGCAATAGTTTGCATAGAGGTACCAGCAATATGTAAATAGTGCAGAATCTCATAGGTTGCCAATAATACACTAATTCCTTTCTATCCTACAACAAGAGTTTATTTCCAAATAAAATGAGGACATGTTTTTGTTTTCTTTGAATGCTTTTTGAATGTTATTTGTTATTTTCAGTATTTTGGAGAAATTATTTAATAAAAAAACAATCATTTGCTTTTTGAATGCTCTCTAAAAGGGAATGTAATATTTTAAGATGGTGTGTAACCCGGCTGGATAAATTTTTGGTGCCTAAGAAAACTGCTTGAATATTCTTATCAATGACAGTGTTAAGTTTCAAAAAGAGCTTCTAAAACGTAGATTATCATTCCTTTATAGAATGTTATGTGGTTAAAACCAGAAAGCACATCTCACACATTAATCTGATTTTCATCCCAACAATCTTGGCGCTCAAAAAATAGAACTCAATGAGAAAAAGAAGATTATGTGCACTTCGTTGTCAATAATAAGTCAACTGATGCTCATCGACAACTATAGGAGGCTTTTCATTAAATGGGAAAAGAAGCTGTGCCCTTTTAGGATACGTGGGGGAAAAGAAAGTCATCTTAATTATGTTTAATTGTGGATTTAAGTGCTATATGGTGGTGCTGTTTGAAAGCAGATTTATTTCCTATGTATGTGTTATCTGGCCATCCCAACCCAAACTGTTGAAGTTTGTAGTAACTTCAGTGAGAGTTGGTTACTCACAACAAATCCTGAAAAGTATTTTTAGTGTTTGTAGGTATTCTGTGGGATACTATACAAGCAGAACTGAGGCACTTAGGACATAACACTTTTGGGGTATATATATCCAAATGCCTAAAACTATGGGAGGAAACCTTGGCCACCCCAAAAGGAAAACTAACATGATTTGTGTCTATGAAGTGCTGGATAATTAGCATGGGATGAGCTCTGGGCATGCCATGAAGGAAAGCCACGCTCCCTTCAGAATTCAGAGGCAGGGAGCAATTCCAGTTTCACCTAAGTCTCATAATTTTAGTTCCCTTTTAAAAACCCTGAAAACTACATCACCATGGAATGAAAAATATTGTTATACAATACATTGATCTGTCAAACTTCCAGAACCATGGTAGCCTTCAGTGAGATTTCCATCTTGGCTGGTCACTCCCTGACTGTAGCTGTAGGTGAATGTGTTTTTGTGTGTGTGTGTCTGGTTTTAGTGTCAGAAGGGAAATAAAAGTGTAAGGAGGACACTTTAAACCCTTTGGGTGGAGTTTCGTAATTTCCCAGACTATTTTCAAGCAACCTGGTCCACCCAGGATTAGTGACCAGGTTTTCAGGAAAGGATTTGCTTCTCTCTAGAAAATGTCTGAAAGGATTTTATTTTCTGATGAAAGGCTGTATGAAAATACCCTCCTCAAATAACTTGCTTAACTACATATAGATTCAAGTGTGTCAATATTCTATTTTGTATATTAAATGCTATATAATGGGGACAAATCTATATTATACTGTGTATGGCATTATTAAGAAGCTTTTTCATTATTTTTTATCACAGTAATTTTAAAATGTGTAAAAATTAAAACCAGTGACTCCTGTTTAAAAATAAAAGTTGTAGTTTTTTATTCATGCTGAATAATAATCTGTAGTTAAAAAAAAAGTGTCTTTTTACCTACGCAGTGAAATGTCAGACTGTAAAACCTTGTGTGGAAATGTTTAACTTTTATTTTTTCATTTAAATTTGCTGTTCTGGTATTACCAAACCACACATTTGTACCGAATTGGCAGTAAATGTTAGCCATTTACAGCAATGCCAAATATGGAGAAACATCATAATAAAAAAATCTGCTTTTTCATTATGTGACTCCAACATGCTTTTGTAGAACTTGTACAGTTCCGATTGTCCAATCTGATTTTTGTTTACTGAAAGTAGAGTTACCCCTGCTTCAGGAACCTTAAGATAATATGGTGGGCATTTAAATGTCAGTGTGGCAATGTTCGCCTGCTAATATGGCATAGATTCAAAATAAGCTTAACCCTGGTGCCAAAGACCTGAAGATTATCCCATCCATGCCTCAAATGGTTGTGTGCCAATTACTGCAAAGGGTACTAAGGGAAGGAGAAATTCACTCCTGAGGCTGCTTCAAATGTATGTCTTTATCACAAAAGATGACATTTTATGTAAGCTAATGTTATCTAGTCAAAATTCTTAGCTTATTTTAAAATCAACTCTTCAAGAAAAGGAATAAACATTTAATATAAATATCATAGCAGTATTGCACATAGAATAGAAAGGTCGGGCAGGGTAGTGGAAGTCAGCTATTCTATACAATCCATTCGGTATTTTCCAAAACATTTGATGTTCAGGCCATATCCAGGAACTGGATGACCTAACAAACTTCTCTGAGTACCTTTTTTTCCACAAGAGATCTCCATCACTAAGAAAAAAAGCATTGTGATTTAAAAGCCAAATTTGCCTTATCCATCATCATGTGCACCAAGTATTTGCTACCTGCCTACTATATAATATTGAAGATACAATGTGAATAAGAAAAATACTATTGCTACCCTCAATCAGAGTATGTGATTGGAAAAGTGTATAACAAACCTTTCCCAGTGTCTTCAGGTATAATGCAGAGATACCAGATACGGCATCAATGTGTATACACATTATGGCTGTACCATTCACTTTAAGTAGTAACCTTACATTTCTGTAGAACACCTTCACATACATTTTTAACAAGCCTCACTGAATGAATTAATGACATGAAAATAATGAGGCAGATTATTCTCGTTTCCATTTTATAAGGAAGTAAACTCTGTAAGAAAGTAAACAGGCTCAGAATTTAAGCACTGATTCATAGCCCCTAGCTCCCATGTTATTGAAATTTGAATGGAAAGCCTCTAATGAGGCCATTCATCTATCAGATGTCAAAGAGCATGTCTCTGGCCTATGAGCCTCTCAGGGAACTGGTTATGTTTTTCTGTTTTAAATTAAACTAATGCTTTACTGAGCACTTACTATGTGCCACGCACAATGATAATTCAATATATTATTTCATTTAATCATAGTACCCCTCTAAAGTACTACTGTAAAGCAGTGCTATTATCCTCATTGCATTTATATCAGGAAACTGTGGCTTAAAGAATTGAGTAACTTGCCTACAGTCACAAAGCTAGCTCCAGAATCCATAGTTTTAAAAACCACTATTGAGAAATTACTAATATGAGCTAACTAGGGCGAATGAACCCATATTGATCATTATGTGTCTGGCCTTTTGACATGTCCTCATTTAATCTAATCCCTTTTGCTACCGTATCAATTTTGACTTAGAAATTTAACAATGATACATTAGTCCCCGCTTATCTACGGAGGATATGTTCCAAGACTCCCAATGGATGCCTGAAACATAGATAGTACTGAACTGCATGTTTTTTCCTATATTACATACCTATGATAAAGTTAATTTACAAATTAGATGCAGCAAGAGATTAACAATAACTCAATTACAACAATATACTGTAATAAAAGTTATGTGAATGTGAGCTCTCAAAAAATCGTACTATACTGAGGGTAACTGAGACCACGGAAAGTGAAACCGCAGATAAGGCGGGCACTATTGTATTTCCTTCTCTTAAAAACGTGTCCTGTACCCTGGGGTGGTTGATGGTGGAAAATACTAGTTGCCCACAGATTACAGAATGCCCTTTGGTTTGTCTAATATACAACAGGGAGCCTGTCTCACTAATGCCCACAGAAAAATCAAACATTTCTTCAAGTGATATGGAGCATATAGGGTACAGTCAAACCAAGGAAGAAAGTTGTTTATAAATGAGAACTATAGTGCAAGTTAAAATTTGCTCCTAGTTTTGCAGGTAAAGAGCCAGACTTTGGGTGTAGAAAAAAAGTTGAAAATACTGAGGCTTTTACATAAGGTGATTTTTTTTTTTTTTTTTTTTTTTTAGAATTTCAACTAATCTCTTTTAACTTAAGTCGTTCTTAACAGTATTGGTAACTTCATAGCACTTTCTTTCTGGTGAAATAACCCCATCCTCCCTCTTATTTAGGCTTCCTGTTTCCTAGTTAAAATGGGGCAGTACTTTGTTAGGGAAGTATTTTTACTTCACTTGGTTACAAACATGTAAGTCTCAGAACAAAAGAGTTTGTGCAGACCATATCAGACACTCAAAAGACTTTCTTCACTCTACCCACTTGAGTAAGAGACAATTTATATTCTGTTCACCTTATGTACCCTCACCAAAAATATTCAATAGGGTAATAATGTGTATATAATGTAAATAAGGCACACGTTTTTCTATTTTTGTTAAAGTTGCATTGTCTTAAAAGTACTGAGTATATACATGGGGTTTTGCTAGAAATAAAAATCTAGGTCATCCAAAACCTCTACAGTTGTTCACTAGGATTGCAAAGAATCAAGATAAAAATGAAACTCTTTCAATATGGCAAGAAAGGGGGACAGTGTGCATAAAAGCAAGCAAAGGCTCACAAAACAGGAGAATATGTCACAAACACCACCTGATCAATTTCAAGACCTACTATGTGGCAAGCATGCTAGATGAAGCAATTCAAAGACCACTAAGGCAATACTAAGACTCCAAGGAGAGGTTCCTGCCCTCAAGGAATTAAAGATGAAAGGCAAATGACTAAGCAATTCTACTCCTATGTATCTACTCAGAAGAGATGAAAACGTGTCCACACAAATGACTTGCATGCAAATATTCTTAGCAGCATTATTCTTAATAGTCAAAAAGTGGAAACAATTCAAATATCCATCAACCAATGTACAGATAAACAAAATGTGGCACACAAAATGTGGCTGGGCACGGTGGTTCATATCTGTAATTCCAGCACTTTGGAAGGCCAAGGCAGGTGGATCACTTGAGGTCAGGAGTTCGATACCAGTCTGGCCAACATGGTGAAACCCTGTCTCTATGAAAAATACAAAAAAATTGGCCGGGCACGGTGGCTCACGCCTGTAATCCCAGCACTTTGGGAGGACAAGGCGGGTGGATCACCTGAGGTCGGGAGTTTGAGACCAGCCTGAACAACATGGAGAAACCCTGTCTCTACTAAAAATACAAAATTAGCCGGGTGGCGCATGCCTGTAATCCCAGCTACTTGGGAGGCTGAAGCAGGAGAATTGCTTGAACCCGGGAGGCAGAGGTTGTGGTGAGCCGAGATAGCGTCATTGCACACCAGCCTGGACAAAAAGAGCGAAACTTCATCTCAAAAATATATATATATATTAGCTGAGTGTGGTAGCGCTCGCCTGTAGTCCCAGCTACTCGGGAGGCTGAGGTGGAAGAATTGCTTGAACCAGGGAGGTGGCAGTTGCAGTGAGCCAAGATCGTGTCATAGCACTCCAGCCTGTGGCAGCAGAGTGAGACTTCGTCTCAAAAAAAAAAAAAAAAAGTGACGAACCTCAAAATCATGCTAAGTAAAAGAATCCAGACACAAAAGGACCATATATTATTTCACTTACATGAAACGTTCAAAAAAGGCAAATCTATATAGAGAAAGAAAGCACATCAGTGGTTTCCTATGGCTAGGGATAATATTAGGGTTTAAGTGCAAATGGGCACATGAGGGTACTTTTGGGGGTGATGGAAATGTTCTAAAACTAGACTGTAGTAATGGTTGTGCAATTCTGTACATTTAATAAATGCTACACTTAAAATGGGTGGATTTTATATGGTATATAAATTAAATCTCAATAAATACGTATTAAAAATAGAGGCAGCCAAGCAAATGTGTAATTGCCATTCAGTTGTATCAAAAGCAGGTACAAATGCACTAAATGCACTTTGAATGCACTAAAACAAGTGCAGCTATTTTTTTTGGAAAGCCTGTCAGAAGATGTCTTCATTGTGCTACATGTTAAAGGATGAGCTGGAGTTCAGCAGCACAAAGCCTTACTCGTTTAATATTAATGGATGCCCCTGTAATGTTTAATTAGTCATATGTTCTACCCATCCCCAGAGAGGGCAACCATGTACAAAGAGATCACCAACATGACAAGTAAAAAAACTCACAGCATATACATGACTACTCATGTCTTGTATGAATTCTAAGTGTTAATAACTGTTAAGACCTTAGTGGTCTTACAACTTCGGAATAAACAAATCTGGGTTCAAGCCTTGCTTCTTTATTTACTAAGTCTGTGATTTTGAGAAAATTCCATAATCACTTTATATCTGTTTCTACATCTGAAAAATATATGTAGCTGCTTAGCTCAACTCCTACCATATAGCAAGCATTCAATACACGTTAGCTGTTTTTTAAGTCCTCATGAAAATCTAAGAGAAGGGGAATTTTTTAATGCTGTCCCCAAAAATGTATAGAAGTGAGGCAAATGATGAAGAGCAGTATGAACACAGTAACTGCACACAAATTTCCAACCCTGCATTTCTTAATTAATCAAAGCTATGCATAAGGCTGAGGGAGGCTGTTCTGTTATTTGCCAATTCTACAGAAACTTCCAAAAAAGCTGAAGCGGGGGGAATACTTCTCAACTAATTCCATGAGGTCTTCATTATTCTGATAACAAAATTAGACAAAATATAAGAAAACTGCACACTAATATCCCTCATGAACATAAATGTAAAAGTTCTAACCAAAATCTTAGCAAATAGAATATAATAATATATTAAAGGAAGATACATCATGACCAAAGGATTATCTCAGGAATATAGGTTTGACTTAGCATTTACAAATCAACCAATGCAATTCACAATAGTGGAAAAGAAAAAATCCATGTGATTAAGATGCCAGACAAACCATTTGACAAAATCTAACATACACTCTGAATTAAAAAAAAAAAAAAGATCAGCAAACTAGAAATAGAAGGAACCTCCTCAACCTAATAAAGGGCATCACACACAAAAAAATTATCTTCCAGCATTATACATACTTCATGGATACTTTCCTCTTAAGAACAGTAGCAAAACATGGTCTGCTCTCACCACTTTCATACACTATTTTACTGGTGTCTCCAGCCAATGCCATCAGGCAAGAAAGAGAGATAAAAGGCATCCAGATCACCAAAGAAGTAAAACTCTTTACTAACAGATGACGTGATCATCTGTTTAGAAATTCTGATGTGATCTTTAAAAATTAAAAAACACTACTAGACTTCAAAAAGGCTGGGCGTGGTAGCTCATGCCTGTAATCTCTGCATTTTGGGAGGCCAAGGCAGGAGGACTGCTTGAGGCCAGAAGTTCACGACCAGCCTGGGCAACACAGTGGGACCCCATCTCCACAACAATTTTTTTTTTTAAAAAATAACTGGGTATAATGGCACATGCCTGTTTTCCTAGCTACTTGGGAGGCTGAGGTGGAAACATCACTTGAGCCTAGGAGGCTGAGGCTGCAGTTAGCCATAGTCACACCATCACACTCCAGCCTGGGTGACGGTGAGACCCTGTCTCGAGAAAGAAAAAAGAAAGTTAAATGCAGAATTACCATATGATCCCACAATTCCACCCCTAGGTATATACCCACAAGAATGAAAACAGGTACTCAAGCAAACACATGTAGACACGTTCATAGCAGCATTATTCACAACAACCAAAAGGTGAAAACAGTCCAAATGTCTCCATCAAGGAATGGCAGATAAACAAATCATAGTATATATAAAAATGAAATATTCAGCCATAAAAAGGAATGAAGTACTGATTTATGCTACAACACGAGTGAAGCTCCAAAGTATTAAGCGTAGTAAAAGCAGCCAGATGCAAAAAGTCACATATAGTGTGATTCCATTTATATGACATATATAGAATATATAAGCCTATAGATACAGAATGTAGATTGCTAGTTGTCAGGGGCTGGGGGAAGAAGGGAATGGGACGGGGGGAAACTGCTAATGGGTAAGGGGTTTTACTTTGGAGTGATGGAAATGTTTTGGAACCAGACAAAGGTGGTGACTGTACAACACTGTGAATATACTAAATGCCACTAAATTTATCACTTTAAAATGGTTACATTTATGTTAGGTGAGTTTCACTTCAATAAATTATTACTTTTTAAAAAGCTACTAGGACTAACAAGCTTAGCAAGGTTGCAGGATACAACAACAGAGTTTGGCAAACTACGACTTACAGCCAAACCCAACCCACTTTCTGTTTCTGTAAATAAAATGTTTTGAAACATAGATACTCATTCATTAACATATTGTCTATGCTGGTTTCATACTGTAAAAGGAGAGTTAAGTAGTTGCAACAGAGACCATATGGCCCGCAAAGCCTAAAATATTTACTACCTGATCCATTACAGGAAAAGTTTTCTGATGCCTGAGATACCAATCAACATAAAAATTAATTTTATTTCTACATACTAGCAATTAACCAGTAATTAGTATTTTTAAAAATACCACTTATAATAGCTTCAAAATTATGACATATTTAAGAGACAAATCATCTGACAAAATGCTAAAAACCTCTACTACAAAATATTGCTGAGGAAAGTTCAAGATTTAAATACATGGAGAGATGGATATGTTCAAAGACTTAATACAGGTTGAGTATTCCTTATCCAAAATGCTTGGGATCAGAAATGTTTTGGATTTCAAATTTTTTAGGATTTTGGAATATCTGCTTTATACTGAGTAGTTGAACATCCCAAATCTGAATATCTGAAATCCAAAATGCTCTAGAAAGAGCACTTCATTTGAGCAACATGTTGGTGCTCAAGAAGTTTTGGATTTTGGAGTATTTAGGATTTCAAGCTTGGGATGCTGAAACTGTATTATTAAGATGTCAATTGTCCTCAAATTAACACATAGATTCAGTGTAATCACAATAAAAATTCCAGCAGGTTTATGTAGAAATTGACATGTATATTCTAAAATTCACATGGAAATGAAATGGACTTAAGACAACCAAAATATCTATGATTCAAAGAACAAAGTTAAAGGACTAACACTATCTGATTCCAAAAATTATTATAGTAATCACAACAGTGTGGTACTGCATAAAGGCAGACAAATAGATCAATGGAACAGAATAGAAAGTCCAGATGTAAACCCACATATAAATGTACAAAAACAAATGATTTTTTATAAAAGCACAAAGGCAATTCATTTGTCTTATGCTCAGATGGGACATTCACCAAAGACAGACCACATTCTGAGCCATAAAGCATACCTTAACAAATTTAAGAGAAGAGAAATCATATAAGGTATGCTCTCAGACCATAGTAGAATTAAATTAGAAATCAATAACAAAGATAACTGGAAATTTCAAAATACACAGAGATTAAACAACATACTTCTATTAATAAGTAACTCATGGGTCAAAGAAGACATCTCAAAAGAAATTTAAAAATAGTTTGAGGCTGGGTGTGGTGGCTCACACCTGTAATCCCAGAACTTTGGGAGACAGAGGCGGGCTGATGGCTTGACCTCAGGAGTTTAAGATCAGCTGGGCAACATGGTGAAACACAGCCTCTACAAAAAATACAAAAATTAGCTGGGCACAGTGACACGTTCCTATAGTCGCAACTACTCGGGAGGCTGAGGTGGGAGGATCACCCAAGCCTGGGAGGTCAAGACTGCAGTGAGCCGTGATCATGCCACTGCACTCAACCCTGGGTGACAGAGTGAGGCCATTTCTCAAAAAATAAAATAAAAGTACTTTGGGCTGGATGAAAACGAAAACCCAATTTATTAAAATGTGTGGGATGCAATGAAAGTAGCACTTAGATGGAAATTTAGAGCACTGAATACATATATTAGAAAAGAATAAAAAAAGCCCTAAAATCAATCATCTAAGCTTCCACATTAGGAAATCAGTAAAAGAGCAAATTAAATACAAAGTAAGCAAAAGTAGAGCAATAATAAAAATTAGAGGATAATGAATAAAATCAAAAACAGAAAATTAATAGAAAAAAAAATCAATGACGCCAAAAGCTGTTTCTTTTAAAAGTTCAATAAAATCTATAAGGCTGTAGCCAAGCTAAGGGAGAAAAAAGAGAGAGGGCACAAATTACCAATATCAGAAATGAAAGAGGGGACATCACTACAGATCCCAGAGACACTGAAAGGATTATCAGGAATACTGTGAACAACTCCATGCCCACAAAGTTTATAACCTAGACAAAACGAACAAATTTCTTGAAGGACAAAAATCTGCCAAAATTCACACAAGAAAAAATAGATGAATCAATAATTAATAACCTTCCAATAATTAATAACCTTCCAAAGCAGAGAACACCAAGCCCAGAAGGGTTCACTAGTGAATTCTACCAAACACTTGAGGTTGAGAAATTATACCAAGTCTCTCAATCTCTTTCAGAAGACAGAAGTAGAGGAAATACTGCCTAACTCATTCTATGAGGCCAGCATAACCCCAGTACCAAAACCAGACAAAGATAGCACAAGAAAAGAAAACTACAAATATCCCTCATAAACACAGATGTAAAAATCCTCAAAAAATATTAGCAAATCAAATCCAAAAAAGAATTATATACTACAACCAAGTGAGGTTTACCCCAAGCATGCAAGTTTCAACATTCAAAAAACAATTAATGTAATCCAGGCTAAGGAAGAAAAGTACATGATCCTATCAACAGATGCAGAAAAAGTACTTGAAAAAAAAATACAACATCCATCTATGATAAACCTCTTAGTAAACTAGGAGTAGAGGAGAACTTCCTCTACTTGATTAAAAAAATTACATATGTACCAAAAAACCTATAGCTAGCATTATACTTAATGGTGAGAAACAAGCAGCTTTCCCACTAAGATCAAGAACAAGGCCAGGATGTTGCCTTTCACCACTCCTTTTCAACACTGTGCTTGAATTCCCAGCTAATTTGCAGTAAGATTTAAAATATATATATATATATACTGATTAGAAAGGAAGAAATAAAATTGTCTTTGTTCACAGATGGCATGATTGTCTATGTAGAAAATCTGAAAGAACTGACAAAAGAACTCCTGGAACTAAAAATCACTTACAGTAAGGTTGCAGGATACAAAGTAAATATATGAAAGTTAATCACTCATCTATACACCAATAATAAACAAGTGGAATTATAAATTAAAAACACAACCCCATTGACATTAGCACCTCCAAAAATAACATACTTAGGTATAAATCTAACAAAAAAGTACAAGATCGGTACAATTAAAATTACAAAACTCTGATGAAAGAAATCAAAAAAGAACTAAATTAATGGAAAGATATTCCATGCTCATGGATAGGAAGACTCAGTATTGTCAAGATAGCAGTTCTTCCCAATTTGAACTATGGATTCAATGCAATCCCAATCAAAATCCCAGAAATGTTATGTTGTGGATATCAACGAACCAATTCTAAAGTTTATATGGAGAGGGAAAAGACCCAAAATAGACAACACAATATTGAAGGAGAACAGCAAAGTTGGAAGACTGACACTACCTGAATTCAGGACTTACCATGAAGTTACAGTAATAAAAATAGTGTGGTATTAGCAATAGACAAATAGTCAATGGAACAGAATAGAAAGCCCATAAATAGACCTGTGTAAATATAGTCAACTGGTCTTTGAAAAAGGAACAAAGGCAATTCAATGGAGCAAAGAATTTTCAACTGGCACTGGAACTGGCCATCACATGCAAAAAATGAATCTAGACATAGACCCTATGCCCTTCACAAAAATTAATTCAACATTAATAAACCGAAGTGTAAAATGCAAAAGTATAAAACTCCTAGAAGATAATATAGGAGAAATTCCAGAAGATACAAATACCAAAGGCACAATCCATGAAAGAAAGAATTGATAAGCTGGACTTCATTAAAATTGAAAACTTCTGCTCTGCAAAAGACAATGTCAAGAGAATGAAAAGACAAGCCAATGACTGGAAGAAAATAGCTGAAAAAGACATATCTGATAAAAGGCTGTTATCCAAAACCCAGAAAGAACTCTTAAAACTCAACAGTAAGAAAACAAACAACCTAACTAAAATATGGGCCACAGACCTTAAACAGGCATCTCACCAAAGAAGATATATGGCAAATATGCAAATGAAAAGATGTTCCACATTATATGTCATCAGGGAAGTGAAAATCACAATAACGAGCAAACACTACCCACCCATTAGAATGGCCAAAATCCAGAACACTGACAACACCAAATGCTGACAAGGATGTGGAACAAAACAAACTTTCATTCACTGCTAGAGGGAATGCAAAATGGGACAGCCATCTTGTAAGGCACTTTGGTGGTTTCTTATAAAATTAAACATACTTTTACCATATGGTCTAGCAATTGCATCCCTTGGTATATACCCAAAAGAGTTGAAAACTTATGTCCACACAAAAACATCTACAGGGGTGTTTATGGCAGCATTATTCATAATTGATAAAACTCGGAAGCAACCAAGATGTCACTCAGTAGGTGAACGGATAAACTGTGGTATATCCAGACAATGGAATACTATTCAGCACTAAAAAGAAATGAACTATCAAGCCATGAAAACACACAGAGGAACCTTAAATGTACATTAGTAAGTGAAAGAAGCCAATCTGAAAAGGCTACATCCTTGTATGATTCCAACTATATAACTCCATAAAAGGCAAAACTATGATGACAGCTAAAAAAAAAAAAAAAAAAAATCAACAGTTGCCAGGGGTTAGATGGGAGGGAGGGATAAATGTACAGGGCACAGATAATTTTTAGGGCAGTGAAAATACTCTATGATACTACAGTGTTGGATACATGCCATCATACATTTGTCTAAACATAAAGAATGTCCAATACCGAGAATGAACCCTAACGTAAATTATGGACTTTGGGTGATAATGATGTATCAATATACGTTCATGAGTTGCAATAAATCTATCTCTCTCATGGTGAGACGATAATGGAGAAGCTACAGATTTGGGGGGCAGGGAGTATACGGGAAATCTCTGTACCTTCTTCTTAATTTTGCTGTGAACCTAAAACCTCTCTTTAAAAAATAGCCTTTAAAAAGGCAATGCAATAAAGAATAACCTTTTTTTAACCAAATGTGCTGTGAGAATTAGCTAAGTATGTTTTTAAAAATGAACTTGGATCCATAGGTCACATCATATACAAAAATTAACTCAAAATGGAAAAAAGACGTGAATGTAAAATCTAAAACTATAAAACTGGTGAATAAACCAATGGAGAAAATCTTTGTGACCTTGGGTTAGGCAAAAATTGCTTAGACATGACCCTAAAAACATAATTCATTTAAAAAATTGATAAACTGGACTTCATCAAAATTTAAAATATCTACTCTTCAAAAGACAATTTTATGGGAATGAAAAGACAAGCCAAAAATTGTGAGAAAAATCTTTGCAAAGCATAAACCTGATTTAAAAAAAAAAAAAAAAACCTTGTGTGTCTGGAATATGTAAAGAACTCTCAAAGCTCAAAAATAAGAAAAAAAAATCCTCACCCCACAAAAATGGGCAAAATATTTAAATAGATTCTTCACCAAGAAGAAATGCAGATAGAGAATAGACACATAAAAAGATGATCATTATTAGTCATTAGAGAAATACAAACTAAACCCAATGAGATATCACTATGTACCTATTACAACGCTAAATTTAAAAGACTGACCATACCAAGTGTTGGTGAAGATGTGGAGGAAGGGGAACTCTGATACACTACTGATGAGAATCTACAATGGTACAACTGCTATGACAAACAGTATGGTGGTTTCGTAAAAAGTTAAATATACATCTCCCATATAATCTAGACTTTCAACCTCTAGGTACTAACCCAAAAGTATTATATGTCCATGTAAAGATGTGTTCATTTGTACATGAATGTTCACAGCAGCTTTACTTACAACAGTTAAAAAGTGGACACAATAAAAACATCCATCAACAAATGAAAAGATAAATAATTTGTGGTATATTCCTACAAGGAAATACTACTCAGCAGTCAACGTGAATAATTGGTACATGCATTAACATGAATGAATCTCATAAGTACTATGCTAAGTGAAAGAAGTCAGACACAAAAGGTTTCATACTGTATGATTCCATCTATGTGATATTATGTAAATAAGGGCAAATCCATAGGAACAGAAATCACATCAGTGGTTGCCAGGTGCTGGGGGTTAGAGGAGGCAGCTGACTACAAAGGCACAGGAAAGAACTTTATAGGTTGATACCTTGATTGTGGTGGTAGTTACATACTTGACGATATATGTTTGTCAAAACTGTGAACTCTACACTAAATAGGGTGAATTTTACTGTATGTAAATTAGGTCTCAATAAATTTGAAGTTTAAAAACAAATGCAAAAAACCCTCAAACTTGCAGAATCAGAGTTCTCTGTAAGGCAATCTGCAACTTCCGTGAGCCAACAAATACTGCCTTTAGAAAAAAATCAGTAAGTCACAGACTTAGATGTCCTTCTTTAGTAAAGAACATTAAGAACTAGAAAATAGCTCAAATAAACATTCTCAGGTTACAAACTGTGACCATCACTAACATATGAAAATTCTACTTGCCAACTAAAAAACCTGGAATACCTGTCTTTTTTTTAAAGTACCACTAGCTCTGCCATACAGGTCCTTATTATTCCTCACCTGAGTCACAGCAAAAACCTTCAACTGATTGTCCTGATTGTTTTCTCACTGCACCACAAACCATCCTCACCACCGCTTTCCATTTTCTTTCTAAATCAGATCTGATCATGCAGGTCTCCCATTCAAAAGCCTCTGATGCTTTTCCATAGATTGAATAGAAAACCAAAGACATTTGGCAAGGCCCTTCTCAAATTAGTCTTAACTTACCTCTTTAGGCCTATTTTCTGTTCCATCTTCCCCAACACAAACTTTTAACTCAATATATGCAAATACACCCCAAGTTTGCATCATTGAGACCACTTGAAATTTCCAGTCGACATCTCCTCTGGTCCTCCATACCATTCAGCTCATAGAGCTACCTCTACCTGAACTGCCATTCTCTGATCTGGTTCTTTCATACACATCATCTTAGGGAAGGCTTTTCCAGGGCCCATCCCCTCCCCTGTATACCACAAGACACATCTCTTTTACAGCATCCAGCACACACATTACAGTCAATTGATTTGTCTACACTCCCTAAAGTGAGATCTTCTCACCAACAGGGCCATATACTTTTTTTTTTTTTTTGAGGCAGGGTCTCACTCTGTCACCCAGGCTGGAGTGCCATAGCACAATTTCAGCTCACTGCAACCTCCACCTCCTGGGCTCAAATGATCCTCCTGCCTCTGCCTCCCAAGTAGCTGGGACTACAGGTGCATGCCACCACTCACAGCTAATTTTTGTAGAGACAAGGTTTAATTGCCCAGGCTGGTCTTGAACTCCTGGGCTCAAGCAATCCACCCACCTCAGCCTCCGAAAGTGCTAGGTGTGAGCCACAACACCCAGCCAGGGCCATGTCTTGACCCAGCTGTTTCTCCAGGGCCTAGCACTATTCTAAGTGAATGGGTGTTTTGGTAGACCAGAGACTTGTAAATGCAGATGTTACTGAGACTTTAAGTTAAATTTTTGTTTTCTCATATCACTAAAGCAGTAAGAGCAACTATTGAGAATTGTATTAATATCATCATTTTTATATTTGTTAAGAGAACATTCTACATTTAGAAGAGAGTTCTGTGAGAAAGGAAAATAAATATTGGGGCCCCAAAATCACTAAGCTAAAGGGAAAAGTCAAGCTGGGAACTGCTTAGGGCAAACCTGCCTCTCATTCTAATCAGTCATCTCTCTGCTCACAGAGATAAATGCATATCTGATTGCCTCCTTTGGAGAGGCTAATCAGAAACTCAAAAGAATGCAACCATTTGTCTCTTATCTACCTATGACCTGGAAGCCCCCTCCCCACTTGGAGTTGTCCCACCTTTTCCAGACTGAACCAATGTTCATCTTACATGTGTTTATCGATGTCTCATGTCTCCCTAAAATGTATAAAACCAAACTGTATTCTGACCACCTTGGGCATATGTGGTCAGGACCTGCTGAGGCTGTGTCATGACAGGCCTTGGCAAAAAAATCTTTCTAAATTAACTGAGACCTGTCTCAGATATACGGGGTTCACAGCTGTGAGGGAAAAAAATCAAGAGAAATGAAATCGAAAGCCTACATGAGCAACTTATTAGTTGTGAATCCTTGGGCAATTGTTAATCTTTCTGAGTATATTTTTCATATATACAAGAAGAATATTAATATCTGTCTTCAAAGGGATAATGTAACCACCACAAGGAGATAACATAATGTCAAAAGTTTGTGAATCATACGGTCAACATAAATTTTAGTATTAACAAAGAAAAAGGTTACTATTTTTCTGGCTCACAGAGCCTACTCTGAAGAAAGAGTTTAATGCACAATGCCAGTAAACAATTTGAAAATATCTTCAAAGGCACTGGCCACGGTGACTTATAAAGCAAGGAAGCAAATATTTCTTCTGCAATGTTTAGTAATGACTTTGAAAATCTTGTGTTTGTAGTTGTTTCAATAACATTATTTAACTGTCTGAGGCACTGGAAATAGTCTGGGGCAAGGGAACATAGTCAAGTGATTTAAAATAATTTTTAAATTTCATCTAAATAATGAGTTTTTTTAGATGTGGTTGAAATTTTCAATAAAATCCACCTCAGAGCTGGCAAAAGTTCAAGTCATAATTAAGAATTTTCAATGATTAGCCTATAAGTTCAAGTAAATAACATAACTGAATTATTCCAATGATAGCCTTCAATAGGTAAAAGATAAAGATTTAGAGAAAATGATTATTTTTGTATTGAATAGGCCTTTAAGGCTGAAAATGTGAAAATATGATGATTATACATTTCTTCCAGCAAAATATAGTGGGTCACCATCCACTAGGAAATTTATAAGTAAAAAGATGAACGATAACAAGTATTGGCAAGAATACTAAGAAACTGGAACCCCTATACATTACTGGGAATATAAATGGTACATCCACCATAGAAAACATTTCCTCAAAAAGTTAAACACAGAGTTACCATATAATCCAGCAATCCACTCCTAGATATATACCCAAGAGAACTGAAAACATATAATCACACAAAAACTTGTGCATGAATGTTCATAACAGCACTGCAGTAGTCCCCCTCATCTGTGGTTTCACTTTTCACAGTTTCAGTTACCCACAGAGTCTGAAAATATTAAAATTCCAGAAATAAACAATTTGAAAGTTTGACATCATGCACCATTCTGAGTAGCATGATGAAATCCCACTGTCCTGTCCAGGACATGAGTCATCCCTTTGTCCAGTGTATCCATGCTATACATACACTACTCACCCATTAGTCAGTTAGTAGCCATCTTGGTTACCAGACAGACTATCACAATGGGGTTTGGTACTATCTGCAGTTTCAGGAATCCACTGGGGGTCTTGGGATGTATCCCCCATAAATAGAGGGGGAATTACTGTAGTCACAATAGTCAAAGGTGAAAACAACCCAAATGTTCATCAATTGATGAATGGATAAATAAAATGTGGCCTCTGCATACAATAGAATATTATTTAGCCATGAATAAGAATAAGGTACTATTAAATGCAACGACACGGATGATCCTTGAAAACATTGCTAAATAGAAAAAATCAGTCACAAAAGACCACATAATGTGTGATTCCATTTATATGAGGTGTTCAAAATAGGCAGATCCATAGGAGAGAAAGTAGATTAGTGGCTACCAAAAGCAAAGGGAAGCAGCGGAATGGGGAGTGACTGGCAATGGGTACAAGGTTTCTTTTTCAAGTGATGAAAATGTTCCGGAATTAGATGATGGTGATGGTTGCGCAACTTTGTGAATATACTAAAAACCACTGAATTACACTTTGAAAGGGTGAATCATATCTCAAGTTTTAAAAATACAGTGTGTCAGAGCAGGGTGATGGAACAGATCAAACATGGCATCATCTTTGTGACCGGGGGCCATGAACAGTTTAGCTGCTTCCTACTCAAATACAGTAGGCCACAGATTACATACCTCTTTGTGGCAAAGAGTCCAAAAAACGCACTATCAAATTGCAAACAGGAACCAGAAAGCTAATATACCACCTCTCATATACAAAACTGCCAGGGACTCAGGTGAAAGGCTGGATGTGCTGCAACCTCTTTCATAGTTGATGTGTCCCAAGAATTCATTTTAAAAAAACAGTTTATCAAAAAATATACAGTACAGAGCTGAACAAAACATTTTTCACAAGCACTCCTTGCTCTAGCCAGATCCATCTTTTGGCCTTTAGGAGCACAGGGAAAACGTCTCAGCATTACTTTGTACCCTGAGTACAAATTTATCTAGAACATACTGAAGTTTCTGGAGAGTGAGGTGTTTTATAAGAGATTCTGCTCTGTATCTATAACATGGGAATAAAGCACTGCATTAAATATAATCCTAAAAGGATTCTTTGTTTGCCCTGCCAATTATGGGTATGTGGGCCGAAATCTGCCTCAAAGACAGTAATTAACATCATCAATGATGTTCAATTGTCTGGAAAAAAGCTGAAAAATCTCAATTATAATGAAGATCAACAAAGGGCCAACTAACCAGAACACTAAAATCCACTGATAATAGTTTTTAGCATTCTATCTTTAAAGAAAATGAGTGCAACTTTACTGTTTACACTCCAAATCCAAAATTCTAGGATGTTAGCAGGGGCTGTAAGGGTCAACACACACTCAAGCCAAGTTCGTGACACCATAGATGTGTGTGCTTGAAAGCCAAGGCCTACTTTTGTATTGCTCATGTACACTCAGAACTCAGTACACTGATTAGCATCTAATTACAAGATATCTATAATATCTCTTAATGTTTGATGAGTACAGCCATTATAGGAAATGCTATGGGAGATTCCTCAAAAAATTGAAAATAGAACTACCATATGATCCAGCAGCCCCACTTCTGGATATACACCTCAAGGAAACAAAATCAGTATCTCAAAGAGACATCTGCACTCCCATGTTCACTGCAGCATTACTCACAATTGCCAAGACAGGGAAACAATCTAAGTGTCTTTGGACAGATAAATGGACAAAGAAATGTAGTGTGTGTGTGTGTGTGTGTGTGTGTGTGTGTGTGTATTTCTTTCTTTTTTATGACTGACTAGTATCCCATTGTGTGGGATACACTCTACATTTCTTTGCCCATTTGTGTGTGTGCACACACACACACACACACAATGGGATACTATTCAGTCATAAAAAAGAAATACATATATACACACACACACACACACACACACACACACAATGGGATACTATTCAGTCATAAAAAAGAAAGAAATCCTGTCATTTGCAACAACATGGATGAACTTGGAGGACATTATGCTAAATAAGCCAGGAACAGAAAGACAAATACCACATAGTCACACTTATCTATGAGATCTAAAAAAAGTCAGACTCATAGAAACAGAGAGTAGAATGGTGTTTCCTGGGGCTAGGACGTAGGGGAAACAGGAGGTGCTGGTGAAGGGATACACACCGTCAGCTATAAGATGGATACGTTCTGGCAATCCAATGTACAACATGGTGACTACAACTAATTATGCTGTATTGTATACTTGAAATCTGCCAAGAAAGATCAGAAAGTTACTTTTTTACCACACAAAAAAAGGTAACTTTGTGAAGTGATGGATGTATTCACTAACTCGATTGTGGTAATCATTTCACTATATATATATATATATCAAAGCATCATGTTGCACAACTTAAATATATACAATTTTGTCAATTATACCTCAGTAAAGTCTGGGGGAAATTTTGTGCTAATCAAAAAATTTAATTAATTGATGAAAACCAATATCTGAAATAATGACCCTAAGCCACTATAAACCAGAATTGAAGAAAATGTTACCCATCTATCTTACATAGATATACTTACAAAAATTGTAGAGAGAGAGAATCATTAAAGGGCTTTTTCAAGCTCTATTCTTAAGCATTTCCTAGCACATTTACTAGTTGTGGGACCTTAAATAAGTGTTATTTCATCTCTAGATGAAAGCTTCAGGCTCTTTATCTATAAAACATGGAATTGCTGCTGTGGCTGGCTCTTGGGATTGCTACAAGGAAGAAATGAATTTACGTATGTGTAAAACACCTGGCACAGAGAGTAGATACGCAAACATGTAAATCCCCTCCCTGAACCTTCAGTTCTTTCAGAGGAAACGCACACACAACCCCCCATAACGGTTCCCTTCATCTACAGCAGTTGTCCACCACATGCATCCTGCGAGGTTGGCCCTGGGGATCCCAAAATGAATTGGGAGGTGTCCTTGTCCACAGGGAGCCTACATTCAAGCACGGGAGATGGGTAATAGGAGTGCCTGTCAAGAGCCATAACCGAGCAGGCCCAGGTGCTGCCGAGCACCTGCCTCTCCAGGGTGAGAGAGACGCCCTGAGGCACCTGGGCAGGTACTTACCGTGGAGGAATCTCTGAAACTGGGCTGCAAGTGCTAGAAACTCCACTCAAATCAGCCTAAGCAATGAAAAAAAGGAAAGCTGTACCTCGTATTAACTGGAGACACAGAAGGTGAGACTCCAAACCAGGTTCTTGGAGCCTTCCACTCTGCAGACCACAGCCTCACGCCACATCAGGCCTCCCTCGGGCTGCAAGATGGAGAGACCAGCTTGAGGGCGGTGGAGGTAGGGCTTCTTCCCAGAAGATCCTGACAGCCCTGTACTCACCTCTCATTGGCCCAAACAGGCTAGGGTCGGCCCACCCCTCAACCAATCTGTGACAAGGGAGAGCAGATTTATCATCATTGGCTAAAAATCCTAATTCTCTAGAGGTAGAAAGGATATTTTAGATTCAATCACAGTGTCTACTACAAAGCATTCAGTAAATATCTGATGACGACATGGATGAAAATGATGAATGGCTGGATCAACAATATAATCTGTGCTCTTTTAGAAGAATTTGCCTGTGGGGACCGGGCAGGGGGGAAAATACCTGCTTTTGATTTTAGTTCAACACAATTAAAGATAGAGCAGGATGAATCTACCCAAAATGACTTCATCAGAAAGCTATCAGCAATTAAGCATAGACCGCCATTAATATTACCTAGCAAGTAGTATGAGTCAGGAACTATGTGGAGTGTAATTTGTGGTTAAGAGCATAGGATAAGGGCTGAGGGCGGTAGCTCACGCCTGTAAACCCAGCACTTTGGGAGGCAGAGGCAGGCAGATCACTTGAGCTCAGGAGTTCGAGACTAGCCTGGGCAACACGGCGAAACTCTGTCTCTATAAAAAATACAAAAAAATTAGCCAGGCATAGTGGTGCACGCCTGTGGTCCAAGCTACTCGGGAAGCAGAGGTGGGAGGATTGCTTTAGTACCGGGAGGCAGAGGTTACAGTGAGCTGAGATAGTGCCACCGCACTCCAGCCTGGGTGACAGAGTGAGACAACTTAAAAACAAGAAAAAGAGAACCAGAGAGAAGAAAGAAAAGAAAGAAAGAAAGAAAGAAAGAAAGAAAGAAAGAAAGAAAGAAAGAAAGAAAGAAAGAAAGAAAGGAAGAAAGGAAGGAAGGAAGGAAGGAAAGAAAAGAAAAGAGAGGGGGAGGGGGAGGGGGAGGGGAGAGGAGGGGAGGAAAGACCTTGGTTTAAATGTGTTCCAATGCTGACTCTACCATTTACTAGGCATATAATCTTGGGTAAGTTGCCTAACTTCTCCAGGCCTCGGGTTTTCTAATTGGGGAAACAACAGTTCCTACTTCACAATGTTGTTATGAGAATTCAATAGTAAAACATGGGAAATGGTCAGCATCCTGAATGTTTAAAAATGTTAGCCATTGCTATCGTCCATAAAAATCCATCCTGAATCAGCTTTAGTTTCATGTAAACTGCATGTAAAAATAGAAAAGACACCTTTTCTCTGACTCAAAATGTAGAGTACAATAAATGGAATGACAACCATTAAAACAGTCTTCTTTGCTGATGGGGCTACAGTAGGCAAGCCATTCTCATCAAAGACAGATGTGGCACTTTGGGACCCGGTCCTTTTCTGTGACAATGCCCCTCTGGACTCCTGAATTTGGCTCACCCCACTCTCCAACAAGGCAAGTTACTACTAGGTTTCTCTGTTTAAAATATCTATATTTAAGAAAACTGAAGCATATGTCCCCACAAAGGCTTATACATAAAATGTTCATAGCAGCTTTTTTCATAGTAGTCAAAAATTGAGAACAACTAAGTGTTCACTAACAGTGTATAGATAAGGAAATTATAGTGTATTCATAAAATGAAATACTGCTGTGATAAAAAAGAGTGGTACATGCAACAACACGGAAGAATCTCAAAAACTGTTGAAAGAAAACAGACACGAAAGAGCACACTTTGTATGATTCTATTTATTTGGAATCCTAAAAAAGGCAAACTAATCTACAGTCACAGAAAGGAGATCAGTGGTTGCCTAGGGCCAGGGGTTAAGGGTAGATAGATGTTGACTGGGACACTATGTAGGAGGGAATTTGGGAGGATGACAGAAATGCCTTATATCCTGATTGTGACTGCAGTAGTTACAGGAGTGTATATATTTTTCAAACTCATTAAACTGTTTGCTTAAAATGGGTACATCATATCACATGTAAATTATACTTCAATAAAACTGATTTTTATGAAAGCAATGAAAAAAATCTAGCCTACATATGACCACAGTGTGTGTGTGTGTATATATATGTATGTGTATATATATGTGTATATATATGAACAATTTTTTTCTATGTAGGTCTATACATACATTATATAATATATAATCACTAATTTTATAGAACATTTATTATGTTTCAGGGACTACTCAGAATAGTGCTTTACATTTAATGCTCACAACACCCCTTGAAATAGGTACTTTTATAATCCCCATTTTATGGGTGAAGAAAACAAGGCATTGAAAAGTGAACTTTCCTAAGATCGCAAACCTGGTAAGTGGCAAAATTGTGATTCAAACCCAAAAAGACTGGATCCAGAGCCCATGATTTTAACCACCATGTTATAATGTCTTCATACACACACACACACACACACACACACACACACGTACACATGCACTAAGTATCTGGAAGGAAATACCTGACAACGTTAATAATGTTTATTTCTGAATGATAGAATCTCTCTAGAGGTTTTAATCCTTTACAATTTCCTAATTTTTACGCAATGATTGGGTATTTCTTAGGTTATTTGAAAACAATAATAAACTAGTGTATATGGATCTTATCCACTTCAGTAATACTAGTTTTACTAATACAGTAGCTGTATAATGATTTTAGCAGCAGATTTTTTTTCAAAGTCTTATATGATACATATATAATACAAAATAAAGACTATTTGATTAGCATTTTATTAGTATACATTATGTTCAAATTTATATTTATGTTTTAGTGAGCTCAGAAAATTCTAAATTATAAGTTAGGTCTGATAGTTTATATTCCATATAAACTTCAGGATCCAATTTATCAAAAATAATCTTGATGTACACAGATAAGTGTCTGCAAGTGGTAATAGTTTTTCTTCACCAGTTTACTTCACAATCTTAAGCTACTCTTCTATTAAAATGGCTTAGAAACTTAAAAGATGGATAACAGAAAATGATTTAAAGGTTGACTTTAAAGAAATGAAAAATTATTTTAAATACTGAGTCATAAAATCACCAAGAATTTAGCAAATTAGTATGAATGAATGAATATCTTACTGTTTACATTCCTTATCACAAATATAAAAAACAGAAACAAAGCATCTCAATTATAAACTGAAATTACAATAATAATATTACCGCCACTGCTAAATATTCATTAGTTTTAATAACTTTACTGAATCTCATGCTTTTTTTTTTTTTTTTGAGACAATGTCTCACTCTGTCACCCAGGCTGGAGTACAGTGGTGCGATCTCAACTCAGTGCAACCTCTACCTCTCGAGTTCAAGCAGTTCTCATGCCTCAGCCTCTAAGTAGCTGGGACTGCAGGTGCACACCATTATGCCTGGCTAATTTTTGTATTTCTAGTAGAGACAGGGTTTCGCCATGTTGGCCAGGCCAGTCTCAAACTCCTGGCCTCAAGTGACCAGCCCATCTCAGCGTCCCAAAGTACTGAGATTACAGGCGTGAGCCACTGCACCCAGCTACCAAATATCATTCTAAGATAAACTGTCAAGAGAACATACACTGAGCAGCGGGATTTAATCTTGCCTAGAATTTAACTATTATTTAATTAAGTGAGGTACATATGTGCCATAGTAGTATACATGCTTGTACAATGTTACATATGCAAATATATATGCCCAGATCTCAATTTTTTCAAAGACTAAGAAAAAATTTCTAATGTATGCATAATAATGATAATAGAAGTTTAAATCCAAGGATCACATAAAAATGAGTCAGCCTGATAGCCATGTTAAAATGGTAATGTCCTCTCATGTGTCAAAATCAGTATATAATACATGAGAATATGCATATTATTCTTCAAAATAGCTTATACAATATATTTGAAAATATTAAGATTGCACGGAAGGACTCTCCCACATGTTTAGACTTACTATAAAAGATAAAATGATTGATAAACTCTGGTATTGGGAGAGGATAGTTGAATGGGCCAGTGGAGATCCTAGAAACAGATATCCAGACTAAGATAATGTACATGGTTAATGTTGAAGGCAGCAACAGCAGAGAAATGGAGGAAAGAATGGCTCTTTTAATAAACCAAACGTTATTGGAATAATTGTGATGGGCAGTTTCGTGTGTCAATTTGGCTAGGCTACAATCCCCGGTTATTCAATCGTACACTATTCTGGGTGTGGCTGTGAAGGCATTTTGCAGATGTGATTAACATCTATTAACATAATCAGTTGGCTTTACGTAAAGGAAATTATCCTAGATAATTCTTGGTGGGCCTGATTCAATAATTTGAAAGGCCTGACAAGTAGAACCGAAGTTTTTTTGAAGAAATTCCACCTGTGGACTGCAGCTTTAGCTCATGCCTGAGAGTGGGCGTGGTGGCACCCGCCTGTACTCCCAGCTACTCAAGAGGCTGAGGCAGGAGAATCACTTGAACCCGGGAGGCGGAGATTGCAGTGAGCAGAGATCGTGCCACTGACTCCAGCCTGGCGACTGTCTAAAAAAAAGAAAGAAAAGAAAAGAAAAAAGAAAAGAAAAGAAAAGAAAAGAGAAAAGAAAAGAAAATAGGATATTTTCCGCTTGGGGACCCCTCTCTCTCTTACAGAGAGAGCTGTTTCTCATTTCTCTGTCTCTTCTCTTCTGCCTGTTAAACCTCTGCTCCTAAACTCCTCGTGTGTGTCTGTGTCCTAAATTTTCCTGGTGTGAGACAACGAACCCCAGGGTATATACCCCAGACAACGTAGCCCCTTCATATTGGGGACCTCATCCGGGATACCAAGATAGAATATTCATCAAAATGGTGAGTAGAAGAGCAGACTCCAACTCTGTCCTTTCTTTTTCTTTTTCTTTTTCTTTTTTTTTTTTTTTTTTTTTTTTTGTTATTGTGTTATTTTTTGAGATGGAGTTTCGCTCTTGTCGCCCAGGCTGGCGTGCAGTGGCGCAATCTCGACTCACTGCAACCTCTGCCTTCTAGAGTCAAGCAATTCTCCCTCCTCAGCCTCCCGAGCAGCTGGGACTACAGGCATGCACCACCACGCCTAACTAATTTTTGTATTTTTAGTAGAGACGGGGTTTCACCATGTTGGCCAGGCTGGTCTCGATCTCTTCACCTCGTGATCCACCCACCGTGGCCACTCAAAGTGCTGGGATTACAGGTGTGAGCCACTGCACCCAGCGCCAGCTCTGTCCTTTCATTTCAAGGCTCTCGGCCCCCATTTTAGAACCAAATCAAGCCAAATGCTGGGCCCCCTTCAGCCATTTAAAAACGATTAGCATGGCTGCCAGCCTTACAAGACTCGGGGGACAGGCTTTCTGGGGAGAACATGGAGAATCCCCCAGCACCCATGTGTTGCTGGGCATGTTGGCCATGTTTGAACCAGCTTCCTTTCACGGAGGATTTAGCCATCACTTGGGGTTGGAAGAAGTCCTGGGGCAACTGAGGATTTCTGGCTGGGACTACCCCCAGGTTTATCCAGAGGCTTCTGGACTGACCCCAGCTTCCGACCGCCCAATGGGATGACGGCAACAGAATCTCCAACTTTCCTATGGTAATTTCCTCCTTTCCTGTCCATGACTGCCATATCTCTTATCCTCTCTGTGTATGCAATGTGCGGGAAGTTTTACCCTATGTAAATAAGATACCACCTCCTCAAACCTGACTATAAAATCCAGCACATCTGCTGACGGCTGGTCTTTTCCACTGGGAGACCCCTTGCTCTCTATAGAGAGAGTTGTTTCTCGTTTCTGTTTCTCTTCTCTTCTGCCTATTAAACCTCTGCTCCTAAACAATAAATAAATAAATAAAATAGAAAAGATTCACACCATCATTTTAAATAAAACAAGCAGGCGGGGCACGGTGGCTCATGCCTGTAATCCCAGCACTTTGGGAGGTCAAGGCAGACGGATCACTTGAGGCCAGGAGACCAGCCTGGCCAACATGTCCAAACCCTATCTCTACTAAAAATATAAAAACTTGCCAGGTGTGGTGACACATGCCTGTAATCCCAGCTACTGGGGTGGCTGAGGTGGGAGAATTGTTTGAACCGGGCGGTTGCAGTGACCCAAGATTGTGCCACTGCACTCCAGCCTGGGCAACTGAGACTGTGTCTCAAAAAACAAAACAAAACAAAACAAAACAACAACAACAACAACAAAACCCAGTGAACAATGATCTCAACTATGTTTTTTCAATGTATGATTTATATAAAGTTCAAAAGCAGGCAGGACTAATCTAAGGTGTTAGAAATTAGGATGTTGGTTACCCTACAGGAGGGGTATTGATTGGAAAGAGCAAGAAGGAGGGGCTTGTGGAATGCTGATACTGTTATGTTTCTTAATTCTAGGTGCTGGTGATATGGATGTGTTCAGTTTGCAAAAATTCATTGAGTTGATTTGTGTATATGCATAAATGTATATATATATATATATATATATATATATGTTATATAAAGGGCCTATGTTATACTTTTAAAAATAGAAAAAAATTATGCATAGAAGAAACCTAGTGGTTTTAATTTCTTCTTTCTAGTTTCCATGTAATGGAGGGGCCACAGATGATATTTTTGTTTCTTCTTTTTACTTCTCTATTTTTCCCTAAAATAGACATGTATTAACTTCATAATGGACAACAAACTAGCAGTTGATCTTATTAATAGTTAACTATCAGAATGACAGGTATGCATGACAATTCTTTGGAGTTGAAAGGAAAAAGAACTGAAGATAAGCGGCAGGAATCTGGAAGCCTTCATGGGAGTAGGAGGTGGGATCTTCAGCACTGGAAGGAAGAAACGGGAAAATGTGGATGGAGGATTCCAAGCCAGGGAGATCATTTGAGCTCATCTTTGAGGCAGGAATATGATAGACAGTATTGCTTTGGTGATTGAGCATCCATCCTCCCTTCTTCTAGCAATACCACCTCGATATTCCTTTGGAGAAATGACCCCCCCCCCAACCACCAACCATTCTTAGTATATATGTGATGACCTGCTCTATGAGGAGGCAGATTAGTCAGCATATTCCATCTCATTAAATCAGGGACGGTCATGAGACTCGAGCTGGTCCAGGGGAAAGCCCAAAACTTTTGCTGAAAGTTTTGGGTCAGTGAGACTCACTGAGGTAGCTTAGCTGATAGGGTGCAGGCCTGGAGCTGCTGGGAGCGATGCTAGTACAGTCAGGGGAAAGGCTGAGGCTAAGAGATGAAGAGAGGGAGATCCCTGAGGATATCATGGAGCACCTGCAAACAGCCCTGTCTGAGCACAATTATGTCTGGTCTTTTCACTTATGTGGACCAATAAAATCCTTTTCATTGAAGCCATTCTGAGTTGTGTTTCTTTCACTGGCAACCAAAGAGTATCAGTAAGTAGCATACCAAGAGCAGGGTGGTATGCTCATCATTATACCCTGCATCATCAGTCCACCCTGCAGGGAGGAGTGTTTTATCATAACCTTGTTTAGAATCACCAGCTCGTAATAAGAAGGACACCAGCCTTTAGTTGATTTTATCTGTTTAAATTCTGTATAGACAACACACCTCCTTACTGCCAGCCCAGGACACACTGCTCCCACTCTCTCCTCCCGCCCTGTCCCTACCATTCCCCAACTCTGCCTTGGTCTGACAAATGCAGTAGAAGGAAGAGGAACTTTAGATTTTGAATCCATATGATCTCAGACAGACTAATTCAATCACTTCATCTTATCAGTGAGAAACCGAAACTCGAAGGAGGGAATATATTTGACCAAGGTCTAACTTGCACTTGTCCACAATGCAGTAAGAATGAGAAGCATAGTGCCTGGGAACCTGTGAAACAGATGACCAAGACTCAACAGAAACCCTTTGTGGGCCTGGCGCATTTCTGCTCCTAGGGCTTTTGCTATCCACTGGATGTGGGTATGGGTAGGGAACTTTCTCATCTACTGCTTTCATGCTCAAAAATTTGGCAACTGCCATCAGTTTCAAAGGACTGGCCTATTTTTATGCAAAGATACTGGCACTTGCCTGGGTCCTTGTTTTAAACACAACTGAGTAGTGGGGTTGGAGAAGTAGAAACCTCACCAAATGCCAGGTGGCACCTCACACTGGCACACACCATCTTATGATCTGGCCTCCCAGAGGGGCTTTTGTGATGGAGAAGCTACAGGGACTGCTCCTGAGACAGTTGAGAGAGGGGCCCACCGGCAGTTACAGGTTCACATGTGTTGATGAGGGATAAGATTCTAAACCTGCCCCTCCTCTGTCACAAAGTTAGATGACTGGGAAACAATCAAATCCCCACTGTATTTCCCATCCCCCCAAAACATCTTTCCCCAGAGTTGCCCTTCCCCTTGGTTAGTTGTAAAGCAAACAGAAAGGCCAGCCTCCCCCATTTCTGCCCATATTCATTATTTTTGTCTTGCTAGGTAATGAACTGCTGAAGTAAGTTACCTGGGACAAGAAGGAAAGGGTGGAGAGGGAAGAAAGTCCTGTACTGTGTTATAAGGTCTATTTTCTGTTGACCACCTGGCCTTAGATGCCTGTTTATAAGCAAGGTCCAGTATCTGAAAGATACAGGTTCAAATCTGAGCTCTATCAGTTACAGACTTTGTGACTCTGGGCAAAAACTCCATGCTTCTGTTTTCTCATCTGTAAAATGGAGATCATTATATCAACTTCATATGGTGCTAGAGTGAAATGAAGACAGTGGTTCTCTCTTCAGTGTTCATGAACCACAGATAAGTTCCTTTCCCACATTTTCACAGTCATAGGATCCAGTAAGGAAGGCCCGAGTGATACTTGCTGGGTCACTGAGCTGGTGATGCCTGGGCTCAGCTCCAGACATGCTGGGTCCCAGGCCTGAGCTTGTGTCTTCAAACTAGGAATACATCAATTACTTAATTATTGCTGGTACAAAACAGGGTCTAAGGAAGGCCAGGCTCAAGAGCACAGTTAAAAAAGAAATCCCCTCCACAGCTGCCCTTGCCCTGGTTGGGGTGGAGGCCAGCAGGCCCCTCATTGCCAGGTAGGAAGCATTAGATACGCCTGATGAGCTAGAAGCTTTCTTTTTTAACAATGAAGTAGAGGCAAGGTGTTCTAACTCCCCGTCCAGAGAAGAGGCAGGAAAGCTAGAACTTGCAGTGAATAGTCCTTTAGTCATTTATAAAGAATCTTCCAAACTATTCCTGGGCCAGGAAAGTCCCTCTATTAGGCTTCTTCAGCAGGACATGGCTAGCTACCTGTCTTGCCAGGGAATTTTCTCATTCATTGTTTAAGTCTGGAGTGGTCAGTGAGAGGAATGGTTTTTTGTCCTACTTTTCTGGTCCAAGGGAAGAGGGCACCTCAGCAATAAGCCTCTTCATGGATGGAGACATCTTTAGGTCACAGCTGAAATGCAGCTCCCCTTTGGAGCAGTCTCTGACCCACCCCCCACACTCTCATGGCACCATGAATATCTCCTTCACAGCTCTCACATCTTTCATTTTTGTTAATTTCTTTATTTGTGCACATTTTACAAATGCAAATAATTCCTTTCATGACTATCTTCTCTACAGGACCATGAGTGTTAACAGAGCAGGAAGAGGGTCTATCTTAATTATAACTCTGTAGCCCCAGGAGTTAGCATATCGCCTGGAACCTGGTAGATGCTAATAAGTGTGTGTTGAATGAGTCTCATGCATGCACCTATGGGTGAATGGATGTGTAACCCAGGCTCTGCTGCTCCTGGTTATAGATAGTTGGGTCAGTCACTTCACTTCTTTGTGCTTCAGCTTCAACAGTCACCAAGGACATGACTTCTGGACTTCTTTGTGATACTAAAATGCTGAGTCAGGGAGGGTAGGGCTAGAAAGGGCTGGAAGCAAGTTAATGTCCATGAGTCAGTCTCCCATAATAAGCAAAAACTGAGGGAGGATTTCCAAGTTTCCAGCTGGCAGTTAGGTTAAAAAGATAAAAAGTGTCATGTTGCAATCTGATTGATTGACTTCAGATATCTTCATATCCTCAGCAAGTTCACAGCCCTCCACCAGGAATCCCCAGTGGGGATTCCTGGCCAAAATCAACCTGGAGGTTTGGTTCAACAGAAGCTGAACAGACATTCTCCTAGAAAGGGAACCAGAGAGAACAAGAAGGGAAATGACATGCACAGTAGGCCTCGCATTAGTCGGAACATCTCTTCTTTTGTGTTTGGGGCACCACCCTCTACCCTCCAAGTCCCTCACTCCTCTCTCTCCTCTCCACCTACCAGTGCTGCTCCAAACACTGTGCTCAAGCCTCAGGAAGGTTCTAGAATCTCTGGACACAGTTTCAGTCCATGGGCTCTGTAGTGAAGATGTGGTCTTGCAGCAGACACAGAGAAATACTTTTTGGTGGCACAACTCAAGGGCGTCATTTCAAACTGGGGGGCTCATGAGTGTCAATTTAAAAAGATCCCCCTCCTTCCTTCTATGAACCATTCCTAGTCCTGAATTTTAACCTGAAATAGACCCATGGTGGCTGTTAGCTAATCTGATAAACTCATCTCTGTCCTCTCTCTGAGTAAGAACAGTTTATGTAGATATTGAAATCAAAATACACTTACCGTATAAACAAACAATTCCATTTTTAATATGTTACAGCTGTGCTTCACGTAAAGTATGAACTGATATGTTCAAGGGCATTCATTGAAACTTTATTGTAATAACAAAAGTTAGAACGGAGCTTAAGTATCCCTCACCATGAAAGTAAATAATTTTACTCCCATGTGATTCACTGCAGTTTTACACAGCCATTAAAAAGTATGAGGCAGGCAGGTCTCTATGTATTGATGTAGAAAAATCTTCAAGAATATTAAAATGAAAAAAAGCAAGACACAGAATAGTGTTGAGAATGGGTTAGCGTTTGTGTAAAAATTAGCATATACTTAGATGCCTGTGGTATATGGGTTGAATTGTGCCCTTCCCAAAATTCAAATGTTGAGATCTTAACCCCTAGTACCTCCAACTGTGATTTTCTTTGGAGATAGGGTGTTTAAAGAGATAATCAAGTTAAAATAGGGTCATTAGGTTGAACCCTAATCCAATAAGACTGGTGTGCTGAATAAAAAGGGAAAATTTGGACAGACAGGTACACAGGGAGAACGCCTTATGAATATGAAGACAGAGATCAAGGTGATGCTTCTACAAGCCAAGGAACTGGCAAAGATTGATAGAAAACCACCAGGAGCTAGGAGAAAGGCATGGAATAAATTCTCCCTCACAATCTTCAGAAGAAACCTACTCAGCCCACACCTGGATCTCAGACTTCCAGCTTTCAGAGCTGTGAGATAATAAATTTCCAGTTTGTGGCACACTGTTACAGCAACCCTAGAAACTAATATAGCATATCTATCTATCTATCTATGTGTCCACCCAACCAACCATCTAACCATCCATTCATCCATCCACCCACCTACCTGCTACCTATCTATCCATCTATCCAACCATCTAACCATCCATCCATCTGCCCACCCGACCACCTACTGTCTATCCATCCATCCATCCATCCATCCATCCATCCAACCATCTAACCATCCATCCATCCATCCACCCATCCACCTACTATCTAGCTATCCATCTACCTACCCACCTACTATCCATCCATCCATCCATCCACCCACCTACTGTCTATCTAGCCAACCATCTAACCATCCATCCATCTAGCCACCACCCACCTACTATCAATCTGTCCATCCATCCATCCATCCAACCATCCATCCATGCAACCATCTAACCATCCATCCATCCACCCACCTACTATCTATCCATCCATCCATCCAGCCATCTAACCATCCATCCATCCAGCCATCTAACCATCCATCCATCCACCCACCCACCTACTATCTATATATCCATCCATCCAACCATCTAACCATCCATCCATCCATCCACCTACCCACCTACTATCTATCTATCAATCAGTCATCATCTATCTATCTATCTATCTATCTATCTATCTATCTATCTATAGATACATCCATACACTTATGTATACACACACACAAAATATTTTTGTGTATATTTGTGTGTATCTGTCAATATAAGATATGGAAAAAAATACACATTTTAAAAAGCCTGGTCAGGCATGGTGGCTCATGTCTGTAATCCCAGCACTTTGGGAGGCTGAGGCAGGCAGATCACTTGAGGCCAGGAGTTCGAGACCAGCAAGGCGAACATGGTGAAACCCTGTCTCTACTAAAAATACAAAAATTAGCCAGGTATGGTGGCATGCGCCTGTAGTCCCAGCTACTCGAGAGGCTGAGGCAGAAGAATCACTTGAATCCAGGAGGCAGAGGTTGCAGTGAGCCAAGATGGCACCACTGCACTCCAGCCTCAGCAACAGAGTGAGACTCTGTCTCAATTAAAAAAAATAAAAATAAAAAAAATTTTAAAAAGCCTGATGATATTGGTTACTTTTAGGAGGAGAACTGAGGAACTGAGATGGGAAAGAGAATTTTCACTACATACTCTTGCATACCTTTTGAGTTTCGTACCCTGTGTGTATGTTACCTCCCTCTGTATTCCTGATTCAAATAATTAACTATATAAGAAAAGAAGGGTAGCCTTCTGGAGACCACAGTGCCCACCCTGAAAACAGTCCTGTCTTCCCAATCTAACCTTAGCATATCAATATGGTTTAACCTCTGGAACCAAGTCTGACCAATTGTGAAGGGCTGCCGCTGGGAGTGTTGTCTTAACTCTGATGCTGAGGCCTCTGCTGGCCTCAGCACAGGAAAGCTCATCCATCAATTAGCATGTCTTCAAGGTGCAGGGAGGGGACTCAAGAACAGGAGGACAAAAATCTGCCAACCCTGACCTATCCCATTATTGGCTCAGGGTGGGAATATCAAGTTGGTTTGGGGGTGTAAAGGGTCATATGCAAGTAATATTCATCTTCATGCAATAGGGAGCCCCGTTATTACAGAGCTCTGCTATAGTCTATGAGTCAGGCAGGTGGCTCTGAAATGTGATACGATGACTCACTGTGTGCAAAGAAGTCCTTTTCTCTTTCTGGAGTAAATGGGCAGATGGATAGCCACTGTGTGAGTCATGAGGCCCGAGGCCCAAATGGCGGTGCAGATGGAGAAAAAATGAGATTCTGTGCAGGAGGCTCTTATCTCATCAAACCATAGGGGTCTGACCCCTGCATGCACCGCACCTGCCAGAATGCACGCATTCCAAGTGGCGGTCTAAGCCCCTGAAGCGGAGGGGGCACTGAGACTTGGCATGACCGTGGCCACCCCAGGACCCTGGCCACCTTCCAGAGTAGAAACGGTCAGAAACTTGGAACAAAACTCAACGTGGAAGAAATTAGAACGAAGGTTGTTGAGTGCCAGGGTCAGTTGAATCCTGGTTCTAAATATCATACGTAAACATGGCTGGGTGTGGAAATAGACACCTAAAGTGTCAGCGTTTTATACTGTTGACAGTTTTCTACTCAGTGGATCCTCTCTCTAAGGGATTATAGCTAGAGCCTTTTAACAAGATCAGTTCTCTCTCTGATTCCACAGGAAAGTAAATTTCTGTAGCCAGCAAATACACAATACAATGTTTTTTTTTATGGCTGAGAGACATCCTTTCAGAGATTTGCTGAGAAAGGGGATAAGAAGGCAGGTAAAGAAAGGAGACAAGTTCTATTGAAAGAAGTTTGAGATAAAGGTGAATTTGGAGCCTTGAATGCCACCTTTCATAGCATCAACCTTCTAGTACTTAGGCAGAATTATGAAGCTACAGCAAAGGGCAGTGCTTCTAGTGTACAGGGCTTGTATTAGTCCGTTCTCACACTGCTAATACAGACATACCAGAGACTGGGTAATTTATAAGGAAAAAGAGGTTTAATGCACTTATAGTTTCACATGGCTGGGGAGGCCTCACAATGATGGCAGAAGGTGAAGAAGGAGCAAAGGCACATCTTACATGGCTTCAGGCAAGAGAGCATGTGTGGGGGAACTCCCATTTATAAAACCATCAGATCTTGTGAAATGTATTCACGATCACAAGAACAACATGGGAAAAACCTGCCGCCATGATTCACTTACTTCCCACCAGGTCCTTCCCACAACATGTGGGGATGGATTATGGGAGCTACAATTCAAGATGAGATTTGGGTTGGGACATGGCCAAACCATATCAGGGCTGCTCTGTGGCATTGTTGGTGCATTATATACACACCCACCCAAGCACTCTTTCCTGAAGAAACACCATGTCCACCTGGGAGTACAGAAGTGAACAGGGCAGAATCCCTGATCTTGAAAAGCATTTAGTGTAAATATATAAACCAACAACCACAAGATGAACTAATAGATTATGATGCAAAAGGCACTGAAAACTTGCTCTGGGAGGAAAGAAGAGGGCATAGGGAGACTTCCTTTCCTGAGAAGGTGACTTTTCAGCTGAATTTGAAGGGTAAGTAGGAATCTTCCAGGTTAAAAAAGGGGGAGAAGAGAAGGTCCAGACCGAGGGAAGATTTTGTTCAAAGGCTCACCAGCAAATGCCTAAGGAGGAGTTAGGGAACCCGTGAGCAGCTTGGGATTCTGGAGGGAGGGGTGTTCATGGCGAGATGAAGCTGGGGAAATGGGCTGGGCCCTTACATGGCAACTCAAGAGTCCACACTCCATCCCTGAGTCACTGGGAGAGGCAACACAGGCTTCATCACGATAGGAGAGTAATCCCATTTCCTGCTTTGGGGCGACTTTGCTCTTAACATGCAGAGGAGCCAGAGGCGGGAGCTGGGAGAAGAGAGACTGTTAGGAGGCTGCTGAAATAGTCCAGGCGAGAGATCTTGAAGCCCTGAACGTCAATATGTGCGGCACGAAGAGGAAGAATCGAATCTGAGCCATTTGGTATTTGCAATGGAAAGGACCTCCTAACAGGAGGGGTGAGATGTGGGAGGAGGATTTCCAGGCTTTTCAGTTGGCTTGTGACACTACCCAAGACAGGAAGAGAGAGTGAAGTGTCGTTTTGGGCATGTTGTTTTGGTAAGGACGTGCCTGTGGGTCATCTAACTGGAGATGTCCAACAGGCAGGCAGAAATGTGGGCGTGGAATCTGGGAGAGAAAACTCTAATGGAATATTTTTCTTATGACACATTCCCGTTAAGCCTTCATTCCTCGGGTTTGGCTAAGGCCACCGTGGACAGATTGGTGGGGGAAGTGCTGTTCTGAGATCCTGGGTGTAGTCTTACAGTCCTAACAGCAAGGCAGCTTTCTTTCCCTGTCTCTGCGTGGGGAACAGAATTTGTGCAGGCTCAAGTGTGCCTGGCAAGAAGGCCAAACTGAAAACACCTTCCACAGCTCTGGGGCCTAACGTTGAATTTCCATCTTCAGCCGCACGTTTTCCAGGTGAGCTTCTCAAGCAGGATAAATTCCTGCAGAAGCACAGAAATCTCAGGAGTCCCAAGGTTCCTAGCAAATTAGAATCTTGAGGTAGGAGAGGAGCCAGGCCCCACCCCAGAAGCCCAGTAGGAACTGGCACCAAGAGAAAATCGACAATAAAAGCAATTGGTGATTTGTGCCATCAGAAGATAGGCTGGCCAGGACAGGTCAAGGAGAATGAGACAAGTTACAGCAAATTTTAATACAATTGCTCTGATTCTAGGTAATTTCAGGATAGCATAATAGAATTATTTTACACTTGAAGATACTTTGGGATGCATGAACATAAAGCCTCTGCCATTTGCACTGTTTCATTTACTGAACACCAATCCTATTAGTTTGCTCTATATTACAGTTATTATCCCCATTTTATGGATGCAGAAAGTGGAGGGCAGACAGGTTAAATGATCTCCCTCAAATCGCCTACCGGGTAAGTGGCATATCTGGGATTTGGAAGCAGCCTGTCTGACTCCAGAGGCTGCCCTCTTAGCCACAGGCTCCACCAGCACGTGTATGTGACTGACACATGTGGATGGCACTTTGTACCGCCAAAAGTACTCTCTTATATTTATGTCCTCCAAATAGACAGAAACAGGGCCAAGATGAAACCTTTAGCCCGAGATGGCTTTTTACAGTGTCCTCTGGGGCTGGAAGGTAGACCCAGTATCCGGTATCCTGCAGTACCTTCCAGGCATGAGCCTAAGAAACAACATCAGAGTGAAGCACACTGGCTTCTGCTTCACACAGGACATGCTTCATAAAGCCTGCGCTTCCTATAAGATCACACCTTCCACCTCAGCCCCTAGTCCTGGGACCAGAGCCACCAAGAGGACCTAAATCAAGGTGAATGAGGGAAGGTTGGTGGCCAGTTACATTTTGCACTATAAAACCCCAAACTTCCCTCTAGCAAATCCCTGTGTTGGTTTTGTATTTGCTTTCTTTTTGGCTTCTAAACTCCTTACAATAGACTCAATGTTCTATTATCATCATTAAGATAAAACAGCAGGTCTCAGTATGTACTGAATACTTTTTTAAAACATAACATCGGACCTACAAAAAAGTTGCTAAAACAGTGAAGAATTCCTGGACAATCTTTACCCAGATACCCCAAAAGTTAGCATTTTACTACATTTGCCTTATCTATCATCTATCTCCCTTTAAATTTTTTCTTTTACCATTTAAGAGTGAATTGGAGACCTGATGCCCTATTCCCTTAAATAGTTATGTACATTTCCTAAAAGCCTGCCTAAAAATTCTGCCTCTCAAAACCACAGTACAATTATCTAAATCACAATGTTAACATTGATGGAACACAATTATCTAGTCTATAATCCTTCCTCAGATTTTGCCAATTGTTCCTATAATGTCCTTTCTAGCCAAAGAAAACCCAGTTACGTGTTGCATTTGCTTGTCATGTCCACGGACATCTAGAATAGTTCCTGAATCTTTTTATTTCATGGCGTTGACATATTTGAAGTGAACAGCCCAGTTATCTTGTAGAATGCCCCTCAATTGGGTCTATCTTTCTTATGGTGAGATTCAGGTTATATGGGGTTTTTTTTTTTCCAGGATTTTTTCAGTTCTTCTCAATGCCTCATAGGAGGGACATGCTGTCAGTTAGACCCATTTAAAGTTGGTGTCTGTTAGGTTTCTCTACCGTACAGCTACTGTTTTATCCCTTGTGATTAATAAGTCTCTTGTGAGGAGATACTTTGAAACTGTGTAAATATCCTATGTGAATCATTCATTGATAATTCTTGATGACTCATATACTTATTATTATGGTTGCCAAATGGTGATATTCTAATTCTGTCATTCCTTCTACAGTTATTAATTGGCTTTCAACCATAAGGAAGAACTTTCTTGTATGCCTTACTTATTTATATCAGCATGGACTCATGAATTCTTATTCAGAAAACCTCAATACTTAATAAAAAAAGATATGTGTCATTAAAGCATCACTCATGTCTGTTGGAATTCTTTAATGTATGTATTTTGATACTCAATTGTCCCAAATGTTTGCCAGACACAATTATTTCATTTAATTCATTAGCGATCAAATTTAAATCATTCAATTCTCAAAACAACTCTATGAGGTGGGGATCCCTCTTGATGTTTCTGCCACACAGGAATTATCTCCTCTCCCCTGCCACACACCTTTTTTTTTTTTTTTTTTTTTTTTTTTGAGACTGAGTCTCCCTCTGTTGCCCAGACTGGAGTGCAGTGGTGCGATCTGGGCTCACTGCAACTTCCGCCTCCCAGGTTCAAGTGGTTCTCCTGCCTCAGCCACATGAGTAGCTGGGATTACGGATGTGCGCCACTACAGCTGGCTAATTTTTTCATATTTTTTACTAGAGATGGGGTTTCACCATGTTGGTTAGGCTGGCCTCAAACTCCTGACCTCAAGTGATCCACCTGCCTTGGCTTCCCAAAGTGTTGGGATTACAGGTGTGAGCTACCGCGCCCGGCACCTCCCTGCGCCATTTTAAAATGAGAAAGACTCAGACAGGATAAATAACCTGTCAGAAAAGCTATGATGAGAATTCAAAGGCCCACTCGAAATCCCATGATTTTTTCCAGAACACATTGCCCCTTTAAGATATTTTTCTTTTGCAGATGGGATACTTAAGCCTATATTCTTTTTTGCCACTTACTCAAATCTATTCAGGACAGAGGAGGTGAAGGAGAAACCGTGGCTTTGTCACTGACAGCCTGTATTTGTAGTGATTTCTGCTTTGGCCAAAAGCCTCCCTGACTCTAATCAGCACTAAAGTTAGGAAGGTGTGTCGATTTAGATCCTGTCAGAATCCCTGCGTGCTTGAAATAGTTTCTGGCAATTGGGTTACTGAAAATCTAATCTTTTAAAGTAAGTGAGTTCATTCCAGTATTTAAAGGAAAAGTTTGGTGAGGTCTTTCATCATATAGCTACCAATTTATGATCTACCTAAATATGGATTTTTCCATATTATGCTTATGTTAATCAAGACACAGTGAAGAAGCTTCTTATTCATACATCTGTGGCACAAGGAAAGTTGCTAACAACAGCATACACAGAACCCAGAAAAGCTTAATATTTAATAAAAAAAGAAATGTGTCTATTAAAGCATCAGTCATGTCTGGATTTGACCCTAAAATGAGTTTTGAGGGTCACCAGCCTCATAATCATCCCAAGTGTCATCAAAAACACAGAATATGGTCAAGGCCAGCACAGACAACATAGTGAGATCTCATCACACACACACACACACACACTGCAGAATTTGGGGCCTCATCCCATGTACACCAAGTCAGGATCTTTGGTTTCAGTAAGCTTCCCAGAGGACGCTAAAAGTCAGTCACTAAGTGAGCTCGGAGGTGGTGGGGCCTCTGACCAAGCCTGGTTCCTGGGGTCTCACAGCTGGCTGTATACTGGCAATGCCAACCTCTGGGCCTCTTGCCCTCAGCAGTTACCAATGGAAAGAGTAATTCTGTGGTTCCCCAAGTGAGGCAACCAGACCTGGAATGGTTAGTGACAGTTCCACTGACCTTGGAGAATGAACTTGTGGTGGCTTCCGTCTCACGGAGCTCCCACCTCCCTCCTGCAGCAAATGGAGCAGCAGAGGGAAGGCATCACTGCCTAAGTACTCTGATGCACAGGACTTGTACAGAGGTCTTGGCAGCTCTAAGCAAGTTTTAAGAAGCTTGTTTGAGGGAGGTGGGGAACAAACTCCTTTTTCTAGATCTGGTGAAAACCAGTGCAAATAAACAAAACCCAGCTGTTGATTCACAGGGCAGAGTACTGCCTGCTCTTGGGAAAGGTGACTCTGCACCTCTCTAGTTCTACACCCACCCCACCCCCGTTCCCACATGCCCACCCTCACTTAGGTGGAAACCAGTCTAGGCTGTATGGAGCCAAGTTCAGGTGTCATCTATCATATTAACACCCAAGTAGACTAAGCAGTGGTGTGCTAGGAGGTGTTTAAAAACGGGCTGGGGCGGGGGCGGGGGTGGGGGTGGGGGTGGTGGTGGAGGGCTGATTTGTAGCACTTGCTGATTTTGGTGGTATAAATAACTCCCACCATAGCCAGTTTCAAGCTGGCTCTGGTGACCTGAGATGAGCCAGTTCCAGCACACCAGGGACTCTAAGTATAAGATTCATCAGCTTCAGCTGGGGCTACCACAGGGATGGGGCAGAGAAGCAGAACTTACTCTGCCGCACAGCGGATGAATGGGGCCAGTGCCACATGGTCAGCTTAGGCCTCCAAGGAAAGAAAATCACCGTCCCTGCCTCTCAAGATTTTCAACCTTTTTCCCCTGGCATTTGAGAGGAGCAATGTGGCAGAGGGCTTGAGATTGTTCACAGTCCTCAGGGCCCTCAGGTTTGCCCTTAATTGAAAACCATTCCAGGTATTACCAAAGGAAAGAGCTTAAAGTAGGCTGAGGGAGTAAGAAGTTGTCATTTCTATTTGGCTCTCCCTGCAACATCCTTGCTGTGTGTGTGTGTTTTAAGAGCAATGGCTAATGTTAATAACAATAAGACATTAAGGTAGTTTGTGGAAATTAGTGGCCAGCCCAACTCCTGCAAGTTTCTAAACCTGTTTTTCCCAACCCTAGCAGGAAAGGGAGGGGGCACAATATCCACACTCCTTCTCTCTCCTGGTGTGAAACCTCAGGGTGGGCACCCCAGTTCTGGAGCTCCAGACTGAGGGTAAAAAGCCCAGAAGCTGAAAACTGTTTCTCTACCTGACCTTGGGCTGCCAGAACCTCTGGCTTTCCCCATTGCCATTTGGGACCTATTATGGCTCTAGAGAGGGCTTGATATGGTTTGGCTGTGTCCCCACCCAAACTTCATCTTGAATTGTGGCTCCCGCAATTCCCACATGTCATGGGAGGGTCCCAGTGGGAGGTAATTGGATCATGGGATTGGGTCTTTCCCATACTATTCTCATGATAGGGAATAAGTCTCATGGGATCTGATGATTTTATAAAGAGGAGTTCCCCACACAAATTCTCTTTTTGCCTGCCACTGTCCATGTAAGACATGACTTGCTCCTTGTTGCCTTCTGCCATGATTGTGAGGCCTCCCCAGCCATGTGGAACTGTGAGTTAAACCATGAAACCTCTTTCTTTTGTAAAACCATTAAACCTCTTTCCTTTGTAAATTACCCAGTCTTGGGTAAGTCTTTATTAGCAACGTGAGAACAGACTACTACAGGGCTTTCTGGTTGTAAGGAAGAGAAGTCACTCAAATTCACCCAAATACTATGAGGTGTTAATTGTAAGGATACAGGGATCATCTGGGATCCTAAAACAGAGCACAGAACACAGTCCTTCTAGGAAAATAGAAAGCTGTTCAGGACTGAGGCAGCTTTTTGCTTTCTCTGGTTCTGGTCTTTTCTTTGTGCACCAATCTCTTGCCTCTGCAGATAGGCCTCTTTGTGTCTTAAACTTGTACCCAGTGCAACATGACCACCAGTCCTAGCTGGATATCAGGAGCTCTCATCTCATGCACCCATCTCTAAGGACAGCTTCCCTCAAAGGTCAAACTCACAGGAGCAAAAATCTGATTGGCCTGCATCATGTGTTTAAGCCAGACCACTGGCATTTTGATGGCCTCTGGCTTGGGTGTTGTATTAATTCTTGCACTGCTGTAAATGAATACCTGAGACTGAGTAATTTATAAAGAAAAGAGGTTTAATTAGCTCAAGGTTCCACAGGCTGTATAGGAAGCATGATGGCTGCTAGGGAGGCCTTAGGAAACTTTCTATCATGGCAGAAGTTGAGGGAGAAGCAGGCACATCTGACAAGGCCAGAACAGGAGAAGAGAGAGAGATGGGAGGTGCTACATGTTTTTAAACAACCAGATCTCCTGAGAACTCATTCGCTGTACAGACCAAGGGGGAACGATGCTAAACCATTCATGAGAATTCCACACCCAGGATCTAACCGCCTCCCACGAGGCCCCTCCTCCAATTCCACACCCAGGATCTAACCGCCTCCCACGAGGCCCCTCCTCCAATTCCACACCCAGGATCTAACTGCCTCCCACGAGGCCCCTCCTCCAACACTGGGGATTACAGTTCAATGTGAAATTTGGGCAGGGACACAGATCCGGACCCCATCAGGTGTCTACTCGTGTCTAGTCCTTTCGGCCATGGCCAGGGAAACAAGTGGGGAGAAATGGATGACACCTGATATGTAGGGTTCTCCTTTACAGTGGTAATGGGCAGAACCCATAGAGCCCCAGGTGACTCCCAAGACTGGCAGGCTGAATGCAGTAATGGCTCTGCAACAATTTAGGAAACATCAAGACATTGCCAACTCCTTCCACAAATTGAAAAAAACAATCCATATTGTGATACTATATTATTGACTTGAGGGCAATGAACTTTATAAAGCACATTAATAGATGTCATTTAATCCATACAGCCTTAGAAGGGAAGTGTTCTTATGTCCATTTTAAAGATGAGTAAACTGATACTCAAAGAAGAGGAGCGATTACCTCAAGATCCCATAGAATCACACTTGATGTCAGGTTCTCTGTCTCCTCACAGAGGAGCAGACAATCAAGTGGGACAGAGGGCTGGTGCAGAAATCACCCTTGAGTTTATCTAGAGCTGAGGATTTCTATTGTAAGTGAAAGAACCCAATTCAGATTGCTTTGAGCAAAATGAGAATTTATTGGCTGATGTAGTGGAAAAGCTCAGGTGCATCTGGCCCAATGGCATGGGTGCTGCTATTCTTTGTCTCTCTCAGCACTGCTCTTAAGCCACCCAGATCTCAGGCAGCCTCCTTCATTGAGGGGACAAGATAGCCACCAGCAGTCCTCATGGCTCCAAATCTAGCAGACCAAGTCTCTCACCACTACCTCTCTAAAAAATCTAGAATGTTGATTCTCCCTGGACTTAATTAGATCTTAGGTTCATTCCTGAATCAACCAATCACTCTAGTTCAGTGGACTTGATGATCTCATAGGCCAGACTGGGTTCATAAATAAATCATTGTTGCCACCTAAACCCATGGGATCTGAGGGGTAGGGGGGGACCTCCGTGAAGGAAAACAGATGCTGTTACCAGAAGAAAGAGTAACGGATGCTACACAGGCAAAAACAACAGATATTTCCTTGTGGTGGGAGAAGTGGAGGGCATGTGAACCTCAGGAACACAAGTGGGAGACAGTTCCTAGCCTTGGGTGTGGATACAAGTAAGGACCCAATAAATAATAGAATGAAGGAATGGATAGATGGATGTTGCTTCAGGCGGTTGTAATATGATGAAGAGTCGGTGCTTCTGGGACATGAGTTGCATGCAGGGGCATTGGAGAAGAGGTTGGGGCCATACTTGGAAAAACCTTGAATGCTATGCTAAGGAGCAAGGATTCTCTCTCTCTCTTTTTTTCCCTCTTTTGTTCCCTCCTTCCTTCCTTTCCAGGCCACAAGGAGCTTCTGAAATTTTTTGATCAGAGGTGTGCCATGATCAAAATTTGGAGCAGAAAAAAATCCCTTGAACATTTTGAAGTGCTGTACTTAAGTGAATGTATTATCTCTTGTGGGCCAGGAGTGCCCTCCTTGCCAGTGAAGGTGTTCCTGCAAGATTTGGAATCCCTGGCTGGGAGCGGTGGCTCACGCCTGTAATCCCAGCACTTTGGGAGGCCGAGGCGGATGGATCACGAGATCAGGAGTTCGAGACCAGCCTAACCAACATGGTGAAATCCCATCTCTACTAAAAATACAAAAATTAGTCGGGTGTGGTGGTGCGTGCCTGTAATTCCAGCTCCTTAGGAGGCTGAGGTGGGAGAATTGCTTGAACTGGGACCTGGGAGGCGGAGGTTGCAGTGAGCCGAGATTCCAGCCTGAGCAACAGCGCGAGACTTTGTATCAAAAAAAAAAAAAAAAGAAAGAAAAAAAGGAAAAGAAAAAAGATTTGGAATCCCTTTATCTGGCAGTCCTTGAAACAAGAAAAATGTGAGCACGGCATGGAGGAAGAGCAGCAGCAGGGTATCTGAGATTAGACATACCTAACCCCTTTCAGGGCCTCCAACGAAGCTGTCCCACCTCAGTGAAGGTGAAGGTCTGAACTGGGTGCCCCCAGAGTGTCTCAGACTCATGCTTGTGGGATGGTTGAACAGGTTTGGGTGCGGCCTCCAAGGTGTGTGAACATCTTTCTGAACTGAGGAGCACTTTATGCCATCCAATTCCATGTCATGATCTGGGCATGATTTATTGCCATTCTTTATTACAACTGACTGAGGGGTCCTTTGTAAGAACTCCAGGGTGAAATGTCTCAACACTGATGCACCCCTGGGATGGGCCAAATCATCAAGTGACGACTTGAATCAACTGTGGTTGGGAAAGTATTTGCAGAGGCCTCTGTATGACACAATTCCTCCCTATTCTTATGAGATCCAGTCATGGCTTTTCCTGGCCCAGAATGGAGAACGAGAGTCAGTATTTTAAAAATAAGCTTTGCTTCCAGAGTGGAGGAAGGCATAAAGTCTTTTCTTTCTGTTTTTCTTAATTTTTTTTTAGACTGTCTCACTTTGTAGCTTAGCTGGAGTGCAATGACATGATCACGGCTCACTGTATCCTCGACTTCCTGGGCTCAAGGGATACTCCTGCCTCAGCTTCTCAAGAAGCTGGGACTACAGGCATGTGCCACTGTGCTCGGCTAATTTTTACATTTTTTTGCAGAGATGGAGGTCTCACCATCTTGCCCAGGCTGGTCTCAAACACTTAAGCTCAAGCAGTACTCCCACCTCAGCCTCCCAAAGTGTTGGGATTACAGGCATGAGCCACAGCACCTGGCCTAGATTTTTCTTTTAGTGAAATCATTCCAGGATTGATCAAAGTGGGACACTGTTTGTCCATTTTATATTGTAATGAATATTTCACATCTTCTGCTTGCTATCTGAAACAACTTTTCTGAGAGGTACCCTATTAAAATCTCAGTAAATAGTCAACATAAAGTATAGGAGCCTTTATACTGGGCCTCTAAACGAAGACAAGTGGCAGACAGTGTTCATGCTGAGGAGACATCGAGGCTGGGGGAAAGAGCACTTACTATTCTTTCCCGATAGGATGAATTCCTCTGCTGTGTCCTGTATACCATTCCCCAGGACAAAGCCCTGGCACTGGGGACTTAACTAGGCCCTGTGCCCATTCCTGAATCAATCAATCACTTTGGCTGGGTAGATGTGATGATCTCATAGGCCAGAGCAGGGTCACAGGTTCACGGTTGGATCACGGGTTGATGCCAGCTCACCCAAACCCATGGAACCCAAGGTGAGGGGAGAGGCAGGGTGGCTCCCCAAAGGAAAACAGAGGTGCTGTTACCAGAAAGATGGGTACTGGATGCCAAGCAGACAAAACAAAAGATATTCCCTTGGGGTGAAAGAAGTGAAGGACGTTTGGGGAGTGGAGCTTCTGAGATCGTTCCCAGAGTGAGAATAGTACGGGAATTAAGAGCGTCAAGAGTATGGGAGTTAAGCGTTAAGCTCTAGTGTCAGCCCACTGGGGTTGATTCTCTGCTCTGTTATTTATTAACTCTGTGACTTTGAACAAGTTGCCCAATCTAATGTTTGGCTTCTTCATCTACAAAATAGGGTAACAACAGCACCTATTTCATGAGCTGATTTGAGAATTAAATGAGACTAATGTAGAGCAATTAGTACAATGCCCATAACATGGAAGTGCTCCATCAATGAGACAGACTTCATCACTGGCCTCTTAACATGCAACAGTTTAGCCCCCTTCAGGGAGTGTAGGAGACTTGAGTGAGAGTCTTGCTCAGTAAGCCCACCTTAGTTGACTCCCACTATTCCTGTGCCCTACAGATACTCACCCATCATCTGCTTTGAGTCTTCGTGCTCTCTCTGCTAGCTCTGACTTCTTTAAATCTCATTAGGCTCAAGAGGGGGTTCAAATGCCATGAAAATGATCTATTTTTAAGCATTAGAAGATCGGGTTAGAAACACACTGGTTCTCCCAGAAGAAGACACACGCTCATGGGATTTCCCTGGCAATCCCATAGAGCCTGAAGGTCTGTTGTCGGCAGCTGGATCGGGGTGGAGAAAGGAGCCATTTTCACATCGTTAAGTTTTTTTTTTTTTTTTTTTTTTTTTTGAGATGGAGTCTGGGTCTGTTGCCCAGGCTGGAGCGCAGTGGCGCAATCTCGGCTCACTGCAAGCTCTGCCTCCTGGGTTCACACCATTCTCCGGCCTCAGCCTCCCAAGTAGCTGGGACTATAGGCACCTGCCACCACGCCCGGCTAATTCTTTGTATTTTTAGTAGAGACGGGGTTTCACCATGTTAGTCAGGATGGTCTCCATCTCCTGACCTCGTGATCCGCCCGCCTCAGCCTCCCAAAGTGCTGGGATTACAGTCGTGAGCCACCGTGTCCGGCCTCACATTGTTAAATTTTTTAAAAATTTCACATTACATATTTCCAGCCAGCAAAGCACGGCTGGGCCCTCTGTGGGGGCTGCCTCCATGCCACATCCCCAAAGATGAAGTGACTGGCCAACACTTGCAGCTGGAGTCCCCGGGGCTGCCCAGGGAATGAGGAGTATCTGCACAGAGCTCAAGAAATGGGGAACTATTCACCCAAGATGAGTAAGCAGAGGGCTCCTAGAAGGAAAGAAAATTTTTAATCCAAACATTTCCTGCTCTTATTCCTGCCACTGGAAAACCAAAGCTGAGTGTGTGCCAGAGATTGTGCTTTCTGAAGGGCTCACTGCTGAGAAGGGCAAAATGAGGTTGTCAACATGGGTTCTGCAAAGGGAGGAGGCTGATGTGGGGGATGGAAGAACCAAATCAAAACCAGAAGGAAAAACTGCCACGAAATTTTAAAGTGATCACGTGTGATGTGATTATGCATTTATGTAAAATTATGTGTGTGTATCTATAAATAAATTTGGAAGTTTTAAAAGGTCATATGGTCCCAGCACATTGGGAGGCTGAGGCAGGCAGATTGCCTGAGGTCAGGAGTTCGAGACCAGCCTGGCCAACATGGTGAAACACTGTCTCTACTGAAAATAAATAAATAAATAAATAAATAAAATACAAAAATTAGCTGGGCATGGTGGCTTGCACCTGTAATGCCAACTACTCAGGAGGCTGAGGCAGGAGAATTGCTGGAATCGAGGAGGTGGAGGCTGCAGTGAGCTGGAATCACACCACTGCACTCTAGCCTGGGCAACAGACTGAGACTCCATCTCCAAAAAAAAAAAAAAAGTCATATGGGCTGTAGAAGCAGAGAGACCTGTGTTTGAACTTTAGGTTCACCGCCACCTGGCTTGTGTGACCTCCCTGATCCTCAGTTTTCTCATCTATAATTATAGATGATTATAGAACTTCATTCAAATGTCTTGGGGATTCAGTGATTAATATAGTACAGCGTTAGGTACCTAGTTAAATGTTAGCTAATATTGTCAGTCATTGAGAGAAAACAGAGCCTAAAGGCTAACAGGCGGGGTGGGTAAGGGTGACTAGAGTTTTCAATTCTCCAGAAAGCCCTGACTCCTCATGTTTCAGTCACATTGAAATCATACCTAACCACCCAGCCACCTCTCTCTCTCTGCTCTTTCTCCCCACTCCCACCTTCCCCATTTCTCTCTCTCCCCCCTTCATTCTTGATCCTTGCTGTCCTTCTGCTTGGGACATGTCTCCATTTGCCTAAGTGGGAAACTCTTCTCTATCTTTCAAGGTCCATCTTGAATGCCACCTCTTCCGTGAAACTTTCTCTGGTTCCTATTTCCCAGTAGGAAGGATGCCTCTTCCTCATCGCACTGCACTACCTGCCACACACTGCTAGTATGGTCATACCACATGGCAAACGCTGTTCCTTGTATATTTCCCTATGGCAGAAGCCAATTTTGAGTTCCCTGAAGACAGAGATCATGTCTTACACTTCCTGGTTGTAGCAGCTCCGGCATGGAAGAGGTGGTCAATAACTGATGGCTGAATGGAAACATAAAAAATCGAGGGTGATTGCTCTCAATGGGCCATGGCCAGTTACTCCCCACTGTAAGGAAAAACAGAACGGAAATGGACTTAAGCTGCCACATGGGAAACTTCAGTCAGACCCAAAGAATTCCCTCAGTGAGAGTGTTAGATATCAGACCAAACTCCTGTGGGACAGTGTGGAATTTCCGTGAAGGGACTTTACAAAGGAATACTTCTTTTATGTTTGGGGGTGATTCTGATGTGGTTTTGCTTGAAGGCAGGCCCTTTTCACATAAGGTTCATGAAACAACCCCTAAGTAACCCAGATGACAGCACAGGGTCTCGGGCTCTTGGTCAGCTGCTTCTCCAGATGGTTTCTTGTGCCCAGCACCAGCCAAGGAGGCTGGGAAAGAATGTGGCTGTGTGTGCCTGAGTGGAGGGTGGGAGGTCTTCCTCCCACAAGCTCCAATCCCAGTATGTGAGCAAATGGTGCGTTTTGCCAAGGGTCACAAAGTTACCCTGTGTTCAAGTACCCAAGTGTAATAACATGCAATTTCTTTCTTCCAACTATAACTGTAGAGTAAAACAGGGAGGAGGAACTGCCTTCTAGTGCAGTGCTTTCCCCACTTTTTTTCCCCTTGGTCAGCCCACCCAGGGGCTATGAGCACCTGCTGCATGCCAGCCCTGGGCTGGGTACTGGGCAGAGATGAACAAGACCTGGTCTCTGTCCTAACTGAGCTGTTTATTAAGAGCAAGATGGGCCTCAAACATTTGATGACAAATCATGAATTAATTATAGGTAGAAAGTACATGAGGGAGAAAAATGGTGTGATAGGAGAAAAGGTGTAACAGAAAGATGGCCATCCTCTACGGCCATAATTTCAACTTGCTCATCACAGGTGAGGCAAGCATGACTACTCCTTTTCTTTGTCACGAAGATTCAGAAAAGGTAGAAAAACAGTTAATAATTCTTTCCAATAATCTACCCCCACCCACAAATCCCAAAAGGACATCCAGCCACAGTGTCAGAACAAATATTTCAAGTTTACGGTGGGCACAAGACCTGGAGGGTAAGATGTGATTTGGCACCTAAAGAAAGAACCCATGGACTCACGTTTTTACTAATTTGCTGGTTGGCCTGGGGAAGGCATCAAAGCTACCTGGCTTTCAGCTAATAGGAAGTTGCAGCAGGCTTCATGGAGCCAATGACGTAAGAGACGTGACAGATTTACAGTGCGACAGGAGTTGCTAAGTGCTGTGGGATACAGAGGGTCTCCGTGTTGATCATTTCAACTTAAAACCTTCTGGCTTTGGTCCTCACTGTCTGATGTTGACTGGGTACCGCAGGGTGGCTTTCTGAAGGATGCATCCCGGCATGGGCATGCCCCTTCCCTGCGGATGGTTATGCAAAGCTCCTCCATGTGACAAACCTCACCCACCCCGAGCAGTTACCATGGAGGTTAGAGCCTCCCTTGGCTGCTGTGCAGGCTGCAGTCAGCCAACACTGACTAACCCCGCATAGTTAATTAGTGGCAGCTTAGCTTGGTGCTATTAAAAGCAGGGCAAGCCAATGACACTGACACATTCAGGTAGGAGAGAAGTGTGGTATCTGAGTGGAGGTTGGGAAAGAACTGAGAAAATAAGAAATTAGAGCCATGACTTAATTCTCATGAGCAAGCGTGTTTGGGGTCTGAGAAAATCTCTCATCACACTCACTCTCTAACATTTACCTAATTTCAACTGTCAATCAAATCCACTTCTAACCCAGGTGCTCTTAGGACTAATCATGCAGTCAGAACTGAGTGAAAAACACCAAGCAAAACCACAGGACGTGACAGTTTGCGCTCTGCTCTGAGTGGCTGTTAAAAGCAAAACAAAATTAAAACCTTCTGCTAGGAAGGCATGAAAGTTGAAGTGATTGGGAAATCTATTGGAAAGGCCAAGGACAAAGATAAAATACACACCACGTATTTCATTCTCTCCATGAAGGATCAGACATAGATGTACACCATACTCAGAAAGCCTCGCCTAGTTACAGGATGACCCACACATGTGGGACGCTTTGGGTGCTGGGGGAGTTTTCCAGAGGAGGCTGTCAACTCAGTGAGGGCAGCAGCTGCTGCCAGCCTGTGCTGTTCACAGGGGTAAACGAGTGCCCGAAGTGGCAAATGAGGACAAGCAGACAGCTCACATGTGACCCACGCATTTAAATAGCCCCCCTCCCCTTAGAACCAGGACCAAGGGAGCTTCACATCCCTTCCTCCCCTCCCAGGGCAAGCATCTGAAGCCAGAAGCCTCATCCTCAGTCCCCAGAGCGCTGGCTTCCCCATGCCGCCTCCACTGAGCCCATCAGGGAGTCCTCTGTGCTTGTGGCAGAAGCTGGGAGCTCACTGGAAGCCTGGGTCCCAGGCTGCCACTCAGAATGTATCTGGAAGGGACATGATGAATGCGAAGACTCAGTGATCTGGCTTGGCCTGGGACAGCATGCAACAAGCTCTAAACAACAGACTTACAAACCAGCTGTGCTGGGGGCATTGCCTGTGTTCTGGCTCTGATGATTCCATCCTTGTGTTCATGAGGTTTCAGAAAATAGGTGATTAGAAAGTCAAATTTAGGAAGAATAAAACAATATGTATTCTAAGAGAAGAACGTTAGAAATGTGAAGTGGACTATGACTCTTCGGGCTCAATTGTTTAATATGCCTGAGGAGCAAATTCTCAAGTTTCCTAGCATCTGACCTCTTCCTAAATGGAAAGCAAAGCTTCTCAGAGCTCATCAGAAATAAGCACGGTGGTTGTCACCAAAAACCGCAGGAGCCGAGACTTGTGACCTTTGATCATCATGTATATATGCTTATTTGAAGACATATTAAAGCATGTATTGAGTCAAACTCTATCAGAAACTCAAGAAAATACCACCAAATGGAAAAGTCATTTAATTCAAAAATCATACGTCCACTCATTTCATAGGGATTGTCACATAAACCAACCACATGTAAGAAAGCCAAGTTTCAGAGGCCTCTGAACAGAAATTTTGTTTTCTTTATAGATATATTTGGTGACACAAAAGCATTTTTTAAAAGCCTGAACATGGCAACAGGGCTACTAACAGGGACAAAGGTCTATTCTAGTCACAGATTACTTTCTAATTACAGCATTGGATTCTATGCACGAGTCAATAGTCAATACTGAAGTTTAGAACAGTGCGTTATTTTAAAAGAAAACATTAAAGTGCCATTTAATAAGTACTTTATTGATATTATATCACACAGCACTTTACAGTATACTCAAAGATAGCCTAAATTATGAATTAAACATGCAAATATTTTCTTTTCCAAAATGTGGACAAAATGTCTTTTAGAGTGCTTTTGAACACTAGCCTTAGCTACTAAGCATTCATGGGTTTGATCTTTCTTGCGACATGACTTTAAGTAAGTTAACAAAAAATGTAGCTGTAGACAGTAATTGTTTGATAAATATGAACAGTTTTAAAATGGCACTGAATTTACATCTTTAATCATTTTAATAGGCCATCCACAGCCTCTCTTGTGTCTCTAATTCTCAACCTCCGAGTCTTAAAGGCTGTAAAGGCTCAGAAAGTGCCAGCTCATGTGGGTCTCTGTAAGTGTCTATGTCTTCATAGATGTAAATATGTGCTGTATACACACACATACACACACACATAAATATACTTTAGAATCAACAGATGTGCATTGTCAGATACAAGGTTGATTCTGGCATCTGGATAACCAAGAAAGCTGCTTTTAGGTGTCTGGACAACTTTGTAGAAATGGTTGACGTAGAACAGTATAGAATGTCTTAACCTCTCCAGGACTGCTCCAGGTAACTGACATTTTGTTTATCAATACTCTGGTTCTGACTAAAGTGAATTTTGACATGGACATGTCATGTCATGTCATACCCACACAAGGGTCTAGGTCTATGCTAAGCCTTTGCTCTCTAAAGCATTCCACCTTGAGAGACGTTTTCACTCTGTAATGTCTGGCACAACTTTTGTAAAAATATTAGCTGTGAAATTTTTCTGTGATCGCTTTTTTTTTTCTCCTCAGTAAGCATAATATTTATCCTTCTAAAAAAGTATCCAAAGCTCCTTAGGATGGTTCACCTTTCTCTTTCTCTCTAGTCCTGGTGTTACTTTGCATCCAACACTTTTTCCTCTCAATAATACAGGTGCTTCCACTGGAAGACCACATTTCAGCAAGGACTGGCTCTGAATGACACCTGGATTCTATGGCCTTTCCCTCCACTTTGGGAAGCTCTTTAGTTAGACAGGTACTGTAGGCGGCAGGAGAAAAAAAGCTAATTATTACTTGTTGGAGTCTTGTCTCAGGCATGCTGTGGGGCTGTGCAAGATTCGCTGCTCTGCTGCTGTTGTCATTTTGATGCTACAATTACAGAGAGGCGGTTCAGCACCCAGCCGATCGGTGTGGCTGCCAAACACATTTGAGCATGACAAGATAAATTTGTTAGACACCAGCACAGGGTGGGTGAGAAGACATCCTGCTGACTTTATAAAGTGATGTGGGGCAGGGTTGTCGAGGTAAGTGATGATTGTCAAGTTTGCCAGAGATGATAGATAACTCCTTTGGCAGAACACCTAGGTCATTCCTTTTAAAGTCAGGTAGCTAAGAGGCTGTTTGGTTTCTGCAGCGCTGGCTACCTACTTGGGGAACATGGTTGCTCACAAAACATTCAGTACTTGGGCAAACTCTGGGTGCCATGGTGGCCACTGCTGTCTCCGGGAGTGCCATGTCCACAAAACTCAGTCATCCAGACTTGCTTTTGGGAGCAGAAGCCAGAGGATGACAGGTGCCAACAGACAGGCAGGGATCAGGTTATCTTTGGCTTCTTCTTTCTGTCTTTCTCCCCCTCAACTGTGAATGCTTTTGGAGCCTCTGCAGTCAAGACAGAGCTTTTACTGAGACAGCAGTTGCCATTTTCAGCTGATAGAAACTCAGGGGATAGAAGGCCTTCCCTTTGAGCCGCAGGTATGGCACACACAACTCTGCAGCTCTGGGCAAGTGCCTTGGGATGCCCTTGTCACTAGTATGGCTCTGTCCTGCTAATGCCAGTCTGTCAATACTTGATTGTTCATTCTTTCTCTTTGCCTCTCACCGAAAAGCACTCGGTGAGAGGAAATGAACTGATATTCAAAAAGACAGTGTGGTCTGACATAAGAAAACACATATTGGCCGTATAAATACTTCAGACATTAAGCTAAAGACTGGCTCCAATTCTAGGACACCAAGGCAGGCCACAATGCACAGGGTCCATCCCTATATATGTTTATTTTGAAAAACAGGAGAAAAGATCTTCTGTCTTGAGCAAGTCAGGGTTTTACTTGCCTGGGGGCAGGGATTTGAAACCAGCTGTCTTCTCCTGGCATGGCATTCTTTTTTTTTTTTTTTTTTTTTCCTTTGAGACGGAGTCTGGCTCTGTCACCCAGGCTGGAGTGCAGGGGCGTGATCTTGGCTCACTGCAATCTCTGCCTCCTGGGTTCATGCCATTCTCCTGCCTCAGCCTCCAGAGTAGCTGGGACTACAGGCGCCCGCCACCACACCCGGCTAATTTTTTGTATTTTTAGTAGAGACGGGGTTTCACCGTCGTAGCCAGGATGGTCTCAATCTCCTGACCTCGTGATCCGCCCGCCTCGGCCTCCCAAAGTGCTGGGATTATAGGCGTGAGCCACTGCACCCGGCCATGGCATTCTTTAGCTACGAAATTTTGTTAGTAACCTGAAGGAAGAGTGAGAGGCTGACCTTAATACCCCTAAAAGATTCAGGCTATGGCTAAGTGATCCCTGGGTCTTACAAAGGAAACTGGAGGCTACTGGGAAAGCTCAGGGATCCTGGGCCATGGTCTTCCACTCTGATAACCAATTCATTCTCCTCATCTGCCCTAAAGTTTCCTGTTCACACAGAGAGAGTCAGAGGTAGGGGGCATGGATAGGGGAGAGAGTAAAATCTTTAGTCTTCAAGTTCCTTCCTACTCATTGGCTCATATTCTGAAGTTTATCCAGTTTTGTAGCTAATAGGAAGGAGGGGAGCCTGGCTGGGCAAAGGGAAACAGAGAAGCCATCTGTCAAGGGCACCGCACAGCCACAGGGAAGCTGGGGAGGGGGTACCTGAAAGATCCCATTGGCAGCAGCTCATGGGCACTGCACAGACACACGGAAGCTAGGGAGGGAGTTACCTAAAAGATCCCATTGGCAGCAGCTCTGTTTCTCCCGATTTCAAATCAGAGCCAACTCAAGAGGGAGGGACATGCTTCCAAGCAGTGAAGCTGGGGCCAAATGTCTACAGGGATGCTTCGTGAGGCACCCCCAAAGCAAGGATCTTGGCCTTCTGTTCCTCCACATGAGCTCCAGGTAAGTTTATGATGGGACAGATTACAACTTCAAACATCAAATGTGGTCGGCCGCAGCGGCTCACACCTGGAATCCCAGCACTTTGGGGGTCTGAAGTGGGCAGATCACTTGAGGTCAGGAGTTCGAGATCAGCCTGGCAAACATGGCAAAACCCCATCTTTACTAAAAATACAAAAAACTAGCTGGGTGTGATGGCTCATGCCTGTAGTCCCAGCTACTTGGGAGGCTGAGACAGGAGAATCACTTGAACCTGGGAGGTGGAGGTTGCAGTGAGCCAAGATTGCGCCACTGCACTCCAGCCTGGGCCACAGAGTGAGACTCCATCTCAAAAAACAAACAAAAACACAAATAAAAAACCTCATCAAATGTGTTAAAAGCATGATGTTGGTCTCTCTTTGAGAAGCGTAATAGTATGTGAATGCACATCCCCTGAGGCCTCCATTTCCCAAGGTCTTCTTGTCCTCAGGTTCACAGATCTAACCTACTAGTATACTCCCTTTCTTCTCGAGTTTTCCCCAGTGGCTTTCTTGAGTTCTGTCTTGGTCCTGTCCATTCTTAATTCTCATTCCCTGATTCAATGGTAGTGTCTCGCTTGCTCCTGGGTGAGTTCCCGGAAAAGAGCTGTATAATCCTTGAGCTGATAAACTGAGTAGTGAATCACCATGACAAACCCCTGTTAACTTTAAAACCACCTGTAAAGCTATGACGGCACAATCTATACCCCTCCTGGAGTCTTCCTCTTCTTTTGGGATCACGGGAATTGGAGGTGAAAGGGAAGAGTTTTAAAATGTTTAGGAGAAGGGAAAGCAGCAGCACATTGAGAACTGAACATTCTAAGAAGCTGGTTCTTTAAGAACTTACAGACGCACACAAAATTTGAAAACTAGCTTGTCCACATTTCTAAAGCCTCAGAAGATGTGGAGAAAAAGAAGTAAAGAGCACAGCAACTGACTCATCTCTTTCTGGCCTGATATCTTGGGGGTACCAAGAAATACACCTGAGAAGAAAGACAAAAACTCGAATGCCTGACCCCACTTATTTAAATCCTGAGCTTCATCTTACTACTAAGTAGGCATTCTTTGAAAAACTCATTGCCTGGAGATGCTCTTCCCATCTCCAAATCCAAAGCCCAAGGGATGCTTAAAAACACATAAAGACTGAACACCACTGATGTGTCGTGCCCACCAACAGGACAGCAGAGAGCAAGGCCATAGAAATGTCTTCTCTTTCCTTCAGGCCGAAGCGGGGACAGTGACCTTGACTCTCTTCAGCTTTGCCTCCCCTCTCTCCCTCTTAAACATACTTCTTCAGCAATCAAAGCCTAAGTGTGTGAGCAACTAACTTAAAGAATATCAAATATAAAACTTTGCCATATAGTATTTCAAATCACTCTATTTACAAGTTTATCTTTTCAAAAAAAAAAAAGTAAAAGATACAGTAATTCAACACAATTCAAGTTTTTCTTTTCTTCTTTAAAGTTCCCTAACAAGGAATTCCAGAAACAGGAAACACTCTGAAGCAACGCTGCCATCCAAGGGGCTCCTGGGGAGCTTGACGGTCCATCGGTTTGTAGTTTGTCTAGAGTCACCCTTGCAATGACATTCACATGTGGAAGATACGGATAACTCTGTTGTTTGCAGGCCAAGTGAATTTGAAATCTCCAGGTAGTACTTCCCCATCCAAGACAGTCTTCCACAAGATCCAGCCTCTTTTCACCAGCAAATTCCCTTTTTCAGAGGGTACTCATCCCACCCTCCAACCTTGGGTTTCTTCCTGAATCACAATGGCCTATATTAGTCTCAAGCCTTGAAAGACTGAGAAATAATTCCCTTTTTCAGAGTGGCAGTGAACATAGATGTGCTTTTAAACTATAGGCCATACGGTTAGCCTAGGAATTAACCTTGAAAACCACCACAGCACCAGTGTTCAGCAGCCCAGAGTAGGGCAAGGGGGCTGGCCAGTGGTGGGTTAGAGGCAGGCAAGGGTGGGAGCAGAGATGGGTGAATGGGAGGACATGGGGAAACCAGTCAGATGGCATCACCCATTGGGAGGCAGCATCTTACCCTTTAAAAAACAAACATCAGTTGCATGGAGGAACAGAAATATTAAGACTATGTAATTTAATCTCAAGAGGTTACTAGGGTGTGCTCCAAATATATTCCGATGCTGCTGAAATTAATCAGAAAGGGAACAGTTCCCAGCTACTATCCCATCTGCCTCAAGTAGACCACCCTAATTCCTTGATCCTGTGCTTCAAGTTGTTAGAAAACCATTCAAAAAAAGTGTACCAAAAAGGGGAGAAAAAAAATGTGTCATGCAAAGAGGATGTGTTATTTTATTTTTTTGGTTTGGTTTTAGAGTAGGTTGGGTTGCCGTGGTTACTAGGCGATGGATGGCAGCCCTTGGTGGCAGAGAGGTTCCTAGCCTGGGAGGGAGAAACGCAGGGTGTGTGTGTTCCCGTGCATGAGAAGACTGGATTGTATCTCACTGATGACAGGCCAACGGCTGCTTTAGAGATGGTGAGAGATTGGATCTTATATAAACAGTGTTTTAACCCTCTTCATCCTGCATGCAAACAGATCCAGCTGCCTGTAGCACTTTAAGTCTCAAGTACTGAGAGGTGGGGTAGAGAGAGTGCCTATTGTAAACAAAAGCAATGGATCCAGCCTGGATCTCAGCGCCAATTTCTTCACCCAGCCCCAGCAGGCTTAGCTACACAGTGTGCTCTCAGGGACTATTTCTATCTGACTTCCTCTTTCTGAAGGTTGGGCGTTTGGACCGTTGAAACAAAATGAGTGCCCCCTATTCAGGGTACTCATGAGAAAACGGCTTTGCAAGTCTTCCTCTTAGTTATCAAATGCTCTCCTCTGCTGATTGACTTCTTTTCTTGCAGTACTGATGCATGTTGGCTGAGATGATCATGGAGATGAGTGACACCAGAGCTCACAGAAACATTCATGTTGACAGGTAGCAACAGAGTCAGTCACGCTGCATTTCTCAGTGGCAAAGAGAAATGGCCTCGACACTGGAATCAGCAGTTGTCATGGATACCATGTAAAGCTCAGCAGTTCTGCTGGGGCCCACGGTTAGAGGAACTCCACGTAATTCTCAGGGATGAGGCCAGTCTTTCCGTTCAGAGTCCCCTCCAACCAGCCAGGCTCCTGAGATGGGTGAACTGTACAGGAAGGGGAGAGAAAGCGAGAAGAGATGGCATTACAGATAGAGCAGGCGGCAGATGTGTGTGTGGGGTGTGTGTGTGTGTGTGTGTGTGTGTGTGTGTGTGTGTATGAAGGAAGCTTGGACAATGAGTACAATCACTTATTAAGTTACATCATTCTAGAAGTTTAAACCAAAGGTTCTGAACCTTTTGTGGAATATAAGCCTTCTGATGAAAGCTGTCCTGAACTTTCTTTACAATGAAAAAGGAAACAGACACAGACATACAAAATTTTGTGTACAATTTTAGGGGTTTCACGGATTTTCTGAAGCTCCTGGTTTAAACTACAAAGAAGTGACAGATTCCTACTCTTGTTAGAGGGCAACAGTTGTCCTGGTCCATCCATACATGTATCCATCCTTCCATCCTTCCTTCCTTCCTTCCTTCCTTCCATCCATCCACCCACCCACCTGCCCAGTATCAACTATGTACTCAGTGCAGTGCCCATGGAAGACTGCTAAGAACTACTCTTTAAAGATATCCAGCTTCTAGAGGCTGGGCCTGGTGGTTCACGCCTGTAATGCCAGTACCTTGGGAGGCTGAGGCAGGTGAATTGCTTTAGCCCAGGAGTTTAAGAACAGCCTGGGCAACATGGCAAAACCTTGTCTCTACAAAATATACAAAAACTACCTAGGTTTGATGGAGCGTGTCTGTAGTCCCAGCTACTTGGAGGAGGGGGAGTGCCGAAGCGGGAGGATCGCTTGGGCTCAGCAGGTCGAGGCTGCAGTGAGCCGTGATTGCACCACTGCACTCCAGCCTGGGCGACAGAGCAAGACCCTGTCTCAATCAATCAATCCAGCTTCTTGTCATCATCTTACTTTCCTTCAAATCCTTACCCCCTGCTTCTAATTTCCTTGCAAATTTTCTGGGGTTTTTTTTTTTTTTTTTTTTGGTTGCTGTCATTTTGAATAGCCTTTGAATAGCCATTTCTCTGTTTCACTCACACCCTTTCTTAGTTTTCTTTCCTGTTCTCTAGATTTCCCCCTCCTCTATATACCAGTTTGAAAATTCTTCTCTTCCTCCCTCTATTGCCCTTTGATTTTTCAGTATCCAAAGAATATATATCTACTTTTGTGACATCATGATCCATCTCCATGGAAACCATTGTGATATTATAAAGATTATCTAAAATCCAGCTGAGTCTGCACAGTAGTCAATAGCAGGAAGGAAGAGAGAAGGAATCATGGGACTAAGAGGTGGGGGATGTTCATGCTTGTCAACTGAAGATGTACAGATCACTCTGCAGTGAGGCAGGACATTTACTCTTAATGTGTTAGGAAAACTCCAATTTTCCAAGATTATTTGGAGAGAATAGATTTTCCCCTATTCCCTTCCTGGGCTAATTAAATGACTTCCTGAGCTTGTTTTAGAAAAGCATTTCCGCTCCGACACTGCTACAGAATTCTAGTTTCAGTTTGTAGGGAAAGACGCAAGAACAGAAACCAAAGGAGACAAATGGGAGGCAGCAAAAGAATCAGCCTTGAGGCTTCCAGAAGATCAGTGTCAGTCAACTTTGGGTACACCTTGAGTGCCTCCTTAGGAAAAGACAAGGTTAAACATCTATTAGTTGGCCTCCAAAGTTGGCCAATTTCAGATCACTAAGCTTCAGGAATAAACAGCAAGGATACTTTGGGTTCATGACAACCCACACAAGAGACAGTCTGGGAGAGAAGTGCCTTGGAAGAAGACACAACTTAAAAGCAACCTGGCCTCTCCAATGACCAAAGCTCTCCCATGCCACTCTTAAAGAACACCCATATACCCCTGCCCTCTGCCCATCCATCCAACCAAAGCTTCCAAGATCACTTCAGTTTCTGCACTTCATACTGGTGACAACAAGACCCTCTTCCCTTTACTGGGTTCTTGCAAATATGAAAGGAGCTGGTGTGGATAAAGCACTCGGCACAGAGCCAGGCACAGAGCAAATGCTCAGTACAGGCTAGTCAGTAGGAGACCCTGGATCGGGACTGCTCAGCAAGACCCCCTCCTAGTAGCGACCTAGTAAAACCAGATGGCCCTTACCACCCACCTAAGCTTCAGGAAAAATCAAATGTTTAGAATAAAATTAACAAATCAAACCCATTCTCCAAAATAAAAACGTAGAAAGAATAAAGCAGCCAGACTGACAAAACAAAAAAACAAAAACCAGGCCCTCCCGCTTTATAGCCAAGCTCCAAGTTGAGTTATTACTCTACTGGATGCACTGAGTCCATCTCCTTCAGACCTTTCTCCTTTTCCTGGCTAGCTGTTCACCCACAGCACAGGTACTGGGGTGAAAACATTTACAATGCAATTTGAGGGCTAAGGGAAGAATTAGAGGGGACAAGAGAGGCCCTCCAAACTGGAGGCCAAAAGGTAGGTCACAGGAGATGGCAGGAGATAACACAGCCTTTGGGTTGGACTGCTGACTCACTGAGGCTTCAAGCCAGGATTTATACGAAAGCATGTGCCAGACCATGTGCTTCGGAACCCTCAGGATGCTTATTCAAACTGCACATTCCTGGGCCCCATGGCAAATCAATTAAAGCAGAATCTCTGGGAATGGGACACAGGAACCTGTATTTTCACTAGCTCACAGGAAGTTAGGAGCTATAACTTTTCTGTGCCCAAATGCCTCTGAGATAAAATGCAAATTGTCATTTACTAATAGAGGAGGGAGGCAGCACCAGTGCCCCCTTTCTTTCTGCTGTCTTCTGTTTCCATGTAAAGGCTTAGCTGAAGCCCCACTTCCTTTGTAAATACTACCATGGAATCCCTTCTACCTGCTCCCTCCTCCTCCAGACACCTAAAATGCTCATAGTACATTCCACATAGTATTCATGGGTCCTATTTATATGCTGTTCAAACGTGCTAAGCTTTGCTTCTCTATCTAGTTTTTCAGTGCGTTTTGGTTTGGATTATAGCACTTCCTGGCTCCACAACCTTCAGTAACTCCCTTCTGCCTCGTGAATTATAATGATACAAGCTAACACTTAGATATGTTATGAAGCTGCTGTGTGCTTGGAGTTTTAGACATGTTGATTCATTTGATCCTCAGGATCCCAGCTTGTATTATTATTATCTGTATTTTGCAGATGAGAAAATTAAGGCTCAGAGAGGTAAAATAATTTGTGCATGGTCATAATACTGGAACCAAAATTTGAACCCAGCTTGTTTGACTCCAGAGACCAACTCCCTTCCCACTGTATCAGGCCTCTATTTAACCAGAGGGTGTGACCCATGCTGATAAGGATGATAACATGTTGAGCACATGCCAGGTGGCAGACCCTTTGCGAATACGCACTTCACACCTGAGTTTCCTCCTTTCATCTTCAGAATGACTATGGAGTTGGTTCTGCTATTATCCTCACTTTACTGATGAAAAACTGTGGCTGTGAAAAGTTAAGCATCTTGGCCAAAATTAAATATTAATAGCTGGTAGACAATGAAAATGAATCAGAGACCAAGACATCTGATCCCAGAGTCTGTCACCTTAACTACTACTGCTGTTGCCTAGCCCAATGCTCTGAACATCAAAGATGCTAAGTGCTTGTTGGGCTGAATGGCGCCAATGTGCAACACTGAACTGCACCAGTGTCCAACATGCTATACAAACACAAAAGGTGTTGCCACAAGCTGCCTGAGTGGCTCTTCAGCTCAACAGCATATACTAAATATAAGCTGCTGGGGACATGGGTGAGCTTCCTGCCAACCACTTTCTCTCGGCTCTACCCATGTACACCATACATCCCTGTGTACACAACTCATGTCTTCTGCCCTCCTTCACTCACCATGGACAGGGAGCAAGTGTGTGACTAAGGTCTCTAATGGCTGACTGTCCCCAAAAGAAGTCTTAACTAAAAGAGGTGCAGACCCCTGGGTAATTAAAGTACATTCACTCATTTAACAAATGTTTACTGAGCACCTACCACGTGCTAGACACCATGCTAGGTCCTTGCACATAGCACAGAACAAGCAGACCAGATTTTGCTCGGCAGGACAATCAAGCAATAAGCAAGCATATAATTTTAGGTAGTGGTAAAAGGAGAGAGAAAGACTAGAGCAGTGGGTAGTGCAAGTACAACGGCCCTGTGACGGGAAAAAGCTGGGCATGATTTTAGAACAGTGGTGTGCATCTATTTCTTAAAGGGCCTCATAGTGAGAGTGTCTCTCTCCTTAACTCTGCCACTGTAGTGCCACAGATAACACGCAGACACAAAGGCATGAGTGTCTGTGTTCCAGTAAAGCTTTATTTACAAAAACAGGTGGCGGGTTGGATTTGACTGGCAGGTCATAGTTTGCTGACCTTACTTGAGAACATAAAGAAGGCCTGCAAAGCTGCAGTATGTCAAGTGAGGGTGAGAGGAGGTCAGAGGGGTAGGAACTAGGCCCTAGGGGCCTTGTAAGTCATTCTCAGAGCAGTGGGAGGCCACTGATAGATTTTAAGCAGGAAATAACATGATGTGATTTTCATTTTCAAAGATGACTCTTGCTGCTATGTGAAGAAGGGGTTCTGGGAGCAAGAGTGGAAGCCAGTGACAAGATGTGTCAGGCGGCCAGTGGAAGCGCCCAGGTGAGAGGTGAAGGTGGCCTGGGCTTGGGCGTGGCAGCGAAGATGGCTGGAGAAACTGAAGGAGATCCCTGAGTGCCCTCCTGTTAACCCATTTCCTAGGCAGCTTGGGGGCTCCCCCATGAGGATGTTCTCCAGCAGCAAAGGAAATTTGGGACAGGCCTGCTGTGTAGTGGTGCTGTGTTAGGTACCATGGGAATGAATGGATCCAGCTCCTCTCAAATCTTATTAAAAGTATCCCTAGAACCCAATTTTAGTGACTGCCATGTGCATTTTCCAGGTATCACGAATCATGCTGCTTCAAGATGACTAACGTTCCTGAGAATATGAGCTATTTCTCTTTCCAGTTACTGTCTGAGGTGCTCTTGTTGAAATGGACAGTTTCCCAGTAGATTGGCCAGGGATGACACTGGAATTATTTCTAGGTATTGCACGTATTGCACATCCATTTCCCACTGCACAAAGCCCATGAGCTGACAGCAGCAGCCACTCCAGAGTCACAGTAGGGGCCCCTGGAATCCAAAGGCTTCAAGATTAATCATTACGAAACAACAGACTTTCCCCTCCACGGGCCCCTCCCTTTTCCTCTTCCTTATTCATTCTTCTTAATCCTGAAACACACAAAAAGACACACATACACACACACACGTGCACTTTCTGATTGGTTTGATCATTTAATCTGACAACTACACAGCATACAAATTAAACAGCCTTTACCTCATATCCCCAGCAGTAAACTAACAAGAAATGGAACAAGGAAAAAGACCCCCCACCCCACCCACCGCCTGACAGAATAATAGTGTTCTGTAATGCCTCATTTTCTCCTGTAGAGGTGAAGGAGTGGGGAGGAAGAGGGTCTGTGTAAGCATTTTCCTCTGGAAAAAAGACCTAATAACATATTTTGAGCTAACCCAATTGAGAAAGTGTACTAACGTTTTGTCAGGTCCATTTTCTACTGCAACTCAGTCAACACTGAGAGGTGTTTTCTTTCAGGTTCAATTTGGCCTTTTGCTCCTCAGGGAATTTGAAAGGTCACTGGCAAGGCTGGTTAAAAGCAGACCAGTGTCAGCGAACTCTGCCATGACTCCTAGAGACCACAGGAAGGCTTGGGTAAGGTCTCTCACTCACTCAACCAAACTTTCCTCCTGCTCTCAACAATACCTATAGGATTTATGATGACGACCATGTTGTATGTGGGAGCAGTTACAGAATTGTTAGGTGACAGGTGGCAGGTTGGATTTGACGGGCAGGTCATAGTTTGCCGACCTTGCTTGAGAACATGAAGAAGGCATGAGGCTGTAGTATGTCAAGTGAGGGCGTGAGGTCAGAGGGGCAGGAACTGGGCCCTGGAGGGCCTTGTAAGTAATTCTCAGAGCAATGGGAGGCCACTGAAGGGCTTTAATGCCATTTCCGTTTTTCAAAGATCACTCTCGCTGCTCTGTAAAGAGGGGGTTATGGCAGCAAGAGCAGATGTGAGAAGATGTGTCAGGCGGCCAGTGGAAGTGCCCAGGTGAGAGGTGGAGGTGCCCGGAGCTTCGGTGTGGCAGTGAAGATGGCTGTGGAAGCTGAAGGACACTCTGCTGGGGAAAAAAAGGACTTGGCAGTTAACAATCATCCAGGCTTCTCTTCCTTTTTCCCCCTTTATGCTTAACTATTTAAGCTACTGCAGAAAGACTTAAAAATGAAAGAAGGTAGGAACATAAAATGGTAAAATGGTGCAACTTCTTTGTGAAACAGTTCGGCATTTCCTCAAACACTTAAACACGGAATTAATATGACCCTGCAATCCCACTCCTAGGTATATCCCCAAGAGAACTGGAAACCTACGCCCTCACAAAAACCTACACACATGTTCACAGCAGCATTATTCAAGCAGCCAAAAAGAGGAAACAACGTGCCCATCTACTGATGAATAAGCTTACATAAAATGTGCTATATCCATACCATCGCACATAAAAAGGAAGAAGGTTCTGACATGCTACAATGTGGATGAACCTTGAAAACATTATGCAAACTAAAGAATCCAGTTTCAAAGATCACATACTATATAATTCCATTTGTATGAAATGTCCGGAGCAGGCAAATCTAGAGAGACAAAGTAGAAGAGTGGTTGCCTTGGGCTGGATGGAAATGGGTTGTGGTAAGTGGGGCATGACTGCTAAAAGGTATGGGGTTTCTTTTGGGGGTGATGAAAATATTCTGGAATTATATAGTGGCAATGGTTGCACAACTCTGAATATACTAAAAACCATTGAATTGTACATTTTAAATGGGTAAATTGTATGTTGTATGGCTATCTTAATAAACCGTTAAAAAATGGAAGAAGGCTGCACTCACCAAAAGGAATCAAAAAGAAGACAGAAGCATATACATAACTTTTGATAGTTTAAAACAATTCTGCCCCTGAGATCAGGAGTCCTTTGTGTTGTCAGAGGGAATGGTTGTTAGAAACATGATGATCCCCTGCCCATATGAGCAGTGAATTGGGACTTAGAGGACAGACCTTTAAGCCCTGGATTCACCTGTCAATGTAGGAATCTCTCAAATCCTGCTCTTCTATAGGCAGAAGCCCCTTCCTTGCTGACAAAGCAGGGGGGCAGAAGCCCAAGCAACGCAGCCCATTCTGGTTTGTCTTCTGCAAGGGCCGTGTCATGTTACGGCAGGGCCAGGACTCCGCCGCCTGGGCCTGTGTGGGGGACACTCACCAGTGAAATGGCTTTGGACAGCCTTCAGCAGACCCACTGCACCTGCAGTCTGCTGGGGCCTGCAAGCACCAGCTGTGGACAGGAGAGGTGGCTGGGCTGGCTGTTCGTGCATTTTGATTTATAAAGGGCCTAGATGAAAGTTAATGGAGCAAAGGCTTAAGGACAGTGCTTGAGGCTTTGAGAACGATAAAAGGGAATGCAGACTCAGACGCCCACATGCAGTTCTGGGGTAATCCCTCCCACTCCTGCTGACCCAGAAGGCCAAGGGTTGAGTGTGACCTGGGAGAGACCCTCATGTTCTGTGCCTTGTTCCCCCTTTTGTCTACCTGTACCTGATGGATATCTCTGCTATGCTGAATGCAGGGGCTGGGCACACACAATGGCAGCCCCTGTGGACGTGACTACAGTCAAGGGCTGGTCCCCAGGAACTCATCTCTGCTCTGGCCTGGAATGTGTTTACAGATGCAGCCAGGACCCACGGAATCAGGTGCAGCACCCACTGCCCAGACAAAAGTGAGGAAAAACTGTCACTGTGAACTATGAGAGCATCAGGGCCTTTTTCGAAGATGGATACAATGATGATGATGGTTTTAATAATAAAAATATTAATTTAGTGAATGCTTAATACATGTTGAGTACCATTTTAAACATGTGATGTGTATGATCTCTTAAAGCCACTTCCAGGTCCTGGGCTGGGTCTTTTGCAGGCACAATCTCATTTACAGTGGTAACAACTCAACATGGAGCTGATTACACTAGTCCACTCTTCACAATGTCTCCGGAAGTCCTGCTGCTGCTATTTTATTTTGGGAAAAGACACAGAAACCAACACACACAGACGCACACACACTTTTTTTCTTACCCATTGTATTGAGATTTTCCCTCGGGAGGAGCTTTGAAAATGCCAGTTATTTATGTGCTCCCCTTGCCCCCGCCCCCCGCCCATATCTTTGTGAGGGGATGAGAAACTCACCGTTATCGAAGACCGTGCCTGCTGTGAACGAAAGTTCTGAGTCATGTTCAGCTTTGCAGGCATACAAGGCTTTTGCCTTCCGGAACGGTGTGCTGTGTGAAAACAGGAGTTTATTTAACATTTTTGAAAAAACCCTTAGAAAGCCCCAGACATTTCATCTCTCTTCTTCCCTTTCCCTGTAAGCTACCTAGTCCCCTCTCGTGGGAAGTGCCTGGCAAGGCAGCCAGATGGCAAGACATGAGGTGGGAAAGCTGCAAAGATCACAGGAGAAAAATGAGAAATATTCAGAGAAAAGCCATAAGCTTCAAGAAACTACACTTTTTGTGGGGTCACCTTGTGCCATGTTAAAACTTTACCTGGGAGTTACAACAGCCAAACAGCGGGAGGGCAGGCTGGGCCCCATTTTTGGAGCAGGAGTGCCTTGGGGGAAGGGAGGGAAGCAGGGGCAGGAAAGAAGTTCCAAGCTGCTCTGGGGAACACACTCCCAACAGAACCTGTTGAAAGCTGGCAATGCTCAGTGAGTCAAAAAGAAGAAATTCCAGCAAAGCCAAGTTTCAGTTCCAGGCCACGGGCGGACATGAGCTCTCCCAGATGTTCCTGATTTCTTACTAGACTGGGTCTTGCTGGTGAGACAGGATTCCAGAGCTGGAGCTCTCCAACCCCCAGGGGAGGGAATAGACAAGGTGCATGAGGGCAATTACACATGTGTGTGCATGAGCACACACGTGCACCTGTATGGGGAGTGTGGGGAGGAGGAAGAAGGGAGAGGGGACATGAGGCATTTTTTTTGGTTTGTTTTTGCTTTTCTCATGTCCGTTGAATGTTTACAATCACTCTCACTGTGCATCCGAAACACCTGGGGAGCATTTAGAAAATGCAGATGTCTAGGTTCTACCCAGATATGCAGATATTATACAGGCATCAGTAGTTTTTGTTTGTTTGTTTAGACGGAGTCTTGCTCTGTCGCCCAGGCTGGAGTGCAGTGGTGCGATCTCGGCTCACTGCAAGCTCCGCCTCCTGGGTTCACGCCATTCTCCTGCCTCAGCCTCCCGAGTAGCTGGGACTACAGGCGCCTGCTACCAAGCCTGGCTAATTTATTGTATTTTTAGTAGAGACAGGGTTTCACCGTGTTAGCCAGGATGGTCTCAATCTCCTGACCTCGTGATCCGCCTGCCTCAGCCTCCCAAAGTGCTGGGATTACAGGCGTGAGCCACCGCGCCCGGCCAGGCATCAGTATTTTAAAAAAGCTCTCCAAGTAATTCCAACGTGCAGTGAGGGTTGAGAACCACTGTTCTAGAGCAGAAGGTGGCAAACTTTCTCTGCAAAGGGCCGGGTGGTAAATATTTCAGGCTTTGTGAGCCACATGGTCTCCATCGTGCAGAGTGATCAGAGTAAATGGTTATCTCGAATTTATTGCTGGGCCATAGTTTACTGTTGTTCCCTCTGGTTTTCTAGGAGCCAAGAGATGATGGCCAGGTGGGAAAACATTGGGAAAGTGGGGGAAAATGAAGTGGGACCCCTGGGAACAAAGGAAAGAAGAGTCCTTAGTATTCACCAGCTCCAACAGGAAAACAGCTCTTCCTGGCTAATTATGATGACAGAATAAAGTTCAGGACAAGGGGCACTGCCTGTGAGCCAAAGAAACCGAGTCTATGTATTGGCCAGCAAGGACCAAACATCCTATGTGCAACTTTCCAGGGAGGAATATAAGAGGCATTTTTTTTTTTTTTTTTTCTTGAGAGGCTGGGAAGCAGACAGGAGGAGTGACTTGGCTGTGAAAAGTGCTAAAACAGATAAAAGACTATACTGACAGGCAAATGGAGCCTGTTATGACACTGACATTGAAGGTGAAAGGAGAATCCAGTTCACATTAGCCAGGGTCTCAGAGACCAGGTTTTGAGGCAGTATTTCTGCCTCTTGAGGACAGGGCAGAGCAGGTGGGTAAAAAGCAAAGAGACCAGGGAAGGGGGACTAAAAGTAAGGGAAACAGCATCTGAGGAAAGGCTCCTCTGACTGGATTTTCACAAACATTATTTATTAACCTCACTAAACAAGGATAATGGGACAAAACAGGGGCAAGCTGGAAAACCAGCAGGGGTATTTGGCAGCCAGAAATAAAAGGGAGTGGTCCAGGTGCCCAAGATTATCATTCAAAAGGAGTAACATTCCATTGATATTAGGTTTGTGAAATTGAATAATGAAGTGGCAATAACATAGTACGTTAAAAAATAACAAACTAGGCACTGTGGCACATGCCTGTAATCCTAGCACTTTGGGAGGTGGGAGGATTGCTTGAGCCCAGGAATTTAAGACCAGACTGTAGAGACCTCCATCTCTACAAAAAAATAAAAAAAATTAGCCAGGCATGATGGGACACGTGTGGAGTCCAGGTTACTTGGGAGGCTGAGGCAGGAGGATTGCTTGAGCCCAGGAGGTGGGAGCCGCAGTGAGCTGAGATTGCACCACTGCACTCTAGTCAAGTGAGACCCTGGCTCAAAAAAAAAAAAAAAGTAAGTAGGTAAATAAATAAATAAGCAAGCCAAGAAAGGGCCTTGTTTTTTTCTCAAGTTGATAGGCAACTGACAGTCTATGGGAGGGCTTTTCCCTTGAGATCTCCCTCTACTGCTTTAGGATAGGCACAAAAATGGGAGAAATGACAGAAGAGGTGCTTTTAAAGGGGGCCATTCCTGTTGCCCAAGGAATAGGAATGGGTAGGGTTGCCAGATAAAATACAGGACACCTAGTTAGATTTGGATGGCAGAATAAACAATAAATATTTCTTTAGTATACGTTATGTCCCAAATATTGCATGGGACATACATATATGAAAAAATTTTTGTTGTTTATCTACCATCCAAATTTAACTGGGTCTGCTGTATTTTTATTTTATTTGCTAAATCTGGCAACCCTACCCAAAAAGTCTTATCTTCTTAAAAGCTTGTCAGCCCAACAAGTCAAGTGTCCCATAACTCCTTCTGAAAGGTCTTAAGCAGTTTGCTTTAGGTAGGGTTCCTACCAAAACAGACAAATCCTGTTGGCAGAGAGATTGTATTTGTAGGCTTTGGCTCTGATAAAAAAATAAAATAAAAAATCTCCACCAGGCATCATTGGTTCTTTGGCTTCCTATTCTCCACAGTATATCTCAAAACTGGATACAGAGGGCCTGGGGTAGTTTTCGGCTGCTCCTGTCAACAGTGCCCTTCAGACCTCAGCTGGGCCTTTAAGGGCATGAACAAGTTGGGATCCTCCTGCTAGTTCCCTTTTAATTTTCACCTCTGAGCATGGCACAAGGCCTGGAAAGCACTCACAGGAGTTTCCCTCAAATGCCCTTGCAAACCTTGCAAAATGATGACCCATTCGCCATCATATGGCACTACAGGGAGGTGGGACCAGCTAGACTGGCAGGTGGAAAGGGGTTGATCATTTAGGCATAATTTCCAGGGACCCCTGGGCAAATGCAAGTTACGGGTTTGGGGCTATCGGCTTTTTTGGGGGAGGGGTGAGCAAGTGAAAGAAAAGGGAAATACGGAGGGAATGTGTCTCCAGCACCCTTTCTCTACTGTGCTGCAAAAGGCATCTTCATTCCTGACTTTGAACAAACAAGGTCTATAAATGGTTTGAAGAGGGGACAGTGATATGGTTTGGCTCTGTGTCCCCACCTGAATCTCATCTTGTAGCTCCCATCATTCCCGTGTTGTGGGAGAGACTCGGTGGGAGATGATTGAATCACTGGGGACGGTCTTTCCTGTACTGTTCTCATAATACTGAATGGGTCTCACGAGATCTGATGATTTTAAAAAACGGGAGTTTCCCTGCACAAACTCTCTTTTTGCCTGCCGCCATCCATGAAAGACGTGACTTCCTCCTCCTTGCCTTCTGCCAGGATTGTGAGGCCTCCCCAGCCACGTGGAACTGCAAGTCCGTTAAACGTCTTTTTCTTCCCAGTCTCGGGTATGTTTTTATCAGCAGCATGAAAACAGACTAATTCAGACAGTAAGCAATTTCCAGAGGAGACATCATTCAGAAGTTCATGGGACCACTGATTAGATCTAATTCAATATTTACTTATAAAGGCTTTGCTCAGGGAAGGAAATCTGAAGCTTCATGCTCTGGAAGTGGATTTGAGGGAGGCCCCAGTGGACCTGAATAATGGGTGTATACCACCACCTCTTTGCTATACACTACAGTGTACAGGTTTCGGCCCTCTCTGTTCCTCTGATGGGCTAGCTCCTCAGCAGTGTTGCTGTCTGTGCTCATCTGGGCACACACATTTAGTCCAACTCTGCCTTGACTATTTTTTTTTTTTTTGAGATGGAGTCTAGCTCTGTCACCCAGACTGGAATGCAATGGCACGATCTTGGCTCACTGCAAACTTTGCCTCCCAGGTTCAAGCAATCCTCCTGCCTTAGCCTCCTGAGTAGCTGGGATTACAGGCGCCCACCACCATGCCTGGCTAATTTTTGTATTTTTAGTAGAGATGGGGTTTTGTCACGTTGTCCAGGCTGGTCTTGAACTCCTCACCTCGGGTGATCTCCCCACCTTGGCCTCCCAAAGTGCTGGGATTACAGCTGTGAACCACTGTGCCCGGCCTGCCTTGACTATTTCAAGAGGGCAGCTTCCTAAAGGGTGTCCAAATAGTGCTATTCTAACAATGGCCAGGGGAGGAGGTACTGAGTAACTGTGACCCCAGACACACAAGATGGCAACAGAATGGCAGATTCTATTGCCATTGCCCTCTGTCAATCTGGAAATACTTTGGGAGGTAGGAAGAAGTAGGAAGGAAAAACAGTCTGGAAATATTTGGGGAGATGAAAACGAGTGAAGAGGTAGAGATACTTGACAAGAAACAGGGCCCCAAATCTCAGAGTCACAAAAAAGTGAGTACCATCAAGGCAGAGAGGACATTTTAGGATTTTAGCTGAGTGATTTCACTCTCTTGAGTCTCTTAACCCATTTTGTCCAAAGGGCCAATATTTTGAAGATTTTTACTCCATTTTGATAAAAATGAAGGAATTACATTTTCCTAAAGCCCAAGTTTCTCTAATGAGTAAGTGAGGCATTTTGGAAGCTGACTTGTCTGTGGTCACTTAGTTTCCTCTGGTTCAGGTCCTCATGATCTAATGAGAATAATCTATGCTATTTCTGGTATCTTAGAAAGTTGATGTCTCCCAAAGTGCCCAGAAGATGTCCAAGAAATGATTAGGAAATCACTAGAATGTCAGGAAGACATGATCTGAAAATTTCCCTTATTTATAGAGTGAGAAAAAAAAGAATTACTGAAAATCTCCTTCCCATCATCCAGGACAAAGCCAGGTAGAAAGCTGTATAAAACCTAAAAGAGCAAGTCAGGCTCTGGGCTGGGAGCTGCACGGAAACTCAAAGTTGGGGTTACCCACGTGTTTGGAGGAAAGAGTGCTGAGCTGAGGGGGAGAAGTCCTGAATTCTGGATTGGCTCTCATTTAGTCATAGCATTGTGTCCAAGTCACCTCCCTGTGTTTTAGTTTTCTTTTTCCACAGTAGGGTTCAGGCCATTTCTCTTCTCATTCTCACACGAGGATAGAATGAAATGATAGATGTGTAAGTGCCTAGTGGGGAATAAAGTAATATATGTATCTGTATATATATAAATAGCATGGGGTTTTCTTTTCTTCTAAAAGTGAAACTCGGCTTCATAAATTATTTAAGCCTCTCTGCTGGATCCACCCTTTGGAGAAAAAGACAGAAGGGAAAATACTCCCAAAGCCCAAAACGCTTCTGATGCTTATAACTGGGCTCTACAATTTGGTTGTCTGAAAGCTGAGACTAAGCTTGAGAGAGAAGCACGTTTAGGAGCTCCACAGCATAGGAATTCTGCAGGATCCCTATTCGTTCTTTTCCCGGTTGTAAAGAGCTCTTTTTTTTTCCCAAAGAGCACAAGAGCAAAAAACTTAAGTGCGGAAGTCACAAAAGCAGGGAAAACTACAGCATGGCCCTGAGAAGAGGAACTAGGTCAAGCTGCTCTCCCTCAGAGAGAGGTAGTGCCTGTTCCCAGGACAGCTCAGGCTTCATGACACACAGAGACAGAAGCAGGCTGGGAGCATGGATGGTTTCGGGAGTATATGGGGGACAACGAGGCATAAGCCGTGAGCAATTTAAGAGAAATCGCTTCGTCTCTCAAGCTTTTATTCTATGTTCGACGTCTCTCCCCCAGTGGATCTGGTCTAAGTGACTGGGTGTCAGTGCTTAGGGCCAGGGGCCCAACCCCACAAATAAATATTGCCTGACGCTGCCTGATAAACATGAGAAAAGAAAAGGTTGGCACATGTCCCAACACTGTTTCCTCTTATGTTATCTTACACCAAAGTGCAGAGAGCACATGAAATTGAGAGAGCCATCAAAACCAGAGTCTGGTTCAGGAGGTGCTCCTTCCCCTAACTCTAGGCACCAGAGAGGTTAATTCAGAAACTTGAGTCAGGGTTGAAAAGGGTGTGAAAAATGCCATGCTGATTCATGCAAATGGTCCCTTTTAGCTCTGGTCTCTTAGGATGGAACCACAGGAGAGCAGGGGCAGCCCCCTGTTGTCCCTGGCCAGCTTTGGATAAACGGGAACAGATTGGTCATCATCCGAGATTTTACCTGGAGTCTTCATGTACCGCTTCTTCTGGCCTGTCAAAAAGCAAGTGCAGGTTTGGATGGCAGGGAACAAAGTTGACGAGGAGGCTGAACACTGCATGAAGAGAGGACCGAGCCAATGAGAGAACAACGGCAGCAACAGAAAACCAAACAAACCCTGCAACAGACCTGACGGGGGATGAGTCGCTGGACGTGGATGAGGTGGGCATAGGGCTGGATGGCGCCGAGAACATGGGCCAAGATGGCGAGAGGGGTGAAGTTGGGCTTGGATTCGGGGGGCTGCAAGACATAACAACCAGAAAACTTGTCAGCACACAGGGAAACCACAATGGGAGCACAGGAGGTCATGGGAGGCCAGATGACGGAAAGCTGGGCAGAGCAGAGGAGCACCGAAACCCAGGGATGTGCTGTCAGGGCCATGTCACATTCCTCCAGACCAAATCTCCACGTCCAAGTAAACGTCTGTTCTGTAATTCCTCGGAGTATAAACAGGCTTTGCCCTGCAGAACAACTGCTTTTCAGGTGATAGAAGCTTCTTCGATCATGTACATTGGCGACAAATGCCCTGAGCCCACGCACATGAGTTCCCACACCCACGTGCTATCACCAGCCTTGTTCTGAGGCAGGGCTAGCTTATAGCGAGCCTTCAGCTTCCACTCTTGTGGGAGTGTTTTTCAGGTTACGTCTCAGCAGAAATGACCATGTTTTTTTTCTTCTGGGCCACAAAGGCCATTCGGTGAGAAAATAATCTCCTGTTTGCATTTTTAACTAGATGGGCTGTGTGCCACTGGAGATCTGAAGTACTGCATGAAGAAGGTGATAGCCGATGGAGGTGAATACAGATACACCTCTTGGGAGACGGCATGCAATTACCAGCAGAATGCGGTTCCTCTGAGGTTTGCTGCCTGGGCTTGCCCTTTCTCCTTTCGTGGAATTTGGGCATTACGATACTCAAAGAAAAAGCCCCAGAGGGAAGGCAATGAAAAAAACGAACTGAAACCTTCAATTTGTTCATTTTGTTCCTTGACGGGTAGCTAATCAAAAGTTTGGAGAGGAAAGGTTGAAATTACTCACTGAAACGTGGCTTGTGGATTTTAATTGGTTGTGTTAGCCCTTTGACTTATTTCCACAAATGACACAAGCACCTTCACAACTCTGTGAAATCATACATCACAAATAGTGCAAACACCAATGACAGAGAGAAACCAGTTCAGCCACACCACCACTTGCCACTCCTGAATCTCAGCGGACTGCTGAACTATTTGAAACAAGCCCTTCATGGGGGCAAAAATGACAGAAATCCGGTTCAAGGGGAACAGACTTTCTAAGCGTACTGCAATTTAGCAGGCACACACAAATGTCCTACTTACTGGGACTTCCCTAGGGTTATACCAATTCAAACATGAGACCCAATAATAGCCCTAATTACTTACTGTTGTAACACCTATAGACAAATAACAGCAAAAACCACAGTGTGAGTTCATCAGAGAGGCTCAAACTAATGTGACTGATAAACACTTTATTAAATTCCATTACGTATATTTTTAGAACATAAATTCCATGAGGCAGAGGCTTTTGTTTTGCTTACTGCTGTATATCCAGTGTCTAAAATATCCAGTGTCTGTAGGTACTATATTTAACAAATCATTACTGAGTAAATTAATGAGTCTCATTTACCCACGCAACAAGCCCACAAACAAGTACTGCTATAATTCCCATTTCACAGATGTGGAAACCTGGGCTAAGCTGAGGCTTCTCTAAGGATACCCAGCCTATAAGTAACAGGGCTGAGGTTCAAACCTCATCTGCTGATTCTAAGCCCAGGGCTCCTGCAGCCAGCGTACTCCCTCTGACATAGCAGGACTTGCCCTGTTCCTCTAGCCTGTGCCAAGCTTCTTTACAGACTCAGTCATAGCATTAGAATTCTTCTTAACCACTGATTCATGTGTTTCCTTTAGATACCTACCCTATTTGCAAGGGAAAATGACAATACAGTGATAGAGAATCACAATAAGACTCAACATATTCTAAATTCCAACAAAATCCCCAATCCTGCCTCCAGTGTTCGGTCTGGCGGATTCATATAGCAGATGGCATTCATATAAGAGAAGAAATAAAATGTAAAGAGTATGACTCTTTAAAGCTTTTTTTTCTTAATCCAGCAAAAACTAGTCATTGAGCACTCAGTATGTTCAATACAATAAATGATATTTGCCAAGGTCCCTTGACTTCAAGAGCTTAAAATATATTTGACAAGAAGCGACAGATTTAAAAACAACAGTAATGTAAGACAGTAAGATCCATCAGTTGAGGGCTAAGCTAGTACTAGCTTAATACCTGGCTCCCCCTTGACTCTGTCTTGAGTCCTAGGAAAAGTGTCAACTCCTCTCTACTGTGCAGTCTCCATTTTCTTCCACAGTTGCTGCTAGTCAGAGAGGCCTCACTTTCTCAGTCCTCTCAACACAACCCTGCCCCACCAGACAATGACCTAGTAGGCAAGGCCTGGCAACAACTTTCAAACCACAGCCCAGCCCAGGAACCCAAGCAGAACCAGGGACAATTTGGAGGTTCAAGAGAACAGCCCAGACCCAGGGGCTTGTACCAATCTGTTCTTTTGGTCAGTGGTTACCACAGGACAATTAAAAAGTCCTTCCAACTTTTTTTTTTTTAAATGACTTTAATAAGTAGGAAACACCTCCAGCTTCCTATTCCATCTGTACCAAGAATTATGCCTTTGGCTAATGGCATAGTTTGGAACATATTCTGTGAACACAATGTGGGTTCTAAATGTTTTTCACATCCTCAGATATCTAAGTGGTTTTTGGCCAGAACTACACGGCTGAAATTATCTGGGGGTGCGGCTGGAATGCAGGATATTCGTAACTATTATAATAACTTACTCCTCAATCCCCATGTCAATTACCGTAGTATCAACTGCAATTTTTTCTTCTGGAGACGGAGTTTTGCTCTTGTCGCCCAGGCTGGAGTGCAATGGCACAATCTTGGCTCACTGCAACCTCTGCCTCTTGGGTTCAAGCGATTCTCCTACCTCAGCCTCCCAAGTAGCTGGGATTATAGATCCCCCCCACCATGCCTGGCTAATTTTTTGTATTTTTAGTAGAGACAGGGTTTCACCATGTTGGTCAGGCTGGTCTTGAACTCCTGACCTCAGGTGTTCCACCCACCTTGGCCTCCCAAAGTGCTGGAATTACAGGCATGAGCCACCATGCCTGGCCTCAAATGCAATTTTTAACAACAGAATTTCAGAATTTCATTTGTTTATGTTTTAGCCATAGCAGTAACATTTGGTATAAAGTGACTGCATTTTAACATTTATTACCACTATGTTTGAATTGGTATAATAATAAAATGCATACTCCATAGTACTTCTGTGATTTTTTTTTTTTTAATTATACTTTAAGTTCTGGGATACATGTGCAGAATGTGCAGGTTTGTTACATAGATATACACGTGCCATGATGGTTTGCTGCACCCATCAACCCATCATCTACATTAGGTATTTCTCCTAATGCTATCCCTCCCCTAGCCCCCTACCCCCTGACAGGCCCCGGTGTGTGATGTTCCCCTCCCTGTGTCCATGTGTTCTCACTAACTCCCACTTATGAGTGAGAACATGCGGTGTTTGGTTTTCTGTTCCTGTGTTAGTTTGCTGAGAATGATGGTTTCCAGCTTCATCCATGTCCCTGCAAAGGACATGAAGTCATCCTTTTTTATGGCTGCATAGTATTCCATGGTGTATATGTGCCACATTTTCTTTATCCAGTCTATCACTGATGGGCATTTGGGTTGGTTCCAA